>NC_000018.10:30286206-30911206 GCF_000001405.40 Homo sapiens
GCTTAATTCTGACTATGAGTTCCTGAATCTTATTTTCTTTAGAAAACTTTCAATTTAGGCAACGAAAGTCAAAATTGACAAATGGGATCTAATTAAACTGAAGAGCTTCTACACAGCAGAAGAAACTATCATCGGAGTGAACAGGCAACCTACAGAATGGGAGAAAGTTTTTGCAATCTATGCATCTGACAAAGGGATAATATCCAGAATCTATAAGGAACTTAAACAAATTTACAAGAAAAAAAAACAAACAGCCCCAACAAAAAGTGGGCGAAGGATAGGAACAGACACTTCTGAAAAGAAGACATTTGTGTGACCAACAAACATAAGAAAAAAAGCTCATCATAACTGGCCATTAGAGAAATGCAAAACAAAACCACAATGAGATACCATCTCACACCAGTTAGAATGGCAGTCATTAAAATGTCAGGAAACAACAGATGCTGGAGAGGATGTGGAAAAAAGGGAACACTCTTACACTGTTGGTTTGAGTGTAAATTAGTTCAACCATTGTGGAAGACAGTGTGGCAATTCCTCAAGGATCTAGAACCAGAAATACCATCTGACCTGGCAATGCCATTGCTAGGTATATACCCAAAGGACTATAAACCATTTTACTATAAAGACAAACGCACATATATGTTTATTGCAGCACTATTTACAACAGCAAAGTCTTGGAGCTAACCCAAATGCCCATCAATGATAGACTGGATAAAGAAAATGTGGCACATATACACCATGGAAATACTGTTCAGCCATAAAAAAGGATGAGTTCATGTCCTTTGCAGGGACATGGATGAACCTGGAAACCATCATTCTCAGCAAACTGACACAGGAACAGAAAACCAAACACAGTATGTTCTCATTTCATATGTGTGAGTGAACAATGAGAACACATGGTTACAGGGAGGGGAACATCACACACCGGGGCCTGTCAGGGAGTGAGGGGCTAGCGGAGGGATAGCATTAGGAGAAATACCTAATGTAGATGATGAGTTGATGGGTGCAGCAAACCACTATGGAACGTGTATACCTATGTAACAAACCTGCACATTCTGCACATGTATCCCAGAACTTAAAGTATAATAATAATTTAGAAAAGACAGCTAGCTGTAGGTTAAACACTGGCTGTGTGAGGCCAGGCAAATGTTTTTGAAATAAAACATTTTCCTAGGCCTTGAGAAAAAAATAAAAGAAAACTTCCTATTTAAATTCTTTCTCTGCCTCTTCGAGATATAAATATTCTACACCCAGAAATCTTTCTCAAGGACCTGGGAGTGATCCCTTTGAAATGTAATGATTGAAAAAGATAGGATCCATATCTCCCAGTTTCTGTGGGAAAGCAGGAGTTTAATTTTTGATAAGCACCAATTACCAAATACTGATAGCCTGCCTGCATTGACCTGGCCTCCCCTACTGTCCTCCAATACTTTTCCATTAGCTCACCCCATAGTTTTAAAATCCTTCTGCCTTTTGTTTCAGTAGAGTTCAATTTCTCCTCACTATTGCAATAGTCTTGACCCCTATTTTAATAGTCTTGAATAAAATCTTCCTTGCTGTTTTCATAAGTGTCCAGTGCAATTTTCATTTTACAGCCCAATGATAAATTGATTAAACTGAAAGTTTTACTCCATGTTCATGGTGTATTAAAAAGATACAGCATATCCTAAATCATATTTTCTCATTTATGTATATCAATGTATTCATGAATCATGTATATCCACGTATTCATAAACATGAATACATTCATATTCATTAGAAAAAGTAACATTTTGATTAAAAATCTTGGGAGCCAAAGCTCAAGAAATTTCTGATTAAATCAGAGCCCCAAGATGTGTACACAGCTTTCTTCACAGTTTTCCTCTGTTGCCTCTTATGTATTTGGTAAACCACATAAGGTTTTACCAGGAAAATATTTTTTGTATTAAAATCATATACAAAATGCTCTCTGTACTCCTACAATCTTGCTTTTTAAAAAAGATTCTGTTTATTTCAGATTTGCTGTTATAGCAGAACACGTTTCTGGTGTGTTTTACACTTTACATTTTTACTTCACAACAGGGAACAGCTTATTAGTGGGTGGCAGAACTGGGATCCAGACGTGACTGCGCCAATATGTATACACCCAAGTTAACTTCAGCTCTTTTTCAGGCTGGAATACGCTGGATAAAATAACTTGGAAGACACATACACTATGAAATAAATGAAGAAGCGTTTGAGAAAACAGTATACGTTGCCAGTTTACCTGGGCCTTGTTTTCATCTCTTTTGCTGTCTTGTTACATAACATGTTTCTTAGTCTTCCTTGTTGTAATAATAATGATGATTATTAGTATTCCTTCCATATTCTGAGAAATATGAATAGTAATATTTCCTCCTTCCTCAAATACTGTAGATTAATGTTACTTCAAAGCAATGTTTAGGAATTGCATATGAAAATAAATAATATCATAATATCTTTGTAGCTTGGGTTAAATCTATGCAACATCAAATCATCAAACAGATTGGTTAGGTATAAAGATAAACTTTTTTGTCTAAATAACGTAACTGGCCAATATTTCAAAATGTCCCTTTAAAAAGTGTACTAAAATATCCGTGGCCCATATTATGCAACAAATACTAAAAAATTCCAATTTACCATGACGTCATACCAGATATTAGAGTGAGAGTACCAAAACAAACCAAGAAAAAAACCAAAAACCCCTGAATGTTCCAATGATGCCTATATAATACAGGAGAAACAAACAAATACAAATGCTACGAAATAGTGAATTGTGAGAAAATGAGTAAGAGTCAGGTGAAGAATTGGGAGAAGAGCTTTCATATAGAACAAGCAGTATTTATAAAAAATCAGAAACAAAAATAGGTCATAGGACAGTTTAGTAGTTCCCAAAGACAGGGCTTTTCAAACTGGATCAGCAGGATGAACATTACCTGGGAACTTGTTAAAAATGCAAATTGTTGAGAACCCCCTACTGACCTACTGAATTAGAAACACTTGAAGTGGGGCCGGCACTCTGATTACCCTGGTGAGCATCATTCATGCAAACGTTTAAGAACCTCTAATATAGACTTTGCATGTGCTTGGACCAAAGTCATTTGGGTGAAAAGAAGGGGAATTGCTTCAAGTTTCTTAGATGCTGCTAGACACTGATAAAATTTCTCTGGCACTGGTGCATTTCCTCTCTTTTAACCCTTATAACTTCCCCTCAATTTGAATGCTTAGAGACTGAGGAGTGCAATTATATTTATATTAAGGTGAAGAGTTTATAGTGAGGTATTAAACTTTAAGTTATACATTTTAAATTATAAAACAAATAAGCAAACAAATTTAACCCAAAATGTACAAAGTTTTTGGATAGCAAATATTTCTAAAACACACTGAAAAAGGAAGTGCAGATTTGTTTCTAAAAGCATTTCAATGGAAAAAAGTACAAATGCTTGCAATGATTTTCAGTTTAGTACAATAAAAGTTAATTTTGATTGTTTTGAAATTGACTTGCATTAAAATCTTAAATCACTTGGAGCCCAGCCTTGCTGTGGAATTTACTCTTAATATGACATCCCAACAAAGAGAAAAATGGGTGTGGTAAAAAGAAGAAGAGCAGTATGCTTTTTACAGCTGTTGTATGTTAAGAGATGCTGTGCAGAAAGTATGGCTCTGGAGAAAGAGAATATATTTGAATAGAATTGTAGTTTTGTGCACGATGAGTTCATGTTAAAGCATTTATCTTTAGCTCTTGTCTGCAAATGTTCTCTTCACTGCATAGGTCTAAACACAAGGCTATCTTAACAGTAACTGCCTTTATTTCTTTCAAGGTTTTAATAGAAAATATTTCACTCTTTGCCTGCTTTAGCTTTTTCTAATTCTAATGTATGATATTCTATTTAAAATTATTCCTATCAGATTGCTTATTTATATGCACCAAAACTGCAATCCTTCTGGCTGTGAAACATACAGAAGAAACTTTAAATATAATTAAGATAGCAGCAGAGGAACATGGAAGAGAGGAACATAGGTTTATAAAATATATTGTGCAAAAGAGCTTACTGCACTTATAAGAAATGAGAGAGCTTTATAGGGGATGATCACACAGCCTTGAAGAATGCATTAGTAATAACAGATAACAAGGATGAGAAGATATTTGAGGAAATAACAGCAAGTGCAACATCATGGAGATGAGAGAGAAAATGGTATCAGGACAAAAAGCAGTTCGGTAAGTACAGCATAAAGTCAAGAAAGCAACTCTTGGGAAATGTTTGCAAAGTCAAACTAGGGAAATATTGAAGGAACATGTCTACAATGCTATCGAGCTTACATGTAGACTTCAAGTGAGGGAAATAATAGTGGAAATAGTGTGAAGGATAAATTAAAAGTAGGATTTGCAATCTGGGATATAGTTAACCACCTGAGAGATGCTTGCTATTTGTAGTAGGGATAGAGAATAGAGAATACCTTAAAAGAGTAATATTTTTAGAATATAAATTTTTAGAATATTTTTAGAATATAATTGTAACTTTAATTTGATTTGTTAGGTTGGCAGCATAAAGAATAACATACAGGATGATTGTCAGGTTTTTATCTTGGATGAGTGGTGGTTACACTTATTGATGGAAATACAGGTTTTTCCTATGGGTTAGTGTTAGGTTCTATTTGAGCTATAGCAAGAATGAGATTTTAGGAGAACTTTCAAGTGAAAATGTTGAGTTCTGCAGGTTTTATAAGTCTAAGCTGGTCATAATAATTCTGGAGTTATCAGTGTATAAGTTAAAATGATGCACGTGGAAACAATAGTCTAGGAAAACCATGTGCAACAGGAAGGTTAAAAACAGAATTTTGAAGACCACAATAGGGAATAGAAATTATTGGTATCATAGTGATTTTAGTTGCAGGAAAGCCACATTTCAAGAAAGACTATTCTGCTTTTATTCTTTTATTTTAAAACCATCGTATAAATGAATAAGTGACCTTCCAGAAGAATTAGGTAAACCAAATTTGCAAAGCTTTCTGAAATCTTCAGTCAGTTCAAATGTATGGAAATGGAGGACATCCAAATATTGCATGCAACTATAAAACTCACGTCTATCAAAAAGAAGACAAAGTTTTCCACTCTTACCTTTCAGCAATATGCCTGCTTGTCAGAATTCAGGACTAATCCTAATGCACCTAAGGTGCATTATCTGTGTTCACATTAAGTATCTAACTTAATTCTTTTTAATAAAATATAACTAAGATTATGTTTTCCTCAACAAACTTCCCTTTACATCTTATGTTTGTGTGTCACCCAAAATGCTGCTGATAGATGTGAATGAGGAACATTTTGCTATTTTATTCTTGATTATATTTTCTGGAAATCTATTTTATCAATTTGTGACTTAATAAATAAAAACATAGGTATATTAATGTCATTCTTTTCTATCCCATTGTTTAAAACTTTGTTTTATGTGTATAGTTCCCTTTCTACATCCTCTCTTGAATATTTAGTTTAAGCTTCTTTGTCAACACTAATAATAAAACTGTTGAAATGATGATTTTGCCATTGCCCATATGTTTTAATCTACATTGTTTAGTTTCCTTCCCCCTAAAATGTATTATTTACTGTTTTACTATAGTATTAAGAATATTCTACTTTGATTAATGCCAATAGTTTGCAATGCTGAATGGGAAGTTTATTATGAAAGATAATTATAGTTACTAACTTAAAATATTTTATATGTTTTAAATTATTGAGAATATCATTCTGGCTTTAAATATAAAGGGAAATTATATAAATAACCCATTGAAATTATAAGTGCAGATGTAAAAATGTGAGCGAAGTATAAAGATTTCTATATGAGTTGTTTCTATTATGTTGATAAGATTGACCAAATCCTCTGTGTTTTATAATTTATGTATTCTTGTATAGGGTGAACTAATGATAATTTGCTAAAATGTGCCAATAAGATTACAAATCTGTTTGTTCTGAAATAGCTAACAATTGTTTTAATTGCATATATATGTTAACTTGGTACATAAAGTTCAAAATCGTCTTGTATTCACAATTGAGTATTTTTTTCTTGCTATTATCTTTGCCTAATAATAATATTGCTATCTTTTTCTTAACTGGTTGCAGGTTTCCACAATATGTATCTAGATTTAAATTAGTCAGTCTCATTTTATTTTTGTCTAATTCTGTAGGAGCAGATAGTGACACAATTTTTATTTTGATACAGTCTCAAAAATTAGCTTTCTATAAACAGAATTCATATCATAACAAAAATGTTACTGCTATCTACATTTGGTCTCCATTTTGTGAACTTTTCTGTTGTAACATTAGTTCTGAGGTGATTTGGAATATAAGTATTCAGTTTTTAAACCAACAAGACTTTAGCTAAAAATGTATTCTACAAGTTATTTGTAGAAATATATTTATCTGGCCGGGCGCGGTGGCTCACGCCTGTAATCCCAGCACTTTGGGAGGCCGAGGCGGGCGGATCACGAGGTCAGGAGATCGAGACCATCCCGGCTAAAACGGTGAAACCCCGTCTCTACTAAAAATACAAAAAATTAGCCGGGCGTAGTGGGGGGCGCCTGTAGTCCCAGCTACTTGGGAGGCTGAGGCAGGAGAATGGCGTGAACCCGGGAGGCGGAGCTTGCAGTGAGCCGAGATTGCGCCACTGCACTCCAGCCTGGGCGACAGAGCGAGACTCCGTCTCAAAAAAAAAAAAAAAAAAAAAAAAAAAAAAAAAGAAATATATTTATCTAATTATAAATACGAAAAGAATAAAATTTGACTATTCTTTGTTGAAGACATAAAAATGTATTTTTATTTTATTTTTAAATTACTATATTTTCATTTTATTTTCCAATTTAAAATAATAATTAAATCTCTAGCAATTATTTAGTATCAGAAATTATCCTAAAAATAAAGTATATTTATTTACCTGTTTTTACCTTATTTTGTTGGCTTAGCTGTTCACTATCCCCTTTTGATGTGACTTTTCAAATCTTAAAAATTTACATTAATTTGTCAAACATTTTGTTGCATTTGAGTGAGTTTAAAAATATCTCGATAATATATTTTATCAAAATTTGAAAATTTGAGAATTACTTTGGTTATCTTAAAAAGTATGCTAAAACTGGCTACATTCTTAAATGATAATCTTGATATTATTCTAGGATTGTCTGCCTCTTTTTTCTCTTTGTGTTGTTTTTGCTGTTGTTTTAATGATTGATTTCATATTTTCTCCTCCTTTTTTCTCTGCTAAGTTTACTTATTTTTATCTAGACAATTGTCATTAATATATCTGAAATATGACTTGAAGGCAAAGATATTTGTTCAGCTCAGAACATTTCTTATATACATTTTATTTTGTATCTGTGCCACTGTTTTTTTCTGGTTGCAGGAATAAATAACTTCCATATGTTGAATCTCTGTAATCCTTCCTCCGTACATTTTTTGGTCTTTTCATCATATTCCGTACTTTATAGAATTTTGCTTATTCTCGTTTGTCATCTATATCACTAGGTTTATGTGCTGTGATGCCAACTCTTCCCTACTAGGATTTTGTTTTTTGTTGCTAAGAAAAACAACTTTAAAAAAACCCTAAATACAGAAAATATACTTACATCAAATATATAATTTAAGGAATTTTCACACTAAACACAAGGCACTTATGGGCAGATTTTAATTTTGCTATTTCCTTTTAAATTTCTTGCAGTGCTTTTTTGAATACCAGTCAGCAACTGATGTACTTTATTCTGTGCATTTTCCTATCTTCTCTCCCACCCACACCAATACACATTGGGGATTATATCTCTTAGTGCTAATTGTTTATTGCTTGTGTTATGTCCTATGAAATATAAGAATATTTTCTGAGTGGATCATCAAGGAAGGAAATTCGTGGCCTGGATCTCATATTTTCTTATCATCCTGAATTTTTATAATTTATAATACTCATCACATTTGTATTTATTCTTTTAATGTTTTCTCAAACAGATGCTCAGCTCCATAAAGATAAATAGGAACACTTTATAATTTACCACTGTATTTCCAGTGTCTTTCACAATGCCTTAAATATAGTAGGTACTCAACCAGTACTTGCTGAATATAAGAACAATTAAATAATTGGGGGAAAAAGTGAATCAATAAAAAAGTTAAAGGAGTACTTCCCTGATGACAATAAGTGTCAATCATTTTTCTGGAGGTTTCAGTGTCTAAATTACCCCCTTAGGACATAATAGTGTGTGAATAGAGTACTACTTACTTACATTCTGGCTAAGCATGCCTATCCATTTCAAAATGTAGAGCAAGTTGTATTTCTAGACAAGCTCCATTGTTACGGCACAAAGAAAAAGAATTTTGCCAAATCCTAGCATACATTTAACTACTATCATTTTAGTATGCTGCCTTTTTTACTTTACTCAAGTGTTTCCATAAGATTTGGCAAACACAGAGCAAAAAGACTTTAAGAATTTAGAGTCTGCAATCATATTAATAAAGAAGAATCACTTGCATTTCACAGGGAAAAGATATTTTATGAAAGTTGTTTTGTTTGCATGAAGTAGCCATTTAATGAAGAGAGTTTTCTTCTAATTTTGTAGAGTTTCTCTTTTCTCTACTAAGATATTTTCCCTGAGCCTTTAAACCATAAAAATAAATATTTCAGTCAAGTGTAGAACAATAAAAGAGATGGATTTTCTCATTCTTTCCAATGATATCTGAAGTTAAAAGACACAAAGAGATACGTGTGAAACACTTGGCTCAGTTACTGGTTACAGCAGTGAATCAGCAGCTCAGAAATGATGTGAGAATTTAAGGCTCATTGTTAGTGCAATTCAGATAGTTTCCCTCCACGTTGATTGCAGAAACATTTTTGGGATCAACCTGTCCCCTACTGACATATAACTTAACTTCCAATTTAGTTTTTATTTTTTCTAACTGAATGGATATATTCACAGATCTTACACTTAAATTTTAGCTGAACATAGCTTTAACTTTTGCTTTTGAATTATAACTACACTAACTAGGTTTGGATATTTTTTCTATGATCTATCATTAAAAATACTAAAATCTTTTAAAAGTGGTATATAAGCTTTATAAGTGGATTTAATTTTAAATATTTTCAAATCCTTTAACTACATGATATGCACATTTTGCATCCCCAACATTTGGTAATTTCTTTATTATTATTATACTTTAAGTTCTGAGATACATGTGCAGAACATGCAGGTTTGTTACATATGTATACACGTGCCATAGTGGTTTGCTGCACACATCAACCCGTCATCTACATTAGGTATTTCTCCTAATGCTATCCCTCCCTAGTCCCCACTCCCAGGCAGACCCCAGTGTGTGATGTTCCTCTCCCAGTGTCCATGTGTTCTCTTTGTTCAACTCCCACTTATGAGTGAGAACACGAAGTGTTTGGTTTCCTGTTCTTGTATTAGTTTGCTGAGAATGATAGCTTTCCACTTCATCCATGTCCCTATAATGGACATTAACTCATCCTTTTTATGGCTGCATAGTATTCCATGGTATATATGTGCCACATTTTCCTTATCCAGTCTATTATTGATGGGCATTTGGGTTAGTTTCAAGTCTTTGCTATTGTAAACAGTGCTGCAATAAACATATGTGTGCATGTGTCTTTAGAGTAGAATGATTTATAATCCTTTGGGTATATACCCAGTAATGGCATTGCTGGGTCAAATGGTATTTCTGGTTCTAGATCCTTGAAGAATTGCCACACTATTTTCCACAATGGTTAAACTAATTTACACTTTCACCAACAGTGTAAAAGTATTCCCATTTTTCCACATCCTCTCCAGCATTTGTTGTTTCCTGACTTTTTAATGATCACCATTCTAACTGCCATGAGATGGTATCTCATTGTGGTTTTGATTTGCATTTTTCTAATGGTGAGTGATGATGAGCCTTTTTTCTTATGTTAGCTGGCCACATAAATATCTTCTTCTGAGAAGTGTATGTTCATATCCTTCACCCACTTTATGATGGGGTTGTTTGTTTTGTTTTGTAAATGTGTTTAAGTTCTTTGTAGATTCTGGATATTAACCCTTTGTCAGATGGATAGCTTGCAAAATTTTTCTCCCATTCTGTAGGTTGCCTGTTCACTCTGATTTGATAGTTTTTTGTTGTTGTTGTTTTGTTTGTTTGTTTTTTTGCTGTGCAGAGGCTCTTTAGTTTAATAAGATCCCATTTGTCAATTTTGGCTTTTGTTGTCATGCTTTTGGTGTTTTAGTCATGAAGTCGTTGCCCATGCCTATGTCCTGAATGGTATTACGTAGGTTTACTTCCAGAGTTTTAATTGTTTTAGGTCTTACATTTAAGACTTTAATCCATCTTGAGTTAATTTTTATATAAGGTGTAAGGAAGGGATCCAGTTTTAGTTTTCTGCGTATGACTAGCCAGTTTTCCCAACACCATTTTAGTAAATAGGGAGTCCTTTCCCTATTGCTTGTTTTTGTTAGGTGTGTCAAAGACCACATGGTTGCAGATGTGTGGCGTTATTTCTGAGGCATCTGTTCTGTTCCATTGGTCTATGTATCTGTTTTGGTGCCAGTACCATGCTGTTTCGGTTACTGTAGCCTTGTAGTAGAGTTTGAAGTCAGGTAGCGTGATGACTTCAGCTTTGTTCTTTTTGCTTAGGATTACCTTGGCTCTACGGGCTCTTTTCTGGTTCCATATGAAATTTAAAGTAGTTTTTTCTAATTCTGTGAAGAAAGTCAGTGGTAACTTGATGGGGATAACATTGAATCTATAAATTACTTTGTGTAGTATGGCCATTTTCATGATATTGATTTTCCCTATCCATGAGCATGGAATGTTTATCCCTTTGTTTGTGTCCTCTCTTATTTCCTTGAGCAGTGGTTTGCAGTTGTCCTTGAATAGTTCCTTCACGTCCCTTGTAAATTGTATTCCTAGGTATTTTATTCTCTTTGTAGCAATTGTGAATGAGTCCCCTCATGGTTTGGCTCTCTGTTTGTCTATAATTAGTGTATAAGAATGCTTGTGATTTTTGCACATTGATTTTGAATCCTGAGACTTTGCTGAAGTTGCTTATGGAGGTTTTGGGCTGAGATAATGGAGTATTCTAAATACACAATAATGTCATCTGCAAACAGAGACAATTTGACTTCCTCTTTTCCTATTTGAATACCCTTTATTTCTTTCTCTTTACTGATTGTCCTGGCCAGAACTTCCAATACTATCTTGAATACGAATGGTGAGAGAGGGCATCCTTGTCTTGTGCCAGTTTTGAAAGCCCATTTTGCCCATTCAGTATGATATTGGCTGTGGGTTTGTCATAAATAGTTGTTATTATTTTGGGATATGTTCCATCAATGCCTAGTTTTTTGAGAGGTTTTAGCATGATGGGGTGTTGAATTTTATCGAAGGCCTTTTCTGCATCTATTGAGATAACCATTTGGTTTTTGTCATTGGTTCTGTTTATGTGATGGATTACATTTATTGATTTGCATATGTTGAACCAGCCTTGAATCCCACGGATAAAGCCTACTTGATTATGGTGGATAAGCTTTTTGATATGCTGGTGGATTTGGTTTGCCAGTATTTTATTGAGGATTTTTGCATCAATGTTCATCAGGGACATTGGCATGAATTTTTCATTTTTTTGTCTGCCAGGTTTTCATATCAAGATAATACTGGCTTCTAAATTCCCACAGGAGAAAGTGGGAAAGATCTAAAATCGACACTCTAACATCGCAATTAAAAGAACTAGAGAAGCAAGAGCAAACAAATTCAAAAGCTAGCAGAAGACAACAAATAACTAAGATTGGAGCTGAACTGAAGGAGATGGAGACATGAAAAACCCTTAAAAAAATCAATGAATCCAGGAGCTGTTTTTTTTTTAAAGATTAACAAACTAGATAGACCACTAGCCAGACCAATGAAGAAGAAAAGAGAGAATAATCAAATAGACACAATAAAAAATGATAAAGGGCATATCACCACTGATCCCACAGAAATACACACTACCATCAGAGAATACTGTAAACACTTCTATGCAAATAAACTAGAAAATCTATAAGAAATGGACACATTCCTGAACACATAAACCCTTCCAAGACTAAACCAGGAAGAAGTCAAATCCCTGAATAGACTAATAACAAGTTCTGTAATTGAGGCAGTAATTAATAGCCTACCAACCAAAAAAGCCCAGCACCAGAAGGATTCACAGCCAAATTCTACCAGAGGTACAAAGAGGAGCTGGTACCATTCCTTCTGAATCTATTTCAAACAATAGAAAAAGAGGGGATCCTCCCTAACTCATTTTATGAGGCCAGCATTATCCTGATATCAAAACCTGGCAGAGACACATTTGGTTCTTTTAAGCAATAGATTAGCCTCAGTTTTAGTATGGTACCTCTCTCAGAATCAAAAGACTGGACCATCATAAAAATCACACTCTCCCTTAACTCACTATTTTTAAGATTAATCACATTCACATGTATTTTTTTGACTATTTCTAAGGGAGACTGTGTTTTATTCACTGCTGTACTGCAAATGTTTTCTTTCCCTTCCCATGAATATTTCTGGAAATCTCCTGTGTTTATTTACTTAATTTGCTTTGTTTTATAGTTTACAAAAGGGCCATTGTAATATGGTATGAAGTTTGTATTCTTCAATAAAACTTAAATCACTAGTTATTCTCTAATACTATAATTGTCAATGATAATGTCTTCTGTGTAAACCTGGCAATTTTCACTTAATTGCTTCCATGTTTATAAAAGACATAAAAGATGATTAACATCTGGTCTACTGTGGAACAGGCCTTGGAAATTACTTAAATAACTTTCCGTTGATACCTTGGGCCATAATCACTAATGGCTTATATAACTTGCAAATGATTCAAATCATTTTATTCCACAAATATTTAGCAAAATAGTAGCAAAAATATGACTTGGCTTAAAACCGTCACTTATTTATTGAGGGCATTGCATAACTTAAGCTAATTATGATTGTTAGTTTTAGATAAATGCATTAGTAGGCTTCCCTTTGGCTCTTGAAATGAATGTTTCTCAAATCAACTTGCCATAGAAAACTTTAAATGATCCTATTTTAAAATACCAGATACAAAATATACTTTAATCAGATGCAAAGGTCATTTCTATTTTCTCTAGATTTATCTTATTTATACTGAAAGATGGAATGGTATGATGTAACATGGCCACCAATCATCAATGAGATAAAATTTAACTCAAAAACATTCACTTAATTTTAGAGGCATTTGTGAAAATACTGTAACAGTGAACTTTTGAAATTTAAAGGAATGATTCTAATTAAATCAGTGACTTTGCCACGTATCAGAAACACCTAGTTAAAGTTGCACTTTTTGCGTTGATAGGATGCTCAGCTATTAGGTGTCACAGTATTAATGCTAAAAGCTGATCTGAAGCAGGGAGATTAGGGATTGCCAAAGTGGTATAAATCAGTTAAGAGTGTTGCCTGCAGGTCGTATTTGTTTCTTTTTATTTTATATTACTTTTCTGTACAGTCAAAGGATAAGTAATTTTTGTTGATGTGAAAATACATTGTTTATTCCTAGTAGCCCCACTATATTTTATTTAATAGCCTTAAAAATTTTCGAAATCACTGCCTTACTTTGTTCCTACCAAAGAAAATGTAATTTAATAAACCAACTTTTGTTATATTTAAAGCATATAATGATGATTGTTCTAAGGGGAGTTGCATTTTAACTGTTGACGCCAAGGCCAAGATAATTATTTGCCTTAAATAATAACTACAATGGAAGAATTATAGGCATATTTAAAATAGAAAAGGTGTTTAATAATTGTGATTTTAAACATTTAAAAATTAGAAAAAGCATTTGGAAGAAAATTAAATATTCCTATAATTTCGTTAACCAGAGATATACCCTGGTGTTATTTTGGAATATTTTCTTGTATTTATATACTGATGATTCTTGAGCATACATAATTTTACTTTTTGTTATTTTATTGAGAAAAGAGTGAAAATTAATACATAAATGTTTTCCTTCTGTTAAGGGTTCCTGTCTAAGACTCCCTAAGCACTGATAGACTGCCACTAAACACTCATCCACCAGGAGGAATAGAAATTTTGAAGCAATTAAACCTTTAAGTTTCAAATTTCTGCCCAAGATATAAGACAGTGTATTAATCCCTCTTTTCCCGCAATATCTTCATCTTAACTTCTCTTTGCTTCCCCTTCCACAACCTTAACCTTCAATGCTCTCGAACCTTCAAAATCATTCCTTTGCATTGTGTTCTCTGTAACAACAGCAACAAAAACAGCAGCTCTGGCATCTTTCAGTTCTGAACAAGAGGTCGTAAATGGTAGGTGTTTCTTGCCTAGAACAATGCAACCTTGAAGGATTCAGAAATGCAAGTTGTATATTCTCTGGGTTGGGAATTGAGATGAAGAGTTTGCTAAATCTCAAATGCCACTTTTACTATCTTATGTTCCAGTGTGGCTCAGGCTTTCTGGATATTTATGAATTGGTGCCACTAAATATCCAGGTCTCCATTCTTACTGGGCCCTAAATTCTGCTCAGCAATCCATCTTCATTTTCCTGCACATTCTTCTGTCAGAAAGAAAATATTTCATTATTTTTCTACTTTCCTCAAACCTTAGATTTCATTTTCTCTCCTCTTGTGCTCATAAGATACCTTACTTCCATCCTTAGACAGTACCAAATAGAAATAACTTTTATGTTTTGATGTGAAACGTAGGAACTTAACATAAACAAAGTCTTTCTCCCTTCTCTCTTTTCTTAACCAGTGGAAAATGTTGGCTCTGTTTGCATTCAGATTTCCTTCACTTCCACTATTGTATACAGTATTGATTATTGTGTATGCTGTTGATTATTATCCTTTCTTCCTTTCTATTGGTGTGTTCTCATGACCTTCAAATACCTTCAAGTTATTTTTTAATTGAAAAAATATTGCTTTATTGTAATGTTTCTGTTACCATGTTCCCCATTTCTCTGTTAAAACAAGCACCACTGTCTCCATATCTTTACTTCACTAATTTCCTATTAATGCTTCAACTTGAAACAATCTGACTTCTGCCTGTAGTATTCCACTGAAACATCCGTAAGTTATCCAGTAACTTTCCTATTGAGGAGTCCCGTCATTTATTCTTAGCTTACTTGACTTCTCCATACTTTTTGGCACTTTTTTTTTTCTTGAATCCATCTGCTTGTCCTCTCTTACTCTGCAAACTCCTGACATTTTTTTTCTGTCCCTATAGTCACTACTTCTCAGATATTCTGTATGGATATCTTCTTATTTAACATATTTTCCAAGAACACATCTTCCACTAATTTTTTTCCTCAATACTCTTTGTCCCTCGGTGATATGCTAAGACTAACCAATATCAGCTAACATGCCAGATCTCCTAGAGACTCATACTCTTCCATGAGAATGGACAGGAGCTGAAGTCTACAACAGGAGCTAGATGTCTCAGAGGCTCTTCAAACTCAGCCTCTTTACAACTGGATTCCCTGTCTCTTACATAAAACCAATTTTTCTTTCTATGCTGCCTACTTAATCCTGAAAATTATTCTTGACTCCAGCACAACGAGTCAAGAAATCTTGTAGAGTCTAATTCTAACATGGCATGGCTGCATTCACTTGTCTCCACCTCTGTAGCTACTAGTATGGTTCAAGTATACGTTTTTTTCTTCCCTATACCAACAATCTGCTAACTCATAACTTTTGCCATCAGTCTTGCTTTCTTCCAAGCCATCTACCACACTCTAATAAGCCTGATACTTCAAAAACACTAATCTACTTGCCTGAGTAGCAAACTTAAATCCTTTCAAAAAATTTTACTCGCTCATAGAATAAATTCCTTAACATGCATGATCATGCTTTGTCTTACCTCTCCAACTTCATTTCTCACAAGCTCTTTTTGCACACAGAAACACAATGTGTGTACACACACACACACACCATAGATTTCCTTCAAATATTACTGAATTCCAATTTCCACTTAATCCTTGTTTAACTGGTGTCATCATTCTATTTACCTGTAGGATTTTGCATAATCTGTTCTCTCATATCAATACTATTCTCTACTTTAACCCCTCCCTTTCTAACTGTTGGTCATCATTCTTATCTGTGTCAGTCAGAACTAAAATATGTTGCAATAAATCTTAAAGTCCTATAGCAACAACAATTTATTTAGGTGATTTATATACAAACTATTTAAGACATCACTGTCACTCACTTTCAATGACTCAAGCAAGACATACAGCTATTTCTAAACTCAAGGGAGAGTAAGGATTGGAGTGAGGAAGTACAATACTACCAAATACAAAGAAGGAAGATAATTAGATTATTTGTGAAAAGTATCCAAAAAGAAAACACAGAAAACTTATGAGCAGTCCTAAGGATATGCATATAGTTTCAACTTCAATAGCATTTCATCAGAAAGTTGCCAACATAACCCCCCAGCAGGTCCTAGATAGGTGCCTGTCTGAGTACTTCCATATTAAAAGTTCTTCATCATGTAATTTATGGAAATGCATTGTATGCATTGTAGTTTTGTAGTTTTGAAAAATTGTTTTAGAGACAAGATCCCACTCTGTTATTCAGGCTGGAAAGCAGTGGAACAATCATAGCTTACTGTTGCCTCAAACTCCTCAGCTCAAGCAATTTACCCACCGCAACCTCCCCAAATAGCTGTGACTGCAGGCATGCACCACCACACCTGGCTAATTTTTTTTTTTTTTTTTTCTCAAACTCTTGGCCTCAAGCAGTCTTCCTACCGTGGCTTTCCAAAGTCCGGAAACACAGGTGTGAGTGATTCCTTCTGGCCTGAAATTTCTTCATTATTTATTTGCATCTACTACTAGACTATAAGTTTTGAAAGGCAAGCCCTTTGTCAGTCACATTATTTTAACACTTAGCAAAGGAGTTGGCACATGTAGGATACCCCAAAATATTTATTGCTGCAAAATAATTGCTAACATATACTATTTTAAATTATCACAAAAATGGGAAGTATAATATAAAAGTTTACATTGGTCTTTAACTCAATGGATTGTGATAAGCCATTAAACAAAACACAAAATACAGACTTGTAATGTGCAATTAAGACCATTAAAGACTTTTAAATTTTGTATTATAAAACTTTAGCTAAAAGTCAGATAGCTCTCAAACGAGCCATAAAAATAATTGAAGGACTGTAAGTTTGGGAAAATGTTTTCTAAACTATAACTAACAGAGTTGTATTTCTTGTTAATACCATTATAAAATAATACACTTTGGAGATTGCCTTATATTGCATTTTCACATCTATGTATCTGAATTGATATTTAATGGTAGAACTCATTAGGGATTTGGATGCATGACCTCAATAATACAAACAATAATGTTTGGCTCTTGTTCTATCTGGAAACACTTATACTGGCTAATTATTGCTGGAAAAAATAGCAACTTTGCATCAATTATATTTTATAAAGATAATTGAGTTTTGTAACTATTCTCTAAAATTTTAAATAACAATTTAAAATGGGTCCATTGGATAAATTTATTTAAAAACTGAGATGTATATCATATGGTTACCAACCTGCCAGACCATCAAGTGTCTAAAATTTAGCAATTTTCAAAGT
This sequence comes from Homo sapiens, assembly GCF_000001405.40. NCBI lineage: Eukaryota > Metazoa > Chordata > Mammalia > Primates > Hominidae > Homo > Homo sapiens. Next base: position 30,303,828 of record NC_000018.10, read on the forward strand.
GTCATTTGGGACATCTTAAGTTTGAGTGAGACAATTTAATGGGTGTGTCAACTACTGATGAATCTACATTATCTATACTTACATACGATAATATTAGCAAAAGCAATGTATCTGGACCACAAGCACTTGGTTCTCTAGAGAAATGCCTTTATCAACAAAAGGTAATGTTATGTACAATTCTATGTAGAACAATAGCAATTTTGAATCTTGATATTTTTTGCAGGCATTGGAAGTTTAGGAAATCAATTTATTCTTTTTAAGCTCTTTTTCCTGTAAAATTGATATTATAATAGTTAAAGTATTTTATATCATAAATAGAATTTATTTACAACATGTCTATCATTCATGTAATCACAATTTTTATTATTAGTCATAGATAATTAATACCCATATCACTAAACAGATTTTTGTCACACCTCCCTAAAGCAAAGATAATGCCCAAAATATCACTCCATTACTGAGAAAGGCATGGTTGGAGGACATGGCTAAGGAATACAGGAAGAATGTGTTTCCTAATAGTAAACCACCTAATTTCCTAGGCTGACTCATTGACAGTATGGATTGGGCAGTCCTCTACTCACCCCTCTCTGCATACTAGGGTGACTGAGGACCTGGAAGAACATTTGCATCCAGAGCCAATGCCCCGGAAGGCAAGAGCTCATGGTCTGAGCATAAGATGAAGTGCTGTTCTATTATACCTTCATGAACCCATTATATCTTGCAGAGCCCACACATAAATGGTGACCCAGTAACTGAAACAAAGACAGTTGAAATAATCAGAAATTACCTAAATGGTTTCATGAGAAGTGTCCATTATAGCCCAGATGAAAGTTGGTGTTAATTTTCTGTTTATGATTCAAAAATTACATTGAATCTCATTAACTGTTAAGATGCTTTTTGGCTTTATTGAATTTTATAGAGTATAAATTAAAAATTACTTGTTTATCTGTTGAAAAACACACAATGAAATGGCCCTATGTATGTTAGTTTCTGGAACTGATGGAGCTCTTTTCCTTTAAGAAACTAGAATATAATTGAGAAGACAATGCGTACCTATTTATGTATATTTTAATTTGGTAGTGTTATTTTTCCAAAATAAGAGCTTCGATATTTTTTCTTTAGTCATCAAGTTGACAAGATTCTTGACTTCTTGTGTCTAGTTCTTATATGTTAAGTTTTTCTTTCCTAAACCCAGAGCCATATGGAATTTTCCCCCTCCTGATTCAAAAAAGCAAACCTATTAACTCAGATAATTAAAATACAGTAAAAAAGTAATCAAGTCACATAAAACAGAGAGCTGAATATGAGGAGTGGGTTAAATCCCGCCAGAGTTCCACTGAAACCAGAAAAGGTCAGTGTCCCCTTCCACAACATATTTCAGTATAGAATTTTTGAAATTCTTATTTCTATTCCAGTTTGAGTAGTTTCTTCATTCTCCCTGAATCTCGCAATACAATTGAGTGAATGAAAACATTTTTAGTGGATGGGTTTTTTCACATGTCCAAGTCTTCAGTAGGGATTCTCTTCATAATTTCACAATATGCTCTGGGAAGCTAGTTCCTAGGAGTGAGAAGGTTTTTACTTTTCCACGGCGATCGTCAACAGCTTCACAGATGTGAGGACTCTGATTGACAGATGACTCTTCTTGTATTGACAGTGACTTCATGGCAGTAAATATGAGAGAAGAAGCCATAAATATGGACACCTGCATGGACAGCATTTACATTTCTTAGGTGACAGTGGACAAGCAGGCTTACAGACTATAGAACTAGCTGCTGGTCTTCTCTTTTGCCTCTTTTTCTAGGAAACAAAGAAAATTAAGATTCTCTCTCTCTCTCTCTCACCCACTCCATCTCTCCCATCTTACTCTGTTTTGTTCACCCTTCATGGATAGAAAAATATGTCAACATCTTCAAGCCTAGGAAACAGAACAACAACAACAAAAAAAAAAATGGACCGAACAAGGAAAGGAGAAGTAAAAGAAAAGAAAGAGTGGAAAGGCCTAAATGCATTATGGTGGGGTGACTGCTAGACGTTTTGATGAACTAGGTATTGTTGTCTTACCAAATTTTGCATTTCTTTGTATACTTGATTAAAGTCAAGATTGAACATGTCCATCCTAATTTAGACACATATTAATTTGGGAGAAAGTTTATTATATCTGGATTTTCATCTCTGCCATCCTCTCTGACAGGATGTGTGTAAAGTATATTTCCCAGCGTATTTCAGGAGTGGAATAACAATACGATCTCATCAGGTGTTTCTCACATTCCTAGAATATTTGAAAGCTGTAGCATGTAGCTAGTCCCCAAACTTTTACCCCTAAAATTAGTCGTTCTACCAGGTTTTAAAATATCCCACTTATGTGAATGTAAAGAAGATGTATGTTATTTAATCTGTTGGATGTTTTCTGCAATGTTAGATGACCGGTAAGCATATTTGTCAATCAAGACTGCACACTTAATCTTTTCCCTTGGCATATTAATATAATCTTCCTCTGAAACCAGAAAGTGTGAATGAAAAACAGTTTTGTTTGAGGGCCTTTTCTGCAATTTTCTCTCTAATACCTCAAAAACAAAAGCACAAGAAAAACACAAAAATGCTAATACTTTCTTACAAATATGTTGAAGATAGCATTTTTTGATAAAATTCACATTAGGACATATTATATTATTATTGAGAGTTTTATAAATTAACATGATTTTATGTATATACTTTGTGAAAAATTTACTACTAAATTATTTGTATGTATGTGTAGATGCATTTTTGGAAATCTGGTGCAAAATCAGAATAAAATATTTGCATAGAATGAATGTAAGTGTTTAGTATGCACTGTAAGCTTGCCTACCATGAATTACAGAGTAACTTGAAGGTAAAGTAATAAATATAGCTAGCTGTTGAATACTGAAAAAGACTTTCAACATGAATAGAGTCCATTTAAGCCAGGCATTACAAGTGAGAACGTTTGCATTAATTCACTTCTAGGATTATGAAATATAAGAACACAAGTCCAAATAGTTGAAAATGTCATAAACCAAAATGTGATGCTAAAACAGTAAGTTGTTTTAAGACTCAACTAGGAATGTCATTGACATTTTGTAGACAATCAATGATTTTTCCTTCCCAATTCAGACCCTCCTTTTTTATTGAAAAGATGAAAACAAATAGTCGAGCAGAAGATATAAGTAAAATCTTAATTTAACAAAGTAAAGATATCTTTGTATATAAATCTCCACTTTGGAAATAGAACATTTACAAATCTTTAAGAGCTTAAAACAAACCATACATCTTTATTTTAAGGAATATGATATGTAAAATCCTGGTCGATTACTTTAAAATATCGATAAATACCAAGTGTCTAAGCTATAGCTTAAGTAAACAAGGGAAGTAAGGACTTTGGCATTCTTAGCTCAAATACTTTTGACCTGTATGTACACATGATATCTTTTTAAAATTTTGTTTAGAAAATGCAATGTATGAAGAATCTATGTACTCTTTTCATACGATTGCATAGAGACTTCTAAATATTTCCCTCAGTTTTGCAAGTTAGCTATTATTATTATTCATTGTAACATATAAGAATATGAAACTAGTCTTTAAATAATTGACTTCTCTAAAAGAGGGAGTTGGCTTGCATCCAGATATCTATGATTGCAGGTCCTTATTTTTTTCCTTTTTTAAAAAAATTTATTTCTTCTTTTCTAAACTTGTTGGCACTGCTTATTTCCTCTCTCTCTCTCTCTCTCTCTTTTTTTTTTGGAGACAGTCTCACTTTGTGGCCCAGGCTGGAGTGCAGTGGTGTGATCTCTGCTAACCGTAACCTTCACCTCCCGGGTTAAAGCGATTCTCCTGCTTCAGAATCCAGAGTAGCCGGGATTAGAGGCACTCGCCACCATGCCCTGCTATTTTTTTTTTAAATATTTGTATTAGAGACGGGGTTTCACCAGGTTGACCAGGCTGGTTTCAAACTCCTGACCTCAAGTGATCCGCCCACTTTGGCCTCCCACAGTACTAGGATTACAGGCGTGAGCCACCGCGCCAGGCCAGGTCCTTATTATTTTTATTCTATCAACAGTGTGACTCTCTTTATTAAAAAGAGAACTAGCAAGAACATGAACAACAAAAGCAAAAACCCTGGAGAAAAAGGAAGAGGTGGGTAGAGTGGGTAAGGCAAAAATATCCAACTAGCAAAATAATGACTGAATGGAAAATATGAGTACAAGTTATGTAGATTGTAATGGTTCTATATTATTTTTATGTTTACAGTAATATCAAAGCAAGAATAATAAATGTGTAAAAATTTGATGTACATGTAATAAATGTTGATAGGACTTGCTATGTTAAAATAGTGAATATAACAAAAGATAATTTAATAGAAAGACCTAAATATTCTCGAAATGACCAAGCATTAAAAGTCTCAAAAATATCGGGAAATAGTTATATTTTGGAATAAAGTAAGGAATCTGTAAATTTTGCCCTTTGTAAAGATCTATCTATATATCATCTAACTATCTATCTATTTATCATCTATCTATCTGTCTATATCCCTGTTTGTTAAATGTCTAAGATAGAGTGAGGAAATGATAGAGCCAGGTTTAAATCTAAGAAGTCAGTTCTGAATCAGCTTCTTAAAGCAATCCATTGTACTACAGAGTGTAGGTATTTTCTGAAACTGCCAACAAGGTCCCTTCTCCACGCTCATAGGTCCCTTACTCCCAATATTCAGTTACTTTCTTATCTATGAAAATATAGGTACCTGCTTGTTTACATATAAACTATATCCCAGTTGTACACATTTTATACCCATGTTGCCTGTCAATGCACTTTGTTAAACAAACCATTACATATCTTCATAAAATAATTATGTAAATCTCTTAGAGGCAAAAGCAGAGGTCACTTTTTTTTCTCTCCTCCCCTCTGATGTTTAGAGAAACTCTGGCTTGTTCAGACATTCAAAATGTAGATTTAATTGTTAGACCTGTCCTGTCCTGCTGAAAGGTATAAAAGTTTAGTGATTGTCATGTAGATGGATCTACACACGTAAACTTTGACAAGAGCTGAGAGATGGCACAGCATAACAAATCATGTTTTGGCATTTTGCAGGCTAAATTGATGTTAACAACTACAGAAAAATAGTGTAGATGGCATGGCTTCAAAAAGCTGTTTTAAGATAGAATGGAGATAACATTCCAAATGGTTGCAATTTTTTAGACCTGATGTTAGAGTGAATAATACATTATTAACAGCAGTTAAATAATTTTCGAACACAGTAGAAAATTGTGGGGTTCTAAATTTGGAACAAGAGCCTACTAGTTCTAAATTGAACTTTTCTTTTTAAAAACATGAATTCAAAATAGTTCTTTGTTCTGTCATTCTAAATTATATCTGAAAAATTATATTTGAAAAAGTATTACTTTCAAAGGTAGAAATATGGCAGTTTTAATAAATGATTCCCATTCAGTTAGAATAACTAGTGTGTTTATTTGAAACTTTGAATATGTTAAACATTGAATGATTTGTAAAACTTGAAATTTTTAAATTAGCAATTCCAAGATTATTGTTAGAGAAGATTTAACATCTTAATGTGACAAGATAGGCACATTATATCCATTCAAGAAAATGAAACACAAGGTCTTGTAGACTATTACATCATGCATGTATATAATTCCAAGTTCCTGAAACTGAGGTTGCTGGTACTTTTTATTATTTTCTCCAATAGTAATTCATAAATTTCCTCTGGCTCAATCTAATTTACTAAGTGATAATAGTGACCTTGAATATTGCTTGAGATCTCTTGAGGCCTATTGTCCTCCTCTGCAAAATGGAATGCTGTTAAATTTAGTACCTACTTTTGAGAGTTGTTGTGGCTGAGATATTAAAAGTGTAAATGAAAATGTATCCTTCTTTACGTCGATTAAGATTCTTTGGTAAAAGATCAATCAACCCTCTCAAGAGGCCATTTTTCCTCCTAAAAGTGAAAACTGATTACAAGTTTTTGTTTATGACCCTTAACTTTTTCTTCTCCATTTATTACTGATTTTGCCCTCTTCTTGTGTGAGAAACCCAGAATTATTAGAGGAGGAAGTATCCTATATGTGACCACATGAAGTATATAAATTCCACATACAGTCCTGGCCTGATTTTCCTTAATTCCAGATCATTTTCTTTCATTAACAAGCTGCTAACTCAATTAGACTTTTCCTTACAATTAGGTAAGTAAATACAAATAAAGATATGTTTGTAAATTCTAAATCACTAGAAGTATTTTTAAAATCAACCAGTTCTCTATCAAAGCCTACCAAACATCTGTTAAATTCACCAACCACTAACTAAGCTCTTGTCTATAAAATAATATTTCTTTTGCCCATATCATGTGCCAGGTAAGTGCTTAAGTATATTTATCCCACTATTTCCTCACTTCTCAGAAAATGAAAACACAGAGAGGTAGGTCACATAAGTTTTAATAAAATAAGAAGCAGAGCCAATAATTGAACCCAGGCAATTTGTCTTTAAAATGCTATTGAGCACCCTTTTCTGTTATATATCTAATGATTTGTATCTCCATTTGAAATCAGCAGGAAACATCTAATGTTATTTCAAAAAAGACATAATTGTGAACCACAGAATGAATATTAACATGTTTATACATTTCTATATAATATTCTCATGTCTGAAAGACTTAAAGTTTTAGGAGTTTTCCAAACCTACGTAATGACATTTAACCAAAGAAAATGAGGATTTACCACAACTTCTTGGATCAACTTATACTATGAATCACATTTACTAAAGTGGAAAGCTTGAACATATTGGCATTTTTTTTCTCATTCAACAGATTTCTCTCAACCCCTTACATAAAAAACCATCTACCCACTAGATTAATTCTGTACATATCAATATTATAGAAATGTATCCTGTGGAATTTTCACAGACACCTACACATGCCAGGTTTAGAATTCCTCAAGGCTATATTTTTTATCTTCTGTATTTTCTATGAGAAAAATATGTTTCAACATCATAAAATATAATGTATTTGTTTATTTAACTGTATATATAATCAATGCATGTATTTATTATTCTCAAGAAAAGCAATTATTTTAATTATATAATATAGTCTTCAGATATTCAAAGTTGGTTTTAAAAAATATATTACTAAGATCCTTTTAACCAGTACACATAGGGGAAAATAAAAGTAATGTGAACACTCCAGAAGTTATTTCATTCCTGTGAAAAATTCTTCCGTATGTGCATGCGAAAGGATATTATAGATTTCTCCACAGAGTAACCACACAAGAAGAGAAAACAGAAGGGGCCAGTAAAAACAAACAAACAAAAAACTAAAATAATGATTAACAGAACAATTTATATAAAAAAGAACATATACCCATTAGTAGTTTAAATTTAAGTGAATTTAAGTTGTCCAGCATTTTCTAAAGGCCTCAAGATAACTTGATTAAAATTTACTCTTCTAGAATATATTCTAGAAGTTCAGGGATAATATAGCTTCAGGATTGGGATTTGTACCTCTTAAATTTTAAAACAAGCTGCTCCTAAAACAGCACACTGCCTACTTGAAATTATGCTAAACCATTAAGTTATTCTGGTACAAGAGAAAGAAGGTAACATGTTAAAATCTTGTCATTACTTCTTGTCACTTCTTGTCATTTTCTTAGGATGTATCCTATTCAAAACTAGTATGCTAAGTTTTAATTCTACCAACTCTTATATATGGAAAAAAATCAGCCTTGAATATATCTCAGCAATTGGTTCTCTCCAGTATTATATGTTTGTTTTCTTCTTTTCTTTTTCTTTTATTTTCCCTTATATGCTAAATAAAATTGTGCTACCTACAAAATTATATGTTTTATCTTGAAATACTAATATTTACCAAAAATGCCACTTGGCAGTTCGGTTTTAAACTTTTATTATTCCTAAAGATAAATATAATCATCCTAAGTATTGTAGTGTTAAGCTGCCTGGGTAGCTTCTAGATATAATTTTATACTTATTTAAAATTATAAGCTTCTGCATTTTCTCAATAGCAGGAGCAATGATACACCTGTAGATTTAGGTGAAACCCACCTGAATTAGTGATTGAAAATGCTTATTACTCTACTTTTCAGAAAGCTTTTTTAGAGTACTGAAGCCAAAACTAAAATTTTGTAGTTCAGCTCCCCAAACAATACAGTTATCTTACTCATTGTCCCTATATTTTATCACTTCTAAGCTGAAATGTTCTGAATTTGATATAAGAAAGTACTGCTAATTAGTATTTACAGAAACACTGAGGCAAAAAAAAGTATCATGTTTAATATATATGGTTGTCAATAAAAAATACGTTTTAAAAATAGTATTTTGTTTTAATAATATCTCATTTCCATCTAAGTAAAAACACATTGGATTTTTCCATAGGCACAGTTCTGAATCTAGTTACAAGAGGATCAAAAAAAATGGAAGCAACTAATTCAACCAATTTTAAAGCTTCCAAAATAAATACAAGAAATTCCAGTAGGATAATTTGCTTATTTCAGAAGGACCCCTATGATGAGGAACACTTGAACACCTGAATGAATAATAATAATAATAATAGTACATAAAATAAATGAGGTTTAGTTTGAGAAAAAAAGGAACAATTTTTACTATTGACAAGATTTGTGACTGAATCAATATAAGGAGGGAAGGAATAGCAAGTGGCAAGAATTACGTGCATACCTTTATCTTAGGTGACTTGGGATGTCACAGTAACACCAAATCAAAAATAAGAAAAATTATAGGGAAAAATTTATTAAGGGCAAAGATTACCAATACACTTTTTGCATGCTGTGTTTGATGTGCCAACATAAGACTATGATATAGCTACAAACATTTGGAAATGTAGTAGTTTAATTATTAGGAACATAGATATAATAGTAGAAGCAAACAAACAAACAAAAAAGATATGAGTAGAGTTTAATTCTTTTTTTTTTTTTTTTAGGAGATGGAATCTCACTCTGTCACCCAGGCTGGAGTGCAGTGGCTCAGTCTCAGCTCACTGCAACCTCCACCTCCTGGGTTCAAGCAATTCTCTTTTTTATTTTTATTTATTTATTTGAGACGGAGTCTCGCTGTATTGCCCAAGCTGGAGCGCAGTGGCGCGATCTAGGCTCACTGAGAGGTTCACGCCATTCTCCTGCCACAGCCTCTCGAGTATCTGGGACTACAGGCGCCCACCACCACACCCGGCTAATTTTCATATTTTTAGTAGAGACAGGGTTTCACCATATTGGTCAGGCTAGACTGGAACTCCTGACCTTATGTGATCCACCCACCTCAGCCTCCCAAAGTGCTGGGATTACAGGCTGAGCCACCGCATCCGGCCGAGTTTAATTCTTAACTCCCTTTGCAGTGTGTGACCTAGGGCAGATTCTTTAATCACTTTTGTCTGTAGTTTCCTCATCTGTAAAATATGAATACTGGCTGTAAAACCCTTAAGGAGTTGGTCTCTAACCTCAATGAGATAACCCACATCAAGTATATAAAGCACTTTGTACGATATTTGGAGATCGAACATAGTAAGTGTTTATTTAATAAGCTAACATGAGGAGTCTGAATTTGAAATATTCATTTCAGAAGCTTAGCATATAAATTGCAATCATAAGCATGAAGTTGGATAAAATGATCTAGGGAAAATGCATAGTATGAGAAGTAAAGGTTATTTTCCCCTTCATGGGTATTGTTTTCTTTTTTGTTCTTTCTTTTTTCAAAAAAATTGGTTTTTGCTTAATTCAGAAGTGAGTCAGTAAGACATTTAAAAGAATAGTTTTATGAATGTATATTGTGACTAACTTCCCCCAAATATTTGATACATTTAATTCACATCAAATATAATTTAAATCTTGGCCAAAAAACAGTTGAAATGTAAGTACATTTTGAACAATAAGAAAATTAGGAGTTACTGCATTATCAGGTGTTACTATAAAATGTAAAGTTTCAAAGAAATGAATTGATACTTACTTACAAAAGAATAGGCAGACCTATCAAAAGAAAGCCAGATATTCAGACCCTTTAATCAATGAGAAAGATGGTGCTAGGAAAATGAGTCAAACATTTGAATCAAAATCAAGTCCTTATAGCTATTTAAATACACATGTACACATACACTACTAACTTCTAGATGAGTTAAATAATATTTTAAGAATAAATAATAAAAGAATTAGAAGATGATACCAGTAGTCACCGTCTGTGTTGGCTTTGAGAGATCTCTTTTAATGAGAGATATTTCAAAGGAACTAACTATAAAGAAAGAGATTAGTAAGTATGACAACTTAAACATTTTAGAAACACCAATGACAAAATTGAAGTAGAAATATTATAAATGGATGACAGTATGTCAGTTTTATATATATATATATAACCTGTAACAGGCAATCAAAAATTTATGTACACAAATAACACAAACAGGCAATTTATGGAATAAAAACACTTTAGAAAAAATAGTAGAAAAAATGAAAACTTCATCAATATAATTTATTTCTCTTTGGCCAGAATATATGGTTTTTTAAAAGATGACCACATATATCCTTGTCAAAGGGTAGTGACAGTTGCACACTGCTACCCCAAAATGGTAAAAGACTTGATAGTCTTTGAGGGTCATTTGTGACACATTGTGTGAATTTTTAAAATGTCCTTCCAGCAATTAACATTTAAGAAATTCTCTTAAACAAATAATGCTTTATTCATATTCAAGTAATTATTTCACTCTAGTACGTTTGTGCGTGCATCCAATAGCAGGATTTGGTTATAGGTTTTATAGGGTAGGCTGTAGGTTATAGGTTAAGCTTTAGGTTTTTTTTGTTTGGTTTTTTTTTTTTTTTTTTTTTTTTTTTGAGACGGAGTCTCGCTCTGTCACCCAGGCTGGAGTGCAGTGGCGCGATCTCGGCTCACTACAAGCTCTGCCTCCCGCGTTCACGCTATTCTCCTACCTCAGCCTCCCGAGTAGCTGGGACTACAGGCGCCCGCCACCACGCCCGGCTAATGTTTTGCATTTTTAGTAGAGACAGGGTTTCACCGTGTTAGCCAGGATGGTCTGGATCTCCCGACCTCATGATCCACCCGCCTCGGCCTCCCAAAGTGCTGGGATTACAGGCGTGAGCCTCCGCGCCCGGCCAAGCTGTAGGTTTTATAAAGTATAATGGATGTCTAAATTGTCATTGTAATAATAAATTACCAGCCTAAATAAAGTTTTAGAAAAATTTAATAGCATTGAAAAATATTTATAATTGCTTAATGACAAAAGCAGTTGACAATATATTGTATATACTATTATGTTAATTTATAATGCATATTTTGAAAATGTGTGTATAAATTACACTTGTAGCTATTTCTTTATTTATAATTGTAAAAACTGCAGATATATATAGTTTTATATATATACACAAATGCATGTATGTATGTCTATGATGTATATATACACATTTTTCTATTATGATTTTCTTTGGGCAGTTAGATTATGGGTATAAAAAACTTATTTTTCTATTTTTTCAGAAAACCCATTCTTTCGGTAATCATGAAAATATAATAAAAACTTTAGACAAAAACCATACTTTAAAATCCTTTAACAGTTGTTATTTCTTGGCCACAGCCACTCTTCCAGAATTACATAGAAATTTAACACCTACTGGCCACGCACAGTGGCTCACATCTGTAATCCCAGCACTTTGCAAGGCCAAGGTGGGAGGATAGGTTGAGGCCACGCATTTGAAAGCAGCTTGGGCAGCATAGTGAGACTCTGTTTTTTTAAAAAATAATAAAGAAATATTAGCCCGGCATGGTGGTGACTGCCTGTAGTACCAGCTACTTGGTAGGCCAAGAAGGGAGGATCCATTGATTCCAGGACTTTGAGGCTGCAATGAGCTACGATCATGCTGCTACACTCCAGCCAGGATTACATAAAAAGATCCTGGATCAGGTTTTAAGTTTTGTTTATTGAGTAAAATCTGGATTATTAGAGACGGAAAAATTGATGTCAGTCCGATAATTATCTATAGGTTTTATATACATATTATATATATATATATATGATGAGAGGACATGTAAGGAGGAAAAAGATGATGGGGAAGGGTGATCTAGGAGAGCATTTTAGTGAGTTTGGCATGGAGTGAGATTTCTTGGGTCAACCATGTTGTTAATATTTTCAGTAAGAAAGATTGATGAAGAATGTTCTAAAAAAGGCTTTTAGAATGTACGTGAATACTACTCTTCTTTGGGATTTGACGGGAGTTCTAAGGAAGGTTAATAATTAGTTGGCTATTTAAATCATGTTTTAAAAATACAATCCTGGCTTTAGATAAGACTAGAAGAAAAATGAACACTGAACATTTTAGAAGTCTGGGGCATACTGTTGGCTGATGCTCCATACCTATTTTCCTTTCTTTCTTACAAAATTCTGCTATGGATCTAGTTAGTGTCCCACTCATCTGCTCCCCACCCAACCACCCCCAGCAAAATTGGGTGCATCTGAGGAAATTAACTTTACTGCCAGCTCTGCCAGCTCCATAGATGGAACCAATTGATTTAAAGATAAGCTCATTCCCAAGTGAATGACTTAGAAATGGATACGTAACCCATTCTCAGCCTAAAAGGTATCAATGAAAATGTACTGGATTTTCACGGAGAAAGTTTTATAGCTGCTAATAGAGACCAATGTAAAAAGTTGTGGTTCTTTCCTCTTCCTCTTTATTGTCAAGTCTTGTGAATTCTGAAATAAAGGTACTCATATGGCTACAAATCTGGGGATGAAGAGAGCACAGTAAATAACAGACAAGTAATTGAAAAGAATCAGGGATGTGGAGCACTCTCCTGGGTGCTCAATAACCAGCTTTAACATCAGTGGTACCTCTGCATTTCCTAAATATTTCTTTATTGTTAAATCAATATGAATGAAAGATTCTATTACTTGTAGCCAGAAGCTTCCTACTTGAATATAGTTTACATTTTGGAGGCTATAATTTGATGTCTTGAAGCTAAATTGCCACTGTTAGAATTAAAATCTAAAGGAATGTAATTTTACTGGACATGGTAAAATTTGGACTATTATTCAGCAACAATTCATTTTGCCCACCTCTCACCATAGAAGGGCTTGTTTGTTTGTTGTTGTTGTTGTGTGTGTGTGTGTGTTTAAGCTCATTGACTTGTTCTGCCACATAAGTGCTTGTTAAAGTCAAGGCCCCAGGAGACAGTGAACTTTTTTTTTATTTTAATTTTTATTTATTTATGTTTTTTGAGACGAAGTCTCGCTCTTGTGTCCCAGGCTGGACTGCAATGGCGGGATCCCGGCTCACTGCAACCTCCACCTCCCAGGTTCAGGCAATTCTCCTGCCTCAGCCTTCTGAGTAGCTGGGATTACAGGCCCCTGCCACCATGCCCTGCTAATTTTTGTATTTTTAGTAGAGACGGGGTTTCACCATGTTGGCCAGGCCGGTCTCAAACTCGTGACCTCAGGCGATCTGCCCACCTTGACCTCCCAAAGTGCTGGGATTACAGGCGTGAGCCACCACGCCCAAGACAGTGAACATTCTCTGTGCTTTCTAGGGCTTTTGCAATCACCATAGGAAGAAGATTCCACAGTAGCCTGTGATTCCAGAAGAATGAAAGACATGTGGAGCAGCTATGGACCAAGTTAACTAGAAGCCAACTTAGATTAGCCATTCTTCAGCCACAGACATGCAGGTGGGATATAAATGTGTATGCTGTGTGCTACTCAGTTTTGGAGTTGTTTGTTATAATGTATTAGTTTTTAGCTGACTGAGAGAACATCAATTATGTTGGTTTTAGAATAATACACAATTAAAAGACAATGACGGAAATCACTCTGAGATCAACACTATAATTGTGGAACTAGTGTGAAAAATGTGATTGGATGCATTTCTCTGAGAACCAAATATACCTCTTGGTTTCAGTTATTGAAAAAAGCCTAAAAAATCCATAGTGATATGAAGATTTAAAATAAATTTTAACATGTATACCTTGTTTCTTAAGAAACTAGTCTTTCTGGACAATGTGAACAATGATGTTAGACATTAAAATCTTGTAGGCTGGGCTCTTACTGTGCTATTTGAAATTTAAAATCTTTAGAATATGCTGTGGTTAAAAAGAACAAAAAATCCTGGAAAAATTTGGATATTTATTTTTCCATTGCCTGAAGAAATGGATGGAGAATCATGTTTAGAAATTGTTATGAAAATAAAATGATAACACACTTTGAAGGTAGAGAAAGGTCACCAGCTATGTGAGGCTCAATAGGCTGTGCCATTGATATTTTTTATGAACCCCAAACCACCAGAAATTCTAAATTCAGAGAGGATATACACACAGAGAGGATATACAGAAGGGCAAACTATTATTAAGTATATCAGTATGACTAAGATTCTTATGAAGGGTAGAAATACTCAGATTTAGTAACTCCTATAACCATTCCTCTTCCAGCACGTGGTTGGGTGCAGCTTGCAATCACAAATCAAAACGGAAGAGGAAGAGGACAACTGTATAAAGCAGCGTGATTTAAGTTGATCTGTGGGACAAAGAGTTAAGCCACAAATATTTGGGGAGAGAGGTAAGATAATTTTCTTGGTCAGATTTGTGAATGATTCGATAAGGATTGAAATGGAGATGAGGGGCCAGGCACAGTGACTCACACCTGTAACCCCAGCACTGTGGGAGGCTGAGGCAAGAGGATTATTTGAGCCCAGGAGTTCTAGACCAGCCTGAGCAGCATAGCAAGACCCTGTCTCTACAAAAAGTCTTTTTAAAAAATTTGGCCTGCCGGGGAGGCGCACTCCTGTAGTCCTACCTACACAAGATGCTAAGTAGGAGGGCTGCTTGAGCCCAGGGGTTTGAGGATGCATTGAGCTATGATACAGCACTGCACTCCAGCTTGTGTAACAGAGCTGGAATCTGTCATTAAAATTTTAAAAGTAATAAAAAATAAAAATTAAAAGAAACAGAAAGGAGCAGAAGACATTTTTCCTTAAATTCTAAGAACTATTACAAATTTACTCTCCTTGATATTTCAGTAAAATGTACATTGCTTTATATCATTTTTGATGCTGAACTGGTATTTTGGTGTTATTTTGATGAGTTAGATACACATAGATACGGGGCTTTATTGAAGTTACTTTTTTTGTTTGTTTGTTTTTTATTGAGATGGAGTCTCACTCTGTTGCCCAAGCTGGAGTGCAGTGGTGCAATCTCTACTCACTGCAACCTCCACCTCCCGGGTTCAAGCAATTCTCCTGCCTCAGCCTCCTGATTATGGTGTGCACCACCATGCCTGGCTAATTTTTGTATTTTTAATAAAGAATAGAGATTTCTAATGGGATTATAGGCGTGCACCACCACACCTGTCTATTTTTTGTATTTTTAATAGAGACGGGTTTCATCACATTGAAGTTACACATTTTTATATATGAAACTTTAATATTTTAAATAACAATATACAATTCAGTTAATAAAATGAGCTAAAATATTAGGGTGTTGAAGGCATAATTTCCTATATGTAACCAAGGTTATAATTAATTTGCAAAGGAGAAAACAGGAAATTTCCTTACTTTCCTTTCTAATCTAGTTCCTCTTCTGAACCAGATGCTGTCTTAAAACCTATACTTTTTCCTTTCTTCACTTATTTTACTCCTTATGTGTCCTCAACTTTCACATCCTTTAGACAGTAAAAATAGAAAGGTAAAATAGTTACAACTACAATTTATCTAAGATGTTTGTCATAGACATGTGGAGGAAAAGGCAAACTTAAAAATTATCATGTTGAAAATCTTGCAAGGAAAAAAATTAGAAATTAAATAACACATTGTACTTAATGGAAACCTTTCTCATAGTCATGACCTAGAAATGCTATAATGCCTGCTGTTTTTAAATGTTGAACTGGGAAGAAGTAAACAAAAAATATTCTCCTATAAACTGTTAAATTGTTTAAAAAATCTCTGAGATCCTCTGCTGTATATGTTAATATATAAAATGTATATAAATCACCATGTCAGAAATTAATGTTGCAAATAACAAGATAAAAGAGAATGATGTGGCACAGACAGAGCTCCGAAGCAAAAAGAGATTGTGAAGGAGAGGACAAAGATAATCAACAGAGAAAGCCAGCCATGCAGAGCAGTGAATCATCTTATCAGGATCCTCATCAATTCCTAGATCAAAAATACTGAACTTCTACTAGGTCTGATAAGAAAATGTGTATCAACCTGTTAAAACACACACACACAGGAACTAGGAATTTGAGAAACTCCATTTATTTATGGATGAAGCAAAAACACACTTACTTTGTTAATTAAACTAACTCGATTGCAGAATGGAATGAGAATCAACATCAGCATACTCTGTCGCATGCCTATTAGAGACAAAGATCTTTAGGTTTAAAAATGGGTTGGAAATATTTTTATTCCAGATCCCCCAAAAATGTTCTCTTTTTAAAAGCCATCTTCACTTGTTGTAAAATTCACAGAAACTCGTTTGATTTAGTTCTCACTCTACCTTAGGATCTTTTGTCCTCAATCCTAATAGTTTATCTCCTGAACTCTGGTCCATCTTACTTTTAAATGTTTGTAATGTTTGCTCCCAGGAATCTTAATCAGATTATCCAGAAATCCAGCCTAATCTCTTGCCCTGATCATTATCCATATGTGGCTTTTGTGGTAGAAATTCATCTAATCACTTTGACAAATAATTATCTTAGACATTAGCTTATTTAAAGTTTCCTTGCCATTATGTTAATCCATGCATAGTATTTCTAGGTAGAATTGGTGCTTATAAGAGAAAACAATTTTTAAAATGCCAGAGATGTCTTAACAGGTTATTGAAACTGAATTAGGTTGACACGGTGTGTTAGTCCATTTTGCATTGCTATAAAGAAATACTGAAAACTGGGTAATTTATTAAGAAAAGGGTTAGGTTCATGATTTTGCAGGCTATACAGGAAACATGGCACCAGAATCTGCTTCTGATGAGACTTCAGGAAGCTTCATCATGGTGGAAGGCAAAGGGGGAGCATGCATGTCACATGGGGAGAGAGAGAGAGAAAGAGAAGGGGGAGGTCCCAGACTCTTTTTATAAACAGATCTCCTCATAACTCATTACCATGGGGAGGGCACCAAGCCATTTATGAAGGATCTTCCCCGATGACCCAAACATTCCCCACCAGGCCCCACTTCCAACACTGGAAATCACCTTTCAACATGAAATATAGGGGACAATAATGATGTAGCATTTCATTCTATAAAAACACCAAGAATAATGAATTTTTTATTATTAAATTACAGAGTATCCTAAAATTGAAACTTAAGAAAAATTAAGGTGTAAAACACTGTAGATATCTTAGACATTGTTCTTCAAATTATATTTGTGTGTATTTACTTGGTATACATATGTAATGTTAATAGATTTTACACAAAGACACAAAACTAGATAAAGTATTCATTTGATTCTAATTATATATGGCTACTATAACAAAACAATAGCTATTTACAAAGCAGTGTTAACTATAACAATGTGTTGACTTGGATATCTCTCAGAGTCCATATAAAACTTGGCAATCAGCTTTGATTTGAATAGTCAATAGAATGTTGACATTTTAGAAATGTCTCATAAATCTATACTGTTTAACTTTTAGGTGCTCAGTTTCTTAAAGGTACCAATTGGTTGAAATGATAATTTCAATGACACATGCAATTAGTTTACTTTATTCTGTGTCCATACATTGAATTCTTAAGATTAGTCAAAGTTACGCACTAATCCATGACATAGCCATAAAGATAATAGGGCAAGACTGAAAACCCCTTGAGGGCAAGGACTATAATCTCATTCATGTATTTACTTCTCCATGTGCACGCAATGTCTAGAACAGGCAAATACTTGTTAAAGAGAGGTGAAGAAGTAAAATGTTCCTAACCATTCATGCATTTAACACATGTTTATATGACTAGAAACAAAAAAATCAAAGCTTGCTGATTTTGGTCAAGAAACCTTTTCTCATGAAGGAGTTCAAATATCCATGTCCATATTTAACCAATTTTTCAATTACCAGCTTGGTAATTTCAATAATGAATTGCAAAGCCAACATTATCAATAATGTAAAATATACACTTTTTAAAAATTAGTAAATTATACTACTTCTAAAGGCTATATTTTTAAACATTTTAAATAAAATTTGTTTTTAGGCCATAAATTGCAAAAGTATTCAATAGTATTCAATAATTTAAATTAAGAACCTAAAATTTTATATGCAGTGCATATTTTATTAGCAAATATTTAAAATGTAAACCTAAAAAAACCATTGCAAGGCATGTTGCAATATAAAATTTTAATAAATTCTCAGGGATACCAAGTTTTATTGAAACTTCTCCTATATGTGATGCATTTATTTGCTTAACTCAATAAGCATCACAATACCTAGGAATCTAATTCTTATTTTCATATGACACTATTCTTTCTGCAATGTAATTTGAGTTTTTTACTAAAACAGAAATATAGGTCAAAGTTTTAGGATATCTTCACATATTATGATTTTGAAAAAAGTATATTACAATATTACATTTTGAGGATAATAATTGGAAAAAAGTCTTAGAAACTAGCATACATGAAGGAAATTTACAGATAAAATTAATTTAATGCAATAAGGTATGTAAAAACTGTTTCATGACATTGATTCTTTCTGTAGCAATACAGAGGTCTTCGTGATCCAGGCTTGTTGGTGTCAGTTTGATCTTGGTTTTCCTGAGGCAATTTATGAGAGTGCTTCCACTTGCAAACTGTGAACAATTCATATTTCTGTCTCTATAAATCTTTGGAATAAGTTTCTCTATGTCTATTTTGGAGTTATCTTCTCTACTCATTCAATGATAATAGAAAATAATTAGCTTCCCTCAATACAATTATACCAAAGAACTAACACATTTTACACTTAGGAGGAAAAAATCAAAAGGAGTAAACTTTGAAAAAATGTAATAATTCACTAAAATTATATTTTTAGAAACATAAATAACACTCAGTTGTGGAAGTTGGTGATATAGTAAGATTTTTGCATATTACACAATCAGTTACTGCAGCTCAACATTTTCCAAGGCAATTCGATAAATTAAATGGTGTTGTTAGTCTGATGACCTGGGAACATTTAAAAATCTTTGCATACTACAGGTTTTGCTGTTACAGAGGGAAAATAATACCAGTAACAGAACTGATCACAGCAAAAGGCAATGGATGTTTTTAAATGTGCCACCAATTATTCAGAATATTTATATTTGCCACTTTTCAGTTTATAATGTCGTCTTTAAAAGGAAAAAAATATCCAAATCCATGATGTGTTTAGGTTAGTACAGCTCCACTGCTTATATGTATTAAAATGCTATCTAAAAAGGTTAGATACCAATCAGTATCCAACAGTACATATGATACAATTAAAGCATGTAAAACATTTAAGGAGCTATTATAGATTGCTTGGACAAATGTGTGCCTCCACAAATTCCAGACCATTAACAACTTGATCTGCCCTAGCTGCATCTGTAGCTACTTCTCCCCAAAGTGATGCTCTTAATTCTACCACCTTGAGTGACCAGTCACTTCCTAAGGAGACTAGGAACTCAACCTTGGTGGCTGCTGCTCTAGTCATATACCTTGACTTTCTGTCATCTCTTATCACTTCCAGATATTCAAACATCCCAACAACTTGGAGCAGCATGGGATTTCTAAAGAAGCTGACAAAGGAGAAAAGGCCCAAGAAAGCAACTCTGAATCAAAAAGCCATTAACTCTTTGAGAATGTCTTACTGGTCTTACTCTGACCAGTAAGAAAGAGTAGACAGAACAATAAAACTTTATCTTTTTTCCCTTATGTGCACTACTCTGGGACATTTTCTCTCAACTGCTTGTCCAGATATGTCCTGTGGCTCCCTATTAAGTGATGGCACCTGTTATACAGCTGCGTGTGAAGGAGTGGCCAGTAACACGTCACTTTGCATTACTTTCCATCCTCTGTTCTTCCTTTCCTTTTCCCTCACTTTTGCTGGCTGGGATTTTATCTCAAAATAAGATATTAGCTCTTAACCCTTGCCTAAGACTCTATTTTAGGATAGCATGGAATAAGATCGTGGATTATCTTTGAAATTATCCAGGCTATTTCTATTGAAAAAGACACTATTAAAATGACCATAGTAAGTAATGTATTAAGATGGGATTTTCTTTAGAAATGTTACCATAAATTCATATTTTGTTTTGATTTCCAAGTAGACTTACCAGTTTAACATAATGAAATTATCTAAATTAATTATGGCAAACACATTTTAAAAAGGTGAAATCTTGTGTGTGTGCATGCATGTGTATGCAAGTATACCATGTGTGTTAATTTGTTTTGTGTTACTACAAAGGAATACCTGAGACTGGGCAATTTACAAACAAATGAGGTTTATTTGGCTCATAGTTTTGCAGGCCATGTAGGCATGGTACCAGCATCTGCTTGGCTTCTGGTGAGGCCTCCAGTAGCTTATTCTCATGGTGGAGGGTAGACGGAGGTGGGGGGTCAGGGAGCAGGGCGGCAGCATGTCACATGGCATGAGAGAGCAAGAGAGAGTAGAGAGGTGCTACATACTTTTAAAAAACCAGGTTTCACGTGAACTCATTACCACTCATTCCTGTGGGGAGAGCACCAACCTATTCATGAGGGATCAGCCTGCATGACCCAATATTTCTCACTATAACTATGTAACATAATATCAATGAAAGAATATAAAAATATTTTATAAGCAGCAAAGAAAATAGTGGTTAAAAGTAGATTTTAATTTTAAGAATTCCCTGCATTACACACGTCGTACAACCAGAATGCAGTTCCACGCTATTTTAAATATGTGCCTAACTGAAAAAAATGTCTGCTAACTTCTAGTTTAGTCACAAAAATTTACTGTTCATCCATGTTTTCATTCATAATTTGACACTATACCATGCCATGAACTAATTTCCCAATATATATTCCAATCTTTGTTTTCAATTCATTGAGTTTTTGGTAGAATTGCAGACTTAATATTTGTATAAGTAAAATAACCAAATTTTGGAAAACATTTTTCTAGAGTTCTTAAGAGGATTTTTTTTCTTTTTAATAAACCCCAACAGAATATGACATTAAATTATTAGCCAAAAAATTCAGACATTTCAAATTTCAGAGGAAAACTAAATATAACTAATAAAAATACCAGATTTTAGGAAATTAAATTTAATTTAAAACTTTATTTTATAATTTGATTTGCAAAAATATATTGCTGATTCAAAGTTTTAATTGAGAATACTTGAAATATTGCTATTAACATGTATCATATAGGTAAATAAAATGCTTAATACGTTATCTTTTTATGTTAAGAAATATCTGGGGAAGAGATTTAAAATAAGTTGTTCATACAACACTGTCATTTGCCAACGTAAAGCTCTTTGTATTTTCTTTTATATATATTTTCTTACCTCCATTCCCCTCTGTTAAAGTTGAAAGGTACCACAGAGATCACGTATTTTAACAACCTCATTTTAAAGAAGAAGAATCAAAAGCATGAAGTCTAACTTGGTCAACATCACAGACCAGGTGACTGAATTTGGAAGTAAAACTCAGTCACCTGATCTGTGATCTGGTGCTCATTTCTTCCATAGGTGATGTTGAATAGTGTAGTGGTACAGTTTTCGAGCAGAAACATCTTTTTCTTGACATTTTACTGACAGTCATGTGTAGAAGAAGAATAATTTTTCTTCAAAACCCTGCCTCCCCAGTCATTGGTTCTTAGTTGGAAAGAACCCCGGTAACAAAAGACAGATTAAGAAGAGAAAAAAATTAGCATGTGTATTTTACATATACATGAATGACGTGCAGGAAATGAGTATTTCTCAAAGTAGTGGCTTTGAGTTCCAGTTTATATAGCATATTCAAGAAAGAACAGTAAATTTTTAGAGAATTGAGAAGACACAGTAAAAGAACTTTTAGTCTCTAGAGGATGCAACTTGTGGGAAGGCAAATAAATGGCAGGTAAAGACTATTAGGTGAAACTTGTTAAGGCAGGTGCCTCTGGTACCACCTCCAGAAGATATGTGTCTAAAGTTGTCTTTAGTGGTTAATCTCTGTTTTCCCTGTAAGTAGCAGGGAGGAGGGA
This sequence comes from Homo sapiens, assembly GCF_000001405.40. Classification (NCBI taxonomy): domain Eukaryota; kingdom Metazoa; phylum Chordata; class Mammalia; order Primates; family Hominidae; genus Homo; species Homo sapiens. Next base: position 30,325,993 of record NC_000018.10, read on the forward strand.
ATGCCAGGATCCCTTTTGTCTTTGAAAATCTACATTTTGCTTTTAGGCAAATAGAGGAGGTCAGAGAGCATTCCTGTATCTGCTGCTTTTTAATTGTCTTCAACTCAACAGTCCTTCATATCTTGAGGTGGCATATTCTGGTCTCTCACATATATAATTCTTTTGGCCCCAGATTTTTCATCTATAAAGTTAAGAAAGTTAAATTAGATAAAATACATTATCCTTTCAACTTTTTAAAGAGTGGCAAAAAAAATATCAAACTCTACTGTGTTTGCTTTTATTTATTTTTTATCTAAAATATTGAATCAATTCCAGTTTTGTGTAAAGGTAGTCCCCAAGTTATCCTATATAGTCACATTCTGTATTAACAAAATTTATTCCAATAGATCAGGCAAGAGTGGAACTATTTTCACTTTCCATGTCATAAGCACAAAATGTTCCTCAAAGTAAATTATCACTGATTTAGTGAATGATTAAAAAATATTTTTTATGAACCTCTTTATCTTCAGTCTCAGTCTGTGTATTAGGACACATTTGCATAAAAATCTGAAGAGTAAATCTTAATATTAACAGTTAATTGAATACTCATGATTAAAATTTTAATCCTAGAAAGTAATTAAATTTTCTTCTGTAATGATTTTTGATTGATTCTTTCTATAGCCACACTGAGAAAACGCTTAGATATTATTAAAGCTCTAAAAAAACAAGTGCATCTCCAGGAAGGCTGCCATTATTTTACTTATTGGCTATGCAGAGCCTAAAAACAATATATTGCCTTAATAACTTGTTTTGCTTTCCACATAACTGAAAAACATTTAAAATGTCTCTCCAACACTATGAAAAAAAAGAGATGGTATGATAGTTAATTTTATATGTCAAGTATTCTGGGATGTGGGTGCCCAGGTATTTGGTAAAACTCTATTCTGGGTATATCTGTGAGAATGCTTTGGACGAGATTAACATTTGAGTGGGTAGACTGAGTAAAGAAGATTGCCTTCCCTGAAGTGGGAGGTCTTCCTCCAATCAGTTCATGGCCTGAATAGAATAAAAAGGCTGGCCTTCCTTTGAGCAAGAAGGAACCCCTCCTGCCTAACTGCTTTGAGTTGGAACACTGGTATTTTCCTGCCTTTGGATTCCAGCTGAAATATTGGCTCTTCTTGGGTCCTGAGCCTCCAAACTTTCAGACTGGAACTTACACCACTCTCTCTCCTGGTTCTCAGGCCTTTGTTCTTGGTCTAGAACTACACCATTGGCTCTCTTGGGTCTCCAGCTTACCATCTGCAGATCTTGGGATTTCTCAGCCTCTGTAATCCAGCAAGCCAATGCTTTAAAGTAAATTTAGATAGATAGATAGATAGATGATAGAGATATATCCCACTGCTTTTAATTCTCTGAAGAATTCTGACTAGTACAGATGGTATGACTACCTCTTCCTGTGCTTATAAATCATGCTTATCTTTCCATAATGAGGAAAGCAAAAGAAGGCTTAATAAAACAACTGAAATATTTAAGGAAGAATGCTGATCACAATATTAGAAAAATCTGAAAAGTAAATGGAAAATTGAAAAGCAGAGTATTATTTAAAGAACAAAAGATTTAATGTCTGTATTGAGAGAACTAAAAATAATAATGCAAATAAAAACAATTAAGGAACAAGAAATGAAGGGAACATAAAGACCTCTCTACCTTTTCTATATGCACTGTGGAATGAGTACACATATAAGTCAAAGGACAGAGTAGTAGGAAGAGATTATTTAAAAGATGCTAACTGTATCTTCATCAGGAACATGTGTAAGATTTGCTTACTCCGAGATTTGGATATTGACAGGGACCTTGTAAATTTATAAAAATTTAAATTGTGGCTAACTGTAAATCAATTATGAATTGTTTTGTTTCAACGTATTGTTATTTGAAATAGCATATTTAGCATTACTTGTGGCTAGTGAATGACTATAAATGGACTCTTTATGGGAGCCTACATCTTCCCTGTTATTGTAACTTTATGACATCTCTTATGTCCTTATCTCCACATATATCAAAGAAACTGGAAATAAAATACCTTCTTTAATGAATTAGCCCAATAATTCTAAAAGGCATTAAAAATTATGAAGAAACAAAGCTGTATCCAAAGTCAAATAGTGAATTTTCCACAAATAGAAATCATGCCTGTTATTAAATGGTAATGATCAAAGAAATAACAATGACAGTATGGAATAATATAGCTTTTTAAAAAATAAGATTTGCCAGCAATAAAAACAAATTGGGAAGAAAATACCATCTTAAATGTTCAACATAAGAAGTGAATGTAGGAAAATATTTATTATTTTATGTAGAAAAAGATAATAGAAAATATGTAAAAACGCATTGCTCATCTTATCTAACGTCCCATTCATCACATAAGAGAGCATGAAGTAAAACTATGGGATTAGAAGAAAATGTGATGAAAATTAACATTTATTGAGCACATTTTCTGTAACAAGTGTTAATATATTTTACTCTTTTTAATCCTCCTGGCCATCACATAAGATATCCATATTTTTTAGATAAGCAAAGTTAGGCTGTATAGCTTCTCTCATCTCAATTCTTAAAAAAAGGGGGGGGGGTGTGTGCAGAGATGTATAAAAGTCAAGGTACTCCTTAACTTTAAATGTTAGTTTTTACCATGATGTCTATGAAAGCAAAATTGAATATTGTTTAGAAAAGTAACAAAAACTTTCCATTCATCAGAAAAATAAGCAAAATATCCATGAATTAAAGACTATTATTGATAACAAAACAAAAAATATTATTTAATCAAAATGCTTACAGGCGCGCGCACACACACACACACAAACAAGTCCTATAAAGATTGATAAATGAATTTTTCCAGTAAAGAACTGTAAATAGTGACATGTATTCAGGAAGCAGTCAATGTAATGAAAGATCTGAGAAAGTTGGTGTGGAATCATCAGGTTTACAAAATGTATGAGGTGAAGGTAGTGATATAGTTCAGGAGATGTATTTAGCAGTAAGTGGAATAGAGTCGTAAGGTCTATGACTTTGCAGTTTGGAATTTTGCTAAAGCACCTATTTGAATTACTCACACTGATGTGTTGAATGAGTCGCTTTGCCTTCTAAATTATTTCAGTAATGCATTTATAAAATCATTAAGAATCCAAAGGGGTCGCTCAGGAGCTTCATGTTTTACTGAATTTTATGAGAGAAATTACATTCTATAATGGTATCAGGGGTTTTAAAGATTCATGAAATTATCACTACAGGTCTCTTGAGGAGAATGTAAGTGGTCCAGTGTAAATGAAATGACACATCTTTGAACTGGGGCTCTGAACTCTTAGTTGACAGCAAGGAAATCAGGCCAGATTGGTTTCTCAAGATAGTGGCCTAACATTATACTTCAACAAAAAAGATCACTTAAGTGATGAACAATGAAAAACTATCAGGTAGGAGAAACAGGACCCATTATTTTAGCCTTCTAGAATATTGATATCTTTGCACTTTATACTGGGTACAATTTTGAATACTCCTCCTCACTAGAGAAACAGGAATTTCTGATATTCAGCAGAAACTTTCCTTACATTATCATCACTTAGCATTATGAGTTAGTATAGGTAATCTCATTGCTTACATTAATGTAAATAATTATACATTAATCCTCATGTCAATTCTATCCGGCAAGTATTCATTTTATTTATTTATTTACTTAACTTCTTAATAATTTAAAGGTAAAAAACCTGAGACTAAGAAAAGTGAAGTAAGTCAGACGTAGTGGCTCACGCCTGTAATCCCAGCACTCTGGTAAGCCGAGGTGGATGGATCGCTTGGGCTCAGGAGTTTGAGGCCAGCCTGGGCAACAAGGTGAAATCTTATCGGTATGAAAACAATAAATAAATAAATAAATAAATAAATAAATACATATTACAAAAATTAGCCAGGCATGGTGGCAGGCACCTGTAATCCCAGCTACTCTGGGGGCTGAGGTAGGAGGATCACTTAAGCCCAGGAGGTTGAGGCTACAGTGAGCCGTGTTTATACCACCACAGTCCAGCCTCGGTGATAGAGTGAGATAAAGAAAAAAAAAAGAAAGAAAGAGAAAGAAAGAAAGAAAAGTGAAATAATTTACTGAAAACTTACTTTGTTATGCAGTCAGCATATTATAATGGGCCATATCCAACAAAAAGGGGCCTCTTAAAGTATTGAAGGAGGATTGGTAACATGAATGATGTTATAAATCATGAAAGTTGAGGATAATTATAAACATAAAATCATTAAAAGCCATTGACTACTGATAGAGATAAATTTATTGTAAAATCATGTGTTTAAAAAAATATTCTAGAAAGTCAGGATGATCTATTAACTCCCAATGTGATACATAACTACATTAGAGATATTATTAGACAAAATTGTGGATAACAGTTATTTACAGGACAAGCCTCCTATTTTTTTGAAAGTGACACAAATAAAAACATGTATTTGAAGACAGGTTTTATTATCATTCGGAGATAGAATGTCACGTGCATGTGAAGGATTGGCAAACACTATTATGATAATCAGGAAATTTGATGACCTTAGTAGGTATAGAATAAAGAGATCCACTTTACATTGCAAAGTTTGTAAAAATACATTTCTTTCACCCCATAACCATTTGTTAGATTTCCTACTAAATGCTAAGTACCTGGCTAGGTGCTTAGACAAAAATGTTGAAGAAGATGCAGTACCTTCTCTCAGTTTCTTAATGTCTGTTGGGGAGTTAGACAAGTTGTAATGTGCTTTTAGTAGCATGGACCACATTCAGAAAAGGTAAGAAGGGCACAGAAATCAGTTTTGGATGGGCAATAATAATAATAATAATAATAATAATAATAATAATAATAAAAACTTCATAAAGAAGCTAATGTGTAAATTTTTACCTTCATCCATTAGTTAAACAAATATTGGTTGGGAGCCTAATATTCACCAGGGATGAGTCTAAGAACTGGAGATAAAACAGTGAACAACTGTTTTACACTGTTCATTTTTATTGCAAAATGCATATAAAGAGGAATAAGGTAATTAAAACTCTAAAATAGAAATTAGCAAAATGGATTTAAAAACATTGATAAAAAGTATAATAGACCAAATAGCTGGTTCTATGAGAAGACTGATTAGTTTGAAAAAGACTCCAGCAAGACTGACCAAAGGCTAAAAGGCGAGAAAGTAGAAAAATACAGAATCAATAAAAAAGGAGAAATATTTATAAAGACAGTATTACCAAAATAATACAAAAATATTAAGAATGTATAAATGCTGAAATTGTGAAAACCTAGGTAAAGTGGATACATTTCCACAAAAAATACTGCAATGAATCCTTGTTAATTTTGGCTATATAGCATGTGAACCTCCTTCCCTATGTTCAGTATAGCCCCTACCTGATTGCTCTAAAGACAAAAGTGCATGGAGAAATATTCTACTGATAAGGAAAGTCCAAAGGCAGGAAAGAATGAGCAGGAATATGTGGAGGCATAAATAGCATGACTGAGAATTGAATGAAAGTATAGCAGTGACAAATTATGAAGGGTATTATAAACTATTTTAATTTTTTTTATTTTTTTTCTGGCATCAACAGTCTTTAAAAGGTTTTCAGGAAAATTGGATCATCATGTTGATAATGATGATATTGATAATTTCTAACTTTTAAAAGTCATTTTTATGTACCAGAAATTGGGTATTAAGTGTCTTTTATTTATTTATTTATTTATTTATTTGAGAACAGGGTCTTGTTCTGTTGCCCAGGCTGTAGTATAGTGGTGTGATCACAGCTCACTGCAGCCAGGAACTCCAGGGCTCAAGTGATCCTCCTACCACAGCCTCCCAAGTAGCTGGGAGTACAGGCATGAGCCACTGTGCTTGGCCTGGTACTAAGTGCTTTGTGTGAACTATCTCAATTAACCCTCACAAGAACTCAATAAAATTGATAGAACAAGTATCTGAATTTTAAAGGTAAGGGAACACATGATCAAACTTGACAAGTTCATGCATTTAGATAATTTCAGAAAAGCATACCTTATAGAAAGATAATTTGAGCTTCACTGTGGAGAATAGCTTAGATTGGGACTGGATTGATGACACATAGTCAAGTTATGAGATATATTATAGTCAGAAGATGAAGGTGACCTTGAATAAGGTAACCACAGCATATATAAAAATAAAAAAGTAGATATCAACATATTTATACTTCAGAGGTGATAAGACTAAAAATTAAATTGGATAAATGTAAGGCAGAGAAAGAAATCAAGGGGAATTTCCAAGTATTGGCTTGCACAGAGTTGTATGCCTCTGATATTAAGAGTGCTGTGGAGGAACATAGTTAAGGTACTTATCACAAATTTGTTTATTATTTATATACTATTGTTATTATTTTTTGTAGAGACAGGGTCTAGCTCTTTCCCAGGCTGCAGTGCAGTGGCACAATTATATCTCTCTGCAACCTTGAACTCCTAGGCTCAAGTGATCCTACCACCTCAGTCTCCTGAGTAGCTGGGACAACAGGCATGTGCCACCATGCCTGGCTAATTTAATTTTTTATAGAAACCGTGTCTCACTATGTTGTCCAGGCTAGTCTTGAACTCCTGGCCTCTGGCCATCCTCCCACTTTGGCCTTAAAAGTGTTGGAATTACAGGCATGAGCCACCACATTTGGCCTCAAATTTGAAGTACGACTATGGCATTTATTACATGTATTCAGTAAGTATCTGGATTAAGCCCAGTTTAAGATATGTTTCGTTTTAATTGAAATTCTTGTTAAGAAGTTGAAAGTAACAAATCTGAACTTCAAAGAAAAGAATCAGAGATATCTGTGAGTCATCACTATTTTAATAAGTAATTGCTATGAGGAGAATAACTGACATTATTAAAGCAGAATGCATAACAAACAAGAGACCTTATATCGAACATCAGAGGAACTTAAACATTTACCTGTTATATGGAAGAAAAAAAAATAATACAATTGGTGATGGAGCACAAAGAAGAAAATCCAAACTGGATGATGCCATGGAAACCAAATAAGGGTAATTTTGGAGAGAAAGGCATTATGGGTAAATGTTATAGAGACTTGTATGGTGAGGAACTTTTAAAAATTGTCCATTGGATTTGACAAAAAGGTGACCTGTTTGTGATGTTCTTTAGAGTAATTGCTATGGAAAATGTCATGAGGAAACCTAAATTGTTATAGCTTGAAAGTGAAGGAGCAATGTGAATTTGGACACATCATGTAGAGATGATTCTTTCAAGAGGATTCAACATAAAAAAGAGAATAAGACAAGAGGAAAATAAGTGTTTTTGTTTGGAGATGTACTATCTTAAAGAAAGGACTTGACGATTAAATGCTGTTTGAAATGAACCAGTAGAAAGGGGATAGTCGAAGATACAAGATAATGGTGCAATTTGTCTGTGGCTCTCAAAGCATTAGAAATCAATGGAGTCCTGAGAAAAATTTAAAGTGTTCATCTTTGACAGAATGCAAGACATCTCTTTTATTGTGAGGCAAGATTATATGTGACACTGTGTGAAAATGTAAAGGCAGAGTGGCAGGTCACGTGCGAGTGTTCATTTGAAGGCTTGTGGTCTCTGTGAGCTATAAGGGAGGCTGGATTATTGCATGGAAAGAGGTAGGAGAGGTTAAAAGAATGTTGAAAATGTCTGAACTGGCTTTCTTGGTAATGATAATCTTTACTGGGGGAGACAGAATTGTAACAGGCTACCAATTTACAGATAAATCAATTTCTGATATGCCAGAGAATGTCTGGGAAACAGGTGGGAGAAGTCTGCTATAAGACTATTTTTAATAGGGGAAATCACCTTCTGAGACAAAAGTTATCCCAAGGGGGAAAAAGGGTTAATCATGATTATCTCACCTCAATAAAAGTAATTCAATACATTCCAGGAGAAAAGAGTAGTAATGCTGGGTAAAGCTTGGTTCATACATAATCTTACTGTTTTTGTTTGTTTTCTTGCTCAGTTTCTGTGGAACATACAGTTAAAACCTGCATGAAACAAATAACATATAAGTAAAAACTGAAAAAATAGTTTCATTTAAAATATTTGAAAGATATCTGGACACCAAAATCACAGAACTGATATCTCCCAATGAACATATAACACATACAAAGAAAAGAAAATTACTTCATCCACTGCCTATAAGAAGCTTCTGCACTTCAACCCTCCTAATTCTCAGTTGTAACAGGTATCCAATGGATACTCACTGAGTAGTGCACAGTAAGACTAGATTTAATAATAGGACAGGCTGAAAGATCAATAGATATTTGGGGAATGAACACTACAGGAGATGGCAAAATCTTTTGCTTGAAGGTGAGGTCAAAAGTCATGACACTGGAATTAGCACTTTTCCGTAACATTGTATTCACAGGAAAATTTGGAGAATACACATTTCCTAAAAATATATAGATGAATTAATTGAGATTCTGGACCATGAATTTTCAATCACCTTATCCACACTGTTTCTGTTTTGTTATGAGCAAGAAAGGCAACACAGATAGATGAATTCAGACATAGGTTTTCTGCTTGGGTAAGTTTTCAGGAAAATGAGATACCTCTGTAAAGTAGTTGGCTTTCTTTATTTCTTAGATACTGCCCAAGATCAAATTGTTAATGGTAAGGAGGCACCAGTGTTACCAGTGATGGGTCGGAACTGGCAGTCAGTCGCAGTGATCCATAGCAACTTTGCTTCTTGCCTCGTCAGAGGAAAGAACTCAGCCCAGGCAGAAGTAGATTTAAGGCAAAGGTAAAGGTTTATTGGAAAAACAAACAAACAAAAACAGCAGAGTACACTTGGAAGAGGGCCAAGCAGGAGACTAGAGAGGTCAAGTGCTCCATCCAGCCTTTAACTTGGGATTTTTATACATTGGCTGGTTTCGGGTTTTACCTTTCTCTTCCTTTGATCCCTATCTTGGGATGGGCTGTCTGAGTGTGCAGGGGCCGGCTAGCGCTCGGGAGGGGCTGCACGCCAGTGTGCTTACTGAACTTATGCACACGCTCTCTTGAGCATTTCCAGAGAAAGATTACATACTAGTCAAACTCGGCCATTTTCTCTTTTAGTGCACATTCTTGAGTGTTCTTGCCTGACTTTTAAGATTTTATCAGGGAGCTTTTACCTCCAAACCTCAGATGTTCCCTGTTGATCAGGCAGCTATCCTTCCTTGAGGATGGTTGTGACCACTTAGCAGGCCACCTGACAATGGCTTCTCACTGACAGTAGCCTGACATTCCTGGGGACTTACCCTGCCTGGCTCATTTCTATCTACCTACCCTAACATCAGGAGGTGGCTACAAATATGTCAGTGTAAATTTTTATCCCTGACAGGAAAATAAATGAGGTATCAATCCTACAGATGGTGGATCAGTATTATTTGGGTAAATAAGGCAGAGTTCATGAGAGTTATACCTGAACATTTCTCGCTTACCCCTAGCATATCTTAAAATCCTTGAACATACTCCAGACTGGGCGACAAGAGCAAGGCTCCATCTCAAAAAAAAGAAAAAATCCTTCAACATTAATTTTTTGAGTTAGGATTTTTGGTAAAAGAGAATTTATTTTATTCATCCCTTCATCACCTACATACCTACCATATTAATCAATGTATGATTTAAATTCAATGCTCTAAAAATAAATTATTAATTTAGACTAAAAAACATATTTATGAGTGATACCATACTTTACTTGTATAGCAAAATGGTTACTTTCAGGACACTTCTGAACCTCTTAACTCTAGAATAGACTTTGAGGTAGATAAAAAGAGCATTATGAATCACAAATGCTTGATAGTGTTAAACATATGAATATATGAAAATATTGTTTGCAAAGTTAAGAAATATAATGAATACATTATTATAGTCTATACTGTTTTATAAGCTATTTTATGTGTTTCTTCTGAGCTTTCAAACATTCAAGTACACATTTAAAATACAAATTCTTTTATATCCAATTCATTCTTTGGTAGTCACCAATGTGAAAATTGAAAAGAAGTCTTATTTTTAAAGGCATTTCAATAATGATTATATGCAAATAATGTGTATATGTTAACAACATTTACATATGTAAAATGTAATTATTTCCTTGTGTTAGATAATAATATGAGTTTTTTTTGCAAATTTATATATTTGGTTTGCTGCATTACCAAATAACTCATTGAATGCTTACTCTATTAGGGAATAAAGCAGAAAATAAAATCATAAGACTAAACTACCAATTTTCATTTTGAAAAATGAGCTAAGTCACATAAAACTGCCTTCCTCAAATTTTCTGTAAAATACAGAATGATCATTTAGTTTAAACAATACTAAATTACATAAGCATTCAAGTCATTTAAAAATAGTTCTACAATCTTTAAAATTCTAGAATAGCTGTTATCTGTGGATCCAAGATATGTGGTTCAGTGCTTCTTTTCAACCTGAGTGAAGAGAAAAAAATAAAAGATCTTGTGTGTATTACAAATATTGAAAAAACTATTAGTGATATCAACTTTTCTTATTCTTTGTCTATATACTAATCTTTATGAAGCATGTATATGTATATATATGCTACATGTGCTAATTTCTATTAATACATTCGAACCGTCACATAGTTCAATACTTCTGTGTGTTTTAAAAATACATATAAATTTCCATATTACCTTTCAGAAGGAGGACCATTTTTGTCTGCCTTCATCTGTATGATGGCATATATTTGCAGACCTGGTATTGATTTATATACTGAAAGTTTTATTTCTGTAAGATCTATATTTTTTGAAACTCCAAAATTGACACAGAGATAGTGTGGGCAGGGCAGTCAGTCTATACCCATTCTACCCATGTACTTGGGCTACTTTTGCTATACATTCTTTTCTTTTAACTAAGGATATTAACAGGGAACATTGACCTATAAATTTCTAACTCTCTTGGAGTTTCCTTTAGTATTTGATTCCTCTAGTATTTCTTCAAAACTAAGAAAGATAGATAAGAAGATGAGAGAGAGAGAGAGAGAGAATATTGCAAATAGACTCAGGAATTTCTCGGTTGTACAGAATTATTGGATCATAATAAGTAGTGACAGGGAGAAATGGAAAATGGGAATGGAAAGGAAGATTGGTTTAGAATAGATTATTTTAAGGAATTTTAAATAATAATAACCATCATCATCCTTAAAAATTTATCAAGTACATACTAAACACTCTTTAAAATACTGTAAATATAATCTCTCTATTATTACTCTAGCAAATTAAACATAAACTTTGGTTTTAATTGGATATTATCTTCCAAATTAAAAATTAAAAGACTTATATAATGTACTAAAGTTATACTTCCTGTAAACTGTGAATTTAGGGTCTGAATCTTAAATTCTAGTTACTAAGGTGATGTCTTAAGCATTCTGATATACTGCTTCTCTTGGTCCAAATAACCGTAATATTATCTTGCACTGTCTTTACTACTATTCCTTTTCTTTTATCCTCTTTCTACTCCCACTCCTCTTTCCTCTTTGAACACCTAAGTCCTGAAAACTTAAACTGAGAGCCAAAAGACAGTCCTTGAAATGTGATTATCAGAGGACTGAAGCTATCAGACCAAAGCTAATATTTAGCACAATATATGAAAAGGTATTTGTAACCTATTTATGTGTATCTATATCATATTTGAAACCTATCTCTAGACACCACCAAAGCACAATCTTGGATACATAGTTGTGTGAGTGATATGTACTTAGAAACAGATGCTCTATTAATACTGTGGTTTTCCTGATTTTAACCTAAAAGCCATATCCACTGCTATTTTTCTTTTTAAACTTTTTCATTTAGATAATATACAGAATCTATTTTCTATGTCTTTGTTCAGAGGCCATGCTTATTATTACCCCTAATTATTTCCCTGTGTGGCTTTAAATTGAAATTGCTTCTATAATTACTTTCCCCTGAAATTTCTATGGTAAGGTTTAGCAACTAAATGTGAATGCCTTCTAAATGAAGACATTTGATCAGGGCTGTAAGTTGATTTATTTATATCTAATCACCAAGCAGGTAAAAAGATTTCAGTTTTGCAAAGTTTAAACATTTCAAATAGCCCTGTCATCTCTTTTTATTCATTTATTCATGATTCAAAGAATCCTAACAAAGTCATTTGGGAATGTTTGATTCTGTGTGGTATGTTGTTACCATAGCGATTCTGTTGGTTTTAATAATTGATATAAAGTTTTAAATGAAGTGTTTAATTGTGTTTGCAGATAGTTTCCTGAGCCATAAATAGCTAACACTCAAAATCCTCTTTCATTATAATTGACATTAGGTAATCAACTTGTACATTTTCATTGAAATGAGGCACAGGCAGCACGGTGCCAGGAAGGTCATAACAACTCAAAAAAAACAAGAGAACATTTCAGGTCAATACAATTCACAGAGGGCAAATAGAAACTCTGCTTACTGCCTTACCATGGCTATGTATCTAATAATTATTTCCTTGAATTAGATTCAATTCAAAAGACAGCATGGATGTCTGCATACAATTCTAAGTATTCTTCCTACTTATAAAAGCAGGCTACGCTTACTGTTTCAATTGTTACTTTCAGGTCATAGATATGAAAATAAGGGTTGAAGGAACTCCAGTGCCATTTGTCAAATGGTATCCGAAAGAACGACTATTTCTTAAATAAATGAATACTGTACTTATGAAGTTCACTGTTCTCATTGTATTTACCCATGAAAGTTATTTGTCATGTACTGAATAATCTGAGATTTATAAAATATGTAATATTTTAACTTTAGCCTTTATTGCATGACTCAGTTTTCATAGAAGTCTGCCTATAGTTTTGGCAGACTGAAAAAGCTATGTACTTGAAAATGACCGGATTTTTATATTTAGGATTTTAATCATTTTACTAAAAACGAGTATATTACTTATCAAAATAGATGATATACGGAGGTAGTGCATTATCAGTCAATTTTAGAAACACTGATTATTTGATTTCATAATTGGAAATAAGAGAGAATTAAAATAATATGTTTGAGTAGGGAGAAACGGGTGACAACATGGGGCCAATGGTAAAATCAGGATGGTTTCCTCTTAAATTGTCAGTATTAATAAATGCAAATCTTTAAAATTCTATGTGTTTATGTAAAAGGCAAAGGCTGTGTTTCTAAAATACAACAAATATAACATTTTTATGTAAAATGATTATCTCTAATTTTATGAAAACTGTCTCCTAGAAAATGGGCTCAACTTGTAATAAGATGCTTTACTCTTTGAGGACAAACCCGTGAATACTCTAGAATGTCTGACTCTGGGACCATTGAAGCAATATGGATTCCTCATTTGTCTTGAATATGTATTTGGAGTATTCACCAATTACTATAGATATTGATGCTCCAAAGTATGTAAATATAACTAAGCAACTTATTTCCATATGGACATTTTTCAGAAATATATCTAACGTTATCACAAATTAAGATCCTTTAATCCATTTCCCATGTAGAAAAAAAAGTGCAGCTTGCTGCAAGTGGTTATTTAATTTGCGTAAACATGCTCTTTGAGGATGAAGCAAATGTGACTGATATTCAATATGAAAATAAAATAGTAAAATTGTTCTTGGAGTTATTTCTAGACAGAACTAACATCAAAATCGTCTGAATCATAAGAATTACCTATTTTGGAAAATTCAGATCCATCAAATGAAGTTTCGACCAACAACTGTTGTAGAATGATGTTAACATCATGCATAAGAAAGCTGTTTTCTAGGATTTGACATTTTCAGCCATCAAGAATCACTATATTTTATAAACGGTAACACCACTACTAAAAACAGAATGCTATAAATTGAATGATGTCTTTTGTTTCCAAAGTTGATATACTCGAGCAATGTGAAAATAATAATAAAATGAGATATTGTGTGGCAAAGTTATCTCAGGGTAAATGCTGCAGCCGCAAGTGCCGCCGGTGAGTATTCTCCGGGAAAAAGAGAAAACGGTTAAAAATCATTTGTGAATAGTAAATAGTAAGTCCTTTTTATTAGATATTAGAGAAAATGGTGAAGTTGTATATAACACACCCTTAATATTACTATGGCAGTCATTGCAGGTAGACTCATCAAATGCAGTCATAAAAGATGCGCAAATCCAAATTTACCAAATGCACGTCTGATCGGTTTTGAAATAGTATTCCTACATGGAAAATGATGTGTATTCCTAACATAATGAAACTAATTTTAGTAAACATAATAGAAAGCATAATAGAAAATAACAATAGGTTAGTCTTATATTTATTAAAATGCACGACTTTATGGTACACTACTATAAATAAAACTAAATTATAAACATGTCAGCAAGTTAGATGATTTATCTACTTAGAAAATGACCTTAGTTTCAATATTTAATTTTCAAAGGTATAGTTTGTACAAATCTGCCCAATTTATTTAAAAAGATTAGACATATTGAATATTCATGGTACATTACTAAATGGAGAAAGTAATTGATATTAGTTTGAGTAAAGTAAACTTTATATAGATAAACATCTTTATACAGTTTGTAATTAATCCATCTCTGGGAGTCACAATGAAATTCAGTTATTTATAATTCATTAATGGAAATGCATACTAGGAATATGTTTTTGTCATGGACTGTGGGCAAGATAAAAATTCTCTACAATAATCCAATAACTCTTAATGAATTGATTAAAAATGGTCTTATTAACATCTGATATATTGTATAATTTTGTAACAATTCTTAGTCTTCCTTTCTGTAAGAACTGAAGGTTACCATCATTTGCTATGAAAATTACCCTTTCCTTTGGGAAATACTTTAGCATTTGCATTGTTATCTAGGGCTGGACCACTTCTAAGACAAGTAAACAGAAAGGAGGTGATCAACCAATCAGAATATAAGTTGCAGTTACTGAAGTCACCCATTAAAACGTTTCTTCTTTGAAATTTATCCCTAGCAATTCAAATATTTTAACAATATTTATTGAGCAAAAGTGATTTTCAGGGAATTGAGATTCTAATGAGTCACAACCAATGACCATGGACCTCTTTTCATATGGTCCTTAATAGTGGGGATTTTTGCCTTTGAGAAGGCTGGTGCACAATTTATTTAGTCAAAATAGCAAATTAAGAATAGTTCCAGGCTCAATATAAGGTAACCTCTCCTTTCATGTAGAAAGAAGAATGTTAAACCTATTGAGTTCTTAACTGAGACCATTTCAACAATGTGGAGGTGGCATCATTTTGTGCATGTTTTTACTGTGATATACTAAGTAAAATAACACAAATAAATAAATGAAGTTGAATAGCAAATCTTAATTTTTCAACCACATATATATTTCTTCACTAGCTAAAAGTTTATTAGAATACTGAAGAGAAAATAACAAGCAATATTGCCATCCAATGGTGAAACTGTAACATTTAAGGCATATTAAATATAAAGATGGAGATATATGACAATATTTCAAAATAAGTAGAAATATTTATTTTGATTGCATTTTCTGGGAAATACAAAGGCAATGTTTAGAGTTATAAATACAGTAACTACTAATCTAAAGAAAGAAAGACACGAAGTTTGAGTTTTTACCTTTTTGAAGCACAAAACAGTAGAAGCTTTAGTTCATATTATTTAATTTTTAAAGTGTAACATAATGAAGGCTTCAAACTTATTTATATCATTATGTTGGTTCTTTGTTTTACATGATGGTTTGCAGATATTTTTCTTTCTTTGCCAATTAAGGATCTCTTTGAATATCATTTCCTCCTAAAAGACTTCGGAACTGATCTTTCTCTCTCCAAAGCCTCAAAACATTTTATGCCTGTATTGTTCTTCATTTCATTGTTTGATTTACCTTAGAATCATTGACATATTCATTGGTACACATCCTCAATTGGGAAAAGAAGTATTATGTTTTATTTATTTGTACAATATGTAACGATTAGTGCCTATCAGGTAAACAATAAATAATTGTTGAATACAGTGGAACTGCCTTAAACTCATGTCTGTGGATGTTTTAGTCTGTATATGCTACATAAATGATTTACTTTACTTGTGAGGTGGATTTCTCTCATTTGTGAAATTCAGAAAATTACCTCGAAATTTTTAAAATGTGGGCATCATTCCATGTTTGAGAGTGAGAGTAGCTAAAATAGCTAAATATCAGGTCGTTATAATGGAAAATCATAAAGTATTTGTATTTATAATGTATCCATTATAAATGCCTATTATATGTAACGTACTCAATAAATAGTATTTGGCAAAGTTGTACTGGTATCCATAATGGTAGTGATTATTTAGGTTGCTATTAGCCTGACACCCCAGACTTTTACATTTAGAATAAGAAATATATTTTTGATGATCCAGAATTTAACATATGCAGTAATTTGTATATATATTATTTGTTTTCATATTATTCATTTAACTATTCAAGAAATACATAAAGACCATCTAAAATAGATGTGCAAAACTTAGCTTCTCACTCTATTAGGTACTGGGAGTCAGGAATAAACAATATAGATTTACTCTCTGCCTCAATGAAATTAGCCTAGTGAGTAAATGGATATTGAATATACATAATTACAATTACAATAAGTGTTATAAACATGGTAGTTGTCTTAGAGTAGGCAGAGAGCTAGACATGAACAGGAGGAGGAGCCCCTAAGAAAAGACAGGTCTGGAAAATCTCACATCCCAGAGACCACCCAAAACATGGATGCAAGTTATGAGCAGAGAGGAAAGGAAATACCTATGCAGAGAGAAATGATTCCTAACATGCTCAGTCATTGTTCACTCTGCAGTTAATCTGTCAGAATGTAGTGAGCTACATGCTTATAAGGAGGGAAAGAGGGCAAAGGAGAAACTCCTAAGAGCCACGCAGGTGCAATAAATATAGATTTGACCACTATAGGACCTTCCTGGCATGGTGGTAATGAGTCATGCAGCCATTAGGTAGAATTTGTGTCCAACATTGGGCCCACGCATGCACACCAACCAATTCAGCATCATTATATATTTGAGAGCAAGAGGAAGTAAAATAGCTAAATATCAGGTTGTTATAGTGGAAAATTGTTAAGTGTTTGTACAGCACCTATTATTAATGTAAGAGAGGGTGTAATAAGCCCAGGGGGGAACTAGGTGGGGAAAAAGGCAGGGACTTAAGGCAGACGTGGTAAAACTAGACAAATGAAAAAGGTGGAGACTTATGACACAGGCAGCAGCTTCATGAAAAAAAAAATCCAACATCATAAAAACCCAGTGCAGAACTCTTGGGGCTGCTTCTGGCTCATTCTTTCAGCAGCCCACTGTCCCTTACCTTCCAGAGTGTACTGTCTCTTTAAATAAATATGGCTACTGCTCCGGCTACTGCTCCCAGTGGGGTCAGCCCTCTCTTGGAGTGTACCATTATCTTCTTATTAAACCTTTTGCTTACAGTACTAATTATTCTCTTGGCTGAATTCTTTCTGCAAGTATGACTAAGAACCAAGGACTCTGCATTTCCTCATAACAGTTGGATGGCAATAATGACAAGGTTTATCTAGGAGTGAGAAAGTCAGGGGATGCCATCTTGAAGAAGTGAAGCCCAAGGTTTAGTAGTAGTTAACTAGGTGACTGTGTTAGAGGGATGACAGAAAAGTTTCAGGGAGAAGTAACTACAGATAAAACCATTTGGAGGAGAAACAGAGAGCCTGGAACATTTGTGGGCTGAAAGAATTATTTGCTTAAGAGAGAGAATACAAAATTATTTGTAGAGCTTGGCTAAACCTTTTAAACTACGGTAAAGATTTTAGATTTAACTAAAAGTATAAAATTAATACATAAGTTTAGCTGAGTAGGAAGATTCAATAGCAGTTTACAAAATTTTTCAATATTCCTATATACAAAATTTGTATTTAGGTTAAGGAACCAAGGAGCCAAAACAATTATGAATCAGAGCAAAGGTGGAGAATTCACAAGACTCAATTTCAAAGCTTACTATAAAGCTATGACAGAGCAGGAGCACCAGTATTTCAGACAAACACCAGCTTTCGGACAAGTTCCAGCTTCTATCCTAGCCTCATGCATTTCAAGAAAATTACTTCTCTTTTAACAACAAGGAGCCAGAAAGAGCAGACAGTAGAACACAGATCAGACAGTTTGGACATGGGGAGCCGGCGGGGGAGTCTCTTGGGTAACTTCCACACTTCACCCTCATACATGGGCCCCAGTAAAAGTGGGCCTTAATAAGCACATTCCTTTATTAGGAAGGTGCACTTATATTCAGGTGCACTAAGTTAGGGAAACTAAAAGCAGACTCGGTGGGTATGCCTGCAGCTGTAGAAAGATGTATGGGAACAGACATACAACTCTCACTCCCAAATAAGCACAACAAAGAAACACAGAAGCAGTCCAAGCCTCTGATAAATTCTCCCACCCTAAATCCTTAAAAACTCTTAGTCCATAGGAGAGAGTGCCCCTGACCTAACTTGGCCAGAAGCCCCTCTCATGTTTATTCTCTAAAATAAACCTGTCTTTAACTGTCAAGCCACTTTTTCTGTCTCTTTCCTCTCTCTTTAATTCTTACAAGCTACAAAAATCTGGTAAAACAAGACTCCAAGTTTTGCTTGAGAGAAAACCCTATGCATACTCCACCATGGGGTTTAGGTCTACTGACCTCACTCTTGCTCCAGATACAAGGCTTTATAATTGTGTGTAAATTAATACACCCTGTCTCAAGTATGGTTATCCAAAAGCCAACCTTGAGCCAAGGTTTTATGTGTAAGTTATTTATGATGGTGCATGAACTGTCATGGGAGACTGTTAACAGAGTGAAGAAAGCAGCACTTCAAGAACTAGCTTAGGCAAAGTCTTGAAAATAGTAGCTTCAGCCTTTCCCTGTAGTTAGGCCTTACTGACGCAGGCTAGCTGGGCTTTCCTGTCCCCAACCCTAGTTATAGTTAGTTCATTCCTGTAAGAATTTTGCTGTGCATCTGACAGCTCCCTTGCTCTTTCTTTTGTGACTGAAGCTTAGAAGATATCAGGTTAATTCAAACATTTATGATGTTAAGTGGAGACATTTAAAAATTAAGTCAATAGAGTGAAAAGTAAAGCAAAGAAATAGAAAGAAACAGTCCTATAACCTTACTCTAACTCTGAATGCAGATTTGCCTGAGGCTAGATTCAACCTGGATGCTCCAGTTACTCAGTTTTATGAACCAATATATTCTTCTCCCACCTTCTGCTTTCTTTGTTTAAGGCATTTGAATTGGGTTTTTGGCTGTTTCACAAAAAAGTGAAAAGTAATACAGGGCCTCAGAAATTCATCCTAAAACAAACGATTCCAGAGAAGCATTTTGAAGGATATACAGGAGTGAATTGAGTAAATAGATCACTCTGACTTCCACTGGTTCCTGAGGTTATATTAAGGCACTGCAGAGAGTGAGGGGACATAAGAGGATCAGCCTCATCATGAAGTAGGGTATGAATTTTTGTTTATTTTATTTTGATAAGTTGGAAACAGAAATTTACTCAGAATAGCTTGCATATAACCATTTACCAATCTGCCAAAACTAATAGATATAAGTAATTTGTCAACGTAATTTATCAGAATTAAAATTCCTGGTATTTCTCCTTTGCAGTTCAATCCCCAACTCTCCTTCCTCAGAGACAAGCACTATCATAATTTGATGCCTATCTTTCCCATTCATGTTTTATAGATATCACACATTCACAAGGTAGGTGTGTGTATGTTAAAACCACATACATATACAGGAAATAAATTTGTTTTATATACCATATTTCAATCAATATTATATTTTAATAGATATAATTTAATTTAAATGCTATCAAATTCCATCAGCTGGCTACCCTCCAATTTCTTCACATTTAACAAATGTATCTTTTAAAATTTATTTTTTAAACTTTCTGTGTTTACTTAACTAGTTTTATTACTTGTATTCAGCATAATAGCTGAATTTAAAGTCTTTTTTCCTAATTAGAGAGGTATATCACACACACAAACACACACACACATACACACACACACATATATATAAACCATGTATATATACACATATATTTTATATATGTGTATATATACATATAAAACCATATATATTTTTTAAATATACATATAAAACCATGTATATATATATTTTATATATATATATACATGGTTTTATTTTTTTTTTTCTAGACTGGGTTTTGCTCTGTCACCCAGGCTGGAGTGCAGTGGTGTGATCATGGCTCACTGCAGGCTCGACCTCCCAGGCTCAAGCTATCCACTATCCTCTCACCTAAGCCTCCTGAGTAGCTAGGACTACAGGCAGATGCCTCCACATCTAGCTAATTTTTAAAAATTTTCTAGAGTCAAGATCTCACTTTGTTGTCCAGACTGGTCTAGAATATTAATTTTAGGAGTTATGTTAGGAGTTATTATTGACATTTTATTTTGGAATTTATATTTACTACACTCTACTTTTTTTTCTTTTTTCCTGACTTCTTTTTGAATGAGCAATTTTTCTTTTTCTTCATTTTCTTCTACCCAGTAACTTCCTATTTTCTATTTCTATCATTTTAGTAAATTATACATGTTTTAACATTTATATCTTATTGCTCCTCACTAAAAGATACATACTCTAGAACACAAACTATGATATGCATCTGTATTAGTCTTTGTTCATGCTGCTGATAAAGACATACTCAAGACTGGGAAGAAAAGAGGTTTAATAGACTTACAGTTCCAGATTGTCGGGGAGGCCTCACAACCATGGTGGAAGGCAAGGAGGAGCAAGTTGTATCTTACATGGATGGCGGCAGGCAAGAGAGAGCTTGTGCAAGGAAATTCCCATTTTAAAACCATCAGCTCTCATGAAACTAAGTCACTATCATGAAAACAGCTCAAGGAAAGACCCACCCCATAATTCAATCACCTCCTATGAGTTTCCTCCCATGACATGTGGGAATTGTGGGAGTTACAATTTAAGATGAGATTTGGGTGGGGACAAATCCAAACCATATCAACCACACTTTGACCCATCCCAAATTTCATGTCCTCACATATCAAAACTAATCATGTCTTCCCAACAGTCCCCCAGGGTCTTAACTCATTTCAGCATTAACTCAAAGGTCCACAGTCCAATGTATCATCTGAAATAAGGCAAGTCCCTTTCAGCTATGAGCCTGTAAAATCAAAAGCAAGTTAGTTACTTCCATGATACAACTTGGGTACAGGCATTAGGTAAATACAACGATTCTAAATGGGAGAAATTGGCCCCGACAAAGGGACTACAGGTCCCATGCAAGTCCAAAATCCAGCAGAGCAGTCAAATCTTAAAGCTCAAAAGTGATCTCCTTTGACTCCATGTCTCACATCCAGGTCATGCTGATGCAAGAGGTGGATTCCCATGGTCTTGGGAAACTCCACCCCTGTGGCTTTGCAGAATACAACCTTCCTCCAGGCTCCTTTCATGAGCTGGCATTGAGCGCCTGCTGCTTTTCCAGGCCCACAGTGCAAGATGTGGGCGGATCTACCTTTCTGGGGTCTGGGGGATGGTGGCCCTCTTCTCAAAGCTCCACTAGGTGGTGCCCCAGTGGGAATTTTGTGTGGGGGCACTGACCCCACATTTCCCTTCTGCACTGCCCTAGCAGAGGCTCTCTATGAGGACCCCACCCCTTCAGCAAACTTCTGCCTGAACATCTAGGCATTCCATACATCCTCTGAAATCTAGGCTGAGGTGCCCAAACCTCGATTCTTGACTTCTGTACACCTGCAGGCTCAACACCATGTGGAAGCTACTAAGGTCTGGGGCTTGCGCCTTCTGAAGCCACTGCCTGACCTGTACCTTGGCCCCTTTTAGTCATGGCTAGAGAAGCTGGGATGCAGGGCAGCAAGTTCCTAGACTGCACACAGCATGGGGACCCTGGGCCTGGCCCACAAAACCATTTTTTCCTCCTAGGCCTCTGGGTCTGTGATTGGAGGGGCTGCCATGAAGACCTCTGAATTGCCCTGAAGACATTTTTTCAATTGTCTTGGGGATTAACATCCAGCTCATCATTACTTATGCAAATTTCTGCAGCCAGTTTGAATTTCTTCAGAAAATGGGATTTTCTTTTCTATTGCATTGTCAGGCTGCAAATTTTCTTAACTTTTATGCTCTGCTTCCCTTATAAAACTGAATGTTTTTAACAGTACCCAAGTCACATCTTGAATGCTTTGCTACTTAGAAATTTCTTCTACCAGATATCCTAAATTATCTCTCTCAAGTTAAAGAATCCACAAATCTCTAGGGCAGGGGCAAAATGTCACCAATCTCTTTGTTAAAGCATAACAAGGGTCACCTTTGCTCCAGTTCCCAACAACTTTCTCATCTCCATCTGAGACCACCTTAACCTGGATGTCATTGTCCATATCATTGTCAGCATTTTGGTCAAAGCCATTCAAAAAGTCTCTAGGGAGTTCCAAACTCTCCCACATCTTCCTGTCTTCTTCTGAGCCCTCCAAACTATTCAAACTTCTGCCTATTACCCAGTTCCAAAGTCGCTTCCACATTTCTGGGTATCTTTTCAGCAAAGCCTCACTCTACTGGTACCAATTTACTGTATTAGTCTGTTTTCATGCTGCTGATAAAGATGTACTTCAGACTGGGAAGAACTTGATGTTTAATGGACTTACAGTTCCCCGTAGCTGAGGAAGCCTCACAATCATGGCAGAAGGCAAGGAGGAGCAAGTCACATCTTTCATGGATGGTGGTAGGCAAGAGAGAGCTTGTGCAGGGAAAGTCCCATTTTTAAAACCATCAGTTCTCATGAGAATCATTCACTATCACAAGAACAGTGCAGGAAAGTCCCACCCCCATAATCCAATCCCCTCCCATCGGGTTCCTTCCACTACACGTGAGAATTGTGGGAGTTACTATTCAAGATGAGATTTGGGTGGGGACACTGCAAAGCCATATCAGCATCTCAGGAGATTTCTTATTCTCTGAGGGCTAGAGGCATATTAAATATCCCTACCTACCAGAGCAGCACAGTGAGTATGTTTACATTTGGTTCAGAGAATGCATCAGAAACTCCTCTCTCTTATATTGACTTTTACATGAGGAACAGAGAACTAAATAGAAAAACTAATAGAAAAGCTAATACCTAATGAATATGTGTGTGTGTGTGTGTGTCTGTTTTTGTGTGTATGTCTATGTGTTCCATAAATGGATTTAGAATAGATTCTTACATATGGAGCTGCAGCGTCAAAGGAAATGTTTTAAAAGTGATAGAATGTCTAAAAGACCATTTATGCTTGAAAAACTGGACACGTTAGGAATACTCTGCCATATCATTCCTATCAACTCAGATTATTCTTACTACTAACTACACTCTGAAGCTCCACAAGGAGAAAAAATCCACCATTTGCTGCCTTATTTTCTATTCATACTTTCTTGTAATACAAGCAGACAGAATTGGATCCATAAATGAAGTTTATAGTGCCTGTGTGGGTACGACAAGGTAAAGGGAACATATCACAGACTTTAAAAACAGATCTTGTTTCAAGGATGATTATCACTCTCTTTCTCTACTTTTGGAAAAAGAAAAGTTCCCACTTGTTTGTTTTGTCTGAAATAATAAACTTATACGAAAACACATGTGTAAATGTTGAACTGTAAAATAAAAATGTAAGGTATAAAGGGGCTCTTTACCAGTGAAACAGCTGGTAGATTTCTAATATTGCTTGTAAGCTCTTTTCAACTTGTTCTTCCATTGAATGTTTGTGTGTGGAACAGTTACACATTCAATTATTAAGTATATGTGCGCAAAATAGTTACCATACATTAACTTGGCATCAATAAATGTGTGCTTTGATAAAAAAAATTAGGTTTTTCATTTCAGTCTCTCCTGCAACTGATGTTTATTGCTTAGTGGAAAAGCTGTGTCTCAGAAATGTATGGATTTCTTGGCTTTCCCAAGAGAAAAGAGAGGAGAAAGTCAGCAGGACATGAAAGTGTACTCTGGGATCAGATTTTCTTTGTGTGTCCACTAATTTATTTGTTTTTTAGGCATTTTATAAAACACTGAGAAGGCAATAGAGATTCTACTTCATCCAGGACAGAGAGAATAGGCCATAATTCTGGTGAAAGAAAATATTGAAAACTCCATCTTGGCCTGAAGTGTTAAATCAAGGAGTCTGGACCTGACTTGAAATAAGGTCAGAATGACAAGTTCAAAGGTATCTTAAGTGGGTGGATTAAGCTTTGCCTTTTAGTGAACATTCTTGGGGTGTTCAGTAACTAGGCGAGGCAGAAGTAGAGGTCATCATGAAAGTCCATAGGAAGATCACTCTATTCACTGCCTTTTTTGTGGTGTGCCAAAGTGTGAAGGAGGACAGAATTATCAGTTCTCCTAAGGAAGGACAAAACCACTCCATTGGAATCAGAAGACTGCTAAACCTTCATTTGAAATCATTGTGAGACTCTCTTTTAAATACATACTTTGTGTTATAATTTACTCAGTCAGCAAATATCTATGAAGTACCTACTATGTGCTGGGCACTGCTTTAAGTGCTTGGGATATAGCAGTTAAAAATGATAAAAGGCAGGCCAGGCACAGTGGCACATGGCTGTAATCTCTACACTTTGAGAGGATCACTTGACCCCAGGAGTTCAAGAACAGCCTGGGCAACAGAGTGAGGCCTCGTCTCTACAAAAAATTTTAAAAAAATAAATATTAAACATTTTAAAAATTTAAAAATAGTTGGATGTGGTGGCACACATTTGTAGTCCTACTTTGGAGGCCTGGGTGGGAAGATTACTTGAGCCCAGGAGTTCGAGGCTGCAGTGAGCTACGATCATGCCACTGTGCCAGAGTGCCAGGGTGACAGAGCAACACCTTATCTCTAAATAATAATAATAAATAATAACATTATTATTATTAACATAAAGGCACAAAGCCCTGCCTTCATAGAGCTGACACATAATCAGATAAGTCAGATAGTAAACAATGCTTTAACACAGCAGAGTATAACACAAAAACATAATGAATATGAAGTGCACATTATATGTTATAAGATGGCGCATGTAGTAAAGAAATACAGACTCCTATGAAGGTGAGGGGATGGATTGTGTCAGGGCAGGCCTCAGTGATTTGTGCAAAGACTTAAAGGATATAGGGAATGAGCCAAGGGAATGGTTGTAGAAAAAATATTTAAGGCAGTCTGAATGAACAAAATAAAAGGCCTACACAGCAGCAGGTTGGGTATATTCAATAACAAGAAGACCATGTGGGCTTGAAGTCACATGACTTGAAGGGACAAATCCTAGAAGATGTAGTCTTAGAAGTGACAGGGCCCAAATTGTATAAGGCTCCGTAGGCCTTTGGATGTACTTTGGCATTTGCTCTGAGTAAAATGGGGATTGTTGAAAGGTTTCAAGCATGTCTTTTAAATAATTAAAACTTCTTGCTATAAAATTACTAGGACATCTCCATTCCATTAATGCTTCAATAAGATCTTTAAAATTTACTTTGTCTTTTTAGGAATAGAATACACTCTAAGAGGCTTAAATCATTTTCTATTCTATGTCAGTTACTTCATCAGAAAAATTAAGTTATCCAGAGTTTCTGTCTTCTGAATGGTGGACTCTATTTCTACTTTTTAAAAATACTCCTCCCAACTTCTGTCTAAGAAAAATTTACATTTGAGGAGGGATTCTCTACTCTTAAATGAAGGGTCTATTAGAGGATTCTCAATAACACTAAATGGGTCTTTTTATAACTGAAATGGATTTATTTCTTTTAAACAATATAATGTTTAAGTCATTTTTTAAACAGATGCAAATTTATTTTCTATTAGTGTGCCATTTAGAATTTTATTGACAATAAGATACGAGGAAATATCACTGATAATCTTATTTATGACTTGGTAAAATCTCTAAGATTTTTTTATTCTCTCAATCTCCCAGCTCTGTTCTCAATTACTTTCTTTAGCTCATTATATAAAAACAAACAAACGAACAGAGGCAATGAGAATAAGTAAAAATCCATTGGCTATTTTTCTGTCACCCATTTTTTTTTTGGCATTTTCTTTATCTGCAAGTTTTTCATTAAAAATTATCAACCCAGTGATGGTAGGTAGATCCCCACTTTTGAATTAGGCATAGACACTGATACAACTTTACCCAAATATTACTCTAGTGTATTCAATATATTGAAACATGCTATTAATAATTATTGCCAACTTTTATGTAAATACTTTTTATGAACCCCCAAATTTGGCCTATCTTGCTTTCTATTTCAGATTAGCATAAGATACTCTTAACTAAGAACGTGTGAGGGCACATAGTCTCCTAGGAAAAACCAAAACGAACACATTGTGGACTCTTGGAAAGTGTTCATATCAATGATTTGTTTCTAACTTAATGTTAATGGCCGCAGCAGCCTGTCTGCAGTGGCCACTGCGAAGATGCTGCAGTAGGGAAGGTGTAGCCAGGACAGGTTCCTTGGAGACTGTGGGAGCCGGGAACAGGTGGGAACCCCGCCTCTTATCGAGTTGGTGAGGCAGGAGCCCCACACTCCTGGGCGCAGCTGTAGCTGACCAGCTGAGGCTCCAGACCCAGGCATTCCTGTGCTCTTGGGAGCCCGGGAAGCCCCTCTTCCCCCGCAGGCTTGGAAATGCCTGCTCTAGTTCCCTGGCCTCTGCCTGCTCTAGGGCAGAGCAAAGTTGTGTCCACGGCCGGGTGCTCTTGCAACCCAGTCGGGTGTGCGCGGCCTCGGGGCGACACTGACATGCCAGCCCCCGGTCACCATGGCCCCCTCCAGACTTTGGGTACTGACGAGCATGGGAGGGAGGCCAAGGCGAGGCTTAGGGAGGCTCAGTGCAGGCGCCCCTTGACACAAACAACCTGGGCCTGCGATGGATGGCATGTTGATGGCGGCAGGAGGCAGACAGGCTCCTGGGTGGAAATGGGCGGGTCCCCGGTGAAACCCCATCTTCAAGCCAGGGATGGCCTGAAGCCTGGGGTTCAAGCTGCCAGTTCTTGGTGGAGTCTGCGGCTCACAGTGAGAAGGTATGATGCTTCTTCTGGGCCTGCCCACAGTTGCCCACAAACCGATCAGCACGCACTTCTTTCCTTCTGAGCCCATAATAACCCAGAACTGATGTCAGGACTGACATCAGGACTACCAGCTGCAGGAA
Organism: Homo sapiens; assembly: GCF_000001405.40. Taxonomy (NCBI): domain Eukaryota; kingdom Metazoa; phylum Chordata; class Mammalia; order Primates; family Hominidae; genus Homo; species Homo sapiens. Next base: position 30,353,140 of record NC_000018.10, read on the forward strand.
GGAGCTACCCACTGCAGGGGTCCTGAAAGCTGTTGTCACTCGACGAAGCTCCTCTCCTCCTTGTTTACCCTCCAGTTGTCCACATAGGAGATTCTTCCTGGATGTAGGACAAGATCTCGGGACCTGTCAAATGGTGGGACTGAAAGAGCTGTAACACAAACAGGGCTGAAACACATGCCCTGCCTTCGACCCTGCTCGCCACCTAGCAGTCAACCAGAAGAGAAGAGCTGTGGCCCCTCTGGGAGCCCAGAGAAGAAGAGAATTGTTGTGGCCCTTCCGGGATCCCAGACCTAGGGACTCCTTGAGTCAGGGCTGTGACAACCTCTTTGGGGCTCTGCAGTTCCTGGCATCTCCAAGCTTCCAGGCACCACTGTGTTCACTCATCCACAGGCGGATGCCCACAGTGGAAGCCATGTGCGCTATATCTGATTTAGCCACAGCTTCACAGGGAGTCAGCACCTGTGCCAGTGCCTGAAGCTGCCCACCCTGTCACAGCCAGCGTGTCTGGCTGTAAGCAGTGGCTGGACCCCACTCTTGCTCGCCCACACACCCTTCACCACTTCGCACCTGGCTCACCTTTGACAGGTGTGGGATCCAGGCCAGTAGTGTGAGCTGAGTGCAGCCTTCCTGGCCAAGTGTGTGGAATGAGTCCAGTGGACACGAGCAATACTCAGGCAGAAGGTGCCACCAGACACAGAAGTTTCTGGCTGGTGAAGCAACACCCTAAGCATCCTGTGACAATGCCACTGAGAAGACTTATGTATAAGCTGATCATGTCTCACATAAACCATGTAAATATGGTTCATGCTTATCAAAATAGAAGATGTAATTATGATTAATGATAGGAAAATACACATCTAAATAATTCTTACAGATTATATTTAGAAGCCTAGTTAAGGCATGCAAATTTGAAGTAAAATGTATTGATGAAATAATTGTTAAGTCTACCAACAACTTCCTAATAGACAGATTTCGGTTTAATCTAATAGCTAATGAAATAATATTTAAAATAGTTTGATCCTAGGTAATAACAACATAATGCTAATTTACTCCTATCTAAAAGTAGAACACATAGGTAATGAGATAGCTATATTACATGATAAAAAGGAGACTAGATTAATCTAGAAAAACCCAGTGTCCTGACTGCAGTTTAATGAGAGTTTAACTGATTGAATTTTCTTTAAGGATTATCAAATACATATGCCCCTTTTACACATACTCGTTTTTTCCTTTATAAAGTTATCTATATCTTTGTGTCATAATAAAATAATGTAAGGTGTTTTATTTTTATAGGATATTTTTTCTAACATGTCAGGAAAGTAGTTGTACAGTACAAAGAAAGGGTTAAGTTCCTAATAACATCAGAAAAAAATTACTTTGTAGCTTGATACCCAGGATTTCAGAGTCAATAAATTAAAATGTCACTCCAGCATTTGAAAAAATATATATGAATAATAAATACAATCTTCAAGAGTATCTCCTCCTGAAAAAACGAATAATGGTCATAACTTGTCAGTGTGTTAGAGAATAAAAGATTGCTACTAAAAGTGAACTCATTTTTCTTGCTTCTAAAAGAAATTATTTCTTAATGTTAGGGGGAAAAAACACTTCAAGCCTAAAGACAAGCCGTTTGAAACTACCCCATGGGAAGAAGAGAACTGCAAAGGTGTTCTCTGGATAGATTTTGATCTCTGCAAGGATATGAACTATAATGATCAGAGGGCATTCTAAAATGCTACAGAAATTGTTAAACCAAGGAATAACTCAACTGGACACCCTTTATCTTTTCAAGATTGAATGCCAGTGAGTAAGAGCTTCAGGCTACTAGAGCAATGATGGTTTTTTGAATTATAAAGATTTGATATTAAATAATTGGAGATTCTTGTCAGCATGTTGTTAAGCTAATTTTAAGTCCTTCAAGGCTTAGGAAATAGCCCATGTCTACATACAGCTCTACATGTTATGTTCTAATTAGCTAAGATCACATTTTTATCAATTGAATAAAGTCTATAATTCCATATTAAATAAAAACTATAATTCTTTAAAAAAGACAGCATGGTTTGTTTCCTAAATAAAATTCCGAATCTTGATGTAAATGTATACTTTTGTTGAATTTTTACAATTATTTATGTGTAAGTAACAGATACAATGTATTTTGTACAATTTAACTTTTTAAAATACTCTACACAGGAAATGCCAAAGATTTAATAAAACAGTTACGAATAATGTACAATACACTGAATGGTTAAGAAAATTAGATTTAATCGTCCTTTGTTTTTGTTTTCCATAGTATAAAATATACCATATATGGCCAGGTACGGTGGCTCACACCTGTAATCCCAGCACTTTGGGAGGCTGAGCTAGGCAGATCAGGAGATCAGGAATTCGAGTCCAGCCTGGCCAACATAATGAAACCCCGTCTCTACTAAAAATACAAAAATTAGTTGGATGTGATGGCAGGTGCCTGTAGTCTCAGGTACAGGCTGAGGCGGGAGAATCGCTTGAACTCGGGAGGCGGAGGTTGCAGTAAGCCGAGACCATGCCGCTGCACTCCAGCCAGGATAATAGAGTGATACTCCTTCTCAAAAAAAAAAAACCCACAAATTTTGCAAGTCTATGTTTTGTATTAATTCTCTTCACGTACCAAGATACTAAAGACATTCTAATAGCTACAGTTTTTTTTAGTTTTCTGTTCAAGGATTTAATATTTACTCATCATTATAATCTTTGTGATATTACATTTTTAGGAGGAATTATTGTTTCGAATAGGAATTATATAAATTGGCTTCCTACATTTTTAGTACAGCTAGTTAGATTTAGGATTATGGTTTATTTCTAACTTTCCCCACAAGTGATTGGAGCATCGTCACATAAGAATAGAAGTTAAAATTACACCACAATAAGTTCTATTTTAAAATTCAAATTTTAACTTTGTATTACTTAGATACCGTCATGTGTTGTTTAACAACAGGGATATGTTCTGAGAAATGTGTTGTTAGGCAATTTCATCATTGTGCAAACATCATAGGGTGTACTTACACCAACCTAGATGGTATAGGCTTCTACCCACCTGTAGGCTGTATGGTATAGCCTATTACCCTAGGCTATAAACCTGTATAGCATGTTACTGGGCTAAATACTCTAGGCAATTGTAACACAATTGTAAGTATTTGTGTATCGAAACATGTCTAAACATAGATAAGGTACAGTAACAACACAATATTATAATCTTATGGGACCACCATCATAAATAGTAGTCACTATTGATCAAAACATCATTACGTGGCGCATGAGTGTGTTTATGAACTCTCTAGCCTAATCATTACATTTTATTTTGATAATAATGAAGCTCTGCATAGTAAATGTAGTATATTTTTTTATTTATGGGTTGATAAGCATAGCCTTTTAGGCTTTGTGACTTTTCAACAGTACTTAAAAGTTTTACAAATAAATGTATCTGTAGAGGCAATTGGTAAAGATTAAGAATGTAGGCAAATTTGTGAAATATTATAAAGTCATACTTTGTAGTAAGTTTTGAAATTACCCTTCACTTTCCTTTCCTATTGCTGTCAACATAGTACAAATCTGTGTTATTCTTTCTACTACATTTCATTCTGTAAATTTTCACAGACTGATTTTCTTAACGCATTTTCTTGATGACTGTTCACTTATAAAACTTAACATAATTCCGCAATAGTAATGAAGCTAGGTTTGTATTCCTACCCCTAAATTTAAGAGTTTTTTTACTAGTCTATGCCAGCTCATTCTTTGATTGAAGCAACCTGACTTTCCATAAATGTCTCAGCAAAAATAATCTTTGAGTAAAGGTTGTTGTCTGTCCTGAGTGGAAGGCCCTGTCTTACCCTCCTCTGTTCAACAATTGATTATTCACAAAGAAATCTATCTCAAGCCCCACTTTTTGCCTAAAACCCTTTCTTCTAGTCCCAGCTGAAATTGAAGGTGCCAATTGCTAATCTCTAGTGCTGGCTAAAAACGTATATAATATTTCCAATAATAAATTTCAGTAAGCCTTTCCTAGTTGTCTATTTGCAATTCCAATATGCTGATTGACATATTAATTTTAAGATCTTGATTATAAATATCCCTAGGATAAAGGTTTCTATCTTCAAGACCTTGCAGGATAAAGGATTTACGGATATTGGCCAAAATCCTACAATGCCATATAGGCAGACTTCTGCATACTTCCCAGCTTCACCACTCATCATGTCTCTCCATCCCCTACATGCTGTTACGTCTGCCTGATATGCTCTTGTTCCTCATTGGGCTTGTTAAATTCTATTCAATGTATAGCTGTCAATCTAGGACCCTTTTAAAGGAAAGTCTTTTCTGAACAATTTGGCTATTTTGAATATCCTTCTACACTCTCATAAAACCTGGCATGTGAGGTTTGTGACTCTCAAAACACTAGGGATTTTACACATATATATGTAATTTATTGAATTTATATGTAATTATATAAATTTATATGCAATTATTGAAATTATATGTAATTTAGTATATGTATTTTACATATATATGTAAAATTGCATATAATGTATGTGTGGGTATGTGTGTGTATATATGTACATATACACACACATATGATTATATATAATATGATTATATATAATTATATATTATATATAAGGTTATATATGTGTATATAACCTTATGTACACTATATATATAATTGTGTGTTTGTCTTCCTTTTCCACTTAACGAGAAAACTTCAATAATCTGACATCTCAAAGTAAGAATAGTGCTTGGCACAGAGTAGACACTCAATAAATATTTTCACATTAAGTCTGGTTCAGATCACAGTACATAGAAGTGTGATAGTTACAATATCCTAAATAAAAAACTCCCACATAAGAGACATACATAGCTACTTGGTAGGTCACCAATTCTTTAGTTTTTTACTTCAATCCTCTTAAATGAAAGCATCACTAATAAAGGAGTAATCTGAAAAAGCCAACAACGGGAACAAAAGGTACTAGGTATAAATTCTAATTATATATCCAACATTATTTCCATTACACAGTAACATAGTTCTACCATGAGCTTAGATTTTCTCAACATAAAACTACTATAGCATCAACTATTTTGCTGTGAGAATAAAGTGTCTATGTTTGTATATATTATATACTTTTAACATATAGAGCATTATATAAAGCATATACTTGTAAACGTGTTTTTAAATGTAAAATGCTATTTAAATACATTAAAATTATTATTATATAGCATTATCCTCAATATCCATGAAAGTTTTAAGAACATCTTTCGGACTCAATAACCAAGAATGATGCCAAAAATTGACCTTCTTTAAAGCAAATTTTACTCTGTAGTAAAATGTGTTTTAGTGATTTTCTGATATGTTTGATATAAAATAGAAACTGATATGGCACCAGGCTGAACACTAGACACTAGAGATTTTTAAACCCCATTAGATTGCAATGTCATTGACAGCAGAGAGCAAGTATTTTATTCTCTTGTAATCCTCTACTGTTCATTGTATAGGACATGGTTTTGCATAGAGTGAATGTTCAATAACTCTTATTGTTGTGGTGACTGCTAGATAATGAGTCATGAAGAACAGCAAAATTAGAGTCAGAAAAAAACCCAGAGAGCTGTGGCAATCATGTGTGTTGCAATGAACATCAAGAGTCTAGCCAAAGAATAACAATGAGAGAATAAGGTTTGTGTACCTAGTAAAATGTTGCCATGTGGCTATTCAGGAAGACACAAACTGACCTAATCTGATGTAAATGTGAATTCAGGAATATAAAGTGGGAAATTCATGATCTGTTATTTTAAATTTCAAAGCAATAATCACAGCTAGAAGAAATAAAATTTCACTGGGTACCTTTGAAATTATACCTTCAAAAGACGTTGCTATCTTCTCCTTTGTGTTCACATGTTTCAAATAATATTTTTAGTGAGTTAAACAGAAATGCTTCTTGTAGGGAGGCTGATGCAGAAAGTATTTATACAGCCAAGTGAAAGCAGAATCCAGATGTATTAGGCTGGTGCAAACGTTAACTGCACCATGGCAAAAACCATTACATTTGCATCAACCAAATATTTTCCTTCAAGATCAAGCACAGCACTAGAGGTTTTGTATCTTCCAAATGCAAACAGTATTATTCATTTTAGTCTCATAGGCACTTCATGTTTATGCTTAATAGTAATGTCAACACTACTTGTGAAATGGGGTGATATATTGGAAAATATTAACGTGTTCTGAATAACACATCAATGAAGATGATCTTTAAAAACATTCATATATGTTTAAGCATTCCAGGGGCAGACAGCACTAAAGGAAGATCTAATTTTAAGCCATCCTTCCATCAGCCGAGGATTCAAGCAAGCAGCCATTTCCCACACAACCTGGTGGAGCAGCATGGTTGCAAAAAAGGAAGCCGTACACTTGAGATTCTCCCACTAGCCGGTCAGAGGAAACAAGATTAGATCTTAAATTCTACCATGAGGTAACTTGGACATAAAGGCCAAAGAGGAAAGCAGTGACCAAAGAACAGATATATGGGTGAAAAGGGTAGAAGAGACCAAGGAGCCACATGATCTCATAGCCCCACCTCAACCTGGTTCAGCAGAATGACATGTGGGGAGTGGATGTGAAAGAGCCCGGGGGGTGGGGAGTTACCAATTCTCTTATCTGACTCACCCTGGAAAAAACAGAGTAACTTAAAGAGAACATAATGATTGAAGCATTTTAAAGTGAACAGAAGAGAATAAAGTTATATTTTCCCACTACACAAAAGGTAGGGGCTCACAAGCATGACCCGAAAATTATGCCACAGCTTAAAGCTATTATAGTACTATTCACATCTGAATATCAGTTGCATTTGAATTCTTACTCTCGCTTTAAGCCTAAAATTAAATTGTTCCCCACAAAATAGAAAACACATCACTGTTCTGCACAAAGTAGAGAACGATTACTATACATGTGTTTCCTAGTTGACTGGCCTATGAAATAATAAAAAAGTTACCAGAAATATCTACATATTGTCTTGACATTTCAGAAAAAGGAAACAAAAGCAGAATAAGCAAAGCCAGAAAATTTCCACAACATTGATGACTGAATCACTTTTACAGATTCCTCTTACATATTGTTCGCTTTCTTCATATTGTAAAAGGGATGCATAATTATTATTTAAAAATTTGAAAAATAAAGAAAGCAGTACAAGTGAAATAAAAATTTCCAATTGCCACCTTAAATATATTTGTGTATTACTTTATAGTATTTATAATAAATATTTAGGATCTTATTGAATATGTAGTGTTATTAATTTTATGAACACATTTTATTTTAATTTTATTATTTTTATTATCTAAAATAATTGTAATTATTAAAAAGATCAATTAATATTTTAATCCTGTCTTTTTGTGCAGCAGAACTTATCTACTTTCATAATTTCAGCAGAATACATCTACTATTATATTCAGTGAGGACATTAGCTCCCAATAAAATAATTGCCCTAATTTAAATACTTTATTTTCATCCATACTTTCCTAAACAAGAAAATTGAGAAAGCATTAAGGTGCAAAATTCTGTGTGGTTCAACATTTTCATTTTGTTTTTCATCTTGTTTACCACCTATCCTACTCCTTCAATCCATTAACCACATCCTATTCAATTCTACACTTGACCACTTATTTTTGAATTAGAGGGTTAGTCAGCAGTATTCTCTATGTCATCACCTTTGACTCAAAATGTTTTTTTCCCTAAAATAGCAGTAAAATATTCTCTGTCCTACTGCTCAACCTAATGAAATAGACAAAACTGGACTCCTCAGTTTCCCAAGACTTATAAAAATATAAGGAGTCAGTTGAATCAGCGGTATTTTAGCATGGAAAGAGTTATCGATAATTATGACATTTGTTTAGGTATTCAGAGTCCCTTCTCATGCTTGTTAATGCTTCATTATATGTTCACTCATAATCTACCTTTGCATCAATTAATAATGTGTATCCTTTTCTACTTAATCATATTTCACACATTATACTGCATTAGAATCACATAACTTTGGAGCATTGCTTTTCATTTTTAATTAACTTAATCACTTATAATATCAAAATTCCCCACTGTTAAACTGAAAACTTTCCTGTAGTCCTTTCTCACATCATGACTGGTAATGTAACTAAGTGAGGGCATTTGAGCGTATTTGACAGGGAGAGATTTCTAGTTTACCATTATTTCTGATCCAGGATACCAAAAATATAACTGCTCTGTTTTAGCAGGCCTTAATATTTCTGTGTGAGGATTGTAAGACAGAACAAGCAGCTAATCTTGATAGTGGCAGAAGGCAGGCAGATCCTAGGCAGACAGGGGCCGGGTCCCCAGTGAAACCCTACCTTGAAGCCAAAGACAGTTGAAAGCCTGAAAGCCAACTGCAAGTCAAATCCACAGAGCAGACTGAGAACCTGTCTTCCCGTTTGGCACACTTTCCTCTGATTAATCCCCACCCTTCACCTATTTTACATATAGCCTATTCTTCCCTAGTTGGTTTTTCACACTGTTGTGCCCACCTTTGAGAGGTGCCTTTGTTCTAGTCTTTTCCCTATACTCACAAACCAATCAGCAAGCACTCCCCCATTCTGAGCCCTTACAATCCCTGGACCCAGCCACACTGGGAGAGAATCCACCCTGCGAGACCACCTTCACGTCTCCTCTCTGCTGAGAGCTGTTTTGTTGCCCAATAAAATTATTCTCCACCCTCCTCACTCTTCAATTGTCAGTGCGATCTCATTCTTCTTGGATGTGGAATGAGAACTTGGGACCAACTGAATGTGGGTACACCAAAAGCTGTAACAACTGTGGCCCTCTGCCTGCCACCAGTGGAGGGCAGCCACCCCATGCAATGAGAAGCAGCGGTGGGGTCCAGCCAGCCCTGGAGCCATGGGCCAGAATGAGGCAGAGGCTGGCAGAGCTGTTAACTTGTCACCGAAGGCAGGACTAAAAGAGCTAATTAGCACACTGTAATATCCCCTCTGGGGCTTCGGGATCATGGGGACCCCTGTCTGGGTGCCACCATGTTGCCTTGTCTAGAGGCTGGAGTCCACCACGGGAGTGGCTTGTGATATGCCTTGTCCAGCTGCAAGCCCCGTATAGAGCCTGATTCTGTGCCAATGCCTGAATGGCTGGCTGGACCCTGCACCTGCTCACTCACACACCCCCATCCACCAGGGGCTGAGTGCACAGTTGCTGCGGCCACAGCATCTGGGCCAGTGTGAAAGCCAGATATGGCTTAGTGAGCTGAGTGGACGGGACGCCTCCTGCAGCAGGCCCAGGACCAAGCAAGGGTCTAGGCAGGAACGTCACCAGCCGCAGAGGTCCTCAGGTGGCAAAGTGACTGAGAAAAATCCTGTGTCAATCTCTTGGCATTAAAATGAATTGTTGAGAGCTAATTCTGTGTTGTTTTATGCTACACATCTGCTGTGGTGTGGTCATATATGCCAAACTTTTAACTGTGCTTAATATACTTAGTGCCATTGTTTTTACATGCTTCTGCTTGGGCATGTGTTACCATCGTTAAAGTGTAACAACACTTTGTGGAATGTGGTTTCTAGTACAACACAGTTAGCAATCCCACTTGTAAAAAAAGCTGCAGAAAGATGTGGAAAATAAATATTAAAATTTCTGGTTATCATTCATTCACATTTTCCACTATGATTAATTCAAAAATGAATAAAGTAAACAAATATTGTTTAGAATCATTCAAGTTTACCTATTTTTCTCTATTTACAGAAATTCATTTTGTAGTTAGTAAACCAAAAATTTTAAAAACAATAATTTAGGCCAGGCACAGTGGCTCATGCCTGTAATCCCAGTACTTTGAGAGCTAAGGTGAGTGAATCACTTGAGGTCAGGAGTTTGAGACCAGCCTGGCCAACATGATGAAACCCCGTCTCTACTAAAAATACAAAAATTAGATGGAAGTGGTGGCGCTTGCCTGTACTCCCAGCTACTCAGAAGGCTGAGGCAGGAGAATCACTTGAACCCAGGAGGTGGAGGTTGCAGTGAACAGAGATCATGCCACTGCACTCCAGCCTGGGCTACAGAGCGAGACTCTGTCTCAAAAAAAAAAAAAAAAGAAAAAAGAAAAAAGAAAAAAAAATAGGCCGGGCGCGGTGGCTCATGCCTGCAATCCCAACACTTTGGGAGGCTGAGGAAGGTGGATCACCTGAGGTCAGGAGTTAGAGAACAGCCTCGTCGACATGGCGAAACCCTGTCTCTAATAAAAAAGTACAAAACTTAGCTGGGCGTCATGGCGCATGCCTGTAATCCCAGCTACTCAGGAGGCTGAGGCAGGAGAATCACTTGAACCCGGGAAGCGGAGGTTGCGGTGAGCCGAGATCACGCCACTGTACTCCAGCCTGGGTGACAGAGCAAGACTCCGTCTCAAATAAATAAATGAATAAACAAATAAATAATAAAGTAAAAATAATAAAAAAATTTAATATGGAATGTTGCAGGAAAGCCAGGATAATCAGTTAGTTTTCCACCTGATGACACAATGGGACACAGAAAACACATTATAATCACAACAACCTAAGAATCAAAAGCCCTCTGCCATGTTTTTTATTTCCACACACATTGTTCATTTAGAAAGTTAGAAATATTCAAGTAGTTCAAGGTAGTAGACTTTTTGAGCACTGCAAATTCTATCGAGATACGGCATTTATTGAATATTTACTATGGGCTAGGCACAGACCAACAATAAAATGACATGGAACTCTTAAGTTTCATTGCTATATAAAAGGAAAATTCCTACAGATTCTCATTCTTGTATTTGGGCAAGTGTTTATTTCTGTGATTGATCCTCAATTCAAAAAAATCTGGCATCTCTATTCAATTCGACTTCAATGAATTTAGTGTATTGAGCAAAAACTGTAAGAAAGTAATTATGCTGGCACTGCAAGAAATACAAAACAATTTACCTCTTCCCTATAAAAACACATTTTGAAGAATGTTACTAAAGTAATTATGTAATTAAGATAAATGGGAGCTCTTACTTTGGATAAAAACTGTATTTCTTAAAGAAATGGCTTTGAACTATATCCTGCAAAATGAAGAACCTTTTGACAGAGGACATATGGAAAATAGTATTCTTCATAAAGATTAAGCATGAAGCAACATGTGGTTTGATTAGATAGATATGAGCGAGAAAGAGAGAGAGAACGTGAGGAGAAAAATATATCTAAGGTTACAGGTCAATAAGGAGTTTACTTCAAGTCAGTGACAGGAATTGATATTTAATTAAGCAGAAAATATGTTACAGTGTGCTTTTGAGGATATTGATAATATTGTTAACATGGTAAGCATTATAATTTAGGAGTGTAGTGTGGCTTTCATACATCGTGACCATGATCTTCAGTAACAAATACATTTTACATTAAACTCTATTCACTTATATATTCCTATGAAAAACTATTTTGGGAAATATTGTCACTAGCACTCTGGTGTTTTCTCTTCTGTTCTTTTCCCTTTCTCTCCCATTTCATTACAAAAATGTTGGTTTGCCTTCACTACATTTATTTCATGCTGTATGTCTGTAGTGTGAAAAATACTGCTGTAGAAATATCAGTTACCAGTGGTACCTGCAAAAGATTAATTTACAAGGGTGTCAATAGGTAGGAGGACTGGTTATGAAATAACAAAGGTATGAATTAGATTGTGATGAGCTTTAATGCAATAAAGGAATTCATGAAATACAAGACAAAATACATTTAGCGGATATTTTTGACTAAGACACTAGTGATTATTGCTAATGAAAAGAAATAAAATTAGTTTGCCTATCTATTCTTTCAAGAAAACTCTGAAACCATGTTTTTTCTCTATCCTCACACAAATGTAACAATAATCACCAACACAGAAGATTCCCATGACCAAAAGTTTGGGGTTGTTTCCCCACAACGAGCAGCACACACTAACTGGGTGTCCTCCAATTCTGACAGTATCTATCCAAAGACAGTGTCAGATCTCACAAATTGAGGACTCTGTCCCCAGGACTGACTCCTTCTTCCCCTAAGTCACAAGTCCAGGCCTGTGGAAGTTCTGACTGACAAGAGTCAAGTTAGGGTTCCTATGATTTCCTTTTTGGGTTCAATTAATTTTCTAGAGTGGCTCACAGGACTCTGGGAAACATTTATTTACATTTATCCACTTATTATAAAGGATATGTTAAAGGATAAAAATAAGCAGCCAGATGGAAAGATACATAGGGCTATCTTTCCGGAACACAGGAGCTTCTGTTCATGTGGAGTTAGCATGTGCCATCCTCCTGGCATATGGATGAGCTCTTGTTCACTGTCCTGTTGACCTCCATGTGTTCAGCTCTCTGAAAGCTCCTCAAACTCAGTCCTCTTGGGTTTTTATGGAAGCTTCATGATGTCAGCATTCCTTTCCCCAGGGTACAGGGCAGAATGTTCTCTGGGGAGGGTCCTAACTTCCACAATCAGAAAGATAGAAGAAGATCACCTGTGCCTTGGGACAGGTGAAAGAGGGGAAGAGGGCAGAGAGACTCTGTTTCCTGAGGCCTGCTCCTGAGGCCTAACATACCCAAAGTTACAAGAAAAGATTGTAACAAGAGCTATGGGAGTCATAAGCCAGGAACTGTAGGAGAAACCCCACGTATATGCTATATTGTAATTGTATATCTCAGATACATACATATATATGTGTATATATATAAACATAAATATATGTATAGATACATATATGTGTATATATAAATATATAAATTTTACTTATATTAATTTGCTTACCTGTTATTTCATATATATGTGTATATATATATATATACGCACACACACATATATGTATGTATCAGATATGTGTATATATACATATGGGATATGTGCATATATATATGTGGGTATATGTATGTGTATATATACACATATATATGTATATATATCTCATAACACCACACCTGTGTATGTGTATGTCTGCCTTCCCTTCTCAATCTGTCCCCTCTCATCAGAACAGAAGTTTCACGGTGGCAGACACTTTACCATTATTCGAAGCTCTATCCCCATCACTAAAAATGTATCAGGGACATAATAACTGCTGAATTAGTATTTGTTGAACGAAGGAGACAACCAAGTAGGAAAACTAAAATCTTAAAATAGCAAACATTAACGGTCTAAAACTTCAAAGGCTTTCCATTCAACCAGCAAAGTATGTTATGTGTTTTGTCTCCTTTTTTGGTGCCTAAGTACAGTTCAAATATCTTTAATATTGCAGCAACTTAATTAAGGAGATTAAAGATGAAATTGAAATTGTATATCTCAGCAAGGATTTTAAGTTAACCCTGCAAATTTGTTTATGAGTTGCTTTACAAAAAACTCTGCATCCTATTTATTTCTTCATACTAAATAAAAGTTTACTAGCTTCCAGCTGTCATGAAAATATACTATGATATTTGAAAATTATAAACTGTCATATAATGAGATCATCAACCTCAGAACTCCACATGATAGTGCAGGTAATCAATAAATTGTTTTTAAAAAATTATATTTTATAAATTTTATTTATAAAGGGGCAGAAACAGTATTGTAATATTTTTCCCCCAAACCAAGCACAGTATCTGGCCCACAACAGTGGCTTAATAAATATTTTATGTTTGAAAAAAATCTTTTACTTGATTTTTTCTTATCAAACATATCATATATTTTGTAGAAGATTAAAAAATACAAATCAACAAGAAGAATAAAATGACTATCACTCTTCAATCAGAGATAACCACTAATACCTGTGTCTGTGTGTACACACAAACATACACACATATGCTTGTATATTTTAATTTCATTGATTTTTAAAAGCACAGAAGCATTATGACACATACTTTATACCCTTGTTTAAAGCCTCTTAACTTTATTAGCATTTTTTATTTCATGGGGCTATTATGGAGAACAAATGAGAAAAATCCATGTGTAGCATATAATACAGTGCCTTACACATAAAAAGAAATAGTGGAAGTAGTCAACAAATGTTAACTACTACTATTGAAATCATGCTGTTTTACAGTCTCTTTTATAGTCACTTAACAATGTATAATAAACATTTTTATGACATTAAACTTTATTCTACAATGTTATTTTAATAATTTTAGCATATTCCATTATATATAATTATATTTTCATGGGTCAATCCTGTTGAGATTTACATTATTTCCTATTCACTGTTAAATCCATGCTTCAATAAAGATTCTTATAAATATATCTTTGCATACATGTATGTTTGCTTATTTCCTTAAGATAGATTTTTAGAATTGTTTTATTTAAAAGATAATATGTACTATTTTAAAAAGCAAGTAGTATTATAAGGTTTTCACTACTACTGCTAATGATATATGGTAATAATAATTAGCATAATAATTGTGTCTGGTAATAATCAGTAATAGTATTAATATTAGTAATACATTTGTATTGTTATAAAATAATAAGCTTATATCCTTTCCTCCAATTCTCAGATGTTGTCCATAGGCAGTTATGTTCATATCCATCAGTAATATAATCTAAAGACATTTAAAAACATTTTTTACCAGAAATAAAATGACTTCCTAATTGGAAACTAAGAAATCTGTTCTTTTAACCACTTTTTATGTTGCCATTTTTAATAAAGCAATATTAGTGTTTACAATGTAATTTTTGTTCACAGTAAATCCATGTACTATATAAAGATGTATTTCTATCATAAATATCTTTTAATATTCTTTGGGGTTTAGTTGTACCTAATTACATTATTTTAGCTATCCATGGATGGATTGCCCACTACTTCCAAAGTCTTCAGCAGAACTGAAAACTTCCCTGAAAGCCTTTTGAATACTTCAGATATTTTCCATTTTAGTTTCTCCTCAGAAAAATATTTTCTGGAGTCTTTGTTCCTTGGTAATTCCCTTGTGCAGAGTTACATTTTGGAATTTATTTGCCTTTTTGGTGTGCTCCAAATTCCTAAATGCCATGTCTTACTCTTTTTCTGTTTTCTTTTTTTTTCTTTTCTTATTTTTTTACTTGTGGCTCATATTACCTAGTTGATTCCTATAGATGGTAAGCTTTTTTGAGACACTGCATGTCTGATTTTTGTATTCTTTATCACACTTTATTGATACTGTGGCTTGATACGTAATCAAACGTTAAAAATAAATTTGTTCTGAGAATGAAGGTGTTGCTTTATTGTCTTCTAGCTGTCACTAAAAATCACCATTCATTTTGATCTCTAGACATGAGTTCCCAATTTATCTTTCACTTTGAAAGCTGACCAAGAAGGCTTTAATGTTCCAGTCAGCTTGACTCAATTTTAGGCAGGTTTATTCCTGATTATAGACCTCTAATCTTCTTTTTCTTAGAGTATTTACTTCAGAAAAATTGCAATTTGCCTGGGCGCGATGGCTTACACCTGTAATCCCAGCACTTTGGGAGGCGGAAAGTGGGCAGATCACCTAAGGTCAGGAGTTTGAGACCAGCCTGATCAATACGGTGAAACCCCATCTCTACTAAAAATACAAAATTAGCCGTGCGTGGTGGTGCATGCCTGTAATCCCAGCTACTTGGGAGGCTGAGGCAGGAGAATCGCTTGAACCCGGGAGGCGGAGGTTGTGGTGAGTGAAAATCGCACCATTGCACTCCAGCCTGGGCAACAAGAGCAAAACTCTGTCTTAAAAAAAAAAATTGCAATTGTAAATTATTTCTCTGTTCATTTGTGATATAAATCTTCTAAAACTCAGAAATACCTTTTTCAAGAACATAGGTAGGAGCCATCCCTTTGACATTTAATTATGAAGGAGATAGCCCCTCTATCTTCCAGTCACAGTGGGAAGACAGGAGTTTAACTCATGAGTGTCAATTTACAAACAGAGATAGCCTAATCACAACCTAAACCCACTCCCACTAAGTCCTTCAGTTCATTTCCATTAGCTCATCCCATAATTAGAAATCCTTAGAGGCTGGGCATGGTGGCTCACGCCTGTAATCCCAGTACTTTGGGAGGCCGAGGCAGGAGGATTGCTTGAGCCCAGGAGTTTCAAACCAGCCTAGGTAACATGCTGAGACACCATCTCTACAAAAAAAAAAAAAAAAAAAAAAAAAAAAAAAAAAGCTGGGCATGGTGGCACACTGGCATACGCCTGTAGTCCTAGCTACCTGAAAGGCTGAGGTGAGAGGATCACTTGAACCCAGGAGGTCAAGGCTGCAGTGAACCATGATGGCACTCCTGCACCCCAGCCTGGGTGACAGAGCAAGACTCTGCTTCAAAAAAACTGAATGAATAAATGAATAAATAAAAGAAAAGAAAAAAAGCCTCTTTACATTTTGTTTCAGTGGAATTGAGGTCAGTCTCTCCCCTCCAGTTGCAATAGTCTTGACTCCTACTACAACTATCTTGAATAAAGTCTTTCTCGCAGATTTTAACAGGCGTCCAGTGCAACATTTCTTTGATAAAGCTTCCTAATATCCATTTTGTCCCTGGTGTTCCGAAATTTATTATAATGTGCCCGGGTGTAATCTCCGGGACCTTTCAATAGAAATTTTTATTTCCTCCAATTGTAGGAATTTTGATTTTTAAAGTCATTTATTTGAGAATCTGTTTCCCTCTGTTTTCTGTTGTTGTCTCTTTCTAAAGTTTGTATTATTAGCTCTTGAGTCTTCTAGCACAATTGTTTTTATTTTTTTTGTAGTTTTTGAAGTATTTTCATGGATTTGGCTTTTAGTTTTACTTTTTGGGAAAATCCCTCAATTTAAATTTCCAAATCTTTTAATGAATTTATTGAATGTATTGTTTCTATTGTTTTTCTTTCTTTCTTTTTTTTTTTTTTTTGAAAGGGAGTTTTGCTCTGTCACCCAGGCTGAAGTGCAGTAGCACAATCTCAGCTCACTGCAACCTCCGCCTCCCAGATTCAAGCTATTCTCCTGTCTCAGCCTCCTGAGTAGCTGGGATTACAGGGGCCCTCCACCATGCTGGGCTAACTTTTGCATTTTCAGTAGAGACGGGGTGTCACTGTGTTGGCCAGGCTGGTCTTGGACTCCTGACACCAAGTGATCCACCTGCCTCGGCCTCCCAAAGTGCCGGGATTACAGGCGTGAGCTACCCCTCCCGGCTTTTCTGTTAGTTTCCAAGATCACCTTCTTTTTCCTTGATTTTAATGTTTTAGACAACATTTTCTTTTCCTTTCAAGGCTGCAATATCTGATTCTCCTATTTGATTAACACTATCATAGTAGGTTAATATTGTGTTGCTGGTTGTAATCAGTTTTTCTTCTGAATCCTGCATTCTATATTTGATTTTCCCCTATATATTTATTAGTATCTATTTTTCCTAATAGAAGACTTCCTCAAATGTCTGATGGTCATTAAAAGTCACTTTTGTTTAAGAGTAAGACAAGTTGATTTGAAGGGCTATATGCATGTAATGGGGGGAGTATCAATTTTGCTGAACTTAATTGTAGTATAACTAGGTAGAAAATCCAGGAATTTAGCTGGAGGAGGCATTTAGTTCTGGTGGCCAGTCTCCCTAGTGAGAGGGGTAGGGGAAAGCTTTAATTATCTTCCCAGGGAACAATAGAATAACTATGCCTATATGTTACTCTGAGAAAAAAGTTGAAGGGTTGAACAAAGAGTGATGGGCCTTATTTTTAAAATACGTAAGCTATTAGTTAATTTGTCTGGTTTTAGTAGTAAAGTACCCCTCCATTGCCCTCATCTGCGAATTATGTCTCCTGGTGCTCAGATTTTGTATTTTAATCGCTTTATGTAACTGAATGCTGGTCCAGATGCTCACCACTTGCAGAGTTCAATTAACAAGAGTGAAGTCTGGGAGAAAGAAAGTGAATTTATTAACCAAAACTGGTAAAGGGGAAGCAGCCGATTCCTCTCCAAAGTAAGTGGTTGAAGTCCACTTTGTCTTCAGGCTCATGCCATTGCAATAATGGCCAGGTTAATTAGCCTCCTTGAAGTAATCTCTGGAACTTTGCAGCTGGGTCTCTAGACTTGGTCTGTCTGTCTAAAGAGTAGCCCCTGGAACTTCTAAGAGTACCCAGACTAGCATACGGTTAGATAAATGTGAAGGGAGTATACACAGTGAGAAAGGGAGAGATGTAGAGTCTATTTTAAGGCTAAGGGAAAACGCTTCTGCAGTTTGCCTCAAGGTTATATCTTGACACCCAAGAGAAACGAAAAAAAAAGTTTAAAATGCATTTTGAAGTTAAGCTGCTCTGTTACATTTAGAATAAACCTCCCAACTTCTGTTAGAATAAAAGAGAACAAGTGACCTAGATTTAAGTTGAGAGAAGATATCTTGTTATCTAATGTAAAGCTTTTAACCAGCTACTAGTTATTAACTCAGTTCCCCTCTTTTAGGGGTACATGTTACCTCAAATTCATGAAACTGCTCATAACTGGCAGAAATGAGGTTGGTTCTCACTGCCTTACTCCTCCACAGGCTTCTGCTTCCTTTAGTATTCTAGGCTTCTTTCCACTTGCCTACTTTTTGTTTTCTAAGATATTGACTGCTCTTCCAGATTTTCCCAGCTTCCCCTAATTTCTGTCTCACACAGACACTTCTCCTAATAAAATCCCTACAATGGAATCCCATCTTAGTGTCTGCCTCTTCAAGGAGGAAAAGTAACAATTTTATTGAGATATAATTTATACACCATACAATTCATCCATTTAAAGAGTGCGATTCAGTGGTACTTAGTATATTGACAGTTATGCAATCATCACCATTATCAGTTTTAGATCATTATAATCCCAAAAAGAAACCTGATACAATTTAGCTATCTTCTACCTTCATTCACTCAAGTAGAGGAAACCACTAATCTCTTTCTGTTTCTACAGATTTGCCAATATATAACTGGCTTCTGTTGCTTAAAATAGTTTTCCAAGTTCATCTATGTAGTAGTATCAGTACTCATTTCTTTTTTTTACTGAATAATATTCCATTGTATGAAATATATCTATTCATCAGTTTATCCATTCATCAGTTGATGGACATCTGGGGTGTTTCTAGCTTTTGGTTATTATGGTGTACAAGTTATTTTGTAGATATACGTTTCATTTCTTTATATAGATATATCTATGTATGTATTTATATACACACTACACACACACACACACACACATACACACACACACACACGTAAACATATGCCCCTAAGAGTAGAATTGCAGGGTCCAATAGTCCTTGTATGTTTAACTTTTCTCAGTAACTGTCAGACTGTTTTCCAAAGTGATTATACATCACATTACATTCCCACTAGCAGCATGTGGGGATATTTATTCTTCCATATCCGCTCCAACATTATTTATTATCTGTCTTTTTACTTATAGCCATACAAGTGGGTATAAAGTGCTATCTGATTGTGGTTTTCATTTGCCTTTTGCTAGTACCTAATGATGAGCGTTTTTATGTACTTATTAGATATTTGCATATTTTCTTGAGAGAAATGTCACTTAGATCTTTTGGTGATTTTTAAAAAGATCATTTTATTGGCTTTCTGAATTATTGAATTGTGAGAATCCTTCATATATTTGAGATACAACTCCCTTTTCAAATGTATGATTTGCAAAGATATTCTCTTATTGTGTGGGCTTTGGTCACGTTCTTAAGTGTCCATTGAAACACAATGTTTTAAATTTTGAATACATACCATTTATTTATTCTGCTTCTTTTGTTGCTTGTTCTTCTGGTATCATGCTTAAGAAACTATGGCCACATATAAGGTCATAAGGTTTTGCCTTTATAAGATGTTTTCTTCTAATAAATTGTATATTTTCACTCTTACATCTAGTTCTCTGAGTCATTTTGTGTTAACTTTTGTATACGGTAGAAGATATGGGTACAACTTCCTTTTTTTGCTGGCAGGTATATAGTTGTCTCAGCATCTTTGTTGAAAAGACTATTCTTTCTTCATCCAAATATATTGGCAATCTTGTTGAAAATCAATTTCCCATAAATGTGAGGGATAGTTTTGAACTCACAATTCTATTCCTTTGATTTGTGTCTACCTTTATGCCAGTGCCATGTCATATTGATTGCACTGGCTGTATAATAAGTTTGAAATCAGGAAGTGTGATTCCTATGACTTTGTTCTTTACAAAATTGTTTTGATTATTCAGTGTCCCATAAGTTTACATTTAAATTTTAGAATCAGCTTGTCATGTCTACAAAGAAGCCAGCTGGGATTTTCAGAATGATTTGTTTAATATATAGAACAATTCAAAGACTATTGTCATATTTACAGTAGTAAGTCTTTCAGCTCATAGAGAATGGTTTTTTATTTCTTTATATCCTTTTTAATTGCTTTCAACAATATATTGTTGTTTTCAGAGTATAAGTTTTGTACCTGTCTTGTGAATTTTATTCCTAAGTGTTTATTATTTTTGGTGCAATTGTAAGTGGAAAAAGTTTTTCTTATTTCATTTTTAGATTCTTCATTGAAAACGCATAGGAAAATAATTGATTACTATAAATTAAACATATCCTTCACTAATTCTGAACTTGTTTATTTTATTTTTTATTTTTAATTTTTTTTTTGAGATGGAGTCTTGCTCTGTCGCCCAGGCTGGAGTGCAGTGGCACAATCTCGGCTTACTGCAACCTCTGCCTCCTGGGTTCAAGCAATTATCCTGTCTCAGCCTCCCAAGTAGCTGGGATTACAGGCATGTGCCACCACACCCGGCTATTTTTTTGTATTTTTAGTTGAGACGGGGTTTCACCATGTTGGCCAGGGTGGTCTCAAACTCCTGATCATATGATCTACCCACCTTGGCCTCCAAAAGTGTTGGGATTACAGGCATGAGCCACCATACCCAGCCTGAACTTAATAGCTTTGATTTTTTAGTGGATTAAGATTTTCCATACATAAATTCATGTAGTCTGTAAATACAGATATTTTTACTTTTTAATTTCCAGTCCTGATAGCTTGTATTTCATTTGCTTGCCTAATTGTTCTGGCTAGAACCTAAGTATAGAATAGATGTGGTGAAAATATTCTTTTCTTATTCCTAATCTTAGGGGATATTAGAGTAAAACTAGCCTAATAGAATGAGTTGAGAAGCACTATCTTCTATTTTGTGGAAGACCATATGAAGAATTGCTATTAATTTTTGTTAAATGTTGGTAGAATCCACCAGTGAGATCATGAATGCCTGAGGAGTTTTTGTTTGTTTTCTACTAATTCAATCTCCTTACTGGATTTTCCATTTCTTCTTTAGTCAGTTTTAGTAGTTTTTGTCTTTACAGGAGTTTGTTCATTTTGGCTAAGTTGACTAATGTATTGGCACATAATTGTCATAGCATTACTTTATAATCTTTTTTAAACCTTTTCTGTAGGGCTGGTAGTGATGTCCTATCTTTCATTTCTAATTTTAGTAATTTGAATCCTTCTTTTTGTATTTTTTTGCTCAGTCTAGCTAAAGCTTTGTCGATTTTGTTGATCTTTACAAAGAATCTATTTTTGGTTTCATTTATATCTCTAATATTTTTCTATTTTACTAATTTTTGCCATATTTTAAGTTTTTTCTTTCTGTATTATGTTGGAATTCATTTGATCTCTTTTCTCACTGTCTTAAGGTGAAAAGATATTAATTTGAAATGTATATTTTTAATATAGTTATTTATAGACCTAAATTTTCCTCTAAGCATTGCTCTATTGTTATAAGTTTTACTATATTGTGCATTTATTCCCTTTTATCTCATTTTTTTCTAACTACTTGCATATTATTTCCTTTGATCTATTTTTCATTTAGGATTTTTTAACATTTCTACATATTTTTAAGTGTTCCAAAATTATTTCTGTTATTGCTTTCTGATTTCATTACATGTTAGTTAGAGAACAGACTATGTGATGTTTACGTATTTTAAACTTTCTGAGACTGTAGTATAGTATATAGTCTATCTAGGAGAATGTTTCATGTAATCTTGAGAAGATGTCTAGTCTGCTGTTGTTAGGTAGACTGTTCTATAGATACCTGTTGGGTCTAAATTGGTCTATAGTACTGTCCAAATCTTTTTTCCCTCCTTGTTCTTCTGTCTAATCATTCCACAAATATATGAGGTCTTCAGTCTTCTAACTATCATTATTGAATTATACAGTTTTCCTCTTACTTCTCCAAGTTTTGCTTCATGGATTTGGTCCTTACTTGTTGGATGCATATGTTTAAGCTTGTCATATTTTCCTGATGGGCTGACACTTTTATTATTATAAAATGTCCCTCTTTACTTCCAGTAACATTCTTTGTTCTAAAGTCTATTTTGTCTGATATGAGTATAACCACTTCAGTCTTATATTTTCTCTGTGACAACTTTTTTCTATCCTTTTAATTTTAATCTATTTATATATTTGAATCTAAAATATGTCTCCTGTAGAAAAATATATAACTGGGTTTTGTTTTTATATCCAGTCTAAAAATGCATACGTTTTTAATGGACTACTTAATCTATTCATATTTATTATTATTATTAACATAGTGGAGTCAGCACCTGCCATATTACATGGGTATTATTTATGTCTCATTTTTATTTGTTCTTCTATAACTTTTACACTGTTTCTTGTGAATTGTCACTGTTAATCTTATTGGTGTTTTAAGTAATGAGTCACTTTTATCTTAAGGCTCTCAAGATTTGTCTTTGGTTTTACACATTTTCACTATGGTATGTCTTTGTGTACATCTATTTATGTTATCCAGCGTGGAGTGTGATAAGACTCTTGGATGTGTAGATTAATGTTTTTTATTATATATGAGAAGTTTTCAGCCATTGTTTTTTCAAAAATCTTTTTGCTTCTTTATCTCTTTCCCATCTTTCTGTACTCCAGTTATGCATTTCTTTATGCACTTAAACTTGTCCCACATTTCTCTTAGGCACTGTTCATTTTTCTTCATCGTTTTTATTTTCTATTCTTTTGATTGCATGATCTCTATAAATGTTCAATTTACTAATATGTCCTCTTTCAATTCAGCTCCTCTAGTGTATTTTTTATTTCACTTGTTATACATTTAAACTTCAGAAATTCAATTTGATTCTTTTCAATAACTCCTATTGTTTAATGCTTTCCTGATGTGACATTGTCATCATAGTTTTGTCTTTTAGAATATTTTATTTTAGTATTTTGAGCATATTTAGTATTTAGTCACTCTCATAAGCAGCTTCCTTTACCTTTTATTTTTTTTCCTTATGTATAGGTCATATTTTTCTGTTTCTTTGCATTTCTTACAAATTTTTGTTGAAAACTAGAAATTTTAGATAATATAGTGTAGTAATTCCAGGTACTTCCTCCACCCTAAGCTTGTTATTGTTATGTGCATGTTTATATGTTTCGTGAAAGGCTAGATTATTTTAGTTAAGTCTATTTCTCCTCAGTGTGAAGACTCTGACGAATAGGACTCTACCTCTTTCCTTGACAACACATACAATTAAGCTCCATTAATTGCTGGCCCATTTAATTTTTTTTTCAAGTGTGCCCTCAGGCACAATTTACTCCACAGCCTGCTCTAATTAAATGTGGGCTCCTTTGTATAGATAGCATTTGAGATTTGAGTTTCCGGTTTGCTTTGACACCAGGAGGGCGCTCTTGAGCTGTCTCTTTCCTGATTCACTTAGGTAAACTAGCTGCCCGTGGTTTGGTATATCACAATAAAACTACCAGTCTCCTCTCATTTCTTTCCACCAAATTCTCTATTGTTATTGACAGTTGCCTTAATCTTGAACTTACTCCACACTGTATAATGAAGTGAATTTCTTTGAGAAGGGCTTCAGAGATCTTTGTTTTATTATATCTCTTTCCATTTGCACACACGAAGAAATCTGAATCAAGAGTCTGCAGCGGGGGCAGAGATAATAGCATGCTTCTCTCCGAGTGACACCCTTGTCATAGGAGTGACTGCTGAGACGGGTTCTGTAGCCTCTAGCCTTCTCAACTTGCCTCTCCCAGGATAGAACCTTCACACTACAAATGTGTCAGGATGATGGCAGTGAGTCTCTAGTATTAGTGCACTACACCAGAAATACAGCCCTCACTCCATCAGAGCGCAGAGCAATCCAATCCTTAATAAAGAAGTGAGGTAGGGAAGATTAGGCGTACGAATCCCAGCTAAAGAAGTTCAGTGAAGATAGAGTCTTGGAGCCAAAACTGGTTGTCAGAGAAGTTCCACGTCCCCTGATAAGGAGTCTGTCTTAGCATCCTGGGCATTCTAAGTCATTGACTAGGATTATGCCACGGGAAGCATGTTAGGTAAAATTAAAAGATTGTTTTCAGAGGGCAGTAACTGAGGTCCTTAGCATTATAGTTATTTGGAGTTCTATGAGGTACATTCTTTTAAATTCACGCACACATACAATCACACACAAAAACAATAACTTATAATCTTTTAAAGTTATGAAGATAATACATTCACACTTAAGTGTGATTATACCCCAAGGAGGCAATAAGAAATATAGAGGGAGATTTTGATGTTTTCTCTACTTTTGACATTTTATTTTGTGCATATATTTGAATTATATTTATATATTTTAAAAAAATCTCTGCATACACAACATCACTTATTAGACATAATTTGTTCACAAGAAAACATACACAAAAATTAACAATTACCATTGTTCTATTGTTTGTGACTTACTTAAAAATGTATTTAATCACTAATTTTCTATAAAGAACATATGTAATTTTTCTCATAATAAAATTAAATGTTTTAAATGATATATATTAATAAAGGTAATAATTGCCACTATAAATAAATCTTTTTTTCATTATGACTTTCTGGTGATCTATTCTCCTTGACAGATTTTCTTTCCTGTTTGGATGTATATCCCAAGCCATCCATTTTCAAGTATAACTATCTGTATAGCAGGACATGTAAAGTAACCAATAGTTAGCCAAATTAAGTGCTGCCTCTACACATGCCAGTGAGAATGTGAACCCTTGGAAGGATGAAACATGATTCCAATCATTTCCATAATTACTGCAGTACCTCATGCAATGCTTTGGTCATCTGTAGACACCAAATGTCTATATCATAAATACACTACTTAGAGAAATACATGGCCAACATTAAATTCAGAGCAGGAGCATAAATGAAATCATTGTACATTATGTGTTTCTTCCTTGTAGTGTACTTTTCTGCACATAACTTTGCAACCACATTCAAAAGAATGTCCAGAGAAGACATGCTTTGCTTGCAATTCTAAAACGCATAATAGCTCTGGGGCTGCTTAGAATTGAATTGCAGTGGAATGAACTGAAGAGAAACTTACAAAGTTTCCACTTCATATCCTGCTTAACTTCAGTTATTTTTCCCAAATGGTGGAGCAACTGTTTTGAAGAACTTCCAAATATTTTCTCCTGAGAGTGAGAAGTTCTTACACTTATAGTTAAAAGAAAATTGACTCAAATACTATCTTGAAAGGAAACAGATAAAAATAAACACCCACAGAGAAATGCACCAAGATGCTGAAGTAGCCTAAAGAGAGTTTATTAGTTTACATATTTAATCACATCATTCAACAGAAAAGAATGCTATTTAACTTGTATCACCAGTGGGCTTGGTATCTGAACCATGACAGCTCATATTCTTAATACCAAAATATTTATTAATTTACTATCATGCATTAAAGCTATTCTTTTATGAGTTAAAAATGATCTCATAAATCTTACAGTCTAAATAAATACAAACAAAACAGTTTCAAATTCTAATAAGTCCAGTGGAGAAAATAAAATATGATAATGTAGTAGAGATCTGGAGAGCTAATGTAGATTGGACAGTCAAAGAAAGTCACTTTGAGGAAGTGACGTTTAAGCTGAGATTGGAATAAAAGGGAGAAGCCTAGCTGGTAGTCTTTTTATGGTCTGAAAATGCAAAAGGGACCCAACAGCATGAGAGGTGTGTGTTTCTTGGGGGAGGGGTAAAGGAAAGGAGTATAAATAGATGGAGAGTATTAGAGTGGAAAAATGAAGAGCAACTGTGGAAAAAATAGGACTGCGTAATGGGATGGAATAGGGCAATAACCAAAAAGAATCAGTAAAAATCTGTGGACGAAGAGAGTCTAAGATACATATGCTTTTTTTCAGAGTTGCTTTTAAAATAATCATTTCAGTTGAAAACAAAGATCATAAAAAACAATAAAGTTTGAAAAACACAAAATATAAGTAACACTTCATAAGTAAACTGTGTATCTTTTTTTCATTTACCTATTTATGTTGAACATCTATGTGCTAAAAGTATTTAATTTTTCTCAAAACTTCAATAAAATGTTAAATTATAATAAAATTATAAAATTATAATTATCTACTCTAAAATGCTATATTTTAGAATTAGATGTCTACTTCCTTCAACAGACACAAATGTAGTTTTTTATAGTAAACTCAACGTAACTTATAACTGTTTATTTTTATTAGGTATACCCTAAACTTTCTGTAACAAAAAAATTTTGAAAAGATTATACTGATAATATTTATATTATCATTTGATGTCAAACTTATTTTCCAAAGTTAAAATTATGTCAACTTCTAGACCGTAAATGTATAGTACCACCAACTTCCCCCAAAAAAGACATAAGATGAAATAAAATAACAGCAGGGACTGAAAATCTCCTTTCTTTCCTTCCACTACTTTTACCCCTATTTATGTAAGTAGATGGTGTATTTTCCATACAACCAATCCACCATAGCACATTGCAAATCATCTTGTGAATTTTTAATAATATAATTTAAGTTTTCTAAGAGAAAATAATATTTTATTATTTCATTTGCCAATACATGATAATTACAATTGCTCATATTTAAGTATCGTCATAACAAGTAAAGCAGAATATGTAAATATGCCAATAAAACAATTTACTTTTTAATAAAATTCAGGTGTTTCACAAATATCCAAAGTTCATCAATTTTCTGAAAGTAAAGAGAAATTTTCTTCAATGGTACATTAATACCTGCTGGCACCACCATAGCATGAGTTTTTTCTTTCTTATGGAGAGTAGATGGGGTTAGTAAATTGGGATTATTCTTAGGCTAGTTATGCAAAGGTCTATCTGCCTTTTGTAAGGAATCCTTTTCCTATTATCAGTGAATTAGTTTATTCTCATGCTGCTATAAATAACTGCCTGAAACTAGGTAATTTACAGAGGAAAGAGGTTTAATTGACTCATAGTTCCACAGCACTGGGGAGGACTCAGGAAACTTACAATCACGGCAGAAGGGAAACAAATACGTCCTTCTCTTCTTTTCTATTGCATCATCAGGCTGCAAATTTTCCAAACTTTTGTGCTTTGCTTCCCTTTTAAACATAAGTTCCAATTCCAAACCATATATTTGTGAAAACAGAAAACTGGATGCTTTTAAGAGCACCCAAGTCACCTCTTGAGTGCTATGCTGCTTAGAAATTTCTTCCAACAGATACTCTAAATCATCTCTCAAGTTCAAACTTCCACAGATCTCTAGGGCAGGGACAAATTGCCACCAGTCTCTTTGGAAAAACATAGCAAGAGTCACTTTTATTCCAATTCCCAAAAAGTTCCTCATCTCCATCTGAGACCACCTCAGCCCGGACTTCACTGTCTATATCACTATGTTGGTCAAAGCCATTCAACAAGTCTCTAGGAAGTTCCAAACTTTCCCACATCTTCCTGTCTTTTGAGCCCTCCAAGTCTCTAGGAAGTTGAAAATATTCCCACATTTTCCTGTCTTCTTCTAAGCCCTTCAGACTGTTCCAATCCCCTCCCTGTTACCCAGTTCTAAAATCTCTTCCACATCCTTTGGTATCCTTATAGCAGCACACCACTCTCTGCAGTACCAATTTACTGTATTAGTTCATTCTCACTCTGCTAATAATGATTTACCTGAGACTGAGCAATTTTTAAAAGAAAGAGGTTTAATGGACCCACATTTGTGTATGGCTGGCGAGGCCTCAGGAAACTTACAATCGTGGTGGAAGGGGAAGCAAATATGTCCTTCTTCACATGATGGCAGGAAGGAGAAGTGCCAAGCAAAAGGGGAAAACCCTGATAAAGCCATCAGATCTCATGAGAATTCACTCACTATCACGAGAACCTCATGGAGGTAACCATCCCCATGATTCAATTACCTCCCACCGGGTCCTTCCCACAACACATGGGGATTATGGGAACTACAATTCAAGATGAGATTTGGATGGTGACACAGCCAAACCATATCAATCAGCATGAAGACTATATTATACAATGGCTAAGGTAACTTTGTTTAGGTTCTCTGCTTGATACCATATGTTGTACCTAAAGAGTCTATGCCACAATTAACTCTTTGAGAATTACTATTGATACATTATTCATGAATATCATTAATTTGTTAGATTAATTTTCCAAATTAAAGAGAATCTTGTTAATCAATGTTAGGACTGAGGAAGAAAAGAATTGTGACTGGATGTCAGAGGGACCATAGGATAGTAAAGTGCCTCTTAGAATGTATTATGGGAGCTTTGTTTTATTGTGTGCATGAAACCATCTGCCACCTTTATCTTTTTCCAAGTGTCATTATTTCACAGCATCTCAGGGCTCAGTTTGCCAAAATATTTGAAAACTCTCAATTTTAAGCAGAAGAACAAGTAATGAACGGTTTGAGAGAAACTAACACTTGGAAATGAAATAAGATAAAATAAATTTCATATTGTGATGTTTTATTGTTAGCAGAAGCTAAAAAATGGTTTTGCCTGGGAGTGATGAAGGGACCCTTTGGTTTTTGTTTGTTTGTCTTTTTGGTTTTTGGTTTTCTGTTTTTTCTTGGCAGCTAAGAGAGCAAATTATGCAATTAACTGAAAAGATAACAAACATCAAAGCATCTTTCATTTTTTTCTGCTAGAGATTGGTATAGTCAAGGTTTTCTCAAGCCACCAGTGAAATATTTGCTGCTCCAGTCAGATGTGAATCATTGCATTTTCTTACAGAAAAGCAGGGAGAATGAGGAAAAGAGTAAAACAAAAGTGAAAACAAAACAAAACAGAGTTCTGACAGATGCAACCTGCCAGTTCAACTCTGTAGAATCTAGTTCCAATCCTGGCTCATCATTTCTCTCGCCAAGGATCTCCAGCTCGGTAAACTGTAATTTATCTAATGCTTTGGGAATTTATAAATTGCTGTGATGCATATTATCTCAGATATAGCTTCTCACAAAATTAATTTTATGATGTGCTAGTATTAATTAGATTCCTCTATTTCTTCAAAATGGCAAATGTTACTACCTACTAAGGTGATATCCAAAGTATATCGACGTCCTAATCAAAATATAATATCTGCATTATGAACCCTAAACAGAGAATTCAACTTTAAACCATTTGCAGTCAATCTTTTTATACGTAATAGAAGGAAGGTAGGAAGGATACTGACAGATTAACTGTCCCTCAATTTATCATCATAGTAGAGTATTAAAACAGAGATCCAATAATAGTAAAAACAGTGATTCAAACTGGATCCAATCTGAGGGTTCAATCCTGGTACTGTGGTTGTTATATATTAGTGGATGCACACATAACACACAATAATGCAGCAGTTAGAAGCAACAGAGTAGCTGTTCACTTGGCAACATGGATAATATTGACAGTGATACTTCAAAATATATATGAAATCTTACCACCTACTAGATTCAAGCAGGCATCATTCCTGTGATGAGCTTTTAACTATGTTAACAAAACACCAGGGGTTTGGTCTAAGGTCCTGCTGCTTTCCACACAGAAAGCCAGTCACTGAGACAACAAGTAATGCCAAGGAAGAAGGCTTTAATTCGGTGCTGCAGCCAAGGAGATGGGAGCTCAGTTTCAAATACATCTCCCTGACTGACTAACACCAGGGATTTATATAGCAGGTTAGAAATGTAAGAATGTATTAAAAAACAGGACTTGCCGGGGGAAAGGAAGCAATCACGGTGAATGAGGGGTCCAGCATCTGATGTGGTGATCTGGTTTCAGTTCTTTGACACTTTTTTGTTCGTTTGTTTGTTGAGGCAGAGTCGTGCTCTGTCACCCAGGCTGGAGTGCAGGGGCCTGATCTCGGCTCACTTCAACCTCCGGTCACTCTGAATTCAAGCTGCAACCTCAATCACTCTGGGTTCAAGCGATTCTCATGCCTCAGCCTCCTGAGTAGCTGGGATTACAGGCATGCATCACCACACCCGGCTAATTTTTGTATTTTTAGTAGTGATGGGGTTTCACCATTTTGGCCAGGCTTGTCTTGAAATCCTAGCCTCAAGTGATCTCCCTACCTTGGCCTCCCAAAATGCTGGGATTACAGGCATGAGCCACCGTGCCCAACTGATACTTTTTGTGAGCGGCCTGAAGGTAATTTCCTGAGGAAGCAACTCAGTTAAAACAAATGTAAGGTTCAAACTTTAACAGCAGAAGGGTTCATTTCTATGTTCATCCCCAAACAATTGTCTATGGGACTCTTGAGTCAGTTTCAACTAGCCTTCTTCATTCTACCTTGCTCCTAAGAGTCTACTGTCACCACACCAGCCACCAGTGATCTTTATAAAAATGATAATGCTGAACTTCACCTGAGCCCTGCAGCACAGAAACACAGAGAGGTCTTAACTAATCACCCACATTTTTGTGTTCCAGGAAATAGCATACTGCAGAGCACCACCCTTCTTCACAGGACTCCACATAAGACTCATAGATGCCCTCCTTGTTACTCTTTGACAAAGACAGACACAGATCCCCTAAATTTTTATTCTTTGCTTCATTAATGATTATCTGAACTGTTTGTAAATCATGACCAATCTGGATAAAATATGTGTCTTGGCCAATTGGGGGACAATGGATAAGTTATATGTGGTGGATACACATATAACACGC
Organism: Homo sapiens; assembly: GCF_000001405.40. Taxonomy (NCBI): domain Eukaryota; kingdom Metazoa; phylum Chordata; class Mammalia; order Primates; family Hominidae; genus Homo; species Homo sapiens. The sequence continues at coordinate 30,383,971 of NC_000018.10, forward strand.
AATGATGCAGCAGCTGGAAGCAACAGAGTAGCTGTTCACATGGCAAGAAAGGAAAATTCCCTTCTCCCAGACCTTTGGCTTTTTCTCCTCCTAATTCAATATTCTCCTTTCCCTTATTATGCTAATCTTTTCCAATAAAGTCTCTCCTATCTAAGTTGAGGTTTGTTTTAACTTGACAAATCATGCCTCAGATCACATTACTCCTCTCTTCAAATTCAACCATAGCTTTCATTCATTCAGAGTCAAACCAAAAGACATTATTATAGTCAACATATATACATTTTAAGCAGCGTGTATAGAAGGCTTCAGATTATCCAACTAGAAAAAGCGTAGATGTTTTCTTATTTATTTATTTTTTTTTTGTTTTCCATCTGAAATCCTATAACATGTTTGTGAATCCCTTATTTTGCTTATATTTCCTGGATCTTTTGAAATACTTCTATTTGTTCCTTATAACAGATTTCAACATTAAAGATTTAGTTAAATTTTTTTTTCTGATTTATTTATTTTTCTTCAAGGAAGACTCTGTGTACATTTTGATCAACTTTTCAAATGTTCACACATTCCTTGAACTTAAAGGCTTAAAGATTTCTAACTCATGATGTTTGTTTCTGAAGGTGTGATTTTAAACTTTACAAGTTGGTGTTTTTCATTATGTTGAAATAAATATTAATGGTAAGAACTAATTTTGTCAAGAAAAAAGAATGTCTTTGTTATCAAAGGCATTAATTAAAAAGTTTATTTTTTCAGAAAATTTTCCTGAAATTCACCCCAAAGAAGGGAGAAGGAAGAGTGCTTAAGGTCACGTGGGCCTTCAGATTTTTGTTAATAGTTTTCAGAGATAACATACTCCTATCAGTCTACGTGGAGAAACAGTTTGTTACTTTATCTTTTTTTCAATCAGGGAAATAGAGTAAAATTTTCAAAAAAAAATAGGACCTAAACTTTTTTTCAATCTAACAGTCACAAATTAGAAAAAAAAAAATCTTTTTGATGTCTGTGATCACAAGTAATCTAGATTTTACACATATGCTAATATTTAATGTAATGCACTATGCTCTTCCATTCACATAACTTTTATTCACATAATTAAGTTTATAGAAACTCTTGATGAAAAACAAAGCTGTAGTGGTGGAAATTGAGTATGGTGAATTCTTTGCTTTTTTTTTTTTCTTAGCCTGGCATAGGGGACAAAAAAATGCTACCAACATAAGTAGGTTATGTGTGGCAGCCCTCAGAAATAAATATATGCACGAGATGAGGTCTCTAGGTCACGGGATACTAGAATGGCTCAACTGGTAAAAGCATAGTACCACTTTCTTAAATATATTTTTTACCCGATTATTTCACTCACTTGCTTTTACAAAGTATTTTTTTCAGCTAAGGGAGTAGTAATTTTACAAACTGATCTGAATGGACATTCCATTTCAGACATGAGAAAGAAAAATGAATAATAAAAATCCAATAAATAGGACATATAGATAAAACAATATATGAAACTGGATCAGAAATTATTCTATCTATAATAGCAGATTAAATGTAGTGGAAGGCATTTAAAGGCATTAAAGGGGCATAGTCTAATGCCTAAACCTAAATAATTGAAAGGGCAATTTTTGAAAAAAGAGGATTACGCCATAAACCCCAGCCGCAACTCACACAGAAGCTGTTCAAATTACTCAGTAACATCTGAAATTCTTCTCCTAATTTCTCCTAATGTAAGCATACAAATGGGTAACCTTATGTTTTCCATTTAGGAATGAAAATAGTGGATATTTCATTTTTGGAGAAACAGATAACATTAGGGGAAAGAAACAACTTTACTAACGTTAGTAGGAAAGCAGTAAGGTTACCAGGAACACAGGTTACCTTGGAGGAATTCTCTTAAACCCAAGAGTCTCCTATGCTAGCATAAGATACACCCCCCCAAAAAAGTAAACTTGAGCTCACTGCATTTGACAGACTATGACAGGGGCCCAAGTCAAACAACTAAGATACCAATGCAGAAAGCTGATATTTCCCTCCCAAAATAGTAGGCAAAGGTGGTCAGAGGGAAAGAAATTGATTCCTAAATATGAAAAGAGTCAGGGAGTATTTATTTACCTGTACTTGTGATCTTTGAACCAGTCTGCATATTCCTAAGGATGTTCCAACAATTTTCAACAGACATACACCCACAGTTTTGAAGGAAGACTCAAATTCCCCAGGCACTCATTCATAATATAGTAATTCATAAAATGTACTGCCTTAGAAGAAGGCCTCCCACCAACAAAACATTATTACTTACCTTATGAAGCATTGTCCTGTGACATAAAATTATCCAGAGTATCAAAGTGATCATTGTAATTATGAATGCCAATCAAAAATTCATAAACTTAAATCTTCAAAATCTTCCCAAGCTCTTCCCAAGCTTTTGAAGATTTATACAAAAAATATAGTAAGATTAAAATGTATTATCAAAAATTATTTTATTGAGTTAAAGATGTTGGCTTTAAGTGAAAGAATAACATACAAAATTAAAAATCATTTAAGAAGGCTTGTTAAACAATTTTAAATGCACTTTCCTAGAATTGAGAAGCTGAATCTAATAGCTGGATAACATAATTCTGGCAAATTAAGTGGTTTCCAGTTTCTTGCTTTCCAAAAATTGAAGGAAGGAGACTTCTGAATTCACCAAGATGGAGTAGCCCCCGTCCTTCCAGGACCTCACAATTATAACTAAAAAATCTCTGGAAATAATACAACAAACAGGCCTAGGAAGACTCGGGAAGGTGGAAAGAAGGGGGCTGTCCAGAGTGCTTGGGATCTGTGTGTCTACACTGTGGAGAGGTCTGTGGGTTTCCGTATTGCCTCCCATATACTCTGGACAGAGCTCCACAGAAGCTTCCAGCCTGGAGCAACAAACAGGCACAGTCAATAAAACCTCTCAGGAAAGCTTGTTTCTCTAGCCAGGAAAAAGGAAAAGGAAAAGGAAAAGGATGGCCTAACAATAGAAAAACGTTTTAGTAATACTCAACTTACTCCATAAATGGAAAAAAAAATCACCACCGCAACTGCTATTACAGCAGGGCAGTGCAGAGAGTTGATTTTCCACCCCCACTGCATCCCACCCTACTGAGGGCAGAGGGGCTGAGCAGGGAACTGACCTTCCATCCTTCATCAAACAGAAGAAGCTGCTGCTCAGATTCTCATGCCAGGATAGTATCAGTGGAGTCCAGCAGCAGAGGCAACAAAATTTGATGAAATGGTACAAGGTGGAGCTAGTCACCAATATTCTTTACCCTTTTCCCTATGTCAGCCAGGGGCTGTGAGGATTTCAGCCTCCAGCTCCATTTGGCGTTAATAAGACTGAACAAAGAAGTATAAGTCAGGGCTAACATGTGCTGTGCTCCATGCTCTGCCACTTATGATGTCCATAAGGGCCAATAGGGAGCTCCACTTCCACCTCCACCTGGCATCAAACAGGCAGAGGTGGTGGTGGGAGGTCAAACTGGTTGGCACTTTGATTCTTCTTTCCCCTTCCCTGCTGTCAGCAGAACCCAGCAGGGAGCTGAGCTTCCTCCCGACCCTGCTGCAACAAATGACAATAAAACAACAAGATCCCCTCGTGCTAACCTTTGCTTGTTGTCAAGTGGGACCTTATCTTACACCCACCCTTGCAAGGAATTAGTTGCTGCAAATCTATTTCCAGCCTCTTCTGGGAAAGAGGGAGTGGCTGAATTTCCAGGACACTCTTTTGCAACAAGGCACTGTGAGTCAGTGATGTGAACATATATGCTCACCTAATTCTCATGCTATACTTCAAATTAGGAACTTTTTGCAAAAGAAAAGAATGGTAGAACACAGTCTCATAGTATGATATTCAAAATGTCCAGGATTAATGGAAAAAAATCACTGTTCATACCATAAAACAAGAACATTAGAACATAAATGAGAAAAGATGGTTGGCAAGCCAACACTCATACAGATAAGATATTGGAATTATCCCAGAAGGATATTAAAGGAGCCAAAGCAAAAATACTTCAAAAAGCAATTAAAAATTACCTGGAAACAAAGAAATTGAAGTAAAATCTAATCTGGCTGTCAGGTGATAAATCATTAAAGGCAATTCTTGATGATACATTATTATGATTTTTGGCACATAACTTGGCTTGAATTCAAATAATTAAGTTATACTTCTATAATAAAATTCCATCCAATCCTATCTATTTGTTAATGTGAACAAATTTTCTCAGTGCTTACACATTCAAAAGGAAAAAACAAGAATAGAATTGATGCTGAATCATTTCTCATTCATGCATTGAAAAATGTTCATCTTCAAATAATTCAACTAGTTAGGAGAAAAATACACCTCTTACATCTTATTAGGAGGTCTAATTCTGAAATTTTACGTTTAGTTATTACTCATAAAATTTTGTAACATATCCTATTGTTTTGATCGGTTGTATACTAATAAACACTATAATGAAAACTCAATTCAGAACAAATTTTAGGACATAGACCATGAAATGATTTCAATGTATAAACATATTGTTATAAAGAAGTTTGGTAGAGTAAAAAATAAACAAATTCAAGCATAAAATATATTACATTATAATAAAATTGTGTGGAAGAATTGAAATGGAAATTGGAGTTTAAAGAAACACTTTTCTAAAAGTTCTAATTGATAAAGATGAGTTATTTTTCTATTCTTAAATAATGTTGAATATCAAGAATGCTCAAACTCTTCAAAAAACTGAAGTACAAGGAATACTTCCAAATTCATTTTTTAAGGCCGGTATTACACTGATGTCAAAGCCAAACAAGGACATTACAAGAAAAGAAAATTACAGGCTAATATTCTTGATGAACATAGATGACAAAATGCTGTGATATCTAGATTCCAATGGATACATCTAAAGTGTACTGAAACAACTTTGTGTTAAAATTTCAAGATTTTATAATATTCCATGAACAATATTATTTAAACAACTTGTGGAAAATTTTAAAAATCAGAGAATGGATTTTAGGAGTATGTGGCGGTTGGTTTAATGATCACTGACTTTTACTTCATAAGGAAAGGTGAAGCTTAGAAATCCTTGCCGATAGGAAACATGGGCCCAATGGGAAAATAAAAGCAGAACATATGTAAATCTGTTTTATGGAAGAAATGAAGGGACAAGAGACACAGGAAGGGGAAAGAGGAAAAAAGGAGGAGGAAGAAAGATGGAAGAGAGGGAAATAAGGAGGAAATAAAATAATTGCAAACCATTTAAATAGTGCTAAAAAAGTGCCAAGTACTATTTCAGGATGTCACGTAGTCATCAACATAAGCCTGTGAGACATGGGCATTATAATCTTCATTTTAAAAATTAGAAACTGGGGCATCGAATGTATTTGCATGGCTTTAAGTTGTGGCACTTGTTTCAAACCCAGGCTATTTGACTCTAAAATCTGTGCTCTCAATCACTATTGGATGCACAGGGAATTCAGAAATGAAGAAAAAAAATAATAGAGATTATACACTAGCAGGTGAAATACTGAATGAACAAGTGAATGCAATGTATGGTTTTAGATAATGAAAAGTACAAGAAAGAAATATAAATTAGGATAATGTGTTAGAGAATGAATGACTGATGGAAGGAGTTATTTTTGATGGTGGAACAAAAAAAAACCTTATGATTTTGAACCTGAAGGAAGGAAGATAGCAAGCCTTGTGACAGTCTGCAGAATAACAAGAAAAACAGCGATTCTGAATATTTATAACCATTTCAAAACTTTAATGCACAGTACAGGAAAAGAAATCATATGATAGTTGTTCCATTTTTGGCTTCTACCTTGAGATCTTACCTTTCATTCCAAGCCTCTTACCAAGCTATTGCTTTTGAGAGAATACAACAATATCTCTAACATTTGGTGAACTCAATAGTCTCCATCTTATTATATTGATATTTACATGTCAGCAAAATATAAATATTGTAATATCTCTCATTTAACAGAAAAAGAAAGTAGAAATAAGAGAAACAGCTTCTCACTGAGGAATATTTAGAAAATTCCACCCTAAATTTAGAATTTCTGGTTTTATATTATTTTAAACATCTTAGTAATTAAACTTTGTGAAAATGAACAGCACAATATATCTAAAAGATAAAATAATTGAATTATGAGTCAGATTTAACATGTGATTATATGCTGTTTACTTTGGAAATTTTGTTTTTCTTGAGTTTCTATAATATTAAGCTATGTTTTAAAGACTAATTTATAAGTTTTGCTTGTAAAATAACCTTTGAACTCCAGGTCTTTTGGAAGCATATTTATTAATTTTCTTTGTAACAAAAACAGGAAAAACAAGTCAAAACACATTTATAGATATAACATCAATTTCTGTGAGCATACTGTTGATTAATAGAATAATTACATACAATTCATTCTTGGTTATCACTGAGACATAAATGATAATATAGCCTAATTAAAACTGACTTCACTATGTTTTATTAGAAAGAATTGAAGGGGTGGCATGTAAAATACCAATATTGAAAGCTTCCAAAAAATTAAGCAATTCACACTTATAAATTTATTTTTGCTTATCTGTCTTGTTTTCTTAGACATCTTTCCATCATCAATATGAATATTAACAACTAATACTTATTTACCTCTCAAATACCAATCTATACACTCATTACTTGTTAAATTATGTAATCCTCACATATGATTTGTTCAACATATAGGTTCATCAGAAATGAATAGCTTTTTTTGTCTACCCATGTTTGGAGAGTTGAAATATCCTATATGTTCCAGCAATATGGACAAGAGATAGAAATACTGGATAGAAGAGGGTGGTTCCCAGTAAAGGCCCCACCCTGGACCTGTGGTCCTAAATTGGGACAGGCATTCTTGTTTTCACACCTCAAATGTTGCCTTTTGGCCCACCACGCCCCATCTTGTACCCATATAAACCCGAAACTCCAGGCTCCAAAGGCAGACAAGGAGAGGAGGAGACAAGGAGACAAGCAGATGAACAGTGGAAGAGGGTAGCTCGAGAGAAAGAAAGAAGAGAGGGAACAACTGAATGCCAGAAGGGTTCAGTTGGGGGTGGGCGGAGGGGAGTTCAGCCTTTGGATGGCCTAACTCCAGGGGAAGATCATCTTCCCACTCCATCCGCCTTCTAGTTCCCCATCCGTCTGGCTGAGAGCCACCATCACCACTCAGTTAAAACCCCACATTCATCCTTCAAGCCCGTGTGTGACCAGATTCTTCTTCCAGTACTCTGGGAAAGAGCTTGAGGTACAGAAAGTTGTCACACTGGCACTCTGCCCTTATGAAAAGGTAGAGAGTCCATTGAGCTGGTTAACACTCAAACCATCTGTGGACAGCAAGGCTAAAAGAGCATTGTAGCACTGGGGCCACAGGTACCCACCCCTAGACACTAACGCAGGGCCAGAGCCCAAATCACCTGCCCTGGCTTGTGCACCTGCCCGTCTACAGGTGCCCCCCCCTCCCATCAGGGGTTGAGCAGTGGCAGCAACTGAACAGGTGAGCCACACCCCTGTTTCATGTCCTGCAAGGGGGGTCAGGGAACTCTCTCATTTCGTCAGGTTTGAGGCTCTCAAGGGAATAGGAAACATGCTATTCTCAAAGATCTGGACTCTTTGAGGGCAATATATCAAGCCTTCTCAAAGGAGCAGGGAATAGAAGTACATGATTAGCATAAGAGAGGGAGTATGCTATTTGTGAGGTAACTTGTCAGAGATTCAGAAAAGATGGGCATAGGTTTCCCAGGTGAGAAAACCTGGAAACACTTGCATGCTTTGCAATGGAGGAGGTCAACCCCAAGTTTGGAAAGGCCATCAACTATAGCAGTCTTAGCATTTCCTCCCCACTGCACCATTCCTCAAAGTTTCACATAGCTAGGCATACTTGTCCCTGTGAGTAATTTTGGAATTATTTTGATAAGAGTAGCCAATCGATATTTCTTTTCAGTGAGTTTCACGATTTTTAAACCTTAATTCTTTAGATGTTACTTCTTTTTCTTTAATCTTGTTTTTTTTCTTTCATGCCTTTATTTTTAAACATGTCTTTTAACTGCAATTACTTTTGCACCCATCTAATATATAGCCTAGAGCAAATCTGGCTGTGTTGACTTCATGACGTGACATAATTTTTTAATTTTGTTTTTGGTTTTTGTCCTATAGATTCATGTTAGATGTTGTCTTTCATTTAGAACATGGTGGTGAAGGGTTTTGATTTATTTATTATTTTTTCATGAGTTCTGATGTCATCAAAGTTACAGTTTATTTGGGACTTGGAAAAATGTCTTCAGAGTTACGAAGTCAATACTGACTCAGCTCTTTAGTTTGTAAAGGTGTGTCATCAAAGACCCTAGAAAGTATCTGGTCTTGGATTTGTTTGTTTAAAAAATCTTGTCTAACGAATCTTGATTTTTGCTTTCTTGAGGACACTTTTGGGTTTTGCCCAAATTCTTGTGGATGAATAGATTATCAGAAGGACAATTTCTGTGGAGAAAACATAGCATATTAAGCAATTGGGATTTATTTTCAAGTGCATCGGTCTTAAAATTTATCCAAAGTTTGCAGGAGAAAGGAAGAGATCGTGGTCTTTGAAAGGAAACTCAATATTGTAAAGATACAAATCCTTCTAAAATAACCCTACGAAACCATGAATCCAATTTGAGAAAATTATTAGTAAAAAATACAATTAAAATCAAGGAAAAGAAGAATGGAATGCCAAACTTGCCGTCATAGATTTGACTGCATCAAGATAGAAAAATTAAAGAAATGTGGCACGGAGACAAGACCAGATGAATGATGAGGTAATAATAGGAAGCCCTAATATACTATGTGTGTGTATGTGTGTAAAAGTGTATTATATGATACAGGTGGGAAAGTATAGACTACACAATAAAATCGTGTTGGAAAAATGTAATTCCTAAGGAGTATTTTTGTATTATATACCTACAGCACAGCAGAAACATAAATCCCAGAAATACTTTTAAGGTACAGACAAAATTAAAAGTTAATATTCATCTAACTTAGTGTGGAAGGAGGGAAGTTAGAAAATAAGAACTTCTAATAATATTATTAAAGATTAAAATTTTAAGAGAAAAAATAGATGGTTTTAAACACAAAGTTTATAATATGGAAAAACATTATCACACATACATTTCAAATATATATATACTAAACAGTAAATATTTTATTATGCTTACAAATATATTTATGTATCAGAATATAAGTATTTACATTTATCATTTAGTGAATTCTCATAACTCAATAACAAACCTTCTAAAATTAAAAAAGAGAAAGGAAGAAGTAATTTACAAAGAAATAATTCTGACAGTACATATTTTAAAGATTTACAACCTTATGATAATTTAAAAATTACAACAAAAGTAAAATACATTTTTTCATCCATCAGATTGACTGATTGTGTATATCTTTATATCTTTTTCTCCTTAGTGTCTCCTCAAAAGAATCCCCTGAATAGCTAGGCATTTAAAATACAAATGAAAAAAAATATATTATAAAATACAGATGGAGAGGTTTCACACAAAACTATTAATGAGAAATTCTGGAAAAAGGTCTGGAAATATGAATTTTAAATGAACATATTAATTACTTCTTATGATCAGGCAAGCTTGGAACTCGTGGCTTATATCCAAGGCAGTAAAGCACTAAACTGTTAGCAATCTTATTCTCTTTGTATTAAGATTGAATAAACTTATTTTTACTTATTATACTCGAGTTTTTTTTCCTCAAGGCTTTCCAATGAACATTTATTACTTTTAGAGTAAAAAATATAATAAGGCTACAATAAGCATAGGAGATAAAAATATAAATAAAAACAAAATGGAGTAAACAACAAATAAAATTTAAATAAGAAGAACTAGAAAATGGTTATATCAAATATTATATTCACAGTGATATTTTTAATATATTTTTAAAATCCCTTATAAACCAATAATGAAACAAACCAGTAAGCAATCGTACAAAGTAAACAGACCATTTATACGCATGCATTTAAAAGGGACCATATATATATATATATATACACACACACATATATAACATATATATATATATAACTTATATATAATGCAAACTGACTAATAACATAAAAAATAATGATTACAACAATGTGGTAACATTTTAAAACCATCAATTAGCAAATATCTGGAAAAATAATAATGCCCAGCACTGGCAAATATACTTTGGGACTGGTGTTGTTGTATACTCTGAAAAGCATGTGAATTTATCTAAACTTTATGAACTCTAGTAATATATATCAAAAGCTTTAACGATATGTTCCATCTGAATAACACCATTCTAAAGAAATAACCAGCCATGTAAACAAAAATTTATATATTCATTCGAAGGTGTATTACTTCAAATAAGGATGTCATCTAGGCTTCCCATAACAGGCTACTAAATATTCATAAATTAAAATGTTTGTAATGCAATTTTTAACACCATAGTGGGAGCTCCTTGAGAGTATCCTGCCTAGGAAAGATGAGTGGAGTTGGGAGCTGCCAGGGAAGTGAGGGCAGGAGAGGTTCTGGTACAAATATTTAAATAATTTTTTTCAAGAATGTTTAATGACCTAGAGAGATGCTGAGATTATAATGTTAATGGATAGAAATAGTCTACAAAATTGCACAAGGTAAGTCCCCATTTTTGAAATATATTTATGAAAATATTTCAGTAGTGATTTTTCTGCTGGAAGACAAAGTAATTTTAATACCTCTCTTTATAACTTCCTGAAATGCCTGAATTTTTAAATAATTAGGCATATGTTACTTATTTTTAAAAATATGCAATAATGAAACAGGAAAAAGTAGAAAGAGTAGAGTAATGACATTATAATTTTACCCTGACATAAAATATTACAATGCATTTTAGTATGTTTGTTACTGATGAAGCAATTTGTCAATGGAAATTCAACCTCAGAATTTTAATACCGATGTTATCACACTTGCTTAGGATGATTTGAATTCTGTAGTAAATCCAACTCCATTATGATAACTGCTCCAGCAAATTTCCATGTTGAGAGGTGGATTTCCTGTTGTGAAAAACAGGTGAATCCCAAATGTCTGATAAATGGTGACTTTCAAGAAGAGTTGAAGAAATAAAGTGGGGAAAAATAACTCTACAATGAAAAATGGCACCTATAATAGGAAAGTCACTATGGAAACAGATCACTGTTGGCAGCAACTTGAGTTTTCAATCATTCCAGATGTAGAAATTTTCTGTTAAATACTACTTTAATCACCATCACTTTTTCTGTGGTGATGGGTTTTATCAGGTTAAAATAAAGTGTTTTTATTCATTCACTCTTTTATCTTAATTTGCTAAGCATTATATATATGTAATGCAGTAAAATATTAGGAAATGAATATGATACAGGTCTTGTCCTATAGAAGATGCTGTAGAAGACGGTCATGACACATTATAAATATTATACAAATATCCCTGTAGTTCCTTACTCCAATATTTTCTCTATATTGTGTCCTTCACTGGACAGTAACAATTTTTAGAGATTTTGTTGTTGCTTGTCTTTGTAAGTCTATGACCAATATAAAAATATAGTAGGTTGTCAATACATTTTCAATGAATGAATAAAGATAGGAGAAAACACCTAACCATTTAAAGGGGTTCTAGGAAGCAGGCTACAATAGAAATACTTTCAATGATATTTGGGTTGAGGTCTTAATGCTAAATAACGGCATTAAGAAAGAACATTCTAGAAAAGTAGCAAGTGACAAGAAAGCTTCAAAATGTCCACAGCCAGGCTGAATCATGGTGAGGAACCTCTAAATGTCAGCTTAAATTAAAAACTCTGTAAGTATTTACAGTAGAACTAAACATTTTACAGTTTTTAAAAATTTACAGGTTACTACTCACCTGGTTGTGTTTGCTTTACTACTACTTTCATTTATATTACCATTTTACTGACTATATTATGTATAGGGAATATGAATGGTTTATATGTAAATGGCACTTTTATTAGCCATAGATATAATTTGCATTAACAAGTATCACTTTACTGATTTTAAAAAACCCATGCTATTGCATGACTTGAGTGATTTAAAAGTTAAATAAGTATGGCTTCTCTTCCTCCTTGTTTTGTCTAAAAAGGATAAACAATTCCATTTCACTTGGATGAATGAATGGTTAATATTCTTTTCTTTTTCCTTAAATTAAATCTGAGTTAGCCCTTATTTGCCTACATAAGTTAATATCTAATTTTAGTTATTTGAGAAGGTATCTCTTTATTAGAGGGCAGAGGTGAAAAGATGAGATGAGGCATTGCTTAGGAAGGTTTTTCTGTGCCTGTCAATTGTGATTTTCATTAGAATGTTCTTGTTGGTTCACTCTCAGAAACATGGTGGCAGCATGTTCACTCTTCCCCAAACTAAGCCATTGGAACTTTTCTAGTATTTCCAAGGGAGAGTTAACAGTTCATTTATGGTTATCAGCAAAACCATCATCTTTAGTGTCCCATCTATCTCCAGGGAGCTACAAATAAATGAGATATCAATGTCTGCCCTCATCCATTCTTCCAGTTACAGAGAAGCCTTGGAAAGTAGTCATTCTTCTATTATTATATATTTGCCAAATAAATAGCCACATTCCAAATACCAGGGGATGTGTTAATTTGCTCAAGCAATAAAACCACACCTGGTACAGCAGCTGCAGTTAAAGTCCCACCTAGTTAAGCTTACAATAACCCACTGACATTCTCCAAAATTAATCTGTCTTCTACACAGGCCAAATAGGAGAATTGAATGGGGATGTGGAAGGAATCACTACCCCTTTATCTTTTAAGTCCTTGATGTTGGCACTTATCTCCACAATTCTTCCAGAAACGTGGTATTGCTGTTGGTTGATTATTTTCCTAGGTAGAGGCAGTTCTAGTGGCTTACACTTGGCCTTTCTCACAATAATAACCTTACTCCAAGTATCAAAGAATTAATATGAGGATTCTGCCAGGTGCTGAATATTGTCTATTCTAATTGTGCATTGGAACTGGGGAAATAAGCACAAAATGGGTTCTGCGATCCACTGGGACCACTGTAAGAGGCTGACCTAAAACTCCATTGACCAGCTGACCCCCACAAGTCCCTACTCTGACTGGTAGATCACAGTGATATTTTGAGTCTTGCGGAATTAACATCAATACAGAGCCAATATCCAGCAGTCCCCAAGAGGTCCAACCGTTTCCTTTTCCTCAGTGCACCATTACCCTGGTAAAATACTGTAGGTCCCTCTGAGGAAGGTTAGGAAATGATTATCAGTATAAATGTTGGACAGCATAACAGGATCCTCCTTAAAAGAGACCCAGCCTTCCTTTCATTCAAGAAGTATTAGATCTATAAACCGGCTCAAGTTTGGGAATTGATTAAATGGCTATGACTATTTTATGATTCAGATTAGTCTTTTGTTCACTTTATCTATATTTCTGCTTGTACAAATCAAGTAGAGTGTGATAGACTTTGTATCTATTTCAGTTCTAGAAACACCATGATCAACTAGCCAATACTGGGGGTCTGTATAGGTCAGGCTATTCTTATTGCTGCTTTGAATCTACTGTCCATTATGGAATCCATGCCCACCTTGCCATTGGTAGTTGAGAACCACCACTTGGCCCCTCCCCATTGCTTTTAGGTTTTCCTATTCAGCAGCCACAGTACCCCACTGCAAGGTCTGGTCTCCACAGAATAGTGATGCCAGAGCTCACAAAAGATGCTGGGGCTCCCCTTACAAACTTATTTTCCACAGTTGTGGTGAAAGGTGTGTCTTCTAGACCTTCCCCAAATGTACGTAGGTCTCAAATGCAAAGCCACTCTAAGTCAAGTCCCCCTAAGGCTTCAAATCTTTCCTCTACGATAAACTAATACAGGCCTGGCATTTCTAATTCACTCACTGTGGGTTAGCTTTTGGTCCATGTTTTAGTTAACCAAACAAACTGTTAGAGCCCCTGCTAACTCCCTGAGCTGCCACATTAAATGCAGAATCCCTGCTTAGTAAGCCCATGTCAGTATATTCAGCCTGATCCAACTTTACATTTTTTCCACAATTATACCACATCCTTTATATTTATTCTCACATATATTGCCTAGAATTCTGTGGGTATAAATTAGAAAACTCAAGTAGGTCTTTTGAGGCATAGTGCATCACCTCATGGATCATACTTTGTACCTCATCTGTATGGGCCTATTGGAACATGAGCCTAGTTATAAGATTAGGAGCAAAGAAGGGAGGTGGGAGTTGGGTCTTGAGGAAACTCAGCATTGCCTTCAAATAAAACTTGCCAGCATGGAGGCCATTTCAGTTCCCTTAGGCAATGCAAAGTTAATTCTCTTAGACTGGGGTGGAAAGACCATTTTTACTAGGGATCATGAGGGTTCTTTTGCAAGGGGAAGAAAGCCCACTTCTACTAGCAAAGGAGATTCATTAGAATGTGGGAGCTCAATGTCCCCAGCTCCATCAGGGTCATTCGCCATTCCCCATTTCAACTTTTAGGATTCAATTTCTTTCCAATCAATGCCTTCACTTTAACAATAGATATCTTACAAGGCTGGAGATTCCATTTTCACTGCAATTCAACCAGTTGCTAGATGAGATCCTGAATTTAGTTTTCAGCAATCTCAGGCCTGTGGCTAAAGAGGATAAAGGTCTTTCACAGACAGACATGAAAGCTTTCAGGTCATTTATGTGGTACTTGAGCTAAGAATTTCAATCCCTGAGTTTATCTTTTTACCCCACGTTGTCCAAACATATTGAGAGCACCAAGCCAATCTCATTATACTCAGTTTGAAAAAAATGTTAGAAAGTATCATACACATGGTCACCTACATCTTTGCTTCTTATAAGTGTTTCATTAAGAGTATCCAATGGTGACATTCTGTGTATCTCTATTGCCAGGTCATTTTGTGGACTGTCAGTGCTTGCTTTCCTACTAGAAATAAGAGTTGTTAGTGGAAATAAAAGTCATTAGTGTCTTTAAATCTCATCCAGAAAACTCAAAACCAATGTTTAAAAATTGTCTTTTGTATTTTCCTATAGAGCCACTGCTGATATCACAATATTTATTAGTCAAGGTTTTCCAGAGCAACATAACCATTAATATATATGTATGTACTTGGAAAGAGAGAGAGAGAGAGAAAGATTGATTTAGTATAAGAAATTGGCTCATGTGATTATGGAAGCTGGCAAGACCAAAATCTGCAGGATGGGCTAGGGGTGTGAGAGGCCCAGGGAGAGAGCTCATACCCCAGTTCGAAGGCCCTCAGGCATAAGAGCTAGTGTTGCAGATGAAGTCTGAAGGCAGTCACCTGGGAAATATTCTCTCTTCCCAGAGGACAATGTTTTTTTCTTTTTGTCTATTACAGCCTTTTCAGCAGAATGGATGAGTCCCATCCACATTGTGGAAGGAAGTCTGCTTTACACTACTGATTAAAATGCTAATGTTAAAATCTACCAATTTAAGAGTTAGTCTAATCTGAAAACACTCTAGCAGAAGCACCTTTAACCAAATATCTGGACAGCCTGTGTCTGAGTCACATATGTCAATGTGAATGGGACACAGGGTGCCCAGATATTTTAAGGAAAACATTTTTTTTTTGTTTTTACTTAAAGGTTTACACATCTTTTTAAAAGAGGGTGTCCACATCTTTCAATTAAAAAAAAAAAAGAAATTATTCACTGAAGAGCTGTTACCTGTCCTGATAATCATTATTTTGAGCAAGTGGTTTAAACTCTTCTGTTGCAAAGAATCCCACAACTGAAGAAAACTTGAATCTTGGCTATTTTTCACAGAGGATACAAAAGGAGGGAAGGAACTGGTTGTGAATAGAAAAGGACTGAGATAACAATAATGCTGATAATAATTTCTTTGCTTTGAAAAATTTTTTACTTAATGGAATTCAACCATCTATAATTTAGTTTAACTTTATATGAATGAAACACACTTAATATACTTTTTAAATTTTGTTTCCTTCACTCCATATTATGTTTGTAAAAATCATCTTTTTTTGTTTGTTTTGTTCATTTTTTTTTTTATGAGACAGGGTCTCATTCTATTGCCTGGGCTGGAGTTCACTGGCATGATCACTGAGGCTCACTGCAGCTTCAACCTTCTGGCCTCAAGTGATTCTCCCACCTTGGGCTCCCAAAGTGCTGAGCTTACAAGTGTGAGCCATCACACCTGGCCCTATTCTTTTATTGTTCAGCCATAATCCATTGATTTTTATAGCATTCTTAATTTGCATTATTGGAACACAATCTTTATCCCTTCTACAGTTGATGGACCCTTGGATATTTCTAGTTTGAGATCTTGAGAACAATGCTGCTATGAACATTCTTTCCTATTTATCCTGGTGTTCTTGTGCACACATTCCATTACCGTCTACACTCACGTGCCACGTAATGATGTTTCAGTCAGTGATGAACCACATAGATGACAATGGTTTCATAAGATTTTAATGGAGCTAAAAACTCCTATTGCCTAATGGCATTGTAGTCATCATAACATTTTAGCATAACACATTACTTAAGTGCTTGTAAAATTTCTGTATGGCACATATAATTATGTACAATACATCATGCTTGATAATAATAACAAATGACTACTTTTCTGGTTTATGTGTTTATTATATCTTATCGTTACATTAGAGTGTACCCCTTCTACTTATTAAAAGAATTAACTGTAAAACAGCCTTAGGCAGGTCTTTCAGGAGGTATTCCAGACGACATTGCTATCGTTGAAGACGAGAGCTCCATGTGTGTTATTGCCCCTGAAAACCTTCCAGTGGGACAAGATGTGGAGGTGGAAGACAGGGATACTGATGATCCTGACCATATGTGCATCTATACTAAAGGGTATATTTGTGTCTTTGTTTAAAAAAATTAAAAAGTAAAACATAAAATTAAAAATTAAATAAATAATAAAGAAAATGTTATAGAGTAAGAATAAAAACCTACCTATTTTTGTACAGCTGTACAATTTGTTTTAAGCTAAGTATTACTTAAAAGAATCAAAAAGCTTAAAAAATTAAAAAGTTTATAAAGTAAAAAAGTTAAACTGTTAATTAATTATCAAAGAAAGAAAACTTTTATAAATGTAGTGGATGGAGCCTAAGCGTACAGTGTTTATAAAATCTACTGTAGAGTACGCTAATGTCTTAGGCCTTCCCATTCACTCACCATTCACTCATTGAGTCCCCTAGAGCAGCTTCTAGCCCTGCAAGCTTCATTTGTAAAGCTGTGCCATTTTTACCTTTTATACAGTGTTTTTACTGTATCTTTTATATGTTTAGATACATTAGATGAGCAACTACTTACCATTGTGTTACAATTGCCTCCGATATTCAGTACAGTCAAATGCAGCACAGGTTTATAACCTGGGAGCAGTAGGCTACACCATGAATACTAGGTATGTCGTGGGCTATACCGCCTAGGTTTGTGTAAGTACACTCTGATGTTTGCACAACCACAAAATTGCCTAATGACACATTTCTCAAAATCTGTCTTCATCATTCAGCAACACAGTCCTAATTAGGATTGAAATGGATGTTCCTGAGGTACCTGTATATCCAATTTTAGTAGATAATGATAAACTATTTTATAATGATATAGTATCCAATTATATTCTCACCAGCCCTGAGAGTTCCAGTTGCCAAAAATAGTGTAAAATATTACGTTTTGTCGCTTTGTTAGTATCCCCATCAGGCTTTATTTGTTCTCCCTTACTCCTAATGTGATTTGTCACTTGGCTTGTCTCTTTAGAGGTGTGTCTGGGCAAATTTTGCAAGTCTTTACCATTTTCTATTAGTCTGTTTTTTAATTCAGTTTAAGGAGTTCTTTGCATGTTCTAGAGTTAGCCCTTTAACTTTTTTCTCTGTCTTCCTTTTAAAAAAAATACTTTCTCTTAAGCTCTCTGCAGTTTCACTGACCTCTCTTTCGATATAAGACATTTTTATTTATTCTAGGAAGCTATTCTTACTTAAGCCATTCTTTAAATAGCATCTGTGATCTGTTTTGGAACCAGCTTTTATCTTTCAAATATTTTCTTTGTTCCATTCTTCTCCCTTCTCTTGATGAAATTCTATATTAAGCTTGTATTTGAGAATGTTTGCTTCCAGAAAAGACAGCAGACTAGGTTGAACCCATTAGCAAGTATCTCTTGCTTCTGCTCCATTTCACTAGTGGGTTTTCTACAGAATGCTGGTGTGAGTCACTAACCTTAAAGCTTATTTGCAGGAATTCCCTGGGCCTAGGATAAAAAACCTTCATCTGGTGGGGCGTGGTGTTTCACACCTATAATCCCAGCCTTTTGGGAGGTCAAGGCAGACGGATCACTTGAGGTCGAAAGTTTGAGACCAGCCTGACCAACATAGAGAAACCCCGTCTCTACTAAAAGTACAAAATTAGCCAGGCGTGGTGGCTCATGCCTACAGTCCCAGTTATGTGGGAGGCTGAGGCAGGAGAATCGCTTGAACCCGGGAGGTGGAGGTTGCAGTGAGCTGAGATCGCACCATTGCATTCCAGCATGGGCAACAAGAGTGAAACTCCATCTCAAAAAAAAAAAACAAAAAACAAAAACAACAACAACAACAACAACAAACTTTCATCTGAGGGAGATTTATGTTTGATTCTTCCATGCAACTATGCACCAAATCTATTGAGGGCAACCTGAAACCAAGTCTGGCCACAAACATCACAGGGTTGCAACATCGCTGGGACTTTGTTTTTATCTTTACTATTACATCTCTGGTCCATTTAATGCCAAAAGAAAAACAATTACACAAAACAAAACAATGCAAAACAAAATGAACAAACAACATACATGACTGGAAGCCCTTCTGCATAGACTGTTGCAGTCAAGGTGCATGTCGTCAGATGTATATCAGGTTCATACTTCTTATGAGTCTATAGGCCTTTGAGATCTTAACTCAATACAGAAAATATTTTTGTCAAACTCCCTCCTTGTGTTAGCATTTAACCTTCATTTCTCACCTTCTCAACCTGTGAAATACACACATATGCACCCAGACACACTGACATTTCCCTTTACCTGTAAATGGCCTCAGGCCAAAAGTGACATAGGTGCCTGGCGCTGTATTTACTTGACTAGATTTAGACCTATTCCAACACTGGGTCCCAGAGTTCTCCACAATCTTGTCAGCTCTTCGTTGTGATTAATTTGATATTTAATGAAAATATGTTTTTCTCAGCATTTGGTTTTCAGGGAAGGGATTAGTCTAAGTAACTCAACCTACCATTATTAAAAATATAATTCCATCATTTGTTTTTATATTTCATTTGGTGATACTAGGGCTATTTAATATATCTTTATAAAATAAATAATATCATTCAAATCAATGAATAAATAAGAGAGTGCATAGATATATAAGCCTTTAAAGTTAACTTTTCCCTAAATCTTGCCATTTCAATTATAGTTAAGAAATGGTATTTTAACAATATCAGTAAATACTTCCTACCCAAAGAGACGCTAGCGCTGAGTCATCTATCTGTTTTTTATTGAAACTCTTATTTGAGCAGAGCACTTTTGTTGAATTTCCAGTTTTTTCTTGTGCTTTTCCCCATTATCCACGTCTTCCACCAAGCCAATGTTAATGCTGGCTATTAAAGAGGTTCTTTCCCTCCTAAAGAATGTTCTGAATATTATCTGTGACCAAGGAATAACACAGTTGTTGGTCATTAGTGAAATAGAAGCAATAGGCTGGCTTGGCTTTTAGTGACAAATGAAGAATATTTTGTAGTTTGAATGATAAATGTTTTCTCAGCACTATTCCCCAAAAGGCAATTATTTTGTGATCATTACATGTGCAATACCTTTACCTGTTCTTCTATACCTTAACACAAGGTTCCCCTTCCTGTCACTATTTCATAAATTGGACTCCATACACCAATATTGGCATATAATACCATCACCATTATCATTGCATGCATATTTAAATGTTAAAGACTTATTGATTGGTTTTATGACTATCTGAAGGTTAAGAAAAGTTAGAGAAGCTCATTCCTACTAGAGTTTAATGTGACATATCTTCAAATATAATTAGTCTATATATTTATTTTGAGTAAAAAGCTGAATTTCTCAACTCATCTACAACCCGATAACATCCACAGATGCCCTTTGGGGACCATTAGCCACACTCAGTATATTTATGTTAATTGAATGAAGTGGATGTGTTTCAGAGTCTTCTACCAGTCATTTTGTTCTACTAGTGTATCACTTATTATAAGAAACAATCTCCGTATTGATCTCTTTAATGGAGATGTTTTATTGTTCAGGAGAAGGATGACTCTATAATTGAACCAGGGATGTGTCAATGATCTCTTTTTGTTTTCTCCTTCTGATGTGGCAATACTTTATTCCTCACTCTTTTTTTCAACAATATTTATTAGAAACAAGCATTCACATCCACATACAAACACATCCTTTGTTCAATGTTTAATGTCCCTCTGACATAGGGAGAGAAGCAAACCACTTAGCAATGTCCCCAAGTGATACACTGGTCTCAGGAAAACTCCCCTTGATTAAGGCATGGCAGTTTTTCTGTCCCATAATGGCTGGTGGCTATAAAGGAGACACACTGTATATGGAGCAGGGCAATAGAAAATAATTGGCTCTGGGCCAGCCAAAGCTGCTTCATGCCATCAGCCTCTTCACATTTAGATCCAAATTAAAATCTAATTTAGACGGAGTTTAAATTTAAAAAGCACACTTAATTCCTTCAATTTGCAGAACTATTCCATTCCATTAGGCAACTAATTTCTACCTGTCAGATTTGGAATGAAAGTGGTCTCTCTCAGGAGGAAACTTTTCACTTGTAGTAATTAGGTATGGGGAGTTTGTGATGATGCCTGTGCTTTGATAGCTGCTTGCGTTTAACTCTCCAAGCTTATGAACCCTTGGGTAAACTCAATTGAAGTGTCAGCTTCAATACTTGCCTGATACAGAAAGCTAAAATGAGGTTACATATTTCATAATTAAATAACACAACTACTTTAATTTTTATTAGAAAATCATAAAAGGTTACCTTATATAAAATCTAAGAGCATAAATTCCTTTGTTGACCTATTATTCTAAAAAGCTCCTGAAAAAAATTTTAAGAGGTCTTGATTACAATTAGATAAAAGCTGGGAGGGTGCAGGTATTCAACCTTATCAAAGTAATGACTAAAATTAGCAAGTGAGATGAACTGTAAGTGCTGTGTCAAGCTCCTCTTTTGATACTGTTCTTGACTTGTGCGAGGTGGGATGTTAATAGTGCAGAAGCCCTAGGCTGGTAGACAGAAGACTTGAGTCCCAAGCTCTGTGATTTACTTGCAGTGAAACCTTGGCTAAAATGTCTGACCTCACTTAGCTTCCTTATTCTATCAACAAACTTATTTTTCCTTCAAATTCAGCAGACAGAAAGTTAACATTTCATAAATATATATGGTTGAATGCTTCTTTCCTAAAAGCATTTACCATATTCAGTGATGAATATTAAAGTTCTCATTACTTTAAAGACACATTTTACCATAGGCAATTTTTATCCAAACCAAATTAACAACAAAATAAAAATTGTTCTCATCATTACTTAATCTTTATTAGAAAACATTTTCTTTTTTTCTTTATTTATTTAGTTATCCTGATGTAGGTGCAGGCATGATGTGAGAGATGTTAGAAATAGTCTGACGCCCTGGGGAATATTTTGAGGAGTTTAAATATCCACTTTTTCATTTACACAAAATATTATTTCAGAATGAAATTATGTTGAGTGATGTTCAAATTCAAGCTGGTCACAGTTTTAGATTAAATGTTTATTAAAATACAATTGGATGTGGGTTAAATTAACTTAAATAATTCATAATTTTTAAGACCAACACACTTAAATGATTTGGGGCAGGAGATAAAATTGTGAATTTAAGGGCCAGAAATATTTTCATATGATGCCTAAATGTTTATGTATTCCTAAAATCTAAATTAAATAGGTCTGACTGACCACAACAGAGTAGAAATAGGCTTTTCAAAATTTAAAATACAAAGGATTTTTCACACATAAACTGTGGTAGATTTTGTTTTCAGCAGCTTCATATCCTATTTCTCCCAAGGAAAATGAATAGTGAGTGTTTCATGATGTTTATGCAGAACTCTTTCATTTCCAAGTTAATTTTGCCTAATTAATTCAGAAATAAATGATTATATTAAGAATACAGACAACCTGGAAAATCAATGGCAATGTTTAAATAATAACCTACAAAGATTATGCAGGAAGTAAAAGATGTTTTGGGGGTTTTTAGATCATTAGTGTATTTCTACTCTAAATTTTTTTCTGATTTTATATATAATTAATATTAATGAGATAAACATACTAGAGTCATTTTGAAAGGTAGATCCTTTAAAATTTTTAAAAATTAATTGTCATTATTAATAAATAAGATAGATTCTTCTGGGTTAAAATAATGCTTTAGGTTCAAGTTCTAATATCTCAATACACTCAGCGTTTTGTTAAAATGTCCATACAAAAGTATATGTAATATGTATACATCCTTGGCAGAAGAAACTAAGGATAAGAATTGCCCACATATCCAAAAACAATTTCTGCCAAATAAAACTGACAGAATTCAATGGATTCTTTATTCAGCTCTCTGCTCAAATATCTATTTCTTAGAAAAGCTATTCTTGATCCCTGAGTGGAAAATAACACATATCTTCTTATTCTCGTTTCACTCCTAGCCCTTATTTTTATCTAACATTCTATTATATTTATTTGCATAGTGCCTGGTTCTTTAAGAAAAATGTAAACTTTATTTTACTGTTTTGGTCACTGTGGGTACCACACACAGCACACATATAGAATGCACTCCGTATATTTATTGACTGAAAAAAGAATGCTGCATGCACCAAGAAATGATTCACCCAGGCAGGAAGTAGAAAAAATATAGTTAACTCTGAACTTAGAAATGCATAAGTTATGCAACATAGGAAACGGACAGCGAAGATGAACTGGCTAGCCTGCCATAGAAACCACCACTTTTGTTTCCTATGTACAGGAGTAACAAGTTTCTCATATTAGAAAGAGATGTTTTAAGCATGTTATAATCCAATGTGATGGTTGCTACATTTATACAGTATCTTCCTGTGTTTAAGTTGCATTCCAGAAGTTGATTGGGAAATTTGGTTTCACATAATACAGTTAAAATTTATAAGACAATATATCAAGGATCCAATGATCTTGCACAATATTGGAAAAAATTGCATTTACCTTCTATACTAAAAGAATATATAAATAAGCAATAAAATAGTATGTTAAGGAAACACAACTGAATAAGCAAAGGGTTAATTTAAAGCTTGTCCATAGTAGCTTAGAACTGGGATACTGACTTTTAAACCTAAAGATAAAATATATGTTCTTGACTATAACTTTGCGTTTAAAGTCTGAAATTCCTCAGCAGGTTTCCTTTATCAGCTGGCCTTTATTGGTTATTGATAAAGTATAGATTGATGTCTGCACCCAATTTACCTCATCATACAACTTTGTTTTAGGCTTCACGATAAATGTGGTAAGAAGAGCCCTTAGTAAACTCATATCCAGGGACCAAGGTATTGATATTTTATATGTATCTTAGTGGTCATGATTTGAAGATGAAACAAAACTTGAGAGACAGAATGAAGTCTGGTTGCTGTGCCTGGAAATTTTAGCCCTCTATGAAGTTTGCATGTCATTTCATTCTCTTGTTCTCTGTATCATCCACCTCCCTTAGTGCATTACGTGAGTATATCCCATGGAGTATCATCAGCCCATTTAATTCCTGACCACAGTAAATAATGTAATATGTCAAGTAAATAATACTTACAAAGCAAAATAAACATCCAAACAAATTGAAATTGCTAATAATATTTAGGAAGGTGAGGAAGATGATAGTGATAAACCTGCCTAAATGATTGATCAAAGGACTTCCTGGCCAGGCTCACAGGACTTTAAAGACTTTAAATAATCTATATGTATATACAAATTTATTAAACCAGCTTTTCAGTTTGAAAAGTGAGTTTTTGATAACAACATTTTCAAGTCATCATAAGATATATTTAGATAATTAGAGTGAAGCCAGACATGGTGGCTCATACCTATTATCCCAGCACTATGGGACTCTGAGGCAGGCAGATCTCAGGATTTTGATACCACCCTTGGCAACATGGTGAAACCCCATTTCTACAAAAAATATTAAAAAATTAGCCCGGTGTGGTGGTGCGTGGTTATGGTCCCAGCTACTTGGGAGGCTGAGGTGGGAGGATCCCTTGATCCTGGGAGGTAGAATTTGCAGTGAGCAGAGATGGTGCCTCCACACTCTGGGTGACAGAGTGACATCCTGTCTGAAAGAAAAAAAAATAGTAAGGGAAAAACAGAAACCCAAGGTTTGAGATCAGGACTGGCCTGGCACTCTCAAGTAGGTCTCCATGTAGCTGGAAGCTGCTCTGGCAATCAGAGTTAGGCCTTGGTGTCTTGTTGAATATAAAAAATCCCACATAACCCCACTACCTAGAAAGGTCACTCTTGGATGATTATGATAAGGTGGGAAATTAAAGAAAGAAAGAAAAAATTTTTAAAAAAAAGACAGAAATAAGCTTTCCTGTATTAACCTGACTTTTTCCAGAGACAGCAACAGGCACAGCCCAGACCCAGGGAAAGTCTTGATAAACTATCTCTGATATGCCCTGAAGACTCTCCCAGCACTTCCTAAACATAGGGAGGAGAAAAACTAATTTTCCTCTCTCTTATGGTATGAGGTTAGAGATTCATGTTCTCTCTAACTAGTAACTTCATGTATTCTGTTTTATCTAAGCAGTGGAGTGAAGGTCATAAGCCATCTGAGCAGGCCTGAACTACAGCCACCTGGGGGCCATAGTGAAGGTCATGGCCTTCAAATTACAGTTACCTAAGGCTTCCAAGCTTTCATTGAACTAATCTCTGTTTTACCTGCTACTATTTTCAATATTTTTAATCGTTATGCCTAGTTATTCTTCAAATCTTGAAGACATTAAGATGATATCTTGTTGGGATGAATGATCTTTAAGTTTTCTGTGCAGCTTTTCGGACATAAGCTGTGCTAGGCACTAGGGCAAACCTAGATAACAGCCATCTGGGCTACATAGCAACGGTCATGTGTAATCCTGAGTTATGCACCTGTCACATTTTGATTAACTGTCTTTGTTCTGCCTTTGTATCCTCACTTTCGTGCCACTGTAAACTTGTTTCAGGCTAGCCCACCCCCTTTTTGAAGTGTGTATAAAAGTCAAGTGCTGTCTTTGTTCTGGGCCCAGTCTTTGGATGTTAAGTGTGCTGGGTCTGAGTGCACTCAATAAAGCTCCTCCTATATACACCCCAAGGTCTCTCTGGCCCTCCTGATTCCCACAACAATGACGGTAGATGAAAACAAAACTACTTCCTAATTTTGTCAAAACATAAACAAAACTGAAGTCACCACATAAAGTGCACAAACCCCTTATTCTGACTAACATGAGTCTCACCTTTGCCAATCACAACCATTAGTCTTACTCTATTCTTTTTGCCTTTTAGACAAGAATAATTTAGATACCCAATCATAAAATTACCCACACTGCTTGACAATTCAGAGCAAACTTCAACTTCCTTGAATCCTCCCACAATCACCTAACATAAGCCCAGATACTACATAAGTCCTTTCTAAAGCCTTGTTACTTGAGACAACCCATGATTCCCCTTGTGTGAGGCCTACTTTGTTGCACTGAGTGAATAAACCCAAATACTTTCCACTGCAGGTGCATTTCTGGTGGTCTTTATGTGAAGACTATTGTTGAAACAAGGAATACCGATACATACATTTCATCTGGGTTCAAATTACACAGTTACCTAAGGCTTCCAAGCTTTCATTGAACTAATCTCTGTTTTACCTGCTACTATTTTCAATATTTTTAATCGTTATGCCTAGTTATTCTTCAAATCTTGAAGACATTAAGATGATATCTTGTTGGCATGAATGATCTTTAAGTTTTCTGTGCAGCTTTTCGGACATAAAATCATGCTAATGACAAGAAAGGAATAAACAGGGGGAAAGACACCAATTATTTTCCTGAGAATGCATGGAAATAAAAATTATCCTCTACAACCCACCTACAAACCACTGTAGTTATTTAGGATAATCCCAACATTCATTTGGGTGCTTTTTGGCATTCTGGCTTTGATGACCATTAAGTGGAAAATGGGTATGTTGGATATGTTAGAACAGGATTAAATAGGAAAAATAACAAAGTAACTCAAATCATCAAGAGAAAAACTGGAGGAATGTTTCAAAATAATGCATCATTCTACCAGTTTCCATGTGCCCATAGTGTTTTATGTTACCTATACAAAAACTTCTTGTTTTGACATTCTTTGAAATAGTAACATAAAGAGAAAAAGAAAACAAAATTAGCATAGCAAAAAGTATTTTAATCTAATTAGGAATCATTTAAAAATCAAGTTATTTTTAATAGAATTATTGACTATTACCTTGAAAAGTAACAATTGTGTAAAGCAGATTCACTTTTACAGCTGATCATCAGTCAAATATACAGCAATAGCTTAGTTTAAAAATGAATAATTAATGACCTTAATAAAGAGAACATATACATATATTCTGTGATCATAGTTACCATTCCTGTCTTTGTATTTGTAAAATTTTTGCCAATACCAAACATAGAAAACATAGAAGCAATGCTCGTAAAAGAAAAAAAAAGTTATTGCGATAAATTTGTACTATTTCATAAAAATGTAATGCACAAATGAAAGTAATCTGTAGTTCTATTTCTAACCTGATGAATTTCTCAAATAGATTTGTCAATTGTCTTTATTATAAATATATTTCTGGAAGCATCTTATCTTTAAAGTCAGGTATATATTTCTTCTAAATTTGGTAACATAGCATAACTAACACCAAAATTCAATTCAACCATTCAAATTTAAAAATCTAAATATTTTAATTTATTTTGACAGATTTAAGGACAAATATTGAAATAAAAGTAAGTTTTAAAACAACTTAAATAAGTATTATGACTTGCTTCTAATATATACTCATAAGCTTATATAAAATAAAGCAAACTTGAGAAAGCATTTTATTGAGTGCTTTGATTTTCCTAGATCAGTTTTGCCTTCCTCTTGAATAGTTTCAAATCCAGGTCACTTTTCTTTAGGAGAGGAAATTGTAAGAATTACTTTATTAAAAACATGTTTACATAGCATAATATGGCTTATAATTCTGGGAAATTTTTAAAAGAAAGAACATTGTTTCTAATTCTATATTTCAAGAATTAATTTCTTTTGCAATTTTTAGCAATAATGTAAATCACTGACTTTAAAAATGTATCTTCTCTTAATAGTTTTCTTTTTCTTTGCTGTGCAAAGAGCTTTTTAGTTTGATGTAATCCCATTTGTCTATTGCTGCATTTGTTGTCTGTGTTTTGAGGTATTTATAAAATCGTTGCTCAGCCAATATGGTGAAGCATTAAACTATGAGTTCTTCAGTAGTTTCATAGTTTGAGATTTTATATTTAGGTCAAAATGAGTTGATTTTTATGTATGGTGAGAGATAGGGGTCTGGTCTCATTCTTCTGCATGTGGATATTCAATTTTCCTAGCCCCATTTATTGAAGAGATTGTCTTTTTTTTTTTTTTTTTTTTTGAGATGGAGTCTCGCTCTTTCACCCGGGCCTGAGTGCAATGGCGCTATCTCGACTCACTGAAAGCTCCGCCTCCCGGGTTCACGCCATTCTCCTGCCTCAGTCTCCCAAGTAGCTGGGACTACAGGCACCCACCACAACACCCGGCTAATTTTTTGTATTTTTAGTAGAGACGGGGCTTCACTGTGTTAGCCAGGATGGTCTCGATCTCCTGACCTTGTGATCCACCCGCCTCGGCCTCCCAAAGTGATGGGATTACAGGCGTGAGCCACCGCGCCTGGCCAGAGATTGTCTTTTTATCAACATGTATCTTAGCACCTTTGACCAAAATCAGATAGCTGAAAGTGCATGAATTTATTTTGGTGCTCTCTATTCTGTTCCATTGGTCTATTTGTCTGTTTTTATGCTAGTATCATGCTGTTCTGTTTACTATTTCTTTGTTATATAGTTTGAAGTCAGGTAGTGTGATATCTCTACCTGTGTTCTTTCTGCTCAGGATTGCTTTAGCTGTTTAGGGTCTTTTTGTGGTTACATATACATTTTAGGTTTTTTTTCTCTATTTCTATAAATAATGATCTTGGTATTTTGATATTAATTTCATTAAATCTTTAGATCACTTTGTATATTATGGATATTTTGACAATATTAAGTCTTCCATTCTATGAACACAGGATATCTTTCTATTCTTTCCATTTATTTGCATCATCTTCAATTTCCTTCATCAATGTTTTATAGTTTTCAGCATAGAAATCTTTCACCTACTTGGGTAAGTTTATTCTTAAGTATTTTATTTATTTTGTAGCTATTATACATTAAATTATTTAATTGATTTCTTTTTCAGAAATTCACTATTGACATATAGAAAAACTATTATTTTTGTATATGATTTTGTATCCTACAACTTTACCAAATTTGCTTATTAAATTAACAGTTTGTTTGGTGGTGTCTTCAGGGTTTTCAACGTATAAGATCATGATATCTGCAAACAGAGACAAATTGACTTCCTCCTTCCAAATTTGGATGAGTAAAGAGACAACCTACAGAATGAGAAGAAATATTTGCAAATGATATATCTGACAATTGGTTAATATTCAGACTATATAAGGAATTTAAACAATTCAGTGGAAACAAAAGCCAAATAATATGATTTTAAAGTGAGCAAAAGGCCTTGATGGACATTTCTCAAAAGAAGACATACAAATGGACATGAGTATATGAACAAATGTACAACATCACTAATCATCAGGAAATTGCAAATTAAACCATAATGAAAAACCACCTCACTCCAATTACAATGGCTATTATTAAAAAGACAAAAGAAAACAAGTGTTGACGATATGAAGAAAAGACAACTCCTGTATACTATTGGTGGGAATGTAAATTAGTATACCAATTATAGAAAATAGCATGGAGATTTCTCAAAAGATTAAAAACAGAACTAATACATGAACCAGGAATTCCACTGCTGGATATATATATACAAAGGAAATGAAATTAGTATATTGGAGCAATGTCTGTATTCCCATGTTTATTGCAGCACTGTTTACAATAGCCAAGATGTTGAATCAGCCTAAGTGTCCAACAGCAGATGAGTGGATAAAGAAAATGTAGTATATATACACAATTGAAAACTATTCAGCCATTAAAAGAATAAAATCCCATCTTTGTGACAGCAAAGATGAACCTGGAGGACATCGTGTTAAGTCAAACAAGCCAGAGACAGAAAGACAAATACTGCATGATCTCATTTATGTGTGAAACTTTTTTTAAAAGTTGATATCATGTAAGCAGAGACTAGAAAATGATTACCAGAGACTGGGGAGGGAGGAGAAAGGGAGGATGGAAAAAGGTTGGTCATTGGGTACAAAACTAAAATTAGATATGAAGAATACATTCTTGTGTTCTATTGCTCAGTAGGATGACTATAGTTAACAGAAAAATATTGTATATTACAAACAGAAGAGAGGATTTTGAATGTTCTCACCAGAAAGAAATGATACATGCATGAAGTGATGAATATTCTAAAAATGCAGATTGAACCAGCATGCAATATATATGCACTAAAACATCAAATTGTACCCCATAACATGCACACTTACAATGTGTCAATTCTTTAAAAAGTGTATTTTCTAATGTAAATATTAGCCATAGGAATTACTCAAACCTCCTTGAGTTTGTGACAAATATATAAATCTTTATTAATGTAAATTATTAAAACTAAACATTCTTGTTTTCTCATGCATGTCATTTTATATTTCAGTAACTTACAATAATGCTGTCTATCTGACAGTTTATGTTTTAAAGCTGTGATAAATGTAAAGGCTAAGTACAAAAAATTATGCAACGTTGTAACAAAGTTTTTATGTGGTGCTTTACTGGTACCAAAAATTGGTAATAAAGCCAGTTTAATGGTTCAGTTACAAAAGAAATTTCAACTAAGTAACATTTATTATATCAATTCTGGTGTGACCACTTGACTAATGTGACTTTGGAAATGGTTAATAGTAAAAATCAAATGGGAGGTTCAGTATCATGTTTTCTTTTATACTTTTTAACTATTTCCTTGCTCCTCATTTCATCCTGTATCTCTGATCTTCCATATAAAATTATTTTACTTATGACTAAAGAAAACCTCTACATATTTCCTTTAGGAATATTCATCTGTTGTCAAATTATCTTAGGTTTTTATTTCTGAAGGGAAAGAATGCTTTCATCTTCACATTTGAATAATATTTTTCTAATGTACATGATTCTAAATTGACAATTTTTCTTTCAGAACTTTAAATTTCACTGCTTTCTGGCTTGCATGTTTGTGTTGGAAAGGTAATAATCTAGTCATTGCTCCTTGACAGTAATCTCTTTTTTTATTTTCTTGTTTTTAATATTTTTTTTCTTTATCTCTGGTTTTTCAGCTGTTTTGCTATCATGTTTCATGTGCCGATTACTTTTTATTCATCCTGATTGTATACTTAAATAAGTGATGCTCTTTCATCAGTTTGGTATAGTTCTTAGCCATTATACCTAAAAATGTTGCTTCTATCCTATTGTCTCTGTCATTGCCTTTTGAGATTCCAATAAAATGTATGATAAAGCTTTTCCCTGTATGTTTAATATTTCTTATTTTTTTTTTTTTGAGACGGAGTTTTGCTCCTGTTGCCCAGGCTGGAGTGCAATGGCATGATCTCGGCTCACTGCAACCTCTGTCTCCCAGGTTCAAGCAATTCTCCTGCCTCAGACTCCGAAGTAGCTGGAATTACAGGCATTTGCCACTATGCCTGGCTAATTTTGTACTTTTAGTAGAGACGGGATTTCTCTATGTTGGTCAGGCTGGTCTCGAAATCCCGACCTCAGGTGATCCGCCTGCCTCAGACTCCCAATATGTTTAATATTTCTAATCCTCTTTCCTCTGTATTTTCAATCTCTCTGCTACTCCATGATTCATTCTGAATATTTATGTGTACTCTATCTTCCAATTTGTTAATTCCCGTTTCAACCACAACTAATCTGCTATTAAGACCATCTACTTATATCTTAATTTCTGTTATTGAAATTGTAAGTTACAGAATTTCTACATGGTCCTTTAACAAATACAGGTTGACTACCCCTTATTTGAAATGCTCAAGACCAGAAGTGTTTCTGATTTTTTTTTTTTTCAAATTTTTGGATATTTGCAAATACATACTGTGATATCTTGAGGAAGGAAACCAAGTCTAAACATAACATTTATTTATGATTCATATACACTTTATATGCAAGGTCTGAAGGTAATTTTATACAATATTTTAAATAATTTTGTGTACGAAACAATGTTTGTGTTGTAGGAGCCAGGGGAAAATTTCCCCTTTACCTTCTGAAGTTTCGTTGAAAAATTAACTTACAAAAGGCAGATTAATAGGGGAAATGGCATGCAAATGTATTAGTGTGTAAAGGGGAAAGTCATGAAGTGATTGCTCCAGCACACAATGAGGTACAGATGGTTATATGCCCTTCTTCTTAGGGGAAAGGGAGATGAGGAAGTGTGGGTGATTTTAGGGGGGCAGTAAATTATTTTTAGGGAAATTCAATTGCCTTGAGGAACATACAAAGTTCCTCAAGGAACATGACAAAGTCTGTTTGGCCTGTAAAGCAGATGATGGTTTGTGACAAAAATCTGTCCGGGTGTGTTGACAGACGTCCATCTTTCTTTCTGTGATATTAGTTCAGTTAATGAAAACTCAGTAGAGGGATTAGAGGTAATTGTTTTGTTCTTTGGTTGGTCCAGACTTTAGGTTGATAAGGGAACTTCAGAGAACGACTTCATCCTGTGCTTTGGGAGAGAGAGGATTGAGAAATGTGGAATTGGGGAGAGGTCAGAGAGACCTTGAGGCTTTTTCTTCAGTTCAGCATGTCAAAGTACCATTTACAAAGGCATCACAGTGTTGAGTCACAATGTGGTTTTAGAGACTGATATATGGTTTTATTATCGTATTATTAGAGAAATTTCATCAGAGAACATGCCCATAGTTTACAATGACTAATTTTTATGTGTTTATACTTATAAATCAAACTCTCTGCATCACTTTTATATGAAATTGTTTCATAAGTGAACAAGTAACAAATAAGCTTAATTCTAGTTATATTGAATAGTAAATTTGTCCCAGCATATAAAGAATTTTCCTAGAATAAATGAACAATTGGTTGAAGAGCACTGTGTTACATGTTCCATTCAATTAATGTATTAAAAGAAAAACAATCCTATATTTATTGACTATGACTTCTTCACATTTTTTAAACTATACCATCTATTACTTACCCTGTATCTATAGTATGTGGGTACATGATATTTTAGAGTCTCTATGACCAGGTCAATTACATCAACTAGGAAACTGATAACAATAACAAAGGTAGTCCAAATATGGGGGTCTCAACTTTCACTCTGCCTCCAATCATCTATTTCTATTAAATATTTATCAGGAGTTTATGTGTATATTATGATTGCTTATGTTTGATAAGGAAAGTTTTATGTGAGAATAAAGGAGGTACTTTTAAATACAGAAAACTTAGTGGTATAGAATAATGCTGAGATTATAATACTGAATCACACTACAGATTTCATGGATATTTGCTTGGATTCTCAGACTAGGGGCTATGTATTCATATTCACTTTTCTCCTCCTATCTAGTTTCTTAAGAACTGCACCACATGGCCAATCCATGCTGTTGACTAGCCATGAGGGCTTAACTCCTCATGATACAGAATGAAAATGGTAACCCTCTAGTGAGTTCTAATGGCAATTTGACCCATGGAAAGCAAAGCCTACGTATCTATGGGTCACTCCAGGAAAAACCCAAATAAATTATAAAAAGAAAGAAACAATTATGAACAACAATGAGATAGTGGACCTTTGCAGTAAAATAGTTTATTTTTACACTGAATCCCTGTGAATATTAAGCATCACAAACTGTTAGACAAATGAGATAAACAACATGAGAAGATGAGCCAAGTGAAATCTCCTCCCGTCAGAGGCAAAATCCACAGGTCAGATTGAAATATTCACTCAGTTCATTTGTTAAACATCCCCATATTAATGTGATTTGAAAGTTAAAATGACCCATTTCCAAAGCCATCATTCACCCCATGTTTGGCCCTGTACTGTTGGAGACATAGCTATCAGAAAATGAAAACGGTCAGTTTTGCCTTTTCACACTGTTGATTTGTAATAGTTTTGTTGAATATTTGTAACTATGTAGCTTTTACAATGGCAAGTTGGCAAATTTGTGTTGCTACAGCTAACATAATTCCTTAATTTAAAATTATGTGTTAAAGAAATACATCTGTCACTTTATTAAAAAGATTATTAGTTGATTATTTTGATATTTTCTTGCCACTTTCCTAGGTGAGGTATAAATTTGATTGTCATAACTCAAATTGATTTAGAATTTAGTTGATTTCCATTAACAGGTTAATTAAAAGAAAAAGCTTAGTCAAACCAAAAAGCATATAAATAAGTCCTCAGGATTTTTAAATAATCTGACAGCTGAAGTTTTGTTATTAATTAAATTTGAATGGTTTTGCAGAAAATTAACCCTCACTCCTCCATCCATCCAAAGTGGAAAGTGATACACACTTGCTAAGGGAAAGGGTCCCAGAATTACTCCTGATCTGATGTTACATTACGATGAATCATTGGTATACACTTTAAAAGAACTCTTAAGATGAAACCATTTGGTAAGCACTTCGTAGCAAATGCTGAGGAATCATTTGATAAGCATTTTTACGTTTGCACTGTAAATGACCATTTGGATTTCGTCTCCTCTGGTCATCCCTCTCTCCTTTCCTTACCTATTCCTCTTGTTTTAGAAGTATTGATAGTCTTGCAGAAGGTAATTCTTTTGAACTCTGCTCAGGATCCCTTAGGTAGTAGTTTTGACCCACAGGGAACTTTAAAAATTCTGAACACTCGTCTTGCTACCCAGACCTATTAAAAACCTCTTGGTGTGGACATAGGTATCTGTGAGTTTTTAAAGCTCTCCAGGTAATTCTAGTGTACAACCAAGTTCAAAAATCTGCAATAGCTCATAAAAATAAAGTGAGCGAATTCATAAACTCCCTATTTTCAACCCCATCTCC
The DNA here is from genome assembly GCF_000001405.40 of Homo sapiens. Classification (NCBI taxonomy): domain Eukaryota; kingdom Metazoa; phylum Chordata; class Mammalia; order Primates; family Hominidae; genus Homo; species Homo sapiens. The sequence continues at coordinate 30,418,284 of NC_000018.10, forward strand.
AGAGAGTCTTTACCTGAAGAGTGGGATAATCACATAGGAATCAAAATTTTTAAAAATAATCCCCAGGTAATTTTAATACAGATTGTATGTGTCCCACATTTTGAGACACACTGCCATTTGGGAATTGGAATTCCTCTGCATTTCACTTTATCAATTACCCCTTTCTCACTTGTCACTCTATACTCTAATGGTTTTTTAATGTATAAAATCTTCTTTGTTTCTACTACATAAACATAATCGCTTCCTCCACAGCTCTATCTTTGTAATATACTGTTCTATCTCTTTCTGTTTTTAAAAAAAGTTTCTCAACACAAGTCTTAAGCTTTTCACTTTATCAATTACCCCTTTCTCACTTGTCACTCTATACTCTAATGTTTTTTTAATGTATAAAATCTTCTTTGTTTCTACTACATAAACAAAATCCCTTCCTCCACAGCTCTATCTTTGTAATATACTGTTCTATCTCTTTCTTTTTTTTAAAAAAGTTTCTCAACAAAAGTCTTAAGCTTGCATCTGTTCTTCCATACCCTATTCATTCTTTCGCCCTGGGCCAGCTTCATGGGCATGCAGAGTCACACACAGGTGAAAGCTCAGAGGGCCTTTCTTGAATTTGGTTTAGTGCTTTATTGTCTTAAAATTCTTATTTCACTATCTCACCATTGTAAACTTCTCTGATTCTCAAATCCAATGGGCATTTTACAGTTTTTATTTCTTTTGACTGTTTGTAGCTTTGAATGCTGTTGATTGTTATGTCTTTGAAATGCTTTCGTATCTACTTTTACTCCATTTTCTTCTCATTCTCCTATATCTCAGGCTACCTCAGTCTCCTTCACAGGCGTTTCTGCCTCGAGACACCTTCTACACACTGCTTTTCCTCTGCATTCCATTCTTGATTCTCTTTTCCAGTAAATTTTCAGTGGTCACACTCTGACTAACGGATTGCACTCACAAGTATATACCCCAAATTTCTAAAACAATGTCTTTGATGCAGGGTTATCTATCTAAACTTTACAAAGAAACCAAAAACCAAGCTTATTTTTTCTAAATTATTCTGATCCTATAATTTCAGAATTATGCCCTCATTTGTCCTCCTTGTGAGAGGTGAAGCCAGCTGGGCTTCTGGATGGGGTGGGGACTTGGAGAACTTTCGTGTCTAGCTAAAGGATTGTAAATTCACCAATCAGCACTCTGTAAAAATGCACCAATCAGCACTCTGTAAAATGGACCAATCAGCACTCTGTAAAATGGACCAATCAGCAGGAGGTGGGTGGGGACAAATAAGGAAATAAAAGCTGGCCACCCCCCGCTGGCAGCCGCAACCCGTTGGGGTCGGCTTCCACACTGTGGGAGCTTAATTCTTTTGCTCTTCTTCACAATGACTCTTGCTGCTAGTCACTCTTTGGGTCTGCAGTACCTTTATCAGCCGTAATACTCACCGCGAGAGTCTGTGGCTTCATTCCTGAAGTCAGCGAGACCACGAACCCCCCAGGAGGAACAAACAACTCCAGACGCACCACCTTTAAGAACTGTAACACTCACTGCAAAGGTCTGCAGCTTCACTCCTGAAGTCAGCGAGACCACGAACCCACCGGAAGGAAGAAACTCTGGACACAGCTAAACATCTGAAGGAATAAATTCAGACACATTACCCGTAAAAACTGTAACACTCACCGCGAGGGTCAGTGGCTTCGTTATTGAAGTCAGTGAGACCAAGAACCCACCGGAAGGAACCAATTCCAGACACACTTGTTATCTAAATAAAAACTTGAGGCTGGGCATGGTGGCTGACACCTGTAATCCCAACATTTTGGGAGGCTGAGGCAGGTGGATCACTTGAGCCTCGGAGTTTCAGACCAGCCTGGGCAACATGGCAAAACCCCGTCTCTACTAAAAATACAAACATTAGTCGGGTGTGGTCCATGCACCTATAGTCCCAGTACTTGGGAGGCTGAGGCAGGAGAATCACTTGAATCCTGGAGGCAAAGATTGCAGTGAGAAGAGATCAACACCACTGCACTCCACCCTAGGCAACAGAACAAGAGTTTGTCTCAAATAAACAAACAAGTAAAAACTTGAGAATCAGCCTCAATCCTCTAAGTCAATTCTATTCTATAGTCTTCTTATCTCCAGAAAGTCTTTTATGTTATTCTTTCTCACCGTCATTATTTTACTTCAGGTCTTTTTCACCTCTCATCCACAAAAGCAATAGGGTTATAAGTGTTCTCTTTGCTTTACATTCTTTAATAGTTTATTCTCAATGCTGGAAGAGAGATCTTTCAATTATGCAAATCTGACCACAGAAGTTTTATAATTTAAATGCTGAAATAGCCTGTGATGGTTGTTCTCAACCTGTGAAATAAAATAGCTTCTTTTCACAGTAAATAGCATGTAAAAACTCAGTTATTAACATGAAAGAAAATACATAGAAGATATATATATATACCTACTCCAACAATTTTTAAAAAATAATGTAATGTCCTTAAGCTATATAAAAGAGAAATAAAATTACTGAAATAAGATTGTGCATATTTTAATATTTAAATATTTGAGAATGACTGCTCTGGAAAACATGTTAAAAAATAAAACTCATTTATCCATGAAACCATAATGAATATTGGTAATTAATGTGTAATGTGTCAAGCTCAATGTTCATGACACCAATGGGATTTTCTAAAATAGGCAATTCTCGATAAAATTCTAAACAAAAGAAAGTACAATCTTCCTTTATTTTGCATGAAAGCAGTAAAACTGAAAAATTATATAGTAGAAATCACTCAATTTTTTTATGACAAATGAAGTTGGGTCTAGATGCATTGTAAGATGGCAAACATCACTGGATCTAGTCCACTAAACACCATCTCATCAATTTCTCTTGAGAATATGAGGCTTGAGGTTCCATTGTAAATCTAATGCCGTCAGCATGTGCTAATCCCTCTCCTTCCCACAAATGTTCCATAAACTGCAGTGTGCAGAACTACTTTGCTCCAAGTGTTTTGTCAATAATTTAAACATGAAACCCTATAGGAAAATGTGTTTTTTTCTGAATTCCAAACGAAAACTTTGAAAGAATCTTATAGGTCATCAATTTGAATTGTGTATTATCATTTAATTTCTGATTTTCAGTTGAATCTGTCTTCTTTACAGAACTTCTTTCTTGGATAAGTCCTAGACATTCATACCTCAGAGAATACATACTTCCGCCAATACCTCTTAGCAAAAGTCAATTGAAAGATAAGAGAGACTGGTAAGTTTTCATGCTGCATCTATACCATGGAGTTGGTTGTCTCTTGGAGAAAATCTTCCCTTCCTTAGCTGTTAAAATTGTTAAAGATAGTGGAAAAAAAACTCTCTCTTTATAAATGTGTAATGTATTTTTGTTTCAATAACACTGTATGATTAGAAGCAAAATGAAAAATGAGTACAGATACAATTGAGCAATCAAGAATCAGTGTTACAATAAGGAAATTGTCAAACCAACATGGCATTTTCTTTCCCCATCTGTATTTCTTAGTTTAACATGAAAACATGTAATTTATACATCAATCTTATTTAGAGTATTTATGTTACCACACTCAAATCCATGCTTCTGAAAATGACTATATAACAAAGACGTCTATGCTCACCCTCTTCTATATTTCCTCCTATATCTCAGTGTCTAGATACTGAAGAACCACATTTTCCAGATTTCCTTGTAGCAATAACTGTGAAGTAAAGTAGCTCCTGCTTGAGAGTGTCACTTATATATGATATGATTAGAAAGGAGGCCAGCACTTTGGGAGGCCGAGGTGGGCAGGTCACGAGGTCAAGAGATAGAGACCATCGTGGCCAACATGGTGAAACCCTGTCTCTACTAAAAATACAAAAATTAGCTGGGCATGGTGGCATGTGCCTGTAGTCTCAGCTACTCAGGAGGCTGAGATAGGAGAATTGCTTGAACCTAGGAAGCAGAGGTTGCAGTGAACCGAGATCGCACCACTGCACTCCACCGTGGCAACAAAGCCAGACTCTGTCAAAAAAAAAAAAAAAAGAAGAAGAAAGGAGGAAGGGAAGGGATATTCCCTTGCTTGTGGCACTGTTAGACAAGTGCTGACAAATAGGAGAGTTTTTGTTGACCACTTCCCATAGTCTGATGATCCGTCACCAGTCTTCTGGGTGTGAGAAAGCTGTGATGTTGGCACCAGTGATAGCCACAGAAGTAGGAGCTTGCTGACCTCAGGATCACAGAGATGGTAGTTTAACCCCAAAATGAATAGAGGTTTAGAACCCTGATTTTCACCCCTCTAGTCCTTCCAACGTTTTTGTAACCTGTTGTTTCTCACATGAAATTTTATATGATGGAAATAAACTATAGCTAAAAGCACTTGGCACATGTCAGAACTTAACATTTAAAGGGCCAGTAAGAGAATGAATCATTTACTTTCCTGGCATCCTGCAAAGAGGTATGTTTGGACCAAGGTACGGATGAACACATCTACAGACTAGGATCCATGAGAGAAACTCTGCATGAGAGAAACTCTGTCTGCTTGTTCTTACTCCATATGGAAGAAAAGAGGGAGTAACCACATAAATTAGCATTTTGGGGTTTAGGAAATCATGCATTCAGACCATACGTGCCTGCTTTACAGGAGAATGCTGGGAGATTCTAACTGCGTAGAAATGGAGATTTTCATCATCCTTAGACCTGTGGAACATTCTGAGCAGTAGGGACAAGTGATCTCAACTCCAGAAGTTGCAGCCCCTTCAGCTGGAAATGAGGGTATTAGGCTCAGCTATCTCAATGCCAGGCAACTTAAAGCAATGATGAAGTTATAATTGTCTTCATAAACATCTAGAATGGTTTCTCTTTCTTACAATATTTGATTCAGCCACAGGTTTTAATAAGTATATAAATAAATATGTTATGTTATAGAAAAATAATTTAAAAGTAACTTCAAGCTAAATTATTAGGAAATTCACATGATATGGAAGTTGCACTATCTAAGCGTTATAATTAAAACTCTTTAGCATGTGAGAGGCTTAAATTAGAACAAAAGTGGAATGTCTATTGCTGATTTTCATTCCTCAAATAAAGCTTTTTATCATTTAGATATTATTAGTCAAGGCTAAATTAGAAATCCACACATAGACCTATAATTATCATCTCCTTCAGAAAAGTTATTTGAATTTTTCAGTGATGTAAGTTTATGGCCATTTTGATTTCATAAATTAGTTTTTCACAAAGAAATTGCATGAAAAAAACTATCTTAAAAAGGAGGATTTTAACCAAGATTTCTTTCCACATATATAAGTATGAATGATGTAAACATTCATTATATAAGAAATTAAAAAGTGAAATTTCAATAATTAAAACTTAAGACCTGGATCAGTAGAAGTGGCCACAAAACTGGAGATGGAAAGATGAGAAGAAGTTTGTCAAATCTAATAAACAATGGTAAAGTAAAAACAGAAACAGGAGATGTGGAAACCAGTGTATGTCTACGTTGTTTAGGCAAGGAATCTCTCAAACTGGTAGTAATTAAATATTTTATCATTCAATGCCTCTGCTTATTTCCCATTTTGATTCTTCCATTTTCCTCACAAGCCGCATTAGGCTGTTTCAGAATGGTTGAAATTTCCAACACCTCCATGTTCCTCATTCTACTTTTGGCATACAATGTGTAGAAAGTATGCAGGTATATGTTATTTTATTGAGCTTTGCTTTATTGCACTTTGTAGATAATGAATTTTTACAGTTGAAAGGCTGGTGACAACACTGCATCTAGAAAGTCGATGAGAGCCGTTTTTCCAAGAGCATGTGCTCATTTTGTGTCTCTGGGTGACATTTTGGTAATTCTTGCAATACTTTAAACTTTTTAATTATTAATAGGTCTGTTATAATGATTTGATGTTACTATTGTAATGGTTTTGGGGTGCTACAAACTGCACTCATGTAAGATGGCTAACTTAATACAAAAATATTCTATGTGCTCTGATTGCTCCACCAACCAGCCTTTCCCCATCTCTCTCCCTTTCCTTGGGCCTTCTTATTTCCTGAGACGCAATAATATTAAAATTGGGCTAATGAATAACCCTATAATGGTCTCTAAGTGTTCAAATGGAAGGAACAGTAACATTTCTGTCACTTTAAATTAAAAGCTAGAAATGATTAAGCTTAGCGAGGGAAGATATGTTGAAATTCAATACAGGATGAAAGCTAGGATTCTTGTGCCATATAATTTGTGAAGTGAGTTGAAAGGAAAAGTTTTTGAAAAAAATGAAAAATTCAACTTCAATAAACACATAAATTATTGGAGATGGAAACATCCTTATTGCCAATATAGAGAAAGTTTTATTAGTCTGGATAGATCAAACCAGCCACAATATTCCCTTAAACCTTAGCCTAATCCAGAACAAGGATCTGATTCTCTTTAATTCTATGAAGGCTAAGAGAGATGAGGAAGCACAGAAAAACACTCTGAAGATTTTTTTTATATAGCTTACTAGCAGAAGCTGGTTCATGTGGTTTAAAGAAAGAACAGATATAACATAAATGTACAAGGTGAAGTAGCAAGTGCTGATATAGAAGATGCAGTAAGTTATCGAGAAGATCCAGTTGACTGATGAAGGTAGCTACACTAAACAACAGACTTCCAATGTAGACAAACAGTCCTTTATTGAAAAAACAAAAAATCCTGTCTAGGAACTTTTATAGCTCTACAGGAGAAGTCAATGCCTGGCTTCAAAGGACATGACTCTCTTGTTAGGGGCTAATACAGCTGATGACTTTAAGTTAAATCCAGTGTTCACTTACCATTTCTAAAATTCTGGGGCCCTTAAGAATTACATTAAATATACTCTGCCTGTGCTCCATGGAAAAATAAAGCCTGGATTTCAGCATATCTGTTTACAGCACGGTTTACTAAATATTTTCAGCCCACTGTCAAGGACTACTACTCTGAAAAACAAAAAAAAAAAAGATTTCTTTCAAAGTATTACTGCCCATTGACAATGCATCTAGTCACCCAAGAGCTCTGATGGAGATGTACATGGAGATTAATGTTGTTTGCATGCCTGCTAACACAACAACATCCATTCTGCATTCCATAGACCACAGAATAATAAGACTTTTAAGTATTATTATTTAAGAAACATATTTAATAAGTCTAACTATAGCTACCATAAATAGTAATTGCTCTGAGGCATCTGAGCAAAGTAAATTGAAAACCTGTGAAAGATTGACCATTATAGATACCATTAAGAACATTCTTAGTTCAGGGAAGAACGTCAAATCATCAAAACTAACAGGGGTTTGGGAGAAGCTGATTCCAACCTTCATGGATGACTCTGAGGAATCCAAGACTTTACTGGAGCAAGCAGCTGCAAAAGTGGTAGAAACAGCAAGAGAACTAGAATTAGAAGTGAAACCTGAAGATGTGACTGAATTGTTTCAATCTCATGATAAAAGTTTAATGGATGAGGAGTTGCTCCTTGTAAGTGAGCAAACAATGTGGTTTCTTGGGATGGAATCTTCTCCTGGTGAAGATGCTGTGCACATTGTTGAAGTGACGACAAAGGATGTAGACTATTGCCTAAATTGTGTTGATAAAGCAATGGCAGCGTTTGAGAGCATTGCTTTCAATTTTTTTTTCTCAACTTTTCTTTGTGATACAGAGACTACATGTGCAGATGTGTTGCATGGGTATATTGCACTCAGGTAGTGAACATAGTACACAATAGGTAGTTAACCACCACTGATCCATCAGTAGCCATCATAATCTAGGGAAGGCCTTTCAACAGCAAAAAGATTATGACTCAATGAAGGCTCAGATGATTGTTAGCATTTTTTAGCAGTTAGGTATTTTTAATTATGGTATGTACATTTTTTAGACATGGTGCCATTACACAGTTAATAGACTACAGTATAGCATAAACGTAAGTTTTATATTCACTGGGAAACAAAAAACAATTGTATGACTCCCTTTATTGCATATTTACTTCATTGCAGTGGTTTGGAAACAAACTTGCAATATCTCTGAGGTATGCTTCTAGTGATTTTTCTCTCTAATTTTGTTGTAAGAGTCCATATTTACTGTAGGATAAAAGAAACAAGACAATAAGAAAATATCTAGAGTTCCAAATCACACAATCCAACATACTGATTAGGATCATGTAAATATATATCATTTATATAATTGATGTCTCTTTATAACATATTCTATTTCATAATTGCTGTTTTCAGATAAAATATATTGATTTATCAAAAAATATTTCCATACCAGTAAACATAGTCTATCTTTCTAGAAGCATAGTAATATAATATATAGCTTTTCTTTTAAAGCAATCAACTATTTTGACATTTATAGTATCAATATCTTGCCATTTTAAACATCGCTGCAATAGTTTTGAACATATATTTTATGTATGTTTTGATATATCTTATTATAATGAATTGCTAGAAGGTTAAACACTGGATCAACGCTTTACAAAATTTGAAAAGTTTAAATATGTTTCGCCAATATGCCACAAGACACAAATGAAAACTATGAATTTGACAAAGCAAAATGAACACTTGCACATACACAAAAACTTCTGTCAATTTTAGAGAATGCTTATCTCTTCAGAAAATTCATTCATAGACATTCATCCAGGGAATTATTTAGCTTATGTTAAGGGCACTCATGCTATATTATGATCCCATTTTTATAAAAATATATTCATACAAATATTGGAGCAGATATATTGCAAAGAGTTACTGATGATTTAGAAGAGGTCATGAATAGAGAGAAATGTAATGCTTTATTGTTTTGTTTGAGCATCTCATAAAAAACATGTTTTACTTTTACATTAAGTAAATAAAAATTTATTCTTGAATATTTTTATTGGACAAGCAAACAGACCTTCTTTTGTCTTTCAACTCTCATCCAATGTATAATCTTGTCCCTACCCATGTACTGCCAAAATTCTTGACAGACTTTTATACTAAATGCACATACTTTGTTAAAGGCTATTCACTCCTCAATTGACTACATCCAGGCTTTTCCTCCTGCCTTTGGGGTTTTCATCCTGCGATCCTCCTGAAAATGTTCTGAGCAAGTAAGCAATAACCTCTAGTTTCTGAAGTCTATTGCACAGGTTTTCTGTCTTCTGTGAGTGGTGGAGTAACTAAACATGGACTAACTACGCTGCCAATTACAATTATAAACCTCTTCCAAAAATGAGAAATATTTGTATAGACACTTGCGAGTGAAAGTCAAGACAGGCCAAGCTTTGAAAGTAAATATTAAGTCCCAGGCATAAGATAAAAACTAAAATAGACTCTCTCTCTCTCTCACACACACACACAAACACACACACACAAAGAGAGAGAGAAAGAGAGAGAGAGATATTCAAAAGTGAGTCTTTACAAGTTCAAGGCAATATTCCAGTATTTTATCTGCTTGCTAGGACAAAACACAACATTCTCTAGAGAAAGATAACAGGTTCTCTAAAGTTTATCATTTATAATGTCCATTGTACAATTAAAAACTTACTAGGCATGCAAAGAAACAGAAAAGATGATGGATAGTCAAAAGAAAAATCATCCAATAGACACTGACACTCAGATAACCTGGATGTTGAAATTTACGGTACAACATGGATAAAGAACTGCAGTCTGTATGTTAAGGAAATGCAGGAAGTAATAAGCATACTGGGTAAAGGAGAAGATCAACAGAGACATGAAAATTGTAAAAAAAAAAAAAAAAAAAAAAGGGCCAGGCGTGGTTGCTTATGCCTGTCATCCCAGCACTTTGGGAGGCTGAGGTGGGCAGATCATGTGAAGTCAAGAGTTGGAGACCACCTTGTACAATCCAGTGAAACCCTATCTCTACTACAAAAAAAAAAAAAAAAAAAAAAAAAGAAAGAAAGAAAAGAATAGCCGGGCATGTTGGTGCATGTCTGTAATCCCAGCTAGCTGGGAGGCTGAGGCAGTAGAACCACTTGAACCCGGAAGGCGGAGGTTGCAGTGTGCCGAGATCACGCCACTGCACTCCAGCCTGGGTGACAGAAGAAGACACCGTCTCAACAACAGAAAAGAAAAAAGAAATTGTAAAAAAAGAAAAACAGATGGACATCCTAGAACAAAATTTTAACCAATATTTTAAAAAGTATGTGTTGCATAAGATGAATACAAGATTGAACACAAGAGAATATGAGAAGGGGGAACTTAAAGATTGACGCCCATAAAAATCATTAAAACAAAATAATTCAGTAATTTCACAATTTTCCAAATTTGCTTTATTTTGTTGTTGTTGCTATTGTTTGTTTGTTTTTGATTCAGAGTCTCGCTCTGTGGCCCAGGATGGAGTGCAGTGGCGTGATCTCAGCTCACTGCAACCTCCACCCCCTGGGTTCAAGCAATTCTCCTGCCTCAGCCTCCCAAGTAGCTGGGACTACAGGCGCCTGACACCACGCCCGGCTAACTTTTTTCTTTTTAGTAGAGACGGGGTTTTACCATGTTGCCCAGGCTGGTCCCGAACTCCTGACCTCAAATAATTCACCCACCTCGGCCTGCCAAAATGTGGGGACTACAGGCATGAGCCACGGTGCCCGAACCCAAATTTGCTTTAAAAAGCAGCCCAAATAACTGTAAAATAAAAAAAATAGAAATAAACACTCTTAGTCTTATTATATATTCACAAAAAAAGTGTATCAAGTAAAATAAAAACATTATAGAAAAAATGTCTGGCAGAATTTTAGAATTTTCCAGAATAAATCTTCACTAAAAAATGAGTATATATACATATATGACTACACACACATATGTGTGTATATATATTATATATACATATACATATATACAATTTCTTCTTGTAGATAATATCTGGTATTATTTTCATTTTAGAAGGTTAAACACTGGATCAGTGGTTTATAATATTTGAAAAATTTGAATATGTTTCTCCAATATGCCATTTGAAGACACAAATGAATACTATGAATTTGATAAAGCAAAATGAACACTTTCACATATACAAAAATTTCTGTGAATTTCAGAGAATGCACATCTCTTCAGAAAGAAGAAAAGAAGGAAAATAATACTAGATTTGATCTACAAGAAGAAATTATAAATGGTAAGCAGATGAGTAATCGTAAAGTATATTTTATTTTTTTAATGCATAGAAAATTAATTAAATTTCTAAAGCAAAAGAATAGTAGCAATACTTCTTAGGGCTAATATCATAAGCAGAAATAAAATATATGACAATAGCACAAAGTGTAGAAATGGATGAAAAGTGTATTGATTTGGTTAGTATTCATTATAATTGAAGTGATGTAATATTAATGCAAGATGGATGGTGATAAATTAAAGATGAATGTTATAGTCTCCAGAACAACCAATAAAATATGTTGCAAAAAATTATTAGTAAAATGGGAATAGAGAAGATAGAATAAATATATAAAAATATTTAATTAATAAAGGCAGCCAAGGAAAAAAGAAGTTTCAACCAGAAAACAAATAACAAAATGGTTGACTTAAATCCAAGTATATCAAAACTACAACGAATATTAGGTAGATGCAAATGTAATCACAGTTTTTGCCATTAAAAGGAATGGCAAACTGTGATTACTTTTGCACCAATCCAGTATAAATAAATTAAAAGTATGAATGTAGAGATTGGAGACTGGGGAAAAATAAGCATAATATAACAATAATATGCTGTTTATAAGGACACATTAAAAATGTATTCAATTAATATTTCATGATCATCATTTTACTTGACATATATGTATTTTAAGAAACAGTTTTCTCACATGGATCACTGCCAGCCACCTAAGTAATTGTTACAATAGGTATTCAGTAGTGGTAGTTGGAGTAATAGTAATAGCTAAAACTTACAGAAACCTTACCATGTACTGCTAGCTGTTAGAGTTGGTTTATAAAAATAATCTTGTTTAATAATTACAGCAAATTAATATGTAGTAGTAATTATATCATCCTCATTTTACTGATGATTCAACAGATACAGAAGAAACAAGTGACTTACTTAACGCCCTGCATTTAGTAATTGAATTTAACTATAACTCCAAAGCTTTCTACGGTCTCTCAATTTTATTACTTCTCTCCACTTTTCCATGCATCTTTTTGAATACAGTTCTGATTACATCACACTGCTGCTAAACCCCTTTATTGGCTTCCTATTACCCTTGCCTTCCCATTACTCTTGCTATGATGACCAAACTATACGATGTGACATGCCTTTCCTTCTGAACATTTTCTAATTCCTAAGTATACCTTGCTGGATCTCAACTGAGTCCTCTCATCTGCGACTCCTACCAGCTGAAACTATCTTATTATTTTCCCACAGTATCTCTGAATAACTAATACCTATTTGTCCTTCAGGCCCCAGTCTATCAAAATTCTTATAAACACCCTTCATAAATGCAGTGTTCAGTGTTCAGTCTAACCCAACCCTTCAGTCCGGATTCGGATACATCAGATGTTCTACATCTTACATTTTTCTGTTCTCAAAGCGCTCGTGACAGACTAGATCTTTCTTTGGAGGTCACATCATACATATATTTATTTTACATAAATTGGTTTCATAGTGAGTGTAAGGCTAATATTCAAATACTTGATTTTTTGTTGATTTTTTTCTAGCATAGTTCTCAAACAGAAGCTATTTTATAATTACGTTAACTTTGAAAAGTTCTATATTTCAAAATTGAAGGAAAAAAAAAAAACTAGGCCCCAGTTTAAAGCGAACAAACAAAGAAACTTCCAGATCCTAGCGCAGGTTGTCCAGGCCAAAAAAAAAACTTTATTGGGATTAGAATTAACTTGCAGCACTGTTGACCTTTCAGCTCAAATGCCCTTCACCGCCTCCCCACACAGATCTTCACTTCCACCATCATTCCCTTCCCCCTTCCTCTGTAGTCCTGGTTTTTTTTTTTACTGAGCAATGATAAATGTATATACTATATGTTATAGGTTCAGTTTTTTTCTTTAATTTTTGTAAACTCTATCATATGTACTTATCCTACATGAGAATCCCCAAATAATTTGGGGTTGACTTTTCTCTGCTCTCTATTAGGCAATAAACCACATGAGGGCAGGAATAATTTCTATTCAGATAATCAGTAATTTCTTAGCATCTAACTCAGTGCCTAGCTCATTGATTGGTCATTTTTGACAATAACCAAAATATGCCCAGAGAGTAGGTAGTAGCATATTTAATTTGGTGAAACTGTCATCGAACATTTGGTTCTTCCTGAAATCTACATGTAATTATGAAAGCAGTGAAAATCAGAGACATTTGTATTATCACAACTTTTCTCACTATGGCACTCCCTGCTAATATCACCAAGAAAATAAGAATTGTTTATATTCTTGCTTGAATTTTGAGATTTTGCAATGAAAAATTAGAGTAAGGGATAGAGAAAAGCAAAGACGATGAAGTAGGGACTTACAGTTAAAATAGTAAGCCTGAATTAGGTGACAGAAGCAAAAATGGTGCTTTCAGGAAAAGTTGAGAGGAGAGAAAGAAATGCATACATATTGTGACAAACGGAGTTTTGTTTGGGAGTGATTTGGGGGAGTAAGATGTCATTTCTGTAGAAAATGACATCTGTTTAAGGAGAAAGACCATTAGGGATAAAGAAAGGTGTATAAGACATCTTGAAGTATATTTTAATATATCTCCCATCCTTGCACTGACCATTATTGAGAAACCATTATAGGTTTGCTGTTGGTTTAAATCAGCATCGATAGCTATTAGGTCAAAATAATTATCACTTTAACTTACATCACATTTGGGGAAAAATGACTTTCATAGAATTTTTTGAAAGGAATTAACTGATTAGTGTCATTTTTTGAACTTTGAGATTTCTTTCAAAATAAACAAATATTTCATATGATAACTGAGGTAGATACATTTGACATAAAATTTCTTGCAAATGTGAAAATTCTGTCTGTGCTGCATAACCAGCTCTTTTCTCTCAAGGACTTCTCAGCACTTGGAACTGTACTCTGTGGGTACTTAAACTTTAATTGATGATCATAAGCATTTCATTTGTATTTTCATTTTCTTTCCTTGGCCCACTCTGAAAGACTTTAAAGTTAGCCATTTCAAAGTCCCTGCTTTCAATTGTTTTATCATACCTTTTAATTTTTCCAAAGATTAAAATAACAAAAGCCCCTTTGAGATTCCTATATCTAGGTTGGCAGGTGGGTAAATGTTTCTCTGGAGTGACATTCTCTCTTAGTGATAAAATTGCTTCTATCGTCTAAGCACCTGTTAGATATCTGGCAGCATGATTTCAAATGACAGTTTCTATGATATCTAGAGCAAGCACACAAGATATTCTCCAGTGATTTCCCCAACGTAAGAGGGGAAAAAAAACAGGGGTGGAGAAACAAAGTTAATTCTCTTTTAAATTGTTATTTATCTGCCAGTATAATTATATGTCAGGATCTTAATAAATGCAGAACACCTAGTATAATATGTTTTACCTGGTCTTGCTCCAAACCAGGAAGACAACCTTAAATGGGCTCAATATATAATTATATCAGAATAAAAAAATTGCATTACACATTTCCTATTTAAATGTGCTGTAATTTCTTTTTAGATAAAATTGGTGTTACTTTAAAAGTAAAAACATCATAAAAATAATATGTTGTGACAAACACAACTTTCAAATTTGTTACAAATGTTAAATTTTAACTTATATTTTCTCATATTTTATAAATGTGAGTAAACCACATTTTTTTAATCAAAGCAATTAGTGTATAGTAAAATATTTAACACTTTAGCTTTTAGACAAATGGTCTAACCACAAACATTGGCTAATTTATTTCCTTTTCTTTCCAGTGTTAACCTTTAGTGGGAGCTTTGCAGGCATTTTAATTTATTTTAAATTTATGCAAAAATAGATTAGCATTTTCTAGCAATCATTTGTTTTGCATTTCTTGCTTTCAGCCATTTTTTAAGCCACCTGCTGTATTTGCCTTATGTTCAAAGTACGCAGTTGACAGTTACTAATAATGCAGATTAAATTTGCTTATGATGACAGGCAAAACACTAAGTAAAAACAAAACAATATAATCCTGCATTTGTTTCCTCTGTTTAAGTGGTGACTTAAAAGAGACAGGTCTGATGTGCAAGACCATTAATTTATTACCATTTGGCAAGTCTTACTGAACTGAGATATGGACAGCATGTGAAAGTTAATATAATTAAACAACTTTTCAAGTATAAGTCTGTTTTATAAAGTTCAAAAATATGTGTTCAGTCTAAAATAAATATCTTTATTTTTTATATTTTCAGTAGTTATTAGAATTTGCCACCAAGATATAATATCATTAGTAAATAAAAACATCTAGGCTGAACATTTCTGAAGGCACAAATTGTCAAGGCAAACATATTCCATGTTGTGTGCATTTCTGCTTTATTCTTCTTGGTGTATTTCTAATAAAGGTATCACAAAACAAATACTCTTAAAATTTAAAAGATGGTGATTAAAACCTGACATATGGGACATTAGCTATACTTTATAAGTCTGTATTTAGGTATTTAGAGAGTACCAAAAATTATGGATGTTGTAGGTAATGGTCCCTGGGAACCACATACTTTTATCTGAAGAATTGACCCTGCTTTTACAAACCTTTGCTGTGAATTGTGGCTATATCTGATGTTTCCATGTATTTAACAAGACAAATATGTGTATACTCATGATCGCTTAGTCTTTGCCACATGAGTATTTCTTGGATGCTTTTAACTCAGGCATTATGTCTTTGAATTTATTGAGCCAAAAGCAATACAAACAAATTACGTTCAATTTATCCCTCTAAATAATGTAGAAACTAAAAATTATTATGCAACATGCTCATCTATGAATGTTGAAATATTTATTTTATATTTAACACGTTGAATTAATTTTTGCCCATCTATATTATCGTGATATATATCTTACAGAGTTTTGTTTTAAACCATGCATAAACAAACTCATAAGAGTTTATCAAAATGAGTGGAAGATTTGGTTTGGCTATTTCAGTATTCAGCCAGTCCTAGAAGGAATCGGAACATAAAAAGTTATATTCAAAATAATGATTTCTAACATTTGAGCAATCTCTAAGTGCCAGACTTTGTGCTAATTGTTTTTATTCATAATTTATTTAATACTCATATATCTGTAAGGTGGATAATATCGTTTACCACCACTTTGCAGATAGTGAGGCACAGAGAATTTTTTTTTTTTTTGCAAGGGGTGACATGTGTTGAGTTGCAACTGGAAGACAAACACAATGGAATGATTTCAGGGCCTGTGATGTAATCATTCCGAGGTGCTATCTATGTTACTCCCAGTGGGTGAAGGAAGAATGGAAACATTAGAACTTTGTGAGGGCCACTGGATGGATTTATTGGCTTAAACCTTTTCTTTCTCCTACATGTGACATAAAGGAAAGAGGCAGAATTTGCAAGAGGAGAGGCTGTGTAACAATACCAAAGCCAAAGATCCTGGCTTTAAAAAGAGCATTTGGTTATTAGCTCTGGGATATGTAACCTTCCTGAACTTCAGTTTTCTAATCTGTTTATTGGGAAAAATAATGTCTATCAGCATATTTCTCACCAATGACAGTAAAAGCCAAATGATAATGGAGTATTTTTAAGGTGCTGAGAGAAAATCGTTTCACATAAAAAAAATATAAAAATATAACAAATGTAGAAAAGGACAATCATCTAAACTCACAAAGAATGAAGTTAATAGTTATTATTGTGGACCCACAATAACCCATAGGGTTTATCACTAACAAATCCTTGTTGAAGAAATACTGAAGAATGCATTTGAGAAAGAAGGATAATCGAAGGCATAGCTTGCAAGTAGGAATAGTGCACAGGAATTTTAAATCTGAGGGCAAATGTAAAGAGCACTGACTATGTAAACTCTGACCCCTTCTTCACTGAGCTTACAGTCTAGCAGGGAGGTCGATCTTAAATAATTCATGACACTTCTCTTGAGTAGGAAAAAATGCTGTTTGTAGATAAAGATACAAGTAGCAGTTTTCTTTATGAATGTTAATGAGAGAATAAAATTTAATATATCTCCATTAGCATAATTTAAAGGTCATTAAAACATTTGAACATTGAAATGGATCCTCTTTCATCACAAACCTGAACTCCTATATCGAGGCATCAACTCTGCTCCTCCTATAGTTTATGCTTTTGTTTGTAGTTTTCAAACACACTACACTGTTATTTTTAGTTTTTACTCCTACACGTGGAGGAATACACACTTTCACCTACTTTTCATCTACCTCCTTCAGATTCAGCTCCAGGGCCATCTCCTGCTAGAAGCCTTTCTTGCTCCTTTCCAACTTTATCCAATTCAATTAGACATTCCTCTTTGGTGCCCTAGAGTATACTCTATCTGATTCCTTTGTTTTGTTTGTTTGATAGGGTCTCATTCCCATTGCTCAGGCAGGAGTGCAGTGGAGCAAACTTGGCTCACCACAGCCTTGATCTCTCGGGCTCAGGTGATTCTACCACCTCAGCCTCCTGAGTAACTGGGACTAGAGGTTCACGACACTATGCCTGGCTAATTTTTGTATTTTTTGTAGAGACAGGATTTTGCCATGTTGCCCATGATGGTCTTAAACTCCTAGGCTCAAGTGATCCTCCTGCCTTGGCCTCCCAAACTGCTGCTTTTGCAGATGTGAGCCGTTGAACCTGGCCATGACTCCTACTTAAGTTTTTATAAACTACATTAAACAAATTTGTTTTTATGTTAGTATCCCCAACAAGATGCTAAATTACTCAAGGCAAGATAATACGGTATTAATATATTTTTTCAATGATCTTCCCTGGCCCCATTTTGGGGAACATGGTCTTGTATGATTACCTAAAATATAAGGCAAAATGTCAATTAGTATTGCAGATAGCAACACAAATGTTGAAGTGACCTAGAGAGGATGTCATGTTATAAGAGGTCTGATGTAATTCTAACAACTTTCTACTGATATTTAAGCGACAAGATCCTTAAATCTTACAGTAGAGAACTGTTTCAATTATTTAATTAAACTTTTAATTGTATATTACAAAGTAATTTCAAATTTATGGGACAATGCCAAACATCATACAAAAACCTGCCTTATACCCTTCATCTATATTCACCAATTTTTAGCATTTTGCCACATTCACTTTTTCTCTATTTATAAATTATTATTATTGGTACTATTGTATTGGCTAAACAATTTGAGAGTAACTGGAGTATATACCTCTTAAAAATAAGAACATTCACTTCTGTGCACATGATTATTAAATTCATGAAATTTTAAATGGGTACATTTTGTTACCTAAGAGATAGCCCGTATTAAAATTGTTCTCATTATTCAGTAATTTCCTCTATGTATTTCCTTTCTCCAAACCAGAATTCAAACCAAAATCACCCTTTGCATTTACCTGTCATACTTGGTCTCCTTTAATTTGGAAAGTTTTTGTGTTTCTTGACATTTTTATTGTGGATGATTAGACTTGCTCTTCTATAGACTGGGGTTGTCTGGAGTTTGTTCCTGATTACTTTCAGGTTATGCAGGGCGGGAACACTACATGAGTGGTGTTAGCACCTTAGGAGGCACATCATGTCAGTTCGATCCAATATTGGAGATGTGAACTTTGCTCACTTGGGAAGATGGCATTTGCCAGTTTTCTCAATCACTGCATTACCATTTTGCATTTGTAATATGAGAAAAAATGACTTGGCCAATGTCCAAAGTCTCCCCCAATATTTCCAGCATCTATTGATCGTTCTTGGATAAATTAATTATAATTATGATGGTTCAAAATAGGATGTTCTTACTATTTCATTTTTTCTACATTTATTCATTAATATTCCACTCTAAGGAAGAGCTCTCCCTTATTTCCTATAGGTTAGCTAATTCATTTATTCGTGTATTTATTTATGTCATAACCTTGGCCTCATGGATGCTTATTTTTTTCCTTGAGTTTTCACTACTGTCAGTGTTTTTTTTTTTGGTGCTCAAATAGTCTCAGATTTGACTAGTGGAAGTTGCTTAAAGTGGGTCTTATGGCCTTTTGTTATGCACTCATTAGTTTTTAATTCTCTACTTTCTGACATGCCAAGATATCCCACGCTCACTTTCTACTTCCCTTAATGCAGCTTTGGAATTAAACATTCCTCCATTGTTCCGTGTTGTGCAGGTTTATGTAAACCTACATAAAAAGGCCAAGGAAGCTGAGAGGCTGAAGAAGGTGACTGACAAATTTAATTTCTTGGAAAGAAACATTTAATAGGGACTTACAAACCAAATCCATGTCTCAGGTTGCCCTGAGACCAGGCAGTGGATCCCTACACCCTAACCTCAGACCCAGGTCTTATATACCATAGGAATTTGCCTAATGGCAGGATTCATGGTAAGTACGTGAAAATAGAAATTTTAGAGGCATTCCTGGAACTAGCAGGGTTAATCAGAAGTCAAAATGGTGGATTAGCACCCAGGATGGAATTACTTTAGCCTCCACATACATGGAGCTGTCATTACTTCTAATGAGGACAATTATTTAGAAACTAAGGTGTATGTGTTAGTTGTATTTATATATGTATAAATTTTACATACACACAAATAAGTCATACCTTCATACTGATAGTTCTATTTTCAATTCAATACTGCAGAATTATTTCATGCCTTCTCCCATGCCGTATCAACCTTTTCTTTTACGTGAGCACTCTGTAACTACAGCTAAGTAGCTACATGGAAACTCTGGCTCCCAGCATCAATACATTTCCTCATTTGCTCAATCCTACAAAACACACAGTGCAGTTTCAAAATTGCTATGCCCTTATCACTATGAACAACAAACATGCTAATTAGCAATCAATATTCTTAAAGGTCTTTTTACATGTAGAGGGAGGGAATATAGTCTAAGTACTGTTTTCAAAAGTTACTTGTGTTTATCCATTTTTACTTCTTTGTGATGTGTTGCTAACTGGCAACACAATTTGATTCATTGTTTTCTATTTGTGTTCAATTTTAATTTTTTCCTCATTTTTGCTGATTTAATTTTCTTTATAAATATGCAAATGGTCATGTTTCCAAGTCAAAGCTTTGCAAACAAGCACATGCAAAGTAATGTTACGTGGTTCTCCATTCCTTTTCCCATATTTAAAATCATCCTCTGTTGGTAACAAATTTCGTAGTTTCTTATTGCCTTTCTATGTTTTATTTGCAAAAATGAGGAATACATATGTATAAACACATGCATATATAGATACATAACAGCATGCTACCTTTTTTAAGTTTAACAATATATTTTGGAAATCACAAATCATTACATAACAATTTATACATACCAGTCTGTTTTTTGTATTGCTTCATCCTTTGCCAATATTTTAGGTATGAAATTCAGGTTATTTACAATGTTTTGCAATAAAACATAATGCCATAACCAATAAACTTATGCATATGTATTTTGTACTGTAGAAGATATTTCTTCATGAGAAAATTCTTAGAATTGAGTTTGCTGAGTGTGTCTATGCAATTTTCTTAGATGTTTCCAAATCCACCTCCACATATATTGAACCATTTTGTTTGCCTGCTAGCTGTGTATAACCCTGTCTACCCACAGCCTTGCCCATACACTGCGCTTTCCATCTGACAAGTGAGAGATGGTATATCGGTATAGTTTTAATTTTCATTTATCTTACGATGGGTGCATTTTTGAAGTGTCTGTAATTATCTTTTTCTTACAGCTTACATTGAATGCATCAGCAAATCCTACTAGACCTATCTTCAAATTTATTCCAAACCGTATTTCTCACCACCTCTACTGCCAACATCTTTAATCCAAAGCAGCATGATTACTTACCTACAAGTAATTACTCATCTATGAGTTCCCTCCTAACTGGACTCCCGCTTCCACCCTTTCATCACTATAGTATACTCTCAACAAAGCAGTCAAAGTGAACCTTTTAAATTCTGGCGTATTATTACACTCCCTGCTTAAAACTCTCCAGTGGTTTCTTATCACACACAGCTAACAGCCAAAGTTCTTGTGATAACCCCCAGGGCCCTAAAATCATCTCTGACCTCATTCCATCTGTTCCTCCCTGCCTCCCTCTGCTCTAGACATGCGCACTAGGCCTGCTGTGTCCTCAGGGCCCTGCACTGGTCTCCCTCCCACCTAGAACACTCTCACTTCAGAGGTTCAGGTGGCCAAGGATCCACCAGTTGTCTTTGTTCACACTTCCCTTTCTTGGGGAGGCTTTCAGTGACCTCCCATACACTGAGTTATCTTCCTTTGTCATCTGTTCCCCTGAGAACTGAAAAGCCTATGAAGGTAGGGAGTGCCTGGTGTTTACCAGGTATTTTTGATTGAATAAAAAACATACAGTGAATACTATATTACTAATAGAGTGAGATTTATTTTATTTTATTTGTTTATTTCAGTGACCAGAGAATACTAATATTATAGTTGACATTCCCTAATTACTCAAAAACTGAAAAGAAAGATGGCCTTTAAGGACATTCTTTCCCATATTATTAACATCTACAAATATACTCACTGACAAATGTTCCCTCAGTTATGAGCCAGATCCTTGTGAATAACAATGATGAAAATGTCTTTTTTCAATAAATAAAAATGTGCATATACATATATATCTGTAAAACATTTATTTTGTATATCATTATATTGACATATATAGATAGTAGTTTGAGTTAATTGAATCAATAGTAGGATTAAGGATATTTTCATACACCACCTTTGTATAACTTAGATCCTTCTTTAAATGCTCTATTTTAAAAATAATTTTCAATAGATATTTTTTGGAGGAGGAGTAAATTGACACTTCATCACATAGGGGTGTCCATTCTTTTGGCTTCCCCAGGCCACAGTGGAAGAAGAATTGTCTTAGACCACACACAAAATGCACTAACACTAACCATAGCTGACGAGCCAAAAAAAAAAAGAAAAAAATGCAAAAAAAAACCTCATAACTTTTTTCTTCAAAAAAATATAAAAACCGGGATACATGTGCAAAACATGCATGTTTGTTACATAGATAAACATGGGCTGCTACACTATTGACCCGTCCTCTAAGTTCCCTCCCCTGGCCCCCAACCTGCCAACAGACCCTAGTGTGTGTTGCTCCCTTCTCTGTGTTCATGTGTTCTCATTGTTCAATTCCTACTTATGAGTGAGAACATGCAGTGTTTATTTTTCTGTTCTTGTGTTAGTTTTCTGAGGATGATGTCTTCCAGCTTCATCTATCTCCCTGCAAAGGACATGATCTCATTTATTTTTATGGCTGCATAGCATTCCTTGGTGTATATGTAATACATTTTCTTTTTCCAGTTTATCATTGACGGGCATTTGGGTTGGTTCCATGTCTTTGCTATCGTAAATAGTGCTGGAGTAAACATATGTGTGCATGTGTTTTTATAGTAGAATTATTTATATTTCTTTGGGTATATACCAAGTAATGTGAGTGGTGGGTCAAATGGTATTTCTGGTTCTAGATCCTTGGGAAATCACCATACTGTCTTCCACAATGGTTGAAATAATGTATATTCCCACCAACAGTGTAAAAACATTTCCATTTCTCCACAGCCTCGCCAGCGTCTATTGTTTCCTGACTTTTTAATAATCACCATTATGAGTGGTGTGAGATGGTAACTCATTGTGGTATTGACTTGCAGCATTTCTCTGATGATCAGTGATGAGCTTTTTTTCATGTTTCTTGGCCATATAAATGTCTTCTTTTGAGAAGTCTGTTCATATCCTTTGCCCACTTTTTGATGGGGTTGTTTGTTTCTTGTAAATTTGTTTAAGCTCCTTGTAAATTCAGGATATTAGACCTTTGTCAGATGAGTAGACTGCAAAAATTTTCTCCCATTCTGTAGATTGCCTGTTCACTCTGATAATAGTTTCTGTTGCTGTGCACAAGTTCTTTAGTTTAGTTAGATCCCATTTGTCAATTTTGGCTTTCATTGCGATTGGTGTTGGCGTTTTTGTCATGAAGTCTTTGCCCATGCCTATGTCCTGAATGGTATTGCCTAAGTTTTCTGCTAGAATTTTTATGGTTTGGGGTTTTACATTTAAGTCTTTAATCCATCTTGAGTTAATTTTTGTATAAGGTATAAGGAAGGGATTCAGTTTCAGTTTTCTGCGTATGGCTAGCCAGTTTTCCCAGCACCATTTATTGAATAGGAGATTGTTTCCCCATTGCTTTTTTTTGTCTGGTTTGTTGAAGGTCAGATGGTTCTAGATGTGTGGTGTTATTTCTGATGTATCTGTTCCACTCCGTTGGTCAATATGTCTGTTTTGGTACCAGTATCATGCTGTTTTGGTTACTGTAGCCTTGTAGTATAGTTGGAAGTCAGGTAGCGTGATGCCTCTAACTTTGTTCTTTTTGATTCAGATTGTCTTGGCTATATGGGGTCTTCTTTGATTCCACAAAAAACTATTTAAAAATTTTTTTTTCTAATTCTGTGAATAATTTCAATGGTAGTTTGATGGGAATAGCATTGAATCTATACATTACTTTGGGTGGTATGGCCATTTTCATGATATTAGTTCTTCCCGTCCATGAGAATGGAATTTTTGTTTATTTGTTTGTGTCCTCTCTTATTTCGTTGAGCAGTGGTTTGTAGTTCTCCTTGAAGAGGTCCTTCACATCTCTTGTTAGCTGTATTCTTAGGTATTTTATTGCCTTTGTAGAGATTGTAAATGAGAGTTCATTCATGATTTGGCTCTCTGCTTGTCTATTGTTGGTATAAATGAATGCTTGTGATTTTTTCACATTGATTTTATATCTTGAGACTTTGTTGAAGTTGCTTATCAGTTTAAGGAGTTTTTGGGCTGAGATGATGGGGTTTTCTGAATATAAAATCATGTCGTCTGCAAACAGAGACATTTTGACTTCCTTTCTTCCTATTTGAATACACTTTACTTCTTTCTCTTGCCTGATTGCCCTGGCAAGAACTTCCAATACCATGTTGAATAGAAGTGGTGAGAGAGGGCATCCTTATCTTCTACTGGTTTTCAAAGAGAATGCTTCCAGCTATTGCCCATTCAATTTGATATTGGCTGTGGGTTTGTCATAAATAGCTCTTATTATTTTGAGATATTTTCCATCAACACGTAGTTTATTGAGAGTTTTAAACATGAAGTGATGCTGAATTTTATCAAAGGCCTTTTCTGCATCTATTGAGATAATCATGTCGTTTTTGTCTTTGGTTCTGTTTATGTGATGAAAATCCCATAATATTCTAAGAAAGTTTACGAATTCGTATTGGGTCACATTCAAAGCTGTCCTGGCCTGCATGCGACCTGAGGGCCATGGGTTGGACAAGCTTGACACAGGTGGAAACTCCTGCAGTTGGTAATTTATGTATTTATTTGTAGACATTCTGCCAGTATTGACAACATTATATATTGTGTAAACCTTCCCTCTGCATTTAAAATGTCATTTATATAGTTCTATTATTGGGTCCTATATTCTGTTTTATAAGTATATTTGTCACTTTTTAAAAGAATACCTCTCTGTTTTAATTGCTGTTATTTTAAAGTACATGTTGATAATCTCTAATCTGGGCTCTAACCTTTCTGTTCAAAAATTTTTGGCTACTTCCATAGACTTACGCTTTCAACTGGACTTAAAAAATTATTTATTTTTTCTTTAATTTACAGACTAGATCTCACTTTGTTGCATAGGCTGGAGTGCAGTGACTGAATCACAGCTAACTGCTGCCTGGAACTCCTGGCCTCAAGGGATCCTCCCATCTCAGCCTCTTCGGTAGCTAGAACTGCAAGTGCACAACATTATGCTCAGCTAACTTACTTTTATTTTTTGCAGAGATGGAGGTCTCGCCAGTTTGTGAGGTTGGTCTCAAACTCCTGGGCTCAAGTGATCTTTGCCCTTAGCCTCACAAAGTGCTGAGTTTACAGGCATGAGCCATCATACTCCAGCCTAAAGACTTTTTAAAAAATCTAATTCCAATAAGAATATTTAGGATTTTCATTATAAATGCTTTAAAATATTTATTACTTTGGGAGCAATTAATGGCTTTATAATATTGAATCTTCATATTTATAAACATAGATTATTATTTAGTCCTTAAAAATATTATAAACTACTATTTGTTACTTGGTAGCTTCCTGAAAAGTTTTCAGTCATTTTTTTCTTACATAGGGCTCTGATGCAGTTGCTAAGTTTCTACTATTTTTTCCCCAGTTTTCTCAATCCTGCAGGTCATTCCCATTGTCCATTCATTTAAAGAAAATAGTTGTTAATAGCTAATACTAACTAAGCTTCTACTAAGCCCAAGGAGTGAAGGAACTAGTGCCTAGTCATGGGCTTTTTACTAAACAAATATTATAAATGAATGTCTACATGGCAACTTATAAAAGAGAGTAGAGAGCTCATAGTTCAAACCATGCATTCCATTGCAAAGGCAGATAAGGCCTGGATGTAAAAGGTAGAGTTGAACAGCACATCTAAGTAACACCAAAGGCAAACTTTCTCCATTTTTTAAGGGAAGGGTTGAAAGTAGCTAATATCTCTTTACTATGATAGGAAAATCCCAAAGATGTTTTTGTTCTGAGTTGAAACAAGTTCTAAGTGGAGTTGTTATTCACACTTTATTAAAAAGATGAAGGATGGAAATGTGCAATATACGATTCAGGAGGGAAAGGTCAATTAAAGGATTTAGGAATAAAAAAATAATAGTTTGGAAATAGACCAAAAAAAAGCCTAATCTGAAAGCTAAACCAAGATGCCAAAAACAGATGTTGAAAAACCATTTTGAATTAATTAGGAAGATCAGCCAAAAGCAAAAAAAATTAACATTGACACTTGGAGTTGAAACTTCTAAAAATCTGTATGTGTGTTGTGCCTGTGTGTATTGCAAATGAATATAGATGATGAAATACTTCAATATATAGTAAAAAGATTTTCTAGATATTTTAGATACTGCCATCTCACCAAATCAAAAACTCCAGTGGATACCATGAAGTGCAGGTATTGTTTATAAGTATAACAACAAAACTAAAATTGTAAGGAATGGTGAATACAATATCCAGAAAATTTCAAGTGCCATGATATTTGATATTAAATTAGTGGTTAAACACAAAATGCAAAAACTTTTCTATCTTATTATTTGCCAAAAATAAGATGGTTTACTGATTTACTATTTAAGGTATGGGAACTAATTGCAAGTCTAAGTCTAATAAGGAAAATTAAATTATAAATTAAATCTTCTAAGTCCAAGGGAAATAAAGTGGTTATTGATTTAAAAAATTAACTCAAAATTAACCCTCTTTTTCCTAAAGGAGAAAAAAACAGCATTGGAGTCATCCTAGAAATATCTAAAAAGAACAACTTTTCTGATGACTACATCAGATCCCTTAATAAAAAATATAAGAACAAAATCATCTGTCATACTAAAGCCATGTGTACATTTGTAGAACCTTCCCCATACTTAGAAGTTTTCAGCTCTGACGTCACATTAGAATTACCTGGAGTGTTTTTTAAAAATACTAATGCCCAGGACTCATCTCAGACAAATTAAATCAGAATTTGGGGTAGGTCCAGGCATGAGTAATTTTCAAAAGCTCCCTAGTTAATTCCAACGTGCATCCTCTGTAGAGGTACATTGATCTGGGGTAGGAGATAGTTTAGGCATAGTCAGTAAAATCCTGGAGTTTATGAGAGTCAGCTTCTCTCTCTTCATTTTAGTTAAAAAGCTTGCATATCATAAATAGATGGTAAACTGTTTACATGGATCCTTCTTCAAAGTAGCCCACTCAACAATAGAGTTGGAAGAAAGTGCACTGATTAAAACCATTCATTCAGTGAATATTTCCTGAAGACTCACTCTATTCCTGGTACTATTTTTGTGTAGTGGAGTTTAGTGGAGAACAGATTTTACCTTTGGTAAACGCAGTCTGCAAGGGAAAACAGTCAATGAAACGTTCCATGACAAAAAAGTTATGAAGCTTTTAGTCCTCAAAGATGTGATCAGAAAGCAGTCACTTCAACACACAGTCTGTGTTAAGTACTAGAAAACTTAGAACAGTTAACCATGCTTTGATGATATAAGTGAGATTTTCATAAAAAGTGTAAGTGGAAGATGAACATTTTTCTCCCTCTCTGTTGTTTCTGCCTTGCCCCGCCAAGCTGATCTTCTTTTAGAGTTTCAGGAGGAAGAGTGAGTAGCTGTTTGATAGGCTTGGGGTGAAGGATGAGCATTTGTGGCTTAACACATTCTTTTCTCTTTCAGGTTTTTTCTTATTAAAGAAAGCATATGTTACGTCCTGCTCTTCCTCCACCTCGCAAAAGTCACCTGAGTCAGGTCCAAGTCTGTCTTCTTGTAAAGGGTTTGGGCACCTTTTTCTCTGAGTTCTCTAAGCACTAACCAGTGTGAGAAAGTGAGTGTGCAACGTCTCCATTCTGTAGACCCAACTCAACATTGTATGTGCTATCACAAGGCCTAGGCCTGGGTAACAGTGAGGAAGCTTGAAGATGACTTTCTATTCTACCCATAGTTTTTAGTCCAGCCTTACCATTAATTAGGTTGATAGCCTGATCATTGAATACAATATTTGAATCTCCTATTTCTTCCTGGTATTATAGAGTTTTGTTGGGAAAATCAGAAGAGTACAAAAGCATAATTAATTATTATCCTTAGAAGTTCATCAATAATAATACAAAAGGATTTAAATAGCCACAATTCTGGGGAAAAAAAAAAAGAAACAAGAATTCATCACCTTTCTACTGAAAGGTCGAAGAGACCAAGTGGCCTAATTTCAGATGACTATCCCAGTTCCATAGATACAAATATCCCCAGAGTGGAAAAGGCCAATTCATGAGGAAACCAGCACTGTAGATTAACACTAGAAAATCTATCCATCTTCTGCTACCCAAGTTTTGTTCACTAGAGAACATACTATTTTGTAAATTGATCACCTTATCAGATCTTAACAGGAAGGACATATTTTTTCACATGTGAAGTGAATTTTTAAATTGTTATTTCCAAAAAATTTTCTATAGCTTTTTCTGATGCAAAGCCACAGAATCCATCTTTGGATAAAGCTTTATTGTTTTTGAGGATAAAGGGAGAAATGTGCTCCTGGATTATGCAAAGACTAGGCAAAAGTAGCCAAGCATTTTGTTAAAACGCTTTGATATGATGGGTCCTTTTGTATAAACAAAGAGAAAAAAGCTACCATGTAGAATTAATCATTTTGTATCTTTTTAAGTGAAGCATTATTAATAGAGTTGAACCCATGTTATGCCTTTCTGAATCACTTTATTTCCTTCTAGTCTAAGAGTTTTATAGTTTCCTTTCATGTTTGTCAATTTTTATTAGAAATGTTCCTATGTTGCTGTATGGTAAACGCACCTGATAGCAGTAACTTCAGCATACCCTGAGAATGACCCTGTATGGCACAGGCACCTGAATGTGTGTTTCTAGCTGGGGAATTCTGGAATGGCCAATCCAGACAATCAATCCTTGTCTATGAGGGACATCCGAGCCTCCGGCCCATGCCATGGAATGCAGGCCCTATAGTCCCCCCTGCCGCCCCCTACCCCGTATTTTAAGTTGCATGAAGGTGGCCAGGTGGAAGTTGTTAGGAAAAAGGGTGTTAAAAGAAAGTTCTGTATAAACAGCATGCCTTTTGTAAGTGGTTGCAGTCTTCCTGTTCAGGCCACTGCCACTGCGCTCTCTCCCCTATATGTAAGCTCCAAGAAAACTCCATGTCTCATTTGCTGGCAGAGCATCCCTAATCATGGTACAGATTAATGAGTTTAAAGCAAAGAGGAATTTGCTGAACACCTGGTAAAATGTAATACTTCAACGAGAATCACCCTTCCCCAAAATAAGGAAAAAAAGAAACTATATAAGTATTAGAAAAAATAAGATAATTATCTTGTATCCATAATTCATAATTAAGAAATAAAACTCAGAAGCCATAAAATCACATATGCAATCATATATTAATATGTAAATATAATAATCAATATAAATAATATCAAAATTAGAATGATAAATATTTTTTCAAATAAAAAATATTTGCAACAAGCATCTCAAATAACTAATTTCCTTAAAATATAAATAGCTTCTACAAATCGACATGAAAAAGCCTATTTTTAAAAATGTGGACAAATTATCTGAACTGGCAGTTCACAAAAGAGGAAATGCATATTTCTGAGGCAGGCAAATAGGGCCTGGAGGCAGGGAACCTAAAGACTTCCTAGAACTAAATTAAATGGAAAAACCCTAACTTTCTAACCCCAAGTAAATAACTTTGTAACTTCACTTCAGCTATGCCAAGAAACATCCTCTTCATTTGCATAGGGTGTACACCAAGTAAATAACTTTGTAGCTTCACTTCAACCTCTTCATTTACATAGGGTTTACACCAAGTAACCAGTGGGAAACCTTTAGAGGGTATTTAAACCCCAAACAATTCTGTAACCCGTGCTCTTGGGCCACTTGCTTGAGCCAGCTCACACTCTGTGGAGTGTGCTTTTATTTTAATAAATCTGTGCTTTTCTTTCATTGCTTTGTGTGTTTTGTACAATTATTTGTTCAAAATGACAAGAATCTGGATACCTTCCTCCGGTAACATTTCTCTTAAATATGTACACAATGTTCAAACTCACTTAAAATTTAAAACTATACTAAAATATCAGATTATTGAAAGTTTGATAAAACACTGTTGATAAAGAGAGAGACAAACAGGCAATATAATGGAGATAAATCTACACACCCTGCCATACTTAAGAGATTCGCCTTTACAAAAAAAAAGCATTTATGACTTTTAAGGAGAAAATTTCATTACTGTTAATAAAAAAGTTATACATAGAACACTATGTATATTATTGCTCCATTTTTGTTTTTAAAGGGGAAATATATTTATAAATATGCTCATATTTTTATAGAATATCGCTTAAACTGAATACAGGAAGGCTTATTAAAAACTGTTGCTTCTGGAGAAGGTAAGTGGTTGCACTGGAAACAGAATGAGAGAAACTTCACTATATACCTTTCACATGATATTCAAAAATGAAATAAAAATAATATTGGTGCAGAACACCCATAGTTCGTTTGGTAGTACCTTTCATTCTCCTCACAGGGCCACTTTTTGATTAGGATCATTTTCATTTATTTCTCTCATCCATGCTTTATTCAGTCAGGAAAGTAGGAAAGATACAGAAAGTAGAATGGCGTTGTTCTTCAGAAATAAATGTCAATGTCAAGCAATTACACTGTTACACAGTGATTCACATAATTGAACCGATCTGAAATGGTATGATACTTCTCCACAGACAGATAATACACATTGATGTTAATGGTAAATATTTATTAGATTTTCAATATCTGAAGTGTGTTATTTAGAGTATTGGTGCATTACATACTATTGACCTTCGTTCCAAATTTTTATTTTTACCTGAGAGTTTTATTTGGGAGTATTGACATTCTTAGGTATGTGAAGAATAATAATAATAATAATAACTATAATAGGGATAATTTGAAGCCATAAGAAATTTGTCGAGCTCATAAAGCAATATTACATTTTTCAAGCCAGTTACATTTGGCACCATTAATATTCAAATCTCTAAACCACACTTTCTATCTGTCTAATAACAAATAAAATCGTTATACTTAAGATAATAATCAGATTTGTAGCTACTTCAGCCATTTATAAATAAGCCACAAACCCAGAAATGAGTTCCTAGAAGAGATTTATCCCATTTTGCTTCACTGAGGGGGCTCACATCAATGTGCTGCTTTCAAGGACTTATACATACCAAATAATTAAAATAGCTATCAGAAGTCCTTATCCCATTACAAACGGTGCCCTATGAATTTTGTATACAAGCAGTGTTGTCTGGTAATGACCTCAGGAGCACTGTCTGGGTTGCCTGGCATGAACTTGCTAAGCTGGAAAAATGGGGCTCCGCTTTCCAGGAAGAGAAGCCATTCCTGACCTCAGCTTGGAGGGGAAAAATGTCTCAGTTCTTCAAAATTTCCAGGTATTTCCGCCAGCTCCCCTAACCTGCCCTGAATAGTTGTTTATCTCCAATTTTTTGTTGCCATAGCAGTCTGCTTGTCCCTGAGTCCCATAAGCTCACTCTTGTGCTTTCTTCATTAAAAACCAAACAAATCAACAATGAGGAGAGACTTTTCTCTGCTGGAATCATTTTGGAAAATCCGTTTCACTGTGTGGCTAGCTGTGTCCTAGACCACATACAAATCTCCAAAGGATTCCAAGAGGACTTCTTCTACTCTATGAATTTCTGTTTCAAATCCTGGTATTGCTCAGACCTCTTCCTTGACACATTATCTCATTTAATCCTTATACCAACTCAGTGATATAGCTGCTATGATCATTCTCATTTTACAGATGAGAAAAATGAGTCATGGAATACAGTATAGTAGTAAAGATCACACAATCAGCTAATTATAAAGTTTATTTTTGAGCAGAGATTCATCGGTTAATCCTTAATTTCTAATTTGCATGACCATTTTCATGGTTGTCATTTGCTATATGTTGTCAATAAATCAGTAAATAGCTGACAGAATAATCCTAAGATACCTATCGAAAATAGAACTTTTGAAATGAAAATATATATGCTACAGCTTTATTGCATGCTAGCTCTTTTAAATATGCTTGTTCAATCTTCATAAATTTTTCCTACAATACATTTTTAAAAAGCTGTCACAGGTCTTCTCACAGGTCTGGAATGTAACCATATCCTATAGCAAGCTCATTTTGCTTCTCTTTAAATATGACTGTCTAGACATATTTACCTTCCTCATTTTGGGTTTTTAATAAATTGTTCTCGAATAACCAGAGGTTATTACTTGCCTAGATATTACCTCAGGATACCTTCCAGATTATGATGTTCAGTATTTTATTCCCAAGCAAAGAGGAAACTTTCTTTGCCTCTAAAAAGCAATTTTGAATATTCAATCCTGATTTACTCATTCTCCACACCTTTGTCCCTTAAAACTTTCTTGATAGAAGAGGATCATAGGAAACTATGTTTCTGTAAGTTCACACTCATTTTTTAAAGGAGAGTTTAAACTCCTAAATTAGTAAATATTGATAGCTTTGTATTGAATTTGTCTGAATATTGAAGAAATTTTATAGCATCATGACTCAGAATAATTCTCGATCTTACAGGTCCATGAAATAAGGTTTTTCAATCATGGGAAAGCAGCTACTGTCATGAAATAATTCCAGTTGTGTATTGAAAATTTTGCACATGAGTAAGATATTTCCTTTCGTAGGTATCAACATATTTTATCTTGCACTGTGACATTGAGTAACAATTTTAGAAATACTTCTTTTATTCAATGGGAATCTCACAATAACCACTAGTTCCCCAAGACATTAGGTTTTATTTGCAATTTGATTGCTGCTTAAGAAAACCCAGCTCCCTGCTTCTGAAATCACTTCCAATGTATTAATAGAAGTTATCCTCACCATACTGTGATTTTGTTATGTTATATATATTTACAAATAACATGAGAAATGGAGTAGAAGGATGTTCTTGCTAAATGATTTTAAAGTTTCTAACAGTTCAGCCATAGCCACTTTCTAGATTATATGTATCATCTAAAATTGCAAGTCATTTTTTGATCACCTACATTTTATACATTGGTTTGTTTCTCAAAATATAGCATTTTTTAATAAAAGGACTATTTTTCTTGGGGAAAATGGGAGCATGCAATAAGAACACAACAAAAACAAACAGAGATTCATAAGGATGTGTTTCTATCTACTGTGTAAATAAGGAGACTGAAACACACTCTGTGCATTGGAGATGACATTCCGTGTGGTTTGATCGTAGGTAGGATAAAGATACCAGCTGATTGCAATCAGCTGTAGCTTGCTGAGGAATTCTGGGGCTTCCTCAGGGTGTGTTTTAGCCTGTCAATTCTACTGGGTGTCTTTATACAAGACTCATCTTCCTTATGTGTACAGTGGGCATAAAAATCCCCATTTCATTATTTTGAAGATTAAGTAGCAAATGAGAAGTACTCAGTGCAAAACCTGTCCTGTAATAGTAAATAAACCAAAGCTATCTTCCTTCATCAGTCACTTCATGTTCTTAAGTAGAACTCAAACTTATTTTGTTCTTGTTACATTTTGCCAGTGATTGTTCTTTCTCTTTAATTTGCATCAAATTTTTCAGATTAGCTGAAACTAAAGTAAAGCTTCTCTGAGTAAATATAAGCTTTAACTTATTGAGCTGTGTCTCTTTTGTAAGACTTCCAATACTTGTTTAACTTTGAATGCATGTCTGTGGTTATAAATATCTAAATACATATGAGCATGTGTGAACAGATTTATATATACTGCTATGGTCGTTACCAGGAAGTGAAGGGAACAAAATAAGTTTGGTTCTTACCTTGAAATAACACCAAAATAAACTCTAGATGGATTAAAGGTGAAACAAAGCAAGATAAATTATATAATATCTTGAAGAAAATATAGAACAAAATTATAAAACATTGAAGTTGCAAATAAAAAAATTAAATATGACTCCAGGGGAAAAACTATATGAAAATTTCATACATATGACTACATAAGAAGCAAAGTCAAACTTTCTGATATTAAAACCTGTGACAACAATAAAAGACAAATGACAAACTAAGAAAGTATTTTCAACATTACAAAGAGTTAATATGGTAAATACTGATGGCTCTTAAAAACAAATAAGAAAAGATGTCAGTAACCAAAAAGATACAAGGTTTTGAGACAAAAAATGAAAATAAAAATGGATAATAAATGCAAGAAAGAACTGAAAATTGTTCAGCCTCTCCAGACAGAAAGATAAAATCCAACCAGACAGTTTTTCTTTAGCATATCTTACTGGAAAAAGATGAGAAAGGCTTAAAATATTCTCTGTTGGCAATTGTAGGACAATTGGCATACACTAAGAATGCAAATTGATGTAAGATTTCTAGAGATATTTAAAAATAACACTTAAAATTCTATTTAAGGAATGCAAACATTTCTCTTCCCATTCTTATATTACACATATAGGAATGTATAATAAGGAAATAAGTTTTCATAGCTGTATGTATAAAAATGTATGTGGAAGCATAATTTAAAATAGCAAAAATTAGAAAAGAAGCCACTTACTATTTATCAGCTTAAAATTTATTAAGCAAATTATGATATAACACTTTGATGAAACATGATCCAGCCATTAAAATAATGATGTACAATAGGATAACTACTACAGTTAACAATACTTTTTATTTTATTTTATTTTATTTTATTTTGAGACAAGGTCTCATGGCATCACCCAAGCTGGAGTGCAGTGGCATAATCATAGCTCACTGAAGCCTCCAACCCTTGGGTTAAAGCAATCCTTCAGCCTCAGCCTCCTGAGTAGCTGGGATTACAGGTGTGCCCCACTGTGCCCAGCTAATTTTCTTTTTTTAGTTTTGTAGAGACAGGGTCTCACTATGTTGCCCAAGCTGGTATCATACTCCTGGCCCGAGTGGTCCTCCTATCTTGGCTTCTCAAAGTGCTGGGATTACTGGCATGAGCCACTGCACCTGGCCATTATATATTTTTAAATAACTAAACGAATGGAATTAGAATGCTCCTAACACAAAGAAATAGTCAATGCTTGAGGTAATGGATACCCCAATTACCCTGGCATAGCATGCCTGTGTGAAAACGTTACATATAGCTCATAAATATATACAACTACATTTACCCATAATAATTGAAATTATGTAGTTGTGTGATTATAACACAAGGAACAATGTTACTGTCACATTTTTCCCAGAGAAGAGTTGTTGCAAATATGTACAAACATATATATACAGATAAAATTAGAATTTATATAGCAAGACATAAGATACAGATTTATTTTGTATTTTTGTGCATTGTAATCTATTTCAATTTTTCTTTAAAAACAATTATTTATAGTGTAATTCAGTAAAAGTGTTTTTTAAAGAATATATGGACTCACATTTAGGAAAAATAAATTATTTTAAAGACTATTGGCAAAACTTAATAAATTATGCTTACCTTATATATGAGGTCCTCACAGCTATCTATTATTTTGAATTTCAACCAAATATAAATGTCATGAATATAATCAGAGGCATTGGCCTTGATCGCAAACTATGCCTGGGAGTCTGTCCCTCAAAGTAATAGTTTCTAATGATTAACTTTAATCTCTACATTTTACTGATAAAATTTGTAAATGTACAACACATTTGCTAATGTGGCAAGTACATTACTTTTTGTTACAAATTATAGTAGTCCCCTGTTATTCAAAGAGAGTATGTTCCAAGAACTTCAGTGGTTGCCTGAAATGTTGGAGAGTTCTGAGCCCTACATACACTATGTTTTTATCCTATACATACATACCTAGGAGGAAGTTCAATTTATAAACGAGGCACAGTGAGAGATTAACAACAATAAGTAATAATAAAATAGAACAATTGTATCAATATACCAGCATCACTACTTTTGCTTTTGGGGGCCATCGTAAAGTCAAAGAAAAGGGACTTGAACAGAAGCAGTGTGATGCCACAACAGTCCATGCGAAAGGTAAGACAGCTGCTAAGTGACTCAGTGGCAAGGACCATAGACAGGATGGAGATGCTGGACAAAGTGTCGATTCACATCCAGATCAAGAGAGAGCAGGCAGCGTAAAATTTCATTACATGCTCAGAACAGTGCACAATTTAGAACTTACTGTTTATTTCTGGAATTTTCCATTTAATACTTTTGGACCATGGTTGACCTCCAGTAACTGAAACTGTGGAAAAGGGAATGTTATCAAAAAAATTACAGTAGAGAGTGAAGGACAGCATTAGAAGTAGAGTTGAATGATTTATTTGCATTGCTTTGGTTTTCTTCTACCTGTTTGCTCTAGTGGCTTTCCAGCTTTAAAATGCAGCAGAACATGGAGTATTTGCTTTATCAGAAGTCACCAGGGATTGCCATCAGAGTTTTCGATCCAGTAAGTTTGGGTTGAGATCTGAGTTTGCATTTGTTGCAAGTTTTGACATGATGCTGTTGATTCTGCTCTGGGATCACATTTTGGGAACTAGGGACTGAGTCTTAATATATCCATTCCCCGTAAATAATACATTAAGTATTATATAATGCAACGACACCCAAACT
Organism: Homo sapiens; assembly: GCF_000001405.40. NCBI lineage: Eukaryota > Metazoa > Chordata > Mammalia > Primates > Hominidae > Homo > Homo sapiens. Next base: position 30,454,430 of record NC_000018.10, read on the forward strand.
ATCTATAAAATAGTCTTAAAATTTAACTTTTAATCTTTTACTTCTCTTTCTATTTTTTTTCTTTTTTAAAGATGTTAAAGAACGTGAAATTGTAATACCAGTTGGGATGGTCTATAGGAAACTTTTCCAATGTCCTGCCTTCCTTCTTGAGATTTATACAAAAGCTTAGAAAAATTCATCCAAACTGATAAAAACTCTAATCTGTTTTCTAATCTAACAAGTTTTATTCAGCTTCTACAATAGTAACATCATTATTAGTAAAGTAGCCAATTTCCTTAGTAAAAGTTTATTTAAATGAGAGAAATTGAATGTAAATTTAATAAAACTATGCTCATAGACATATTTTAAAACCTTCTCCTGAATCGCATTCAGTTTTTTAGATAATCATAATGATTTCTATGAACAATAGACATAGAAAGATGTCACAGAGTTAATAGTCTAGAAGGTTTTACAAATAAAATCTCTAATTTGCCCTACATTTTAAATTAATTATGCATTAATGTAGATGTACTTGGCAGGCTTCTTGACTGCAGGTGACAGAAACCCTTTGGTTAACTTAAGCAAATGGAAGCATGTGAGAAGAAGATCCCACAGCTTTTAGAGCTATGAAGTGCAAACAAGATGGAGGCTCCTGACCAGTTGGCTGTGGACAGGACTGCTGCTGCCACTCCCCACATGCGCATCAGACCTTACTAGCTCCGCAGCTGTGTCTGGTCATCTCTGACTATCCCCTACAGCTTGCCTCACTCTTAAAGAATCTAAGTTCCAATGAATAGATACAATTACCAAGCTCTGTTCTACCCAAACATGCAAGATATCAAGGAAAGGGAGAGGAAGCAAATAACCCTTTTGGTCTAACGTAGAGGGAGCCAAGGTTCTACCTCATCGGTAGGTTATTATTTTTTTTCAATTGAAAGGTGTTTGGATGCCTTATTCCCAATATGACAAACTTCTACTATAACAGGAGTACAGAAAACAAACCATTCCTGGGCATTATTTATTTTCCTAACGTGTTCATATGTAATCATTCACATTTCCTTTACTATCCTATAGCATGGCATAGCTTATTAAAAATTTATGAATACACTTAGATGTAAATATAAGCTTATTAATCATAAACTTGTTAAAATTCATTTAAAACTTTATATGTATTATCAAATATCACTATTTGGTCTTATATCACCAGGGACAGGAATTCAGGGAAGGAGTTACTACTTTCTGAAGAATTAGAAAACCAAACCTAAAGAAGCTGTATAGCTTGTTTGTAAACACATAGACAAAGTATCCAACACAGCCTGGCAGCACCTTTTGGTTTTCTTTCTATCGTAGAACACTGGTAAACTGTTTAGTTAAACAAAAATACATGACTATTTCTTTCAGAAATTGTGCTGTATTTGTTAGGATGCTTTTGAATGCAAGTTATAGAAAACACAACTAACAATGGCCTACTGCTAAACACTGAAAGCATTCATTATATCACAGGACAAATCTAGAATTGAGGTTGCTCTAGGCTGGCTAATGTACCAGCTAGATGGTGTCAGGTCCTCTTGTCTTCTCCTTACATTTGCATAATGCTCACATATAACCCCATCTACAGACGGGAAGTCACAGGACTTGTCATGTAAACTTCTTTCATTGAGAGACCCTTTCCACTTACCCACAGTACTCTTCCTTTTAATAACCTTACAGCACTAAGCCAATCACTGAAAATGAAATCAAGATTATCTGGATTGATTTAGACAATTATGTTTAATACCCCAGGCACAGAGATGGGCTGATCATTATAACCTAAAATAAAGGCAACAAGGTTCTGCTACAAAGAAAGTGACAAGGATGCCTGTTGGATAGGCAACCAAGATGAAAGCATTAAGTGCCCTCTACAAAAATATGGCCTGCTATGATTGACAGTTAACATTCAACCTTAAATCTTAACCACATTAGAAAATGGGCTTATGTAGAAAAAAAAATTACTCTCAAACTATGCCATAGAACTGAGACACTTGAAAAATTTAGCATTTTAAATATTAAATTGTCTTTTCTAAATATATTTTAAGCTAAAACACAGAACTCATTAGAGTTGCAGTTACTAAGCACTATGAGCAGATATTATACTGAGAAAAATTACTTGCATTAACTCATTTTGCTCTTATATAAACCCCACGTAGAATATAATAATTCTCAGTTTACAGGAGGGAAACTGAGGCTCACTGAGTTCAAATAACTTGCTCAATATTATATAGTGAGGAACTAAACTATACTTAAGTTTCAGTTTGTTTGATGCTAGATCTCTCTCTCTCTTTTTTTTTTTTTTTTTTTTCTCGAAACGGAGTCTCACTCTTGTCGCCCAGCCTGGAGTGCACTGGCACAATCTGGGCTCACCGCAACCTCCGCCTCCCGGGTTCAAGTGATTCTCCTGCCTCAGCTTCCTGAGTAGCTGGGATTACAGGCACCCGCCACCACACCCGACTAATTTTTTGTATTTTTAGTAGAGACAGGGTTTCACCATTTTGGCCAGGCTGGTCTCGAACTCCTGACCTCTAGTGATCTGCACACCTCGGCCTCCCAAAGTGCTGGGATTACAGGCGTGAGCCACCGCTCCCGGTCCGATGTTAGAGCTCTTAACCATGTTGTGCAATTCCCTCAAGTGTACTATTTAACAAATTATAACACATTGGAGAGTACCCATATGTCTACATATGTTATGAGAATTATTTTTGCTTAAGGATATGAAATATGTTTCCTCTGTTAAAAGATTTCTTATTAAATGTGTCACTAATTAGTAAAATTTTTATTTATTTTTATTGTGGTCTTTGTATTTTGCTTCTTATAAGATATTTTAAGTAAGTACACAGCTACAACATTCATCACCATAAACTAACAGCAGGGGTCAGGAGCATGTGATCTGTGTGTGAGCTTGGCATGGCACAGAAGCTGTTCTAATAATGAGTGATGGTTTAATACATTGTGTCATGTCAGACATTTTATCAATCATTTAAACTTTTTTTGTTTTGTTTTAATTGTATAAGTGTTTCCCTGTCTGACATTTAAATTTACGATTAGAAATGCTGGCATTTGTTAGGTATTGATAGTGATTCATTTTTGAAAAGAAACTTTCTTAATACTTTCTTTTAAATTTCTAGATTGCTTTCATTGAACAGGCCACTGAAAGAGTAAGACAAATTGTTTTTATAAACCATCCATTTGCACAGTATTCGTGAGAATCAATTTGGGATGTGGGAGGTGTTGAGGAGGAACAGGGATAAAAAGTGTTTGTTAATCTGCTTTTTTGAAAATAACAGAAAATATATTTTTAAAATAATATTGAGAGATATAGAATTATAAGCTCCAGTTATAAAACAAGACTTGTGAAATCCAAACACTTGGCCACCTCATCAAAATGGGAAAAAGTGATTAGAGAAATTTTCTATTTTGGTTACCTCAGAAGAAAACTCTAATAAATGAGGTGAAATTCTTCTAAGATTAAATTTTACATTTTTTTCTATCATGGATCCAAAATTTTCTCCTAACTTTTACTCATTAATGGGAAGAGATAAGACTGGTAAATATAAAAATATAACCATTTAAATATGTAAGCCATGTTGTTCACAGGAAATTATATTTATCTATTAAAATTACATACTTCTTAGCATATTAAATATGTTCATGTAAGCTGAAAATGGTTACATGAGCCTTGTTTTTGATTGTTATGGACACATGTTGTGTGGATTTTGTTTCCCCTATACTACTTAGAAAGTTCTAAACTCTGGGCGTATTTTCCATTTTGCAAATTTGAAAAATACAAGTCAGAAAAATTACTCTTCATGGATTAATGTTCAAACACAACTTGAAACCTTGTTCTTCCATATTTTTTCTTCTATGGCAGTAAAGAGCTAACCGAAGACAGGCAGATGTTTCTTCAGTGTGATATGTTAAAAGAAATCATCTTTTTATTCCTCCAACTAACAGTATGTAGCGTACTCTATATGCCAGGAAACATAGTCTCCATAATTCCTACAATAGCTTTCATGCTTTGAAAGCAACTGAAGAAGTAAGTACAGTGTCAAAGTTAGAACAGAGACTGTGGCACTATTGTGCCCATTCTTGATAAACTCAGCCCCACTGTAACTTGTCCACATACACTGTTCTTATATAGTCCACATTATCTTCCACCCTGATAGATAATTAACGAGTCAAAATCCAAGAGTCCCAGTAGAATTCATTGGCTTCATTTGCTTAGACTTGTAATTTAGAATGTGTATCTGGAGCCCAGAGCCCCACTCCAAAACTTCACTTTCTTTGTGTGTGTGTGTGTGTGTGTGTGTGTGTGTGTGTGTTATTTTATTTATTTATTTTCTTTTATTTTTTTTTATACTTCAAGTTCTAGGATACATGTTCACAACATGCAGGTTTGTTACATATGTATACATGTGCGATATTGGTGTGCTGCACCCATTAACTCGTCATTTACATTAGGTATATCTCCTAATGCTATCTCTTCCCCCTCCCCCCACCCCACAACACGCCACGGTGTGGGATGTTCCCCTTCCTGTGTCCAAGCTGGAAACCATCATTCTCAGCAAACTATCACAAGGACAAAAAACCAAACACCGCGTGTTCTCACTCATAGGTGGGAACTGAACAATGAAAACTTCACTTTCTCACAGACCAGAACTGGATGGCTCAGCCACTCCTGTTTATAAAAAAAAAAAAGAGAGGTGAAAGAGAATTATGAATAGTGGGGAATAGAGGCAGGGGATTGGGATGGTCAAAATATAGTGTCAGGAACAATGTTCTTAGTAATTTTTGCTTCTTCCTAAACTATCAACTACTGTGAGAGGTTATTAAAATCTACCATTGTGATCTTGGATGTGTCAGTTTCTTCACTGTAATTCTACCATTTTTTTTCACTGCATGCAAATTTCAAAATATTTATGCTCATGCTTTGCCTTTATTCTTAATCAAGTTTATCTTTTTGCTTTAATGCCTATTTTTCTGAAATTCATGCACACTAGCTTTCACTTTTTAAAAAGTATATCTCTTTTCTATTCCTTTAGTGTCAAATTTTCTTAGCTATTAAATTTTACTTTTATCTTCTGTAAACAGAATACAGCAACAAATTTTATGTTTGATCAATCTGAAATGCTTTAGCTTTCAAATTTATGATGTATTTGAATACCAATGAATTTTGTGTTTCCTTTATGTTTTTGCTTCTTTTGTCTTAACAGTATATCACTCAAATTTGTGAAATAGTCATTCTAATTTATTTTTCTTCTGTCACACATAACATTTTAATTATTTTAATGAGTATGTGCATATTTGATTTAATAAATCCACACTGTATCTGTCACTTCATTCTCACAAGACTAAGATATTTACAACACTCTAATGCCAACTGATTTCATTCCCTCTCTCACATAAAATTTTTCTTTAGCATTTTAGTTTTTCCTAAAACTTATTATTTAATTAAACTTAATTTTACCAAATAATCATTATGATCGCATGCTTGTCAGCTAATTAATCATTTATTCTCAAAGAAGTAATTTTATTTTTAAATGGCAAAATCCCACTCACCTTTGCTCTCTTGACTGCTAAAATCTTTCCTCACCACTCCTTCTGTCACCTCGCGTCTTTCTTCTGCGGTCAATTCCTTCTTTCTCAAGTACCTCCTTTGGTCATTGTTTCAATAACAGTTGTATTTGTTTCCCTGAAAATGTGTTTCTTTCACCTCCAGTTTTGAATGATCATTTAAATATAGGGTTCTACATTAAAAAATATTTTTCTATGTTTTGACGATATTATCAGTGTCTTGTATTTTTTCTTATTGCAGAGTCTGCAATCAGTTTAATTTTTCTATATTTGAGAACTATTTTAAAGAAACTTTGTCTCTGTAGCTGTATAGTTTCAATACCTAGCCTGGGTGTGGCTTTATTATTATATATGACATTTATGAATATGAAAAATCCTCATTTATAATATCTTTGAGTATTTTCTATCTTTCATTTCCTGTGTTCTATTTTTGTAAAAGTTATTATATGTTGTACCTCATCTGATTTTTTTCCAATTTTGAGATATGATTGACAAATAAAAATTGTTTATATTGAAGATGTACAATGTGATATTCTGATCTACATGTACATTGTGAAATGATTACCACAATTGAGCTAATTAACATAGGCATCACCTGACATGGTTACATATGTGTGTGTGTGTGTGTGTGTGTGTGTGTGTGTACTGAGAACATTTGACACCTACTCTCTCAGCAAATTTTAAGTATACAATACACTAGTATTAAGTATAGTTACCATGTTGTACACTAAATCCTTCGTATCTTTATTTTTCTGTGTGGACTTTTGTTAAATATGCTTTTCTATTTTCCAGCTCTTCAGTTCTCCATTTATCTGTGTCAAATATGCTATTGGAATTCCCCACAGAATTTTAATTTCAATCATGCCATTTTTATTTCGAGAATATCTATTGGGTTATTTTGCAAAACCACACATTTGGCTAATAATGTCTTGTTATTTTTCTCACAGTTTTACTTATTTAGCCTTATACCCAGTATCAGAGAGAGTTCTGTTACCTGAGGCTCCTTGGCATATAATTCTGTGTTTGTAGTGTCTGTTAATTCTCAGCCTTGTGGACTGCTTTCTTATAGCTTATGTAATATTAACTAGAGAGCATACCTACAGCAGGGCATTAATACATTGAAATACTATGGAGTCTGAGTTCAGGGTGTATCACCCCAAAGATTTTTTGGGGTATCTCAGGGATAATAACAGCTCTGAAATAAAAATGTGGGGACTATGTTTCTGCTTGTTAGTTGCTAGATTACATGGGTAATCGAAATTTGAACTTCAAGTTAATGTGAAGGGAAACTGCTGGTTAGGAATCCTGGAGTCTTCTTTTTTCTTCCACTCAGAAATTGTGTAAGTGATCTGAATAGCATTTTAACACACTGGACCAAAGGAAGAAGGTTTTGATCCTCTCGTTTCTATTGATGGTATAGTTGTTTCGTGATCAAAACTTTATGTGTTGCTCTAGTCCTAATTCCCACAGTGTGAAGCACAGCGTCTCATATCTTTTTCCGACTGTGGATTGGATTAAGCTACTAAATGAAACTTGCACCCTCCCTAGGGTAGCCACAGTGCCAGTTTAACTATTTGCTGCATGGCCCTCTAAGTTTTAATTATTTCCTTGTAACTTATAATACTGCTTTTATTTTATATAAAAAAGTATATGTATCTAAAAGCATATTTTCCAGTCTATTCTATATTTGTCATTTTTATAGATAGAAGGCTTTCATATTTTAGTATGCACATCTGCCAGTCAAAGCATTGGTAATATAAACTGTACCATGTCAAGGTGGGATCTTGAGGTGGATATTCAGCTGATTCCTAAGTGAAGGAAAGTTATCTTCAGGATTTGAATGAATCCAGATAAATCAAGTTTTGTGGACAGTTGTCCACTTTTTAATCCATCTTCTCACATAGTCCAGATTATAGCTTTTGCTAAATAGTTTTATATTTATTTGAAAATAATGACACAGTCTTTAAAAAATATTACTTTCTATGATTTTAGTAACAGTAAGCACTAATGAGTTCAGATATCATGGAGAGTTTATATATTTCTAAACATAAACGTAACAGCTCATTTAGCAATGTGATTTAAAATGCAATCATAAATCATTAAAATTGAACAATAGTTGTCAGGAAAAAATGAAAAAGTGCATTTTGTGATATATTCTTTTTTTTCTCAAATGTTTGCAAACTATTCACAGTTTTCGCAATTTTTAATAAACTACAAATGATCGAGACTTTTCTAAAAGGAGTATTTTGATTTCGAAAGAAAGATGTGCTAACAAGTGCACTGCTATTTACTACATTGATGAGTGTGAATTAAAATCATTTTTGAAAGCAAACCATGAGAGAAACCATTCAAATTCTAGAAGGTCCAAACTAAAGAGAATTTCTACTCCAGATAAGAGAATATAGTATTCAAAAATGTTTTCTCAAAAAAGGCTTGCTTTATTGTTTATATTTTTAAGGAAAAAAAATGATGCCAGCACCTTTTAAAAATATTGTTTTCCACAACGGTATTTGGCTACACTTTACATTTGATGATCATAATATTGGTTTTGCTGCTTGCATAATATACAACCTGCAGACAATGAGCACTTTAGCAAAAAAAAGAAAAGAAAAGAAAAGAAAAGAAAAGAAAAGAAAAGAAAAGAAAAGAAAAAAACTACTTAAGGGACAACTTGAACAAGAGATGAGCCTGATTGTTGTTTGAAAACTTTCTGTTGACATCTTTTGTTAAATTCAGGAGCTTTGAAATTTGCAGAAAGGCATTTCAATAGCTTGGAAGAAAATCCAATACAATAATAGAGTGTGCTTTTCTAGAAATGTTATATCACTAATGTTCTTGATAACATGGAGTTTTATATTGTGTGAAAAATAAATACAGAAACCAATAACTCTAAGATAAAAGGTGCTTTTACAGAATTGACTTTGAACATAAAGAAGTTTGAAGGATACACTAACAATATCTATATGAAAAATATTTCTTTTTAAATAAGTCAAAAAAGGGATTTTAAAATAAACATCAAATAAAATTATAAAATAATACAGAATATTGTCATTTTTATTTATAAAATATGAATATAGAATGTGGTACATCTTATAATCAGTGACATCTGAGATTGAATAAAATATCCTAATATGCCTCTGATTATATTTCTTAGTTTGTCAACTTTATATGTTACCTATTGACTTTCAGTTACTATAGGTTAAAAAACTGTCATATAAAATTCCCCTTATATATATATAAATATATATTTTATATATTTTTTATTTAAGTAAATATTCAGAATTTCATTTATTATAAATAATGAATAACATACACTGTTTGCATTGTTATGAATAATACTTTTCCAAACCACTAGAATACTATGATTTTTTTTTCCTAAATGCTCTAACAACCGATCAAAACAATTTTTCACACCATCAGAAACCCAGGATTTGTATTTTTTTTTGATTTGGAGACACTGCTCTCAGAGTCTGGTGTTTCTTTTTTTTTTCCAATCTGGTTTAGTTACTTTTCTGAATTTATTCTATAACTACTGTTCTAGGGCATCCTTCCACTATTCTTTAGGGGATTCCCCTAACCGCTTTCCTTAGTTGAATCGCCTGTCACATGGATCTTATATCTTCTTCTAGATTGCTTTATGCTTTTATTTTGATAGCAGATTTAGCAAGCACTTTTCGAAGCAAGGGGATATGGAATGCAAAATATTGAGGCTCCGTGCACCTGAAACTATCTTTACCCTCCTATTGTTTATACTTTTGACAAATAAAGAAATATAGGTCAAGATTCACTTTCTCTCTGAAATTTTGGATCACTTTTACATTTTCTTTCAATATTTCTGAAAAGTCAAATAATATTTACGTTCTACTTACATATATAATTCCTCGTAGTTTTTTCTTTTGAAGAATTTTTAAATCTTACTTATTTCCTAACACTCTGAAATTGTAATATGTATTTTGATGTGGCCAGAGTTTGTACCTTATTAATTTAGAGATCCTTATTCTATAGTTCTAGGGAATTTTCTAATAGTGGCATATCTAGGAGATATTGTGGGTTTGGTTCCAGACCACTACCACTACCATAAAGCAGTAAGATGAGAAGCAAATATTTTTTCATTTTCCAGTGCATATAAAAGTTATGTTTATACTATACTGTAGTCTGTTAAGTATGTAATAGCATTATTTCTAAAAAGCAATGCACATATCTTAACTTAAAAATACTTTATTGCTAAAAAGTGTTAAAGATCATCTGAGCCTTCCCTGAATCATGAACTTTTTGCGGTTGGAGGGTCTTGCCTCAATATTGGTGGCTGTTAACTAATCAAGGTGATGTTTGCTGAAGGTTTGGGTGGCTGTGGCAATTTCTCCAAGTAGGAAAACAATGAAGTTTGCTGCAATTGACTCTTCCTTTCACTAAAGAGTCTCAGTATCATGTGAAGCTGTTTGTTAGCGATTTATTCACTGTAAAACTTTCAAAATCGGAGCCAATTATCTTAAACCCTGTCATTGCTTTATCAACTAAGTTTATGCAATATTCTAAATCCTGTGTTGTAATTTCAACAACGGGCACAACGTCTTCACCAGGAGTAGATCCAGTTGCAATAAACCACGTTTGTGGTATATACATAAAATGTGGTATATATATAAAATGTGGTATATATATAATGGTGAATATTTTCCAGGAGGTTTTCAATTTACTTTCCCCAGACTCATTAGAGGAATTACTCACTATCCATAGCAGGTATAGCCTTACAAAAGGCATTTCTTAAATAATAAGTACTGAAAGTCAAAAATATTTTTTTACCCATGGGATGCAGAATGGAGGTTGTGTTAGCAGGCATGAAACCCACAATCATCTTCTTGTACTTGTCCATTAGAGCACTTACATAATTAGGTGCATTGTCGACAAACAGATATTATGGAAACAGCTTCTTTCCTTAAGCCTCATGGACCAACCTTTGCTATCTTCAAACATTTCTTCTGAAGGGTCAGTATTTTCTCAGCCTTCATAGAACAAAAGAGAGTTAGGGCCTTACTATGGATTAGGTTTTGGCTTAAAGGAATGTTGTGGCTGGTTTGATGTTCTATCCAGATCAGTAAAACTTTCTTTTTAATAGCAGCAATAAGGCTTTTTCACTTTCTTATCATTTGTGTATTCACTGGAGTAGCACTTTTAATTTCCTTCAAGAATTTTTCCTTTGCATTCACAACTTGGCTAACTTTGGCTCCAGAGGCCTAGTTTTCAGCCTATGTCAGCTTTTGGCACGCCTTCCTAAGTTGAACAACTTCTAGTTTTCGATTTAAAATTAGAGAAATGAAACTCTTCCTTTCACTTGGACACATAGAGGCATTTTAGAGTTACTGACTGGCAGAATTTCAATATCGCAGTGCCTCAGGCAACAGAGAGGACTAATAAGAAGGACAAAGATGGGGAAACAGCCAGTCAATTCAGCAGTTAGAACACACCCAACATTGATCAATTAAGCTTGACATCCTATGAGAGTGCGGTTTGTGGAGCCCTAAAACGATTACAATAGTCACATCAGAGACCACTGATCACAGATCACCATTACAGATATAACAATAATGAAAAAGTTTGAAATGTTGTGAGAATTTCCAGAATTACCAGAGACACGAAGTGAGCACATACTGTTGGAAAAGTAGAAATATTAGACTTGCTTGATGCAGGGTTGCCACAAACCTTTAATTTGTGAAAAATGCAAAATTTGTGAAGTGCAATAAAGCAAAACACAATAAAATAAGGTATGTTTGTAGTTACGTTTGTGTTATTTTAACCTTCTGTTTATTTTCTTTACTTTTTCTGAAATTATACTAGTTAGCTTAAACTATTTTTTCTTCTTTTGTTTATGTAGTCTTTGTCCCTTTTCCCCTCTAATATCCAAAATGCTCTCTCAATTTTATATGCCAGTATTTTTACTGATATTATGACTATTGTATTTTTTTATTTCTAGATATCATTCTTGTTCTATGAGTTTTTCCTTTCCAAAGATTTTTTTCCCTTGGAAAAATGCTCTAATTTTTAAAAAATTGACAATTGTAATTTTGGAAATTTTAAAAATCCTTTCTTTATTTCTGTCTCCTCTGTGCTCATGATTCTGTTTGTTTTGATTTAGCATTTTGCATGCTTTCCTCAGCTGTTATTTTATCTTTGATTATCCATTAGTATTTCAGCGGGAGCCTTTAACTTCTTGTCTTGTCTCTCTATGTTTGGTTAGGTTTTGTGGACTAGAGAATGGACTTTCTGGACCTTGAAATGTGTAGTTCTTTATACTTTATGTTTTTATTTCCATAGGTTTTTGGGGGACAGGTGCCGTTTGGTTATATAAGTAAGTTCTTTAGCGGTGATTTGTGAGATTTTGGTGTACCCATCACCCGAGCAGTGTACACTGTATCACATTTGTAGTCTTTTATCTCTCATCCCCTCCCACCCTTTTCCCCCAAGTCCCCAAAGACCATTCTATCACTCTTATGCCTTTGCATAAGAGTAACTTAGCTGAGTGGGAGTAACTTAGCTCCCACTTATGAGTGAGAACATACGATGTTTTGTTTTCTATTCCTGAGTTACTTCACTTAGAATAATGGTCTCCAATTCCATCCAGGTTTCTGCAGATGCCATTATTTTGTTCCTTTTTATGGCTGAATAGTATTTAATGGTATAGATATAGATATAGATATAGATATATCACAATTTCTTTATCCACTTTTTGATTGACAGACATTTGGGCTGATTCCATATTCTTGCAATTGTGAATTGTGCTATTATAACTATGTGTATACAAGTATCTTTTTTGTATAATTACTTCTTTTCCTCTGGGTAGATACCCAGTAATGGGATTGCTGGATCAAATGGTAGTTCTACTTTTATTTCTTTAAGGAATCTCTACACTGTTTTTCATAGCTGTTGTGCTAGTTTACATTTTCATAAGCTCAATTATAAATGAAACAGGAGATATCACAATCAACCACAGAAACACAAAAGATCTTCTGGGCGAGGTGGCTCACGTACGTCTGTAATCCCAGCACTTTGGGAGGCTGAGGCGGACGGATCACAAGGTCAGGAAATCAAGACCATCCTGGCTAACACAGTGAAACCCCGTCTCTACTAAAAAAAAAAAAAAAGTACAAAAACAATTAGCCGAGTTTGGTGGCAGGCGCCTGTAGTCCCAGCTACTCCAGAGGCTAAGGCAGTAGAATTTCTTGAACCCGGAGACGGAGCTTGCAGTGAGCCGAGATCGCGCCACTGCACTCCAGCCTAGGCGACAAGGCGAGACTCCGTCTCAAAAAAAAAAAAAAAGAAATACAAAAGATCATTCAAGGCTACTATGAACATCTTTACACGCATAAACTAGAAAACCTAGAGGAGATGGATAAATTACTGGAAATATACCACTCTCCTAGCTTAAGCCAGGAAGAATTGGAAACCCTGAACAGACCAAAAACAAGCAGCGAGATTGAAACGGTAATAAAAATAAATTGCCATAAAACAAAGTCCAGGACCAGAACAGATTCACAGCTGAATTCTATCAGACATTCAAAGAAGAATTGGAACCAATCCTATTTACACTATTCCATAAGACAGACAAAGAGGAAATCCTCCCTAAATCATTCTATGAAGGCAGCATCATCCTAACACCAAAACCAGGAAAGAACATGACAAAAAAAAAAAAAATGTAGTTCTTTCCTCTTTGGCTGCTATCTCTCTGGAGAAGAAGCCTCATATCCACTGTTTGGACATTTAAGGTTAGCTCCTAGAATTCTGGAAACTAGGAAAGGGAAGGAAGCTTGAGGGTGTCTATATTTACTGCAGAAGTTTTTGTTCATCTGGAACATTTCTCAAAGAATGAATCTCCTTCAACCTGAGATGGTGGATAAGTAGTTACTGAATCATTATTCTAAGTAGGAGTGGGGACAGAGCTGTTAGCTTTTCTAAAACATGCTTTCAATAACTTTCCTTCTTTTTGTATCCTCTTTTATCTTCATCTTCGGTGGTATCACAGTCCTCAAATTCCTGGTAGGTTACAGGACCCCTGTGATGAGTTGTTTGATTTCTTGGGACATATAGCTCTGCAGAGGTGTATGTTACATTAATGGTTTATGCTTCCTTCACTATAAAATTATTACCTTGATTGATTCAGTCAGTATGTATTAACCAACTTTACTAACCAGGTATTGTTTGAACTCTGGAATATATTACCGGACACAAACCAAAAGTGCCATTCTCACAAAACCTATATTTTAAGAAGATAGAGAAAACCAAATACATAAGGAACAATATAGTGTTTTACAGTGTAAGAGAATTATGACGAAAATTAAAGCAAGAAAAGGTCCAGAACAATTCAAACGCAATTTTTAATAAAAGTATGAAAGAAGACCTAATTAAGAAAATATAATAGAGAAAATTCATGACAAATGTGAGGAATTGAGCTCTTCACTATGAGAAGAGTGATCAGCAACAGAAAAGCCCTGAGGCACAACTGTGCTCTGTGAATTTGGAAAACAGCAAGAAGGCCAGTGTAGCTGGAGTGGAGTGAGGAAGGCCAAAGTAGGAAGGTAGTATCAGTTATGCAGAACCATTGTGACTGTTGAATGAACTTCAGATTTTATGTCAAGTGAAATGAAGAACTGTTGAACAGTATTATGCAGAGGTGGAAAATGACTTGCCCTATTTTAAAAACTTCTTTCTGACTCTGATGAGAATAGACTGTGTGTGGAAGAGAACTATTAGAAGGTTAGATTAGTAGCTTAGGAGAGACATATTAGAGTCCTGGAAAAGATGATGGGGGCTTAGCAGCATGACTAGAAGAGATGGTGGAGGTTTGGTATTAGTGAATATAGAGATAAATAATTGCATTCTGCATGAATTTGAGAGTAGAACTTACAGAATTTCCTGATATCGTCACATATTAGGTATAAATGAAAAGGAAATTAAAAGATAAAGGATTAACCCTAAGGTACACACACAAACACACACACACAAGTAGAAAGTAGGCAGATGGATATACGAGTCTGACATCCAGGGGAGGGGTTTGGATTGAAGATATAAATGTGTGAGTAGCCAAGATATAAATGATATTTGTATATGTGAGGCTATATGATATAGCTGGAAAGCATTTTAGGTTTAAAAGCAAAGAAAATAAAGAATTTAGGACTTTGCCTGGAGGCATACTTTCTTTAAGTGCTTGAGAAAATAAGACTAAATCATTAAATAAAACAGAGTGAAAACAGCCAATGAAGTAGGAAAAAAAAAGAACCCGAGGGAGTTCGGTGGAAGCCTAGTGAAGAAAGAATTCTAAGGAGGAGGGAGTGATGAACTGTGCCAAATGCTATTAATAAAGGCACTGAGGACTGAGATTGCTCATTGAGGACTGAATTTAAGAACGGAGAAATAATTGATGATCTTAACTAGGGCACTTTCGGTGGGGGATGATGGTGAGATTCTGATTGAATTAAATTTTAGAGAGAAAAGGAGAGAAGCTGAATATAGTGCTTGTAGACAGCTTTCCTGTAGAATTTAAATATAAAAAAGAGAACAAATAAATGGAGCAATATTTATTGAAGGCCGTGGGATCTTGAGATTGTGGTTGTTGGTTAATAGGAAGTCATAACTACTTCTTAATGTGCTTCTGGTAATGACCCAATAAAGAATGAAAAATTATGAGGCAGTAGAGCTACTAGTGAAGAGTTTGTATATGAGTCAAAGTCTTTTCAACGAGCTGAAAAGGGTGGGTTGTAATGAAAAAATGAATGACTTCAGATAGCAGCATGAAAACTGAATGTGTCATTTAGGTGGATACATACAACATATGAGTCAGATGCTGGTAGGTGGGTTGCTATGATAATGGGGGTCCGTCTCAAAGTTCTATTCTGATTGCTTCAATTTTTAGAGTAAAACAGGAAGCAAAGTCATCAACCAAGAGTGAGAACAGGACAGAAGGTTTGGGGTGTACGGTGAGAAAAGGGAACTTATTTAATAGTCAACTAAGAATGGAAAAGTATATGAATTCTAGAAGGTATTAAGGGCTCACTTGAAGTTCATGATTCTAAAACATATATCATTGGACTACCCATTACAACTATGCTGAATACTAGAATACCTGGCTCAGAGTTTATCTGAAAGTATATTCACTATTCTAAGCAAATTTAGTCTTCTGAGGGTACAATTTATCTCCATTTCCCCCAAGAGTTCTTGGAAGAACCTGTCTCTTCCAGTTTCAAACACTATAGATCTTTCTGGCACTCCACCTTTATTTCTGTCAGTATAATAACATTTAGTCCATCACATATTTGCAACACAGAAGTGACTGGCCCTGTGGATACTAAACAGCTGTTGAGCAAATACAGGAGTGGATGTTTCCGTCTACTGAATTACCAACCTTCTAAATGTTTAAAAATGAACTCATAGAATTCTTATATAATTTGGGAAATGAGAAATATAAAAAATCTATTTCCTTGTTAGTATACTGGTTAACAAGTGGTGGAGCCAGCACTAGGACTGGAATATTTAACTCAGCCTACAACCCTATATGATTTCTAGCTTCTTTACCAGCTATTTACCTTCTTTCTGCCCTTAAGCAATGCAGCCCCCTATTTTAGCTATTCTTTACATCATATTCTTGTTTGGCTCAATGCTTTTTCAAATATTGATTTCTTTAATTTCAATTCTGTTAAGTGTGCTTTGCACCCATTCATCTTCTGATCTCAAATTGCATGACACCTCTACAAGGTAGTCTCCCAGGATTAGTCACACAAGATCAGGCCATACTGTTACTATAATCTTATATATAATCCTATATATAATCCATGCTCTCCTATAATCCTACACTTGTCCTTTATAACATTCATGGCGGTTTTTAATTATTTGTTTATATGATTGCTTTACATCTGTTTTCTGCACTAGACTACGATCTCCAAGAACAGAGACTAGCTTCTATATTGTTTATACTGCTTCTCTATCGCCAGAGCCTAGCATGGTTCCTAGTACATGGTAAGTGTTAAATATTTGTGAAAATAATGTATTATGGAACAATCTATTCTGCACCCAAGTATTTTAAAATTCTAATAGCTGAAAGTGTTCAAGCATCTTCTAAAATGTTGGAAAGAAGATTTTCTCCCTGGATGTTAATTTATACAAGATGACTTCAAAAGCCCCTTCTAATCTCAGTATTTTAGTAGTATGATCTTGGCCTAATCAGTTATCCTTTCAGGATCATGATTCCTGATCTAAAGGGAAGGATTTTATATTGATGTCTTTATCACTTCTAGCCCCATGAATCTTTGATACAATGTTAATAGCACAGGCCAAACCGAATGTAAAATATTGTTGAAAACCTACATCAGATTTTCTCCAGTAGTTTATGCTTTCTAATAGAATGGTGTCATGATCTGTGATGAAATTATTTTTATTGCTCCTTTTTAAAAAATTGACATTGATGTTTTCTACTTGCTTGCTTATCATGGAAATTAATTCTTAATTTTTAAAAGGAAACTCCTATTATTGATTAACCACATGCTGGCCCTAGAATGAGTGATCACACAAAAATGAATCATTCAAGGGTCATTAAATATAATGGATTAGGGTTATAAAACATACTTCAGTCCTATAGAGAAATACAAGAAGCCAAATGAGATTTGTTTTTAGTAATTGTTGATTTACATGAGCTACATATATTGTATATATAAATTCAGATTGTTATGTTAATATAAATTTGACAGAGAATACCAAGTGGCTTTGGAAGGAAATTTTGTGTTCTTGATTCATAAACACTTTTTAAAAGTCAAGTGTTTTTCAGACAATAAAGTAATGCTTGAAATCTTTATGTTTTACCCTATTTTCTAACATGTGTCTTGAAAGCAGCCTACAGTGTCCTAAAATTTTGCCAAAAGCATATATTTTCCAAGTTCTAAGAAATAATCTGTAGGATCTAATGAGCCCCTGCTAGTCATGATCCAGATTATTATTTTTAAGAATTTCTTTATATTTATTTCTTGGGAATTTTAATGTAATTATTTCAGTAAGTTAAACCACAAATTTTATTACCATTATGTGCATTTATTTTTGTATTGTATTTGGTACTTTTCTAATATAGATTTATGCTACTGTAAAGTTACTAGTTTATTTATTATACTTCCAAATTTGTTATCTTTCTTTCAATTTCAAAGTATTTTTCCACCATTGTATGAGTTAGAATACATAACAGGTTCCTATAACAAAGAGAATTAAAAATATTGTGAGCCAAACAAGGAGACACAGTTATTTAACACACACACAAAGATTGTATTTGCCTTCGTGTGATAGCTAGATGTTGTGAGGCACCCAGACTTATTCTGTAAGTTCTACACGTTCAGCTCGTGACTTCCACAAGGTAATACACAGTGGCTTCTCCAGCTTCTACCATCACAGCATGCAGATGAAAGATATAAGACGCAGAAGGCACAGGCAATTCTGTTAAGGCCATAGCCTGGTGGTTGCGCACAACAACTCTCTCACATCTATTGTCCAGAACCTAAAGATATGATTACACCAGGGTGCACAAGAGGCTTGGATATTTAATCTTTATCTGAGCAGCCATGTGATAAACAGAAGCTTGTATTACCAAAAAATAAGGAGAGAACAGATATTGAGAGATTGGGAGAACTATCCATCTCTGTCACAGCTACCCAACCCTCATCCATCATTAAAGACCTAACATATAGGTCTTTTATGACTCTCCCAAGCTACCACTTGCTCCTCTTTCTGTGCCCCTGCAGCACTCTTATGATTTGTTTATAAAGATCTGTCTTCCTTTTTTAGAATTAATGTCTTGAAGTGTCCTCTCTGTGTCATATGCACCTTCTTATTCAGTGTCTCTGGTTTGTTGGGGATAAAGAGATAAATGAATGGATATTTTAGAAGATCTGTTAAGTCAATGAGATAAATAAAAGGGAACCTCTGACCTGTTTGTAAACAATAGAAAATGATTTAATCAGTTGTATGGAAATGTTGAGGAAAATAAAATAAAATGTGTTTTTATCTAATGACTCAATCTAATTCAAACAGGTATTTCTCTGGGTTTTTCGAATGACTTATTTTGACACTTTCCTCACATTAGTAGAGCACATCTGAAAGGTGTACATTTGGATATAATCATGATTTTATTTTGTTTAAGTGTGTTTGTTTGTGTAAATTTTATAATGTAGTAACACTTTAATTCATATGTAGCAGTGTGACTTACAAATATTCATAGTCTTTAAAATGTATATAGTTTATCTTGCTTCAACTAGTAATCATCTCTATAAATAAAATATATCAAGATGATAATAATACTGAGAAAGTTAAATTGAATATAGTTGGAAATAAACTTCATGTTTCCAAAGCTTCTCTACAAAGGACAACAAATTTTGAAACAAAATTTCAAAGAACAACAATTTTCTCTTGACAGTGAAATATCTGATTAGAAAAAAACAGGGCCGGGCATGGTGGTTCACGCTTATAATCCCAGCACTGTGGGAGGCCAACGAGGGTGGATCATGAGGTCAGGAGTTTGAGACCAGCCTGACCAACATGGTGAAACCCTGTCTCTACTAAAAATACAAAAATTAGCTGGGTGTGGTGGCGGGCACCTGTAATCCCAACTACACGGGAGCCTGAGGCAGAGAATGGCTTGAATCCAGAGGCAGAGTTTGCAGTTAGCCGAAATCCCGCCACTGCACTCCAGGGTGGGCAACAGAGCAAGACTCCATCAAAAAAAAAAAAAAGTATAAATTTTCCAAGTATTTATATACAAATGATAACACCAAAACCAAAAACCAAAGCTTATTCACTCTTAATCTAAGTAAGCAAGTTTGGATAGACCCCCACTAAGTATGAGCATAGTCTTTAATGCTACAATGTAAACAAATATACTTATGTCATATAAACTACTTTATTATTCTGGCAAGTTGGGAACCATTGATATAGGATTTGTGAGACTCAATAATAATAGACTTTTGAGGCACAGCATTTCCTAAATTTAATTCTTTATTTTTTTGTTTACCTCCATAGAACTGCCAAACTAATTTGAATTCAATTTGCTTTTTCCTTAAAATGCTGAACTAATGACAACAACACTTACCTGGTTTCACAAGCTACAAGACTAGAAAGAATTCTTAACTATCCCAGAACTTCACTGTCTATAACCAGTTAAGAACAAATAACTAATAAACCTACTTTCTCCACATCTTTCAAATCTATTTCTTAACATCTTCACTGGCAGTAAGTTTTTACAACTTTTGTTACCTCTCAGTTTCCTGTTTTGTCTCTTTTGCTCCAATCTACTTCCCACATGTAAAACAAATAATTCTTCTAAAATATAAATGGCTTCACATTGTCTTTTTTAGCTTTGCCCATTAAACAGTTCTGGGGACAATGACAGCTCAGTACAACAAAAACTGCAAGGGCCCAAATCTATATTTTAAAATAATATTTTCAACCAATAGGCCAAGCCTCCTTGATTCCAACATAGCTGATTCTAGTGTTGTGATAGCTTTTGCCAGAAGCAAAAAGCTACTCAAAGTGTAATAGAGGCCTATCAAAAGGATAAAAGGATCAGTTTGAGGATATTTTTGTTGCCCCATATTTGGGACAATATAACCAAAAATGTAATAATGACTAATTAATTGCTATGTATATAGAGAGAGCAATATAATTAATCAGTTTTCTGGAAATGTTGAGGAAAATAAAATAAAATGTTTTTATCTAGTGACTCAATCTAATTCAAGTAGATATTTCTCTGGGCTTTTGAATGATATATATATAAGTGTACATACACACACACACACACACACACACACACTTTGTAAAGACAGGGTCTTGCTATGTTGCTCAGGCTGGTCTCAAACTCCTGGACTCAAGTGATCCTTCCACCTTGGCCTCCCAAAGTCCTGGGATTGCATGTGTTAGCCACTTTCCCCAGGCTGCAATACTGATTAAAAACTTTAAACAGTCAGTTTCACTTTACTGGAAGTGATTATTACACTAACCTCTTAATCTGAATATTGGCAAGTGAAGGAGTTAAGCTTTGCTTGTAACTTTGGATGGAAGAATGTAGTACATCCCAATTGAGAAAGAAAACTTTCTTATAAAAGAATTCCAGCCATTAAATACAGGAAGAAAAATAGACTCAAAATTCACCATTTTGTAACCCTTAATAAAATATTTGACTCAGAAAAAATGATCACTAATAGTTGCTAAAGCCATTCATTGAAAAATTCAGGGGGAAAGAATATATTCTCATGATGCTAGAGTATCATGTCACTGATTACTTGTAAAGAAGAAAATTATATATTTTTTAAAATAGCAGTTGCCCACCCGCTTACCCAAGTAATCACTAAAAATGGGACAATCTAATGATAAGCCTACTAATATGCTGCAATCAACCAGTACATCAACCAGGAAATATTCCCCCAAGTAACTATTTAAAATGTGTCCAAGAGAGACTTTAATTATATTTCAAAGATTACAAGAATTTTAGGAAATAAATCAACAAATTAAAAGTTACCAAAGGAAATAATTAGATAAAGTCAACAAGGGGGATGACTGTTATGAAAAAGAGTTGAGATGAACATTCTAGTTAAATTGAGATTAAAGACAGAACAACAAAGTGTGATATATGAAATGTGATTAGATTTTGATTTTTAAAACACCCATATAAAAGACATTTTGTGGTTATTTTGGGAAGTTTTAATATGGACTACATTTTAGAAGATGTTAGTAAAAAATTTTTGAATTGCTTGGAAGTGATCATGACATTGTGGATATATAAAATGATGATCTTATTTTTTAGAAAATTTATATGTATGCATTTAAAGAGTTCCAAGTTGTCTATACCTTATTTTTAGCAAAAAATATATAAACAAAATAGATAAAACAAATACAGAAGAATGTTAACAATTGTTGAATGTTAGTTGTGTGTACAAAATGTTCTGAGTACATATCTTCAGTCTGCATGTTAAAAATTTTCAAGATAAAATGTTCGAAGAGCAATGGTCATCAATGCCTTATTAAATTGCAAGTTCAGTATCTTTTGTTCTGCCTTAATTTTCCTTGAGCCTCGTATATTATGCACTTAAATTTTCTTTCTTTCTTTCAATCAGCAGATACTTCATAAGCAACATAATTTGGGAATATTAATTCTCTGTGACTCAGTTTTCTTTCTCTTCCAATCTGAAATATCTGCGCATTCCCCAAACATCCATCCTTAGCTTTACCATCTCTTCATCATTGATTTTCAACCTCAAGAAACTTATTAAACCTCACACTATCAACTACCATTCTATCATAACTATCAATCCCAAAACTTTATCTACAATATATCAGTCAATGTTATTGTATGAGAAGACTATATTAGAACCAAATCAATTTCTCAAATGAACACGTATTTGTAATACATTTCTTATTTGAATAAAAAGTTGTTTTGAAAGTGACAATATGATTCTAAGAATCTTCTCAAATAATAAAGCAGCAAGTATAATGAGAATAACATGAAAAGGCTAAAATTTAAAGATATTTGTCAAATGCACTATTGTAGCACCATAAAGGAAATATTGTGGTAATGGCACCAGAATAGATGGATTAATAAATTTAGCAGAGCAGAAAGCTCACATCAAACTCAACTAACATATGATCATAGTGACATTTAAAATTAATGGGAAAATTCTGAATTATTTAATAAATAGTGCTGAAATCATTGGGAAATATTTGGAAAAAATATTAAAGTCACATTCATCCTCACAATGTATACAAAAGTAAATGCAGAGGTTATTCATGCTTTCATTCAACAAAGGACCTACGTGGCAAACACTATTAACTATTAAATAGATATGTAGATATGTAAATAAAAATATAAATAAAATTTCCCAAAAAAGGAAGAATTATGTGTATTAATATATTAAAATTCACGAATAGCCTTCTATATAAAAATTTACAGATGACCATATATATATATACACACACACACACATATATATACATATGTATAGCTATTCGTAAATGTTTAGGTGGAGAAGAGATAAGTATAGAAAAGGAAAAATGCAAAGAGGAAACATCAAATATATTGACTGTATGCATGCATGTATGTATTTACTTATTTTCTGTAGTGATGAAGTCTTGCTATGTTGCCTAGGCTGGTCTCAAACTCCTGGCTTCATATGGTCCTCCCACCTCATCCTCACAAAATGGTGACATTACAAGTGTAAGCCACTGTGTCTATCCTGTATTGACTACAATCAAAGCAATCCTCCCCAAAATAAGCAAACAAATGGACAACGAACAAAAAAAAATCATGAAATGGTGCAAGGCCTCGAAAATTAAAATGTGAAGGACAGATATTTCAAATATATAAGATAGTTAAAATGTTAATATAAAGAATTTTTACAGGACAATAACAAATATCTTTTTTTCCAGCTCTTATCCTTCTCCTAAAATTCAAGCCCATAATGTTCAGTTCACCTGTGCTAATCATTATTCTTAGAAATATTATTCTTAGAGAAAGAATTGCATTTTAAACTTTCATGAACTTTCTTTAGCCATTTATTGCTCATAATACATTTGATTATCCATCCAAGTATTTATTAAAATCTTCTCTTCTTCAAAAAATAGGGTCTCTTTTATATATTTTTTTTTCTGACCAATTGAGAATAAAGAGGTTCTCTCTTTCTTTGAAAGCTTATCCTTCTAGAACAAGGCAGTTTACCATGATCATTAGTGATGGGCAAAACTTGTCTTTCATACTTGATAACAAAATTTAAAAGTTTAATTTTTAGTTAATTTCCAATTCTCCATTAAAATGAATGAGTCAAAATAACCTTACCAAATCATGCTTCAGATGGGAATTAGTTCGTATGATGCATATCACATTGATTTTATGCTGCTATGTAGTGGAAATATTGTTGCACATGTCTTTCTCATTAATTCTAACCTTTCTAAATATACTAAAAATATTTGTAAAAAAAATTTATTCAACAGAAATTTCGAAGAATGAATAAACTGAATGAGTGAGTGAATGAAAACATGACTGACTGGTAGAGTTTTGTTAAAAACTAATTGCCTAATTATGTTTCTATGAGAGAAAACTTAAATGATAGTGTACCTAGTCAATGTAATATTTGCAATCAGCAAAATGGATGAATTAAATCTGCATGTATTGAACATAAATATGGCCACATAACATGATATGTTATTTAATGAATACATGGGTATGCATGAAATGCAGACTATACAATATGTGCATATGTCCATGCATGCATGAGCATGTGGAACATGCATGTATGGTTATTAGTAGAAATTATCTTGGTGGCAAATGACAGAAATTGAAGTAAATGAGACAAGCAAATTCAAAATGATTTTCTCATATAACTTTGAAATCCGCAATAGGATTGAATCAGGGCTCAGTAAATTTATCAGGGTCTTTATCGCTCAAATTTACTTCTCTGTGTGTGTTGAACTCATTAACTCTTACAGCAAATAGCCTTCTTTAATACATTCAAAATAAAGAGTAGCATCAATTTCCAATATACATATTAGCAGTTTATCAAACCCAGAAAAAAGGGAGTAATTTTTCTCTTAGAATTTGTGGCCAGACATGGTAGCTCATGACTGTAATCCCAGAACTTTGGGAGGCCCAGGTGGTCAGATGACTTGAGGTCAGAAGTTAGAGACCAGCCTGGGCAACAGGGTGAAACCCTGTCTCTATTAAAAATACAAAAATTAGCTGGGCATGGTGGCATCCACCTGTAGTTCCAGCTCTACCTGTGAGGTTGAAGCATGAGAATCGCTTGAACCGGGGAGGCGGAGATTGCAGCGAGTTGAGATTGCGCCACTGCACTTCCCGCCTGGGCGACAGAGCAAAACTCTAATTAAAAAAAAAAAAATTACTCTAAAAATTAAGAATAGACAAACAGAAAATATACGACAAAACCCACATACACTGACAAACAAAATATGAAACTAAGAAGAAATAGGTAAAGAAGCACTGAAAATACTGACATTTTCCTATTTAAAAACAAAAAGAAACAGTTGCTTTTTTGTTCCTTTTAGTCAATTATTCCCATTATGGGTTCTAAATTAGCCTCTTTTTAAAAGTTACTGAAAAGAATCCATAACTCCCCAGCTGTCATTATAAGAACTGAAATTTGCTTACATTAAAGGAAGTCTTTAGGGGTGGTTTTGTTACTGTTAAAGCTTGTCTTTTACCTTGGATAGAAGAAAACCATCATCTATTTTATGACATTTCAAGCAATTTTATTTACCATTGAATAATTTGGCAGCAGAATAATCTAGCAAGTCAATTTATCAAACCTTTACTAGATACATTATTCCAATAGTGCTTTTGAAATTGCATTGACATTGACTCCGACACTGTCCATTATCAGTGAGTGAGTTATTTTAATTCAAAATGACATAATCAATTGGAGGAGAAACTCATACACACAGAAAATAAGTGACTCTTTTTCTAGTAGAAAGCATTTTTTGCATATCTTAAAAATTTAAGTGTGAACTGATAGTTTATATTCAGGTTTGATTAACCTTAATTGTTAAAATTCTATTGTAGGTTGCGTTTTCTGAAAGCAGACAGACTCTGGTGGAGGTTATCATGTTAGACATTTATTAGGGAGTGATCTTGGTTGGGATTATCCCCCATAGAAGGGAAAGGAAGGATGCAGGAGTGGCTGAGGAACAAGTCCAGGTGTGATGGGGTCTGGCAACAGCCTTGACTGAACACACTTCACTGAGCTGGTGAGAGCTGGTGCTAAATTACCTGCAAGGTAATAGCCTTGGCTTTATACTTCAACTCCATCAGACATTGGATGTGGATGTCCTGGAAGGGCATGACTTTGCAGGAGGCAGCTTACTGCAGTTGCAGTCATCTCAGAATGGACTGAGAGCTGATAGCTGTCATTCCTGTCAAATGGTCATCGAATACATTCCTGAACCAGGAATTAAACAATATATTGCCATGTTCACCACAGATTTCGAATGTCATTCTTAGTTGGCATGCACTTAAGTCATATTTAAAAAATTATATATTTATCATAATGTAAAAATTAGACATATAGAAAATTAATTACTATGTCATAATTTTTATGAAAAAAAAATGTACATGCATTACAGTTAATACATCCAGTTCCTATTAGGATTCACATTCCCAGTTGGATGTGAAGCATGTGAAAAAGTCTTTTATAGTTGTAATCTAATTTAACAAAATATGGGAGGAGTCAGGGTGTTTCATATAATAAACCTGAATAATCGAGAATTTTATCAAAATCATAGCATTAATTCACATTTCCTCAATCATTGCTGCTTATTGCTTTTTAGCCTAGGACAGTTTTAAGCATACATTTGGAATGTATTTTTTTTTCTTTTCACCAAGATACAGCATTTTATAGGTTTCAACACTCACTCTTATAGAAACAAAAAAAAAATTAAAAAAAAAAAGAAGGATACTTTAGGTTACTTCAGTATTATTTTTTAACTTTCTATAGGTGCCCAATACTCTTCCACCTTTACAAAACCAAAAACAGAACTTCTGCTTGTGGTGATTATAAAAGTGTGTTTCTTTCCTCCATTCATAATTTCTTGCATATGGTCAATTAGTGTTTCTTTTATTTTTCTTTTTCTTTTTTTGAGATGGAGTCTCGCTCTGCCGCCCAGGCTGGAGTGCAGGGGCACTATCTCCGCTCACTGCAAGCTCCGCCTCCCGGGTTCACGCCATTCTCCTGCCTCAGCCTCCGGAGTAGCTGGGACTACAGGCCGCCATCATGCCTGGCTAATTTTTTGTATTTTTACTAGAGACGGGGTTTCACCATGTTAGCTAGGATGGTCTAGATCTCCTGACTTCGTGATCCGCCTGCCTGGGCCTCCCAAAGTGCTGGGATTACGGGCATGAGCCACCGCGCCCGGCCAATTAACGTTTCATTTCAATGCATCTCACCCTTTCCACCCAAATTAATTACTGTTACTTTACTGCCCACTTTACTTTTCCTTCTGTCCTTCCTCATTCACTGTTTGTAAAGAATGCACTTAACCCATGGGTCATATGCAATACTAAAAAGCAACTTTTGTGATTTGAGACATTTGAGCTTATTTTTCTCGACCTTGAAAACAATGTTAATTCTCAAGGGAACAATATGAAAGTGAGCATCTTTACCTTTGGAGACCTTAATAGTCTCTGCTACCACTAAAAATTATGAATTGTCTTATCTGAGAGATTTCATTATCTATAAAACTCTTCATTGGACTACTAAGGTTTGAAAGGCTAAAGTCAAAAGACAAATTGTGAGCCTAAAGATCTCTCTGGAAGAGAAGACACTGGCAAAATGCCAAGGGACTTTCTTCACAATTCTAGGGCATTTCACCCATGAGACCTAGTAATGAGAATGAACTTCTTCCCATGATGTACTATTTGATTTGGCTTAGTTAGTAATTAGAACCAGATGGTGATTTCAAAACTCCATTAACTTTAAATATATGTATATACCTTTAACTTCATTTTAATGAACATATATAGATATTTATTGGAAATCAATAGATGGACTGTGGGTCTAACGGAAAGCACAATTGTGCAGATACCACAGAATGTTACTTTTAAAACGTGACCTCAAATTATTTGATGCTCTTTCTATTGTGAAGTGGGACCCCCTTTCCTTGTATCTGAGTGGGCTTATAACTACTTTGACCAAGAGAATAGCATAGATATGACCCTCAGATTTTCAAGGCTAAGTCAGAAAGTCATATGTCTTCTGCCTTTTTCCCTGGAATATTTGCGCTGGAGTCCTGGGACATGATGTAAGGAATTTGACTATCTTCAGGCCACCATACTTTGAGGAAGCCCAAGCCACACAGAGAAGACTGAGGTAGAAGCGCGGGTCAAGAGTCCCATGCGAGACTAATTTTTGAGTCACTCCAGCCCAGGTGCCAATAAGGCAAGTGAAAAAGCCTCCAAATAGTTATAGATCCCAGCCCTTTGAGTCACCACTAGGTAATTGAGATTTCCAAGCTGAGCCCGGGACCTGAGAAGCAGGGATAAGCCATTCCCATTGTGTAAGCCCAAACTCCCGACTCACAGGATATCTGAGCGTAGTAAAAGGGTTGTGGTTTTGTGGTATGTGAGGTGATTGTTACACAGCAGTAGGTACCTAGAATGCTCAGGTACTACAATGATGTGAACGAATCCTATCGCAATAAGATGGAAAAACAAATGAATCTCACAATATGCTCTTAATTTAAAAAATAACATGGTTCTTTAATGACAAGAGATTCAGAGTCAGAACCATAGTAAATGCCAGTAATTTATGCATGCAATCAATGCCATTTGATATAAATTATGAACTATTTATTTACTTTAAAATCTATATCAAGCTTAACTAAAAACAAGAAACTTTATATTCTTTTAAGTAATTTTTCTGTTAAATATGCACCAAACTATTTCCATATAATTACTATAAAAATTAGACAAGAAAAGTAAATGCTTTTGTGAGCAGTAATTTAGCCAAGATTGCTTAATAACTACTAAAAACCACTGAGATGCATATTACCCAGAAGGATAGCAGACAGACTTCAGAATTTGACTTTGGCTGTGTTGCATTGTTGTTTCAATGGGCTTCCCATTTAATGAAAATAGATACTTTGTAAAACTTTTCAGAATAAGCTATTCAATAATTTTTCCTATTCCTCTACATGAGAATATTTCACACTGTGTTTAAAAAAAAAATCCCCTTCAAGAGGCCGAGGTAGACGGATCACAAGGTCAAGAGATCGAGACCATCCTGGCTAACATGGTGAAACCCCGTCTCTACTAAAAATACAAAAAAAAAAAAAAAAAATTAGCTGGGCATGGTGGCTCATGCCTGTAGTCCCAGCTACTCGGAAGGCTGAGGCAGGAGAATCACTTCAACCTGGGAGGCAGAGGTTGCAGTGAGCCAAGATCACACCACTGCCCTCCAGCCTGGTGACAGAGCAACAGTCCGTCTCAAAAAAAAAAAAAAAAAAAAAAAAAGAAAAAAGAAAAAAAATCCCTACTGACTTGGTTTTTTGTTTGTTTGTTTCTTAGGCATTTGCTCAGACTTAAAGTTTACTGGCTAATCAGCAAAATTCCCATATGTACTTATCTAACAGGAGAAAGAGAATAAAAAGACTATAAGTTACTATATACATCCAAGCCCTTACTAAGTTGGAACTTCTATTAAAAGTTGGCTGAGAGTTCCAAGTCTTTACAACCCTGAAGTAACATACCGATAGGATCCCTGTTCAACTCTCAAACGACATTAGTTTTGGCTTCTATCAATAGCACGTTTCATGAAATGCCATGGATTGTGTGAAACATTATGCACAGACCATGCACTATCAAAGCTGGAATAAATCTTGGAGGTTGAGTTTAAATCACCAATTTAACACTGGAGTTGAACTGTATCACTGACTATGTTACTGCCTCAACTATCTTACAAAAAAAAGCTGCTTATATTCTTTCCACTGGATGACCTTCCAGCTAAGTCACAAGTAAACTTATCTGTGGAGTGCAGCTTGGAATCTTAATGTAGGATGTCTGTCTGTCTGGCAGATTTCAGAGAGTTAATTGCAGTACAACCAGAATATTGATACCTTATTTTCCCATAATTTTTTAGATTGATAGCAGAACAACTAACAGGATGCTAAAACATAAATAAATGTCTACACTATGTCAAATGACTCATTTAATAGTGTTATCATGCAGAGATTTACTATGAGTTTATGGTTATTTGTATTTCTTCATCAGTAGTTGACAATTTTTGCTCTATTCTGACATAATAAAATTTCCTTTGTCAAATCTTATTACTGAGACATGGACATCGACCACAAGGCCAGCCTTTACTAGTCTATTTTATTTCCCTTCTTAAATCTTCGGGTTAGTAAAACTTCTAAGGAGAAGTTTGGCATGAAAATTGCAAGTAGCACTGAATGTAAAGTGTTATATGGGATGATGAAGAGAGAATATAAAATGAATCTGATGGGACAGCTCAGAAATCTGAGATATAAAGCAAGCATGCATTCTTCTTTTCAGATTTTATTGATATTCTGGACCTAAGAGCCTCATAAAGCTATATGGAAGTCCTTCATGGATTACAAGGTATTAGGGGTGAATTCTTTAGAGACCGGGGCATGAGTAGATTTCATTACAGCAGCTAAGAGTGCATTTTATCAGCCACAACTTAAATAGCTCAGTCAAAAAAAAAAAACACTTTATAATATCACTTGTCATAAATAAACAAGTAAATAAATATTATTACACCAAATAAAAGAAATGGAAATAACACAAAATGCAGATGTCTTGGATGACAGAAAATCATTAGGTACTAATTCATATTAGCCTGTTAGGCTGTGTTGCTTTCCTATTAAACACTCAAAGTTTTTAAGAAAATACATAGAGCTTGTTTCTTTTTTCTAATTATATCATGTATTTCAATGGCCAAATTTTCACTCTTCAAGTCTTGAGAATTAAAGCATTTATACCATATTTGACGGAGCGCTTGGCTTAATGAGAACTCAAACTCTGGCATTATTAACTCACAAGCAAAAGTTGAAAATGCATCTA
Organism: Homo sapiens; assembly: GCF_000001405.40. Classification (NCBI taxonomy): domain Eukaryota; kingdom Metazoa; phylum Chordata; class Mammalia; order Primates; family Hominidae; genus Homo; species Homo sapiens. The sequence continues at coordinate 30,484,614 of NC_000018.10, forward strand.
ATGCTTTGATATTCACAAATTTAAAGACAAATCCCTGTTTTTTAAAGGCTATTGCAAATACTTTTTCAAATAAAAAGTATATAACCCTCTCATCTGTAGCTTCTCAAAATATAGGTTTTTTCCTACAAGTAAAGGAATGTTCAATTGATACAACATTTTGAAGAGGAGACACACACACACACACGCACACATGTATTATACATCACTGTACACATTTGCTTATATAGCATATATGATGATACACAAACATATATTTAATGAATACAGGCTATTAATGGATTCTACAATTTTAAAGCTCAGGTCATATGTATGATAGAAACAATCTGTACATGATGTTTAAATGAAACACATCATTCTGTGTCTTGGAAATTCTGCAGAAAACAAGACAAGCAGGATAATTCCCAACAGGGAGTTTACAATGTAGCAGAGAAACACTTTCAGTAATTAAAACTTTAAATAGATACATAGAAAATCAACAATTTCAAATTTTAAATTATATTAAAAATTGATATTTTGATCTTATGTGAAATGACAGGGTGAAGAGGAGCTAATTTGGCTAGGATATGTAGTGGGACCTCACAGAAGAGGTGGTATTTGAGGTATGATCTAAAAGATGAGAGAGATCACTGATTCAAAAAGCCTGCATGACTCAGGGAGTGGTGTGAGCAAATGCAAAGATACGGAGGTAGCTCAATGAGGCAAGTGTGAGTGAGAGAAGTAGTAGAAAAACAGGACCAACTGTGTTTGAAAACCTACTTAATCATCTTTTAGCGTGTCCTTTGAGAGGTAATATCTAGCAAAGAAGACAAAAGAACTTTGATGTTTCATAACTTAGTAATTACTGGGTAATATAATCATTTTTTCATCACAAATTATTTAGGTCTCTGACATCTCATTTTAGACATGTAGCAAAGAAGACAAAAGAATCTTGGTGTTTCATAGCTCAGTAACTACAGGGTAATATAATCGTTTTATCATCACAGATTAGTTAGGTCTGTGACATCTGGTTTTAGAGTATGCAGGTAAATATTTATCTCAATTTGGGACAATGTGATGAGGAACACAGCACTGAGAGATGTGTGACAGTTTTCTTGAAAAGTTCTTGTCTTTGAAACAGCTCTGTGAACTACAGATTTAAACCAACAAGCGGGTCGATTTGACTCCATTCATTCATTCCATTTATCTTCCCACAAATATTTACAACATATAGCATATAGCATATCTGCTTATATGCTTCAAATAGAGAGACAGGTAAAAAGTCCATTACTAGAAAAGCTGAGAGGTATCATACTTGAGAAGGAGGAGCTGATTCACATATTGCATATTTCTGTTTGCAGAGCCTTGCCCATAATATGATCACAGTCCATAGCTGATAAATGGCAGAAATGAGATATGACCCTTTGTCTACATAATTTTTCTTTCCCTCTCCTATTCTTTCTTTAGTAATGATTATATTCTTGCTTGCCTTTTTACTTTCTTTTTTCTTTTCCTTTTGTTTTTCTTTGATGAGTTTTCAGATTAGTTCACAAATTTTCTTATAATTCTGTCTTCCCTTATGTAAGTTATCCTTTCATAATCTCTTTCTGTGAACCATAAAGGGTAAATAAAATTTCCTATTTACCTTAATTGATAAATTAGGGACTCTAATTGATAAATTAATCAAAGCACTGAAATGTTAAGATGGCAAAAGGAGCATCCACATACAGGACAGAGCCATGGAGAAAAACAGTGGCAGATAAACTCAGATTTTCAATGAATCGTTATGGGACCAGGATGTAGGTTGATGAGGGAATTTTGTCAGGTGTCAAAGGATGTCAGGTTTTTGGAAAGAGAAATTAAGAAAAATTACTTGAAAATCACAATCTGCACAAAAAGACTATCTCTTCTATTTCCTGGCCCCGCATTATTTGAGAGGCATGCAAGCAGGAAGTTTTCTTAAGAAGCAGTCAGATTTAAGTTAGAGCTAGAAGTGACTAGAAACTCAACAGAAGAAAATGACCCACTAGGAAACATACGCACTAGGATTCAGGCAAAGAAGTAGCAGAAAGGAATATTTGTCCGCTTTTGACTTATTTAAAGGTTGGGAAATTCAAAAGCTGAGGCTGAGGGAAAACAAGTTGTGGAAAGGATTACATGATGGCTGGAGCAGGCATTTTAGATTATTAACAACTGCAGCACTGTTGCAGATTTCTATGAATAATTCAAATGAAGTGACAGGGGAAAACTTTAGCAGCAGGCATTATTTAAGGGTTTAAGCAGCAATTGCCATCCAGATACAGGACTGAAAAAAAAACAAGGACCTCGGTTTTAGAAATTCTGGAAGAAATCAGGATATATGTATTCTGTGGCACACAGTATTTTCTTAAAGACCATAGAGAAAACTTCTGGCAGCCCATAAAACTCATTCTCCTCTTCTTCTATTGTAATGAACAGCCAGATTCAAGGCTGTGAACTAGCCTGTGGTTTCTAGCTTCCTAACAGTTAGGCATGGTTAGTGATTAAATACAAAACTATGTATGTTGGCACAATTAGTACATTTTTAATGTTTTAATATATTTCTAGCTTCTTTGTAGAAATACAAACAACTATGAATTAATATTTCTCTTTTTTTCCAAATTTTGATACATATGTAACATACTATTACAACTCTCTGTTTTCCCCTTCATTTAACATATAACTTCTATATATTCCATTGAACATAAAAAGCAGAAAGCATGGTCATTTTTTACTTCTTTGGTAGTACATAGTATTATATTTTATGGATTTACCATATTTTACTTAAACACTCAACTTTATTAGATTTCTAGGTTAATTCATTCACTCAACTTATCTGCATTAAATCCTACTATGACCAGGATTATTTCAGATTTTTATAAATGAACAAAACAGATAATGATTGAAACCTTCTTGTAATTTATATTGTAGAGGGGAGAGGCAGACAATATGGGAACTATGTTCCAATAAAAGGAAAGGGTATTATTCCAGCACATACCTAGTATATTTGAAGAATCGTAGGAAAGCCAATGGGCCTGGGGCACAGGAGGTAAAGTGGGAAATGGCAGAAGATGAAGATGAGATCAAAGAGCAGCCACTGGAAGTGCTTGAATATTTTCTCTGAGAGAATTGCAGAATCATTGCAGGCTTTAGGCAGTGAGTTGATTTGACTCAGTTTTTTAATCACCAACAATACTGCAATAAATGAATTTTTACACTTGTCATTTATGTATTCCAAGTATTAGTGTAAGATAATTCCTAGGGTTTAGGCTCATAGCAAAAAGATATATACTTTAAAAAATTTGATAGCTATTGCCAGAAATGCCTCCCAATAGAGGCTGCATTATTTTACACTCCCATTGGCAACATACGACTATCTGTTTCTGTTGTGTTTTTATTTCTGTTCTCTTTTTCTGGTGTTCATGTACATGTATTGTCATTGTTGTTTTAATATGAAAGAAATTGCTTTAAAAAATAGAGATGGGGTCTCCGTATGTTGTCAAGGCTGGTCTTGAATTCCTGGGCTCAAGTTAATCTCCTGACTCAGCCTCCCAAAGTAATGGGATTACAAGAGTGAGTCACAGCACACAGCTGAGCTTACCCTTTCTTTTTTTTCCTATTTGCTGTGGGTGTTATTATATTAGATATAAAGGATTTAAACAAGTTTATATGAAGATAGAAAGTTTTCTGTATAAAAGGTGCAATTTGGTATTCTAGAAGAATGTGAGATAATAAGTTGATGTGACATCTAAAGATTCAGGACAGCACACCACTTGTAAATACAGGAACAATTATGGACCTGACATTGGTGAAGAAATTTCCATTTTAAGGAAACAAGAGGTATGCATAGATGTGGACAAGACTGTTGGTTTGTTGGAAGCTAGAATTGGGCTTTACAACTTCATGTATTCTATTTTCTTTATGAAGTGGTAGTCAGGGTGGGGGGGTGTCTATTGAGAAGAAAAGTGATTGTGAATAAGGGAAGCAAGTATAAAAGATTAACTATCTCTTATCTCTTGTAGAGAATGAGAAAGAAGATTGTTTAGTGAAACAATTCAGCTGAAACCTGTTAGAACACTAATCACACTGGTGACTATGTCAGTTGGCTCAAGTGTGTGACTTTTTTTTCCAGTTTCTCAGAAGTGTATGTTCAAATAAACAGAATACAGGTAGTAGGATTTATCCAAGGCTAGATGCTTGCTGGGAAGATAGGATGAAAAGACATCAGGTCAAAGTTGTTTAGAAATTCTTCAAAGAGAGTTTGAAGCATTGGACTGTAAAATCCAAGCTAGGAAGAAGAAATGCATTCTAAAAACTTTTGAAAAATTTTTATTCTCTCCTTCTCTTTAGCACTACATACCATAATCTGTATCATGGTACAGAGCTTCATCTATCCTCTATCAGAGACAATAAAATTTTTGAAATTAATTCCTTTTGACAAATTAAAAAGTATATATGTATTTTGTGCAGCATGATGTTTTGAAGTATGTACATATATTATGGAATGGCTAACCAACAAATGTGTTACTTCACACACTTATATTTCTGTGGTGAGAACACTCAAAATCCACTCTCTTTGTTATCTTAAATAATACAATACATTGTTACTAAATATCATCACCATATTATATGCCATTTCTCTTGAACATATTGTTCCTGCGTGTCTAAAATTGTGTATCCTTTGACTAGCATTTCCCAAACCCGACCCTCTCTTTCTAATAATGATTCTAATCACCATTCTACTCTTTGCTTCTGTGAAGTCAACTTTGTAAAAATTCCACCTATAAGTGAGATCATGCTGTATTTGTCTTTCTGGGCCTGGCTTATTTTACTTAACAGTGTTCTCTAGGTTCATCCCTGTTGTCACAATATATACAACAAATTTTGACTGCCATTGTTAATTAACAAAATTCATGGAATGTAATCAAACTGGACTTCATTTTTTTCCCCACACATTCTTTAAATATTCTCACGAAAAGTAGTCTGTCTCTTGCCAATCTTGCAGTCCCTTGACATTGGCAATCACTCTCATGAAAAAAAAAATAAAACTTTTAAAAACTCTCATGTTGAGTTGCAAACAGTCTGAATTCAGCAAGGAATTAGCACTTTGAACATGACTTACACTTTTGTCTCACAACGATGAGGTTTGATGTGTGTGAAGCAATTTCTGACTTTCTGTTTCTGTACATATTTCTACCTGCAGTACTAGATACCATTTTTTACATTCCTGGTAAAAGCAGGGGAAGAGCATGGTAGTTAAGAACAGTAGAAAGTTCTTTACTGACTTCTATTTTCACACATTATTTGTGATCTCTGGGCCTGAACAAAATTGAAATCTTTCTGTCTCCACAAAGCATCTATTTGCATGGTCTTCAGAGACCCCAACAATGCTGTTTTTCTTTCACTATTATTTCTGTTGAAGTGAGTGGGTGTGGCGCTTGTTTGTCTGTGTCTGCTCCCTGGAACCAGGTGGTGAACAGCCAGACTCCAGCTTCTTCTTCTCTGTTAAGGCCTGAGCAACCTAAGTGATACCTATGCAGCTCTTTCCCTGCTCCTAGAAGTTGCCTTAGGGTCATGGGAAACTAATTCAAGCTTTACCCTACCTTCGAGTTCAGCTACTTCCCAACAAAGCCTTCTCTCTCTTTCTCTCCTCTCTTATTCTCCCTCTCTCTCTTTTGCTCTCTCACTGTCTCTTTCTCTCTCCTACCACTCCCTCAGGCAAACAGAAACAGTTTCTGGCTTTCAGACTCCTCAGCCATACATCAGACAAAACTATGTCCATACAAACTTACAGGACATGTATTAGTTTCTCCTATTTGTTCTAGAGAAGCCCAACCTCTTTTCTGAATAGAAGGGGAATAATATTATAATATATAATATATTGATGTAATATATAATATTAATTTTAATTATATTAATAAAATATAAATTAAATTTAATTATATTAATATTAATATATTATATATTATATTATAATGTATAATATAACATATACTATCTAATATAATATATATTATAGATATAATATAATATATTATATATTATAGATATAATATAATATATTATATATTATAGATATAATATATTATATATTATAGATATAATATATTATATATTATAGATATAATATATTATATATTATAGATATAATATATTATATATTATAGATATAATATAATATATCATTATAGATGTAATATAATATATTATATATTATAGATATAATATAATATATTATGTATTATAGATATAATATAATTTATATTATAGATATAATATAAATTATATTATACATATAATATAATTTATATTATAGATATAAATTATATTATAGATATAATATAATTTATATTATAGATATAATATATAATATAATAATATATATTATCCATATATAATATAATATATTATGTAGTATATTATATATAATAATATAATATATTATATATTATATAACATATATATTATATTATATATTATATAACATATATATGTTATATAATATATTATATATTATATATTATATAATATATAATATATTATATTATAATATATTATATATTATATATTATATATAACATATATATTATATATATTATATATAACAATATATAATATAATATATTATATATAACAATATATAATATAATATATTATATATAACAATATATAATATAATATATTATATTATATATTATAATATATTATATTATATATTATAATATATATTATATATCATAATATATATTATATATCATATATCATATATTATATTATATATTATATATAACATAATATATTATATGTTATATATAATATATAATATAATAAATTATATATTATAACATATAATATAATATATAATATATAATATATTATTATATGTTTTTATATATTATAACATATTATATAATATATAGCATAATTCATGAGGTTATGTAACATATATGATTTATTGGTGAAGATTTAAAATAATAGAGGAGTAATTATATTTTTATTGATTGTTCATTCAAGCCATCATGCAAAGATTAAATGTAATATCCAGACATGAGGTTTTTTTCTTCAGGTCCTCAAGTCCAAGCACCATCCTTCAATCTCTTTATTTTCAAACACAACACTCCTGGCTTCTTTAACATCTCCCATTCAAAAAAAAATAAAGAAAGAAAGAAAAGAGAAGAGAGGGAGAATGAGAGGAAAGAAAGAAACATCTTTAACATCTCCCATTCGAAAAAAGAAAGAAAAAAGAAGAAGAAAGAAAGAAAGAGTGAGGGAGGGAGGGAAGGGATGGAGGGAGGGAGGGAAGTGAAAGAAGGAAGGAAGGAGAAAGAAGGAGGGAAGACAAGAAAGAGAAAGAAAGAAAGGAAAGGAAGAAGGAAAGAGGAAGGAAGGAAGGAAAGAAAGAAAGAAAAAGGAAGGAAGGAAAGAAAGAAAAAAAGAAAAAGAAAAAAGAAAGAAAGAAAAAAGAAAAAGAAGAAAGAAAGGAAAAAAAGAGAGAAAGAAAGAAGGAGGAAGGAAGGAGGGAGGGAGGGAAGGAAGGAAGGAGAAAGAAAGAAAAACGAAAGAAAGAAAAGAGAAGGAAAGAAAGAAAGAGGAAGAAAGAGAAAGAAAACAAAAGAGAAGTGGGGAAGAGGGAGGGAGAGGGAGGAAGAAAGGGAGGAAGGAAAGAAGGAACAAAGAAATGCAACAATGTTATTTGCATAATGCCCTGGCTCTGAAAAATGTTCATATTCAAACAATAGAGATCTTTGCATCATAACATTTCCTAATACCATGTATTTAACCATAGTTACGTCATTGCACAAGATGCTATGTCATCTGTCTTGCTGCCCATTGAGGCTGGCTTCAAAGCATTACCACATAGTTAGATACTATGTTTATTTGAGCACAACTGCAAGTCTTAGCCAGAGTAAACTTTGAATATACTTTTCCAAATATCTGTTCTCTTGAACTCTTTATACCATAGTCATTGCATTCCTAGTTTGTGATAGATATCATTGGATATGGAGTGCACTCCCATCTTCCAAAATCACAGCCAGGTATAGAATAAGCAAGGGGCCCATGGTAGGAACAAACAGAGTGGTTCCATTAGCACAAGATAGTTCCTCTTGTATACAGTGCATTTTAAGACTGCTCCCGAAAACACAATGTCACCACATGAATTAGCAATGAGAGAGGTCATGATTGGACACAGTTTTGGTGCTGCCAAGTGTGATCCTGAATGGCCTTGAAGGACATGTGTGTGGGCAGTCTCAAAGGACTGACTGGCCTGTGGAGCAGAGCATGTGGAGGGTGCCGGGTAACTACCTTGGGTGACTGTAGTGGGAGGTACACAGAGTAAAAGAGTCCCATTATCCTTCCGTCAACATCAGTGCTATAGACTAGAGGCAGTACTATGGTTAGAAAATAGCTGAGTAAGAGCCAATACATGGGTCCATATATATGGCTAGAGCCAAGGGTCACCGAATGCTACAGTTTGAATGTCTCCTTTGAAACTCATGTTGAAATTTAATTGCCACTGTTACAGTATTGAAATGTTGGGCTTTAAGAGGTTTTTAGGTTATGAGGGCTAAACTCTCATGAATGAATTCATATATGGGAGTGGGCCCCTGAAAAAAGGTTGATGTTGGCCCTCATTTGCTCTCTCTGTCTCATGTAATGTGGCATTCAGTTACAGAAGCAAAAAGTGGACTAAGACACTGAAGAAGCTTTGATATCCCATAGCCTTGAATTTGTCCTCTGACAAAAAATTACCCCAAATCAGTCTATTAGCATCATTCTGGAAGCTCAGTTTTGGGAATCTCACACACACAAAAATATTGTGCTTATCATGGGATAATATAGTTTGGATGTGCGTCCCCTGCAAATCTCATGTTAAAATGTGATCACCAGTGTTGGAGGTGGGGCTTGGTGGGAAGTGTTCGGATCATGAGGGTGACTCCCTCATGAATGGCTTGGTGCCGTCTTTTTGTTAACAGGTGAGTTCTCACTCTGAGTTCATGCAGGAGCCTGGCACCTCCCCTTTCTCTGCCTTGCTCCTTCTATTGCCATGTGACACCCAACACCCTGGCTCCCTTTCATCTTGATTTTATGTTTCCTGAGGCCCTCACCAAAAGCAGACTTCGGTACTATGTTTCATATACAGCCTACAGAACCGTAAGCCAAATAAACCCATTTTTAAAAAATTAGTCTCAGGCATTCCACTGTAGTAACACAAGTAGACTAACACAAGGGGACAATTCACTTTTGAGATCGTTCTCCTGGAACTGAAAGATGAGTGTGAATCCTAGATCTTCTTAATTCATTTCCAACCTCATGTGTAGAAGTAGAGGCCTTCAGAGAGCCTAAAAGGGGATAAAGAGCCAGGAGCTCACAGAAGTCTCTTTCCCGACTAAGAAAACCATGCCTGGACTACACAGCTGGTCCCAGATTGGCCTAGGCACTAGAGAAGGAAACCTAGAAAATATTATGAAAATCATTTCAAGGACTCCAGTCTCTGTCTTAGCTTCCTGGGACTGCTTTAAAAAAAAAAAAAAAAAAAAAAGGTCCCACAAACTGGCTTAAAACAACAGAAATGTATTCTCTCACATACTTTACATACTTTGAAACTGGAAGTCTGAAATCGAGTTGTCAGTGGAGCTTTGCTTCTTCTGAAGGCTCTAGGGAAGAATCTTTTCTTGCCTCTTCTAGCTTCAAGTAGTTGCCAGATATCCTTGATGTTCCTTGGCATTGCACCAATTTCTGCCTGTGCCTTTACAGGGCCTTCTCTTCTCTGTGTCTCTGCTCCAAATTTCCCTTTTCTTATAAGGGCATCAATCATATTGGATTTAGAGCCCACCCTAATCTGGTATGACTTCATCTTAACTTGGTTACATCTGCATAGACACTATTTACACATAAGGTTTTGTTCTGAGGTTCTGGGTGGACATGAACTTTGAGGGGAAATTATTCAACCGTAGGCAATCCCTGAAGAACAGAGCCCTAGACCTAAAGACAATATATGCGTATAAAACAACAAGTTCCACTAAAGAATTTGGACTATTTCCTTCATAAAATCAGCTTAATATGATCTGACTTGTATTCACTTTGAAATTTGACATCTATTTTGTCTTATTGCTACATTCAAAACTTCAGATTAAATATACCATTATAAGCACATATGTCTAGCCACTAATAAACTTACCATCATGTCTAGAAAACAGTAAGTCTATATAAAATAACTAGGAAGCAAGCATATAAATTATGATCAGTAATATAGTTAAGTAATGCACAAAAATGTTGCAAGAACAACATACATATGAAAATATATGGGTCTCAGCTAGGGATAGTGGATAATGGTTGTACAACCTGTGACTATAATAAAAGTCATTGAATTGTATGCTTTAAAAGTGTGAATTTTATAATATGTGAATTTTATCTCAATAAAGCTGTTTTAAAAATGGTGAAAGAATTGTCAGCCTGAGATGAGGTTAATTGAAGCCCATCCTTTGGAGTAAATCTACTTTAAGATGTTTTCAAGAAATTGAAAAGTGTAAATTAAAAATTGTGAATTATGTTTTAAAATATTTATATCCTAAGATTGTATGTGTGTATGTGATTGCTGTTCATGTTGAAATTACGTTCATATTTAAAATGCTGACTAATTGAGAAACTTAACTATTATTTGATTTTATGCAAATACTGATGTACATCTATATCAATTAGTAAGTGCACAATTTTATTCTTAACTTATGTATATCACAGGCTGAAGGGAGAATTTCTGAATCTTCAAATTATCAAATAAAAGTAATCTAATTCTTCACAGGATGTAGACTGGAACTTCATTTTGCTTCCATCAAAAAAAAAACATATTGCTACCTAGTGGGGGAGAGGTAAAGAAAGTGTAGGGAGGGCACTATTAGTAGGTTGTAATCTTATTTAACATCTCTATTAATCATCTAGTAGAGAAAGACATGCAAGCTAATGAAAATTAAATCACAATAAATTGTCAAGTGTTTTAACACCAATTAGCACAGAAATGATAAAAAGAGAACTTCAGTGATTAAAGGGCAACTACAAAATGAGATTCAACTTGGAAAACATAATACGGGTGGCAAGTAGTCCTTGGGATGAAAAAAAAAATGTGTAACTGTTTTTAAGGTCATCATTCTAAAGATAAGTGAAGGATATGTAATGAAACTCACCAAGTTTCTACTTTTTTCAATGTCGATTTGCATATATATTTTCCTATTTTAACTCAATTTCATTTTAAATTACTAAATATACATCTTTTCTCACTAGCTTAGCTGATGGTATTCATAGGCAAATGATTACTATTAGCAGCTTTTTACCTTTGAATTAATATTTCTCCTGTCATAGAATAAAAATTTGGGAATGGCGGGGAAGGGGAAATGAAGAGGTTAAGGGAAAAAAATAAAAAGAAATTTAAAAGGATAGCCAGTATGGACATTTCATTAACCATCATGTAGAAATTAAAATAAAAAATTATAAATATTTGATGGAATCTTTAGAGTCAGTTTGTCCTAGGGATGGATTAAGGTAAGTTTCTAAACTAGAGTTACCATCTCAGAAAACCAGCTTTCATTAGTTCATTTAACAATTTCTAATGGCTTTTTAAACTATTCAGAGTTGATCTAGATTTTATACTTCTTAATAATAGCTCCAGCTACTAAAAATGGTGATAATTATTCTTTAACATAGGGAAAGAGAGAATAATACATGTAAGTCCAAACAAAGAAAATTTGAGCAAACAGAATCTCACAAATTATGCCTATAATGCAGAAAGAAAGAATATCTGTCTTTTCATGCAGTTACTGTAATGTGATCGTAATCATTAACTTTAGGAATGACTCCAAATCTTAAACTTTACAGAAGTTTATCACATATTTTGTCATAATTATATAAAGAAAAAGAGCTAATTTTAAAACAGAAGTTGAATTTTCATGTCAAAATTTTATATCCACGATTAACAATTTCATTTCCGGCATGTTTCAAATATACAAGCTTCTATATTTCCTATATGTTTCAAATATGACAAGCTTCAAAAATACCTTTTAAAACATACAATGATAAAAATCAAAACATATAGGAAACGTACCATGTAGATAGTTTATATTTGATAGGTATGGAAAGGTAAGCACCTTTGTAAAAGTCACAAAGTCATTATTTCTGCTTCAGAATATAGATACATTTTAGAAACCTTAAAATAATAACATGCTTTTAAAGAAAAAGATTCCCACAATAAAGAATAAATTTCCTTACAGCAATGAATGACAACAGTGCACATATTTTACTAATCTGCACAAAACGTCACTTACTTTAAAAAATGAGAATTATTTCATGAGAACTGAAGCTGTTCCAGCAAAATACTCAAATGGTTGAAAAAAGGCAAACTTATTTTGAACTATCTTATAAAAATCAATTAAATTGCTGGCTTTGATAATTTTCTTTGGAAACATTTTAAATGTAGTGATTGTTCATTACAAAGATGAATATCAGCTGCATTTGGGAATCAATCCATACTGGGCCTTATTTACATCTACTTCTGTATCTCTTGCACATCTTTACTGTGGATGGACCTCACTTTGATGTTGATGCCAGCATGAGAGCAAAGGAAAAATAAAATCAGGATAAACAGAAGTGAATTTTTCCAAGAAAACAGCAGATGGGTCATCTGTATTTATAGACATTTTACCCAAAATGTGCCTAGCTATACAATTAATTTTATAAATTGAAATTATTTTTGAATAATAATTTAACTTTGGATAATTTCTGTTGTGCGCTTCCGGAAGTTTAAAACTTAATCTTCACTTTTTCCCTAACAATGGACCTTAGGCAGAACTATATCTTGACACTAAATTCTCATTTTGTCCCATTATTCTATTTTGACATAGATGCATTCTACTTTATCCATAATAAAATAAAAATATGATCTAGTTTAACCTTTTACTATTTTTTGAAACACAGACATATTTCAACCATTAATAAAGTATGCCTCCTTTTTGGTGCCATGTGCGGTGAGACAATTATATATTAGTGGCCACGCATAGAACAGTCTTTTCTACAAAGCACACTGTGGTATGAATCCAGGGATTTCTCACCTTTATATCTAAAATCAGGGATCTATTTCAAGCTCCAAAAAATATAGAGGATAGCGCTCTCACAATGAAGGTGGAGTACTATTACCATGGAGAATATAAATATTTTAGCCTAAAGACTATTGACATCTTTCTGGAAGAGACTGAAAGCTCTCTTATGGGTCCTGAAAATTTTAGAAAGACTTGTCATTAGAAAAAAACTCTCTACAGTAGGCCAAAACTGTACTTTTGTCAATTTGTGCCCATTCTAATTCAAACAACACTGGAACTCTCAAACAACCGCTGGTAGAGGGGTTACAATTGACAACATTCTTCTCCATGTCTATAAACAGATCATCTTAGTGTACCTATGAGAAGGGCATATGAGTGGTTACAAGCATCCTAATTCTTTCTGAAGGTTATGTTAGGGGACCATTTTCAGGCAATTTCAAAGATTAAGTAACCTAAGTAAAAATTAAGTTGCAAATACATTATGAGGAAAATTATTTTAATATTAGTACATAAATATGTCATAACAGAGTAAATATTTCAAGTTCAAAAGTAATTCTTTTATAACAATAACAGTAATGATTTTTTTATTTATATATGCAAGGCACTGTCCTTAATGCTTTGATTCAGTACTATAAGTAATCCTTACTCCTACTCTATGAGGTACTACTACTAATCTTTACTACAGCTCTATGAGGTATTACTACTAATCCTTACTACTACTCTATGAGGTATTCATTGTTATTTTCAATAAATAAGATGAGAAAAGTGAGTTTACTAATCATATTAGACTAAATTATGCTACAGTATTACATAAGCAAAAAAATGACCCAAATCTTAGAGGACTAAGACAATGAATCCTAATTTCATGCACACAGAAATTGTGCTGTGGGTTTTAAGTGTCTCTTTATGTGTCCACTCAGTGGTCCATTCAGCCAAATTGGCACTGAGAAACAGTCTTGCATGAGTTTATGAACAAATAGAAGATTGGAATACTCATGAACATACTAAACCTAACTTAGAAGGTTATAGTAGAGCCTGCTTCACTCTTTTCCAAACCAAATTCCTTCTCTTTCTGAGCACACAGCTTTATGAAATATCCCAGCTTCTTTTGTGCCCTTGTAACTGAGTTCCAACAACGAAATATGAGTAGCAGTGATCGATTTCATTCCCAGCCCAGTCTTATACAAAATTCCCATGCGTAGTCCCCAGGCGCTTTTCCCTGCTGCCTTCTTGATGAAGATAGGCACAGGGCCCCTGGAAGCTGTATGCTAAAGATAGACCAGACCCCAAATGGAAAGAGTCTGGATCACTGAATCACTTCTTAGAAAGAGGCTGCCACAATGAAGAACATCTACTACACAGGTTGGTGAGTGAGGGATGAATTGTTATCTTATTCCAGTCACTATAAAGATAGCTTGCTAATTTCATGAATTCTAAAACATACATCTTTCTGTTTCAAAATATAACACTTTTGAAGTCAGGATTCATCATGAAATCAATGTTGTCTTAATAGTATTTGCTAGTATTTCTTTCTTCATTATAAAATAATGTGCTATCACAGTCAATAGTGGTGTATTAGATTTGATGAAATATAGCAATCCACTGTGGGTCATCTACACTTACCTAATCACTGAATACATTGGACTGCATTGTGTAAGATAGCTGCTTGGTTCACGGTATTATGCTTTCTTACCAAATTTCATTTCAAAGTGTTTTTTTTTCTTCCCATTCAAAAGTTCACCTGGAAAAACATGCATATTATGGTAGTCATCTTTTTTTTTTTGAAAACGGAGTCTCGCTCTGTCGCCCAGGCTGGAGTGCAGTGGCGCGATGTTCGCTCACTGCAAGCTCCGCCTCCCGGGTTCACGCCATTCTCCTGCCTCAGCCTCCCGAGTGGTAGTCATCTTTTCTAATTCCATTCCAGATCTATTGGTAAAAATTGATTTTAAGTGGGTTTTCTGCTATTTACAAAATCCAAAGTCTGTGATATAAAATGCTAATATTCCACACATTTTTTTTCTTTTTTTTTTCAGAAAGGAAGCTGCTGTTGGCTACACGGGTAATAAGGCTGGTATAAATTAAAATTATATCTTCCACAAATTACAGTTCAAGTACACATAAGAGGTAAAGCCCCCCAAAAGGTAAAGTACAACATAGGGATAAGGATCAACTGGCTATTTGTTAAAGTTGGCTAAGTCTACATTGAGTGGCGGCAGCATGGTTAGAATGGTGAGAGTATGGACTTTGACTCCTATCTCTAGCTTTGTACTAGCTTTGTGAACCTGAGGGTGATATTTAAGCCCACTGAGTGTAGTTTACTCATCTATAAAACTGCAATAATATTTATTTTATAAAATTCTTGAAAGGATGAATACAATATATAAATAATTGGCATCTTGTAAATGTTAGATCCTTCTCCCCATCCTCTTTGACTTAGAGAATTTTCAGTTGAACTTCTACATTTGTCTGATTTATGACAAATAAATGAAAGTGTAAAAAAATTAACTGCGATCTCACATTGCCTATTTTAATGAAAAAGTAAAAGCAAAACTAAACCATTTCCTGTGTGCCTCATTAACACAGTAAAATCTAATTTTCTCTCATTTCTTTCACTTCCTATGGGAAAGACCAAGTGATTTCTGGAACTCATAGTCACATATTACAATCTCTTTATACCTCTACATATTTGTTCTTTGTAAGATAGAACCTAAATTTGAGTCCACTTTCACACCGCATAGGTGACAGAAAGGTGATGGTATATTTTTAGGGGAAATGGCAGAAACACGTACTTGTGAAATTCCCCCAGTTGTTCAAATCTCAAAAAGGAACTGGACATATTCCCACATCCTAACTCCCAAATGTGATGGTATTAGGAGGTGGGACCTTTGGGTATAATTGGGTCATGAAGGCAGGGTCTTCATGAATGGGATTAGTCCTTTTATAAAAGAAACTCTGTAGAGTTCCTTCATTCCTTCCACCGTGTGAGATCATACCCAGAAGATTACTGTCTGTGAACCAGAAAGTGGGCTCTCACCATACACCAAATCTGCTGCCAACTTGATCTTGGCTTTCGCAGCTTGCAGAGCTTGGGTAAGTGAATTTTTGTTGTTTATAAGCCATGCAGTCTATGGTAGTCTGTTATAGCAACCAGAACTGACTAAGATACACACAAAACTAGAAAAGCCACTTTTACAAATAGTTATAATGCTGTTTCCTTATAGCACTAGCAGTTTGCAACCATCTCAGATCCTATAATATATGGGTGCTGAGAAATTCTAAACAGTGAATATTCTTTTTCACAGTATTAGTGGAGGAACAAACAGTCACAGCAAAGTTTTCAACTGCACATCTGAATCTGGAGAAGATGTAGCTGTGTATTGTGTATAATTTAAGAGCAAAGCAATGATTGTAATGAGTTTCTTCTTTTAGAAGGAGTACTGATTTAGAGAACTGTATAAGCAACCTTTTGAATTCTGAATGATATCTGAGGCAAGAAATATTAGAAAAAGATGGAAATAAATTTATTAGATAAAATCTTGGGAGCATAATCATTTGGTCATTGAAAGAAGTGAGATAAACAACAAAAAAATAAGGTTGGTCATCTCATGTTTAAGTAGAGATTTTATTAAAGCACAACATATGTGTACGCAGAGATAGTAACTGTTCAGCTCAAAGAATTTAAACAACTCAACGTACCCGTGTAATCAACAGACAGATTCGGAAATAGAACATTATCATGTATCCTCTATTATTCCCCTCTGAGACACTGTGTCTCCCCCAAAACATCATCCTAACTTCTATCATCACTTAGTTTTGCTAATTTCCAACTTTCTATAATGGAATTACATTGTGCACTCATTTGTTATAGGCTTGTTTTTTTTAAATATTGTATTATGAGATAAACCCATGCTGTTATGCAGTAGTTTCTTCACTTTCATTGCCATGTAATATTTCATTAAATGGATACATAATATCATTATCCATTCTACTACTGATAAGCATTAGGGTTGTTTCTAATGTGGTGTCATTCCAAAAGTATTGCTATGCATATTTTTATATATAACTTGTGGTGAATGCGTCTGAACAATTCTGGGGTGTATACACAGAAATAGATTGCTTAGTCATAATATACGTGCATGCTTAGACTTAGAGGTGTAAGCAACTTTCCAAACTTTCCAAAGTGATTATATCAATCTATATTACCACCAGAAGCATATGAGAATTTTTAATAACAATAGGTGGTATCATTTTTAAAACGTTTATTAAATTTGATAAAAATGTGGCAATATGTTTCATCAGATTTTACTTTGTATTTTTTTCACTATTAATGGTATTGAGTACCTTTACTTATGTTCATTGACTTTTTGAGTAAACTCTTTTGTAAAGCAGCAGCCCAAATCTTTCACCATTTTTTAAACTTAATTGCTTTTTATACTAACTGGTTTGTAGTTCTTATATGTCCTGAATATAAAATTAAATTTGGGACTATATTGAGTTTAGAGATCAATGTAAAAAAATTGATATCTTCACAATAATAAATATTTCAAATTATAATTGTGGTAAAGAGTCTCTTTATTTAGGCGTTTCACATTTTCTCTAATAAAGTTTAGTGGATTCTTATGTAGAGATTTTGTACATCTTTCATCAGATATATTATTGAATATTTCTTGTTTTAAAAATATTGCAAATAATAATTTTGTATTTTCTTTTTGTTGTGTTGTTCTGTATTGCTATTGTATCCAAATACTTTGCTAGATCCACTGATAGATTCTTATAGTTTGTTGCTCTAGTCCTTTATTTTTTATGAACAAAATCATATTATGTGAATGACAATTTTATTGTTTCCTTTTCAATTCTTTTGCCTAACATTTTTCTCTGGTTTTACTGCCCTTAATAGAACCTCCTTCGAAACGTTGAGTAACTACGATGAGAGTAGGCATCTTTGGGTTCTTTGTTGAGTCTTAAAAAAGAAACTTCACAAAATTTCACGAGAAATTTATTTTTATTATTTTTTATAGAATGAGTAGTCAGATTAAGAAAGTTTCTTAAAATTCTAGTATCCTAAGTTTACTTTTAAAAACTTAAATGGTATCACATTTAGCAAATATTTTCTTATATCTACTGAGATGATCATACAATTTTCCCTCACAGTTAATTATGTTGGTTGACTTTTTGACTACTAATCCACAATTTTTGATACAATAAATTTAAACAATTATGATAAATAATTGTATTTTATGTATTGCTATATTCCGTTTACTTGTTTTTTATTTAGGGCTTTTTGCATTTTTTATTTAGGGCTTTTGCAGGTGAGAGATGGGCCTCTGATTTTATTTCTTTCAATGTCCTCAGCATACTTTTGTTTCAAGGTTATGCTGGCCTCATCAAATAAGACAGAAAATATTGTTTTTTTAAATTCATTGATGAACTTTCTTAAAATGTTGGTGATATTGTATCTTAAATGTTTACCTAGTGACCACTAAAATTGTATGTGGCTGGTGATGTTTTCTAAGAAGGTTTTAAAATACTAAATGTAAGTTTTAAAACAGATACAAGATAAGTATGCTTTTCTATTTACTTCCATTTGCATTTTGGCAAATTTATCATTTTTTGCTGTTAATTCTATGTTGTATTTCTTCACTCTTGGTTGAGATCATATACCCTCTCTGTTTCTTTGCTGGTATTTTGTCTGCCTTTTTTTTTTTTTTTAACTGAGAAAGACATGTGAAAAGTTCCCCAATATGTTTGTGATAGTATTAATTTCTTTTATATCTGTCAATTTATACTTTACATGGGATAAACCTATGTTATTATATACCTATGTATATATGTTTAGAATTGATAATCTCCCTGACATAAGGACTATTACCATGTTAAAATAACTTTCTTTGGCTCTGATAATTTTTCTTGCCTAAAGTCTTGCATAGTTACACCAACTTTCTTCTTGTTATTGTTTCTTTTTTTATCGTATGTTTTCCCATTCTTTTATAATATTCATCTATTTGTTGCTGGTGGTAGTGCTTTTAATTTAGGTTTTTTTGTTGTTGTTGTTTTTTGTTTTGTTTTGTTTTGTTTTTTTGAGATGGGGGTCTTCAACGTTGCCTAGGTTGGCCTTGAATTCCTGGGCTCAAGTGATTTTCCCACCTCAAGTTTGTCTTCAAAAAAAAAAATTTAGATTCCTTTCTAAACTCCAGAATGACATTCTTTTATTTGATTATGTATTATCTTTGGAATTATTGAAATTGCTTAAGTATTTGGATTTATGTACATCTATTGCATCACATATTTTCTTCTTCTCTGTTACCTGATGTTCTGCTGTTGGATTAATCAGCTACTTTTAATTATTTATTTCTTCATGAGATTCTTAGTTTTATACTCTTTTACTCTTCTATTAAGAAATTACAACATGAATCTTTTTGACTTAATAAGATTTGATATGAATGAGTATTTTCACTACTAATAAATTACAAATGCTAAAGTGTAAAAATAACGTGGCATCATATATGCCCTCCTACCTTTTGTGCAATTGTTGCCAAGAATTTTATTTATACATATAATTTAAATTACACACATTATTATTGTTTTATATATTAATCCTTTTTATTGTTCTCTGTTTTTCTCTGCCTTTTTATGATTCTGTTCAAAAGCTAAGAATTCAACATAAGTGATAAATCAAAAAAATTGAAATGGAAAGGAAGGAGTATTAAAATCCATTGATTTACTACTACATGTCAGGTAGCTTGCATTGTGTTAATAATAATGAAATTAATCATTCATTTCCCATATGCCATGAGCCACACACTATCCTAAATCCTTCATATGCAATATGCCTTTAAAGCTTCAGAAAAACCTTCTAAACTTTTGGTTAACTTCTTGAGTATATATGAAAATAAGTATAGCTCACCTTTCAGTCAATAAATATATGGTCTATCCTTTTATAGGCTAGACACTGTTTGAAGTACTGGAGATATAGCAAAGAACCAGACAAACAAAATACTAGTAATTCTGGTGGCTACTTTCTAATGTAAATGGACAGGCAATAAAAAGTGAACAAGTTAATTAATATGTGAATGACTATAAGATATGAAAGATGATAAGTGCTATGGGAAAAATTAAGTATGCATTTGGTTTGCTATTTCATATAAGATGGAGAGAAACATCTTCAGTGTAAACTTTATTTGAGGAAATACCTGAAGAAAATACTAGGCTCTAAAAATCAGATGACTCAGAAAAGTTTAAAAATCACATAAAATTTTAAATTAATAAAATATTGTCAGTGTCCCCATTAATAGGCTTGCTCCACATATCCACAGAGGTAATAAATACTAGATGTAGGGAATACATAGAAAAAAATTAGGCCATAAGGAAGGTTTAGCCTTTTTTGGATTAATATTTTGCACACCCATCACTTTTTGTATTTTATTTTATCTGTTCTGCTTTCTTGCCTAATGGCAAGAGAAATTCTTATTTCTCTCTCTTTCTCTCTCTCTGTATCTATATATACACATACAAGATATCCTTCAAATCTTATTGCAGTCCTAAGCTCTTGATAAATAGATGGATAGATGGATATGTAGATACACAGGTGGATAGACAGAGCTCCCCAGCTACTAATTTAAATATATGTTTGAGGAAACAAGTATACAAACCTTTTAAGTTTACTCAAAGTTACACTCAAGAATCTCTCTGTTTTCTTGTAATCAGGGTCAACTAATGTCAATTAAAAATGCCTACTTTGTGATAAAAAGCAATGAGCTCTACTTTATATAAGGAGAAAAGATAAATTCTGTTTTAAAACATTTCTATTATCCATATATTTCTCTTCTCTCTCTCCCAAACGTTACAAAAAACTATTTTTACAATAAGTACACATTTGTTATTGCCGCAGGAAGGGTGGGGAGGGAGGAACTAATGGAAAGAGGAAAAATTTTATAAAACACTAAGTATCCAATAAGTAGTGTTATTAGGTAAAATACAGAACATCTAGTTAAATGTGAGTGTCAAATAAACAACAAATGAGGGTTTTGCGGCATATATTTGTCTCAAATATTGCATGGAACAGAAAAACTTTTATATGAAATTCAAATGTAATCGTTTATTTTCTGTATTTCTATTTGCTAAATATGACAGTCCTAGCAGGAGAAATAGCTCCTAAGATAATCCAGAAACTAAACCAATGCAGTAGAAAGAGAACTTAAAATCATAAGAAAAATAAAGACTCCCATGAAGTAGGCTGTCACGACTTTCTGTGACTTCAGGGGTTTTAGATGTTGAGAGAGAGTAGATAGGATTGGATATATGGGGTAGGGAGCAGATGTTAGAGACAATCTAATTTAGCTATGGGAGTTGATTACAGGAAATCCCACATGAAAACGGAATTATTTTTACATAAGAAAAGTGTAATATTTCTTCTCCTGAAAGCAGTATGTTGATCAGTCTTCCTAGTTTGATTAAATGATTGAGAGTTATTATTTTCCTTGTCTTACTCTGTTTTCATAAATATTTTGGAAGATACTTCTGGCTCTATCTTTCTGTTTTTTAAAGGTAAATCCACAGGTATCTGCTACTCTCAGATGCTGGGGCATCTTTGAATGTCACTTAACTACCCAATCTCCAAAAGATTCTAAGAACTGTTTTAATAATTATTTATTATTATGTTGATTCTTTTACAAATGTAATTTTCACTTGCAGAGTATATTTTGGAAAACATCTCGTATATGCTAATCACTGGTATATTCACATGTAAGTATATATGTATAAAAATATGTTTAAGTTATACATATAAAGTAAAAACAACTTTACTGTATTTGTAGGCAGTCTGAAGTTCTTGAAACCACATTGTACAATGTGTTATGTAGATAGAGACGCCAAGCTGAAAAGTGCTTATTAACATCTGCAAAGATGTTAGAACAAAACAAGGCAATAATAAAGCACAAAAATAATTTTATAAAACAAGTTTATACTATTGCCATGTTGAAATGATTAAATCTTGGACACAAATTACCATGACATGCAGAATTATATTATTTGCCAGCTAAGTATTACTTGAGTATATTCATTGATTTTGTTTCTTTAACATTTAGTCAGCTTTATATGGAATAAACTGAGTAGGTTTATCCAAATTAGTAATTAAGGCTAGATTTTAATCTTAATTTTAGTTTTATTATTTTATTTTTATTTTGCAATGTCTTAACACATTTCTTATTCATGTAAAATTTTATTAAGTGTTTAATTCTTTACGACTATAATAAAAATATAAAAAGTGATGAAAACCAAATCTATTGAAAATAGTTGTAATTATTAGCAACTATTAAATAGAAATTACTTAGCAAATTTGTTCTTTACATAGCAATCTCTGAGTGCACTATTCTTGTCAAAAACATTTGAAGACAATTTGCATTTACATTCCAGTGTGCTGCTTGTAAAGGTCATTTTTCTAAGGCATGCACATAAAGATAAAAAGCAAAGAAGCTACATTTATTTTCATATTAACCTCTCATCAAAACTAGGACTGAATTGCCACAGGGAAATATGGTACTGGTGGCATTTTCTTAGATAATGACATCTGTTTTACTTGACACTTTTAATATTTCAAACTTAAGAGACAGAAGAAAAATAATGTCTAATTTAATATTCTGCCCACTCTTTGCTTGTGTCATTCAATTTCTACACTTGAAACAGATTGTACACTTATATAGCATGTATTTGAAATATATCTGAGGAAATATTAATAGAAGGACTGTTTATAACATGTGGACATTTAAGAAAAATCAGAAAGGTTCAGGAAGCACCTCAGGGCTGGTAAGAGTTAGGAGCTGTTAATACACCTAGGTCTAGAGACGTGAGAAGAGAGAACAGTTACTGGAACTGGGAAATATAAGTAGTAGCTGTAAGAGAGCGCTCCCAGTTAGGCACTGTGGCCTTTAGTAAACTGGAAGAAGTCAGAGATATATACACGAAACCTTAATCTCCTCCCTCCATCAGCTCCTTTGCAGGTACTTTCCATTGGTCAAGTACAAAGCCAGGAAAAGGAGCTCACTGATGCAGCTGACATGGTCAACTTCCCAAGGAACAGAATAGGATGGGAAAGGAAGAAAAGGGGATTTGGAGAAGCAATAAAAAAATATCCAGCACAGTTCACTCATTATCTCTTCTTGTGTCTATCATCTCATTATCTAGTCTTCTTCTTTTTCTTGATAAGAAAATGTATGTTTTCATACAAAATATCACAAGCTTCCATTTCATCATGGGATGATAGCACTGTAAATATCCTCCATCCTAAAATCTAAAACTTCAGTCACCACTATTTTTTTTATTATAATGGGAGAGAAAGAAACAATTTTTAAAAACCTAGATTTAATAGTCCTATTTCTGTAACTTCTCTTTTGCAAGACCAATTTAATATTCCTCTTAGTATCTGCCATCATCTAAGCTGAATAGAATTCTTTACCAAGTGGAGTGATCCCAATCTTTATTCCTGGGATCTGAATTCTCTGTGGCTCTATATCTTTATCACATTGCTGCAGTGTTCCAATGACTATCCCCTTACCACTATGTAAGGGTATACTAAAAGGCATACCAGTGAATCCTCTGGTTCTAGATATTGTCTTCCTTGCTCTTTTGTATAGCAGCTATCCACTTTCTCCTTGATGACCAAGAATAATCATCTTGCCATGAAAGTTCCCCTCTTCTATGCATGGCATGAGAATCACAGAGAGCAATATCAGTTTCTTGTTTTTAAAAAATGCAACCATGATCTTTATTAATTGTAACATTTCTACTTTGGACATTAGAACTTTGAAAGTCATTAAAACCCAGGCCAGAGAGATGGTAAGTAGAAATTTCTTCAGTGATTTATTTTGTGTAATCGCTTGGAGAGAAGTTTTCCACTCCCAGCTTTTTAGTTCCTGAATGTATTCTAGCTATAGGAAAAGTGGTAACATAATTGGCTTCTGGTTTAGGGTAGAATAAATCAATTATGGTTTATGAATGGAGAATGCCATGACCCTAAAGAGATTTGTCTCCTAGTAAGTACAGTACTATACTTTTAGCAGGCTATTCCACCACTTATAAAGCTAGCTGCTGTTGAGTCATAAGCATGTTAAGTTAGTGAATTCTATGGATGCTAGCCCATTGCTTTACTTCTTTGCCATAATGATGGATAATATACACTTTGAGTGGTGATAATATTATATGGAATATCACAGAAATGAATGTCTAGAAGTCTCTTAATAGTGTTGCTCTCAGATGTTACTATGGTTTTAATATCTGTCTCATCCAAAATTAATGTTGAAACTTAATCTCCAATGAAACAGTACAAAAATAGGGGCCTTTAAGAGGTGATTGCATCATGAGGGCCCACCCTTCATAAATGGATTCATCCTTTTGTGGATTAATGGATTAATGAGTTAATAGATTAATGGATTATTGTGGGAGTGGGTTGGTCATCACAAGAGTGGATCTGTTATAAAAGGACAGTTTGACTTTCTTTCATGAGCCCCCATCACCATGTGATGCTCTGGGCCATAAGAGAACTCTGCAGAGAAACCCTACCAGCAAGAAAGCCCTCACAAGACACAGACCCTAGACCTTGGATTTCCCAGCCTCCAGAGCAATAAAATAAAAATTTATTTTCTTTATAAATCACTCAGTCTCAGGTATTTAGTTATATCACCAGAAAACAAACAAACAGAAGTGTTACCGGGAAAAAGGTATATTTGCAACTCAGATATACATCTTTCTCTGCATGAATAAATTACTGGTCATCCATGATGAAAGGGGTCCAATGTAGTGAGCCTGCCACCAGATGGATGGCTATTCTTTTGAAAAACAACGTTTATATTAGGTGATCAGCACTGGCCTCTGGGGTTGACAACTAAGATGTTTAGTAATGTTAGTAGCCAGATCAGCTATACTGACGGTAATTGTAAGCTGCGGAAATCATGCATGGACTTTAGGCTCACCTTTATGGACTATTTGTAGGTGGACCCATTAAGCAAGCAGAAAAATGTCTGGGAAAAAGTCAATGACATCCACCTGAATGATCAAAGTCTCCATCCTTTTATTTAAAGCCTCCTCTTAAATGAATCTTCTATGATGATCATTTACAGTGAACACAATTATCGTCATCATTGGCTTCTATGCCCAGAGTTCATTCAATTACCTCTTACTCAGAATGATCAGCCACCTTGAAATTTTCTTTTCAAGGGCTTGACCCATCAACCAACCCATTAGATAGTATAGATATTTTCCTTGGACAGTCCCTCCTTACACATAAAATAACAAACAGATGTACTGCCCCAAGTTCTATTCACTAGGAGGATTTCCCTTTACTATAATTTTTTAATTTTTTTTATTTTTTTGAGATGGAGTCTCACTCTGTCACCCAGGCTGGAGTAAAGTGACACGATCTTGACTCACTGCAACCTCTGCCTCCTGGGTTCAAATGGTTCTCCTGCCTCAGCCCTCTGAGTACCTGGGACTATAGGCATGCGCCGCCATACTCGGCTAACTTTTCTATTTTTAGTAGAGACAGGGTTTCACCATGTTGGCCAGGATGGTCTCGAACTCCTGACCTCAAGAGATTGGTCCACCTTGGCCTCCCCAAATGCTGGGATTACAGGCATGAGCCACTGCACCTAGTCCCTTTACTATAATCTTTAGGTCTTGCCTGAATGGGGCTATGAGACAGAAGTTCTCCACTTCCATGTACTGTTGACATACGGTGTACTGGATGTTTTCTCCTTCACCATCAAGTGGTCATGGAAAACTCCCCATGTAGGCAGAGCATGGTGTGAAGGAGGGGAAGGAAAGCAGTGGGAACAATTCCTCTGGATGTCTAAGCTTTCTGTTTGTGTGCTAGTTTCTTTCAGTCTTTCTTTGTCTTCATACACTTTCTCTCCAGGTTTCAGTGAAATGCTGATGCACAAGCCCAATTTTATAATTTGCTAACTTAGGTAACACCCAAATTATCATAGACAGTTTAGGTCACACTTTCACTTCATGCCCTACTTTAAGGAGTTTGGATCTTGGAAACAAGTTAGGAGCAACTTTAATGGTCTTTGAGGTTAACAGTTGGGGCACTTAATAGTGCCAATATCCAGATCAGTCTGGGTGAGATAATTTCTTTGATATTGAACCCACAAACAGCTCTTATTCCTAGAAAGAAAGAGCCTGGCCTCACTATAAACCCCTGAATCTGGGCCATAATTTCTCCTAAAGGCCTGCCAGAGGCTCTACACTGCATCCCCTTCTCTCACCATTCCAATTTCTGTTTCGTTTACTGCAGGGAGTGGGAAACCTTTTCTATAAAGGGACAGATAGTAAACATTTTAGGCTTTGTAGGCAATACGATCTCTGTTATGATCTCTGTCATTGTTGCACAATAGCATCCATAGCCAGTAAGTAAAGGAATCAGTGTGTTTTTTCCTAATAAAAGTCACTTTATGGACATAAACATTTGGATTTCATATAATTTTCATATGTCATAAAATATTATTTTTTCAACCATTTAATAATGTAAAAACTATTATTAGCTCATCAGCCATACAAAAACAGGTGATGGGCCAGATTTTGCCACAGACTGTCAGTTGCCATCCCTAAGTCATGTGGACTGTGTAGTAGGGCAGCTTGAAATATAAGCTGGACCTGCTGCATAAGTTGTTCTTGCTTCAGGTCCCTTCAAATTAAGTTTTGTAAATTATACAGTAAAAATATATGAATAGCATGCCAAACTGTAGTACAAATGTTCTTCAGAATCCAAAGATACCATCAAGCATAGTGATTTTCCTTGGTTGTGAATGATGGAACAATTTATCCTTTAGAAAGGATATTCTCATAGGATGAGGAACCATAAAACTTCTAGCAACTTGTGTTAGGCCCCTCAACATTACAGGGTGTTTTGTCCATACCCCATCATGCGTGATTCCTTCACAGACCATATCCACCTCAAATTGTGTCTTCAGTCTAATTGAGTAACATAATGTTCTGTGATATACTTAGACCAAGATCCTTTCAGACTGTATTTTACTAGATGTCTAGACAACTGACATAGCCCTGTGGCAACAAAGCAATATATATTGTTGTCCCTAACACATAAAGCCAAATGGCTTCTTACTATATTTGCTTATAGAAGTGAATTAAAACAAAACAAAATATTTGCTATGTCATTAGCTAAGCATCTAATGATTTACTTTAGCAAAGATATTCTATCTGAAACGGTACCCATGATGGGCATTATCATCTATCTAAGTATTTGATAATTTCCATTCATTCTTTAAGAATTATCTACCTTTAAAAAACCCAAAGAGGTAATATGAATTAAAATGTGGTAAGAATCAATATGCTTGCATCTTTCATTTTGTTTGTTACAGTATTAAAGTCTGTTATTTCCACAGATACAGTATGCAGTATTATTTATGGTTTACTATCATAGCATGAGAGAAGGGCTGTTCCAGGGCTTTTTTGCAGCTCTTTCTGTCTTAATAGTATTGATATGGTTTGGCTGTAGCCCCACCCAAATTTCGCCTTGAATTGTAATAATTTCCACATGTCAAGAGTGGGGCCAGGGGAAGATAATTGAATCATGGGGGTGGTTCCCCTATATTGTTCACGTGGTGGTGAAAAATTTCATGAGTTCTGATGGTTTTGTAAATGGGAGGTCCCCTGCATAAGTTCTCTCTTGCCTGCCACCATGTAAGATGTGACTTGCTCCTCCTTGCCTTTCACCATGATTATGAGGCCTCCCCAGCTATGTGGAACTGTGAGCTGATTAAACCTCTTTTTTTTTGTAAATTTCCCAGTCTCAGGTATGTCTTTATTAGCAGCACAAGAACAGAATAATACAAGTATTTACTCTGTGGGCCAGGGAACAAATGTGGGAATTCTTCCAGTTAAAAAGTACATGCATTCTTACTATTGATTAGGGGACTATAAGAGTACCGCAAAATTGGTCTGAGATCCCACTGGATCCACTTTGGCCAAGACTTCATCTATCCCATGACCTCCAGAATGATCTGGCAAACCACAATTGTTTTCAAGTTCCCAAATATCAGCATGAATTCAGACCATCATCAAATAACTGCTGAAAAATCTGGGTATCTTTTCTTTCATATACCCAATCCTAGTGTTGCAGGATCCTTGGGGTGTTGCTTTTCTAGCCAGAAACCTCTGTGACTGGTAATGTCTTTGCCTGACTTTTGCTCATGCATGCTTGGCTTGTTCTGCCCTGCCCACTCGGCCTTGCCAGCTGTGCTTGGCTCATGCTACCAGCCTGGATCCCATGCCTCCAAGGGCAAGCCAGGTGTGCAGCAGTAAGGGGTGTGTGAGCGAGTGAGCATGGGGTCCAGCCACTGTGCACAGTCAGGCACACAGGCTGCTACAGTGGGGTGGACAGCTCACAGGCGTTGGCTCTCTGCAAGGCTGTGGCTGGACCAGCTGCAATGCAAGCAGCTTCCCTGGTTGGCACTGGGAAATGTAGTGGCACCCAGAAGCTCAGAGACACTAGAATCTGCAGGGCCTCAAAGAGGGAGTCACAGCCGTGGCTTGGGGCCCCTAGGCCTGGGATCCCCCCAGGGGCACAGCTCTTCTCTCCCTCTCTTTGCCTGCAATGTGATGAGCAAAGGGCATGTTTCAGCCATTTGTGTTATAGCTCTTCTAGCCTTACCATCTGGTAGGCCCCAAGTTACTGTCCTGCGACCAGGAAGAATGAGCACACAGACAAGTGGAGTGTGAGCAAGACAAAGAGGAGCTTTATTGAGCAATAGAACAGCCCAGAGAACTGCTGTGGGTAGCTCCTTTCTGCACCAGTGTGTCCCTGTGAATGTTCAGCCCTCAATAGAGAGGAGGCAGCCCTGGGGTGGGTGGCTCCTCTCTGTTGGCAGATCATCCCATTGTCTCTGAAGCTCTTAGCAGAGAGGAGGACCTGGAGTGGGTTGCTCCTCTCTGTAGCAGGTCATCCCTGGAGTGGGAAGCTCCTCTCTACTACTGGTTGTCCTGACGTTTTCCAGCTATTGGCAGAGAAGCTATCTCCTCTCTGCAGCTGGTTATCCATCATCTGCTCAGCTCTGGCTGAGCCCAGGGCTTTTATAGACCTCAGAGTGGAAGAAGTGCATGCTGATTCATCCATGGGCAGCCATGGGCAGTCCTGGAAAAGGCACCACAAGTTCCAAATACAGTCCATGGGACTGGTAGCCCAGCTCCCAGCCTTCAGGTCCTCCCTGGCCTGAAGGTGAAGCCTCACTGGGGACCCACCCCCTTCTGTCCAGGAACCTGTCTGCCTCCTGCTGCAGTTCATGGAGTCTGGGCTCTCCCCAGCTTTGCTCCAAGATTGTAGTGGGCCTGGCAGCAGGGAGAAGCCAGGCAGTGGGAATAGACACTTCCAAGCCTGCAAGGACAGGGAGGGCCTTCCCAAGCTGCAAGAGTGCAGGGATGCCTGGGTCTGCAACGACAATTGGGCAGCTGCAGCTGCACACAGGATAACAGGGCTCCTGCCTGTTCCATGGAGCAGCAGCCTGGGTCTTATAGCCACGATTTGGGTAGGTGCAGCTGCACCCAGGAGGGTGGGGCTACCACCTGCTCCATGGAGTGTGCAGCCAGGTCAGCACTTCCATGCTGCAGCCAGCATGATGACAGTGGCAGGCCATCTAGAGTGGCTGCTGCCATCACTGATACAAATGGCACTGGTACCTCTGGAGAAGGATCTAAGGGGATTTTGAATGCACACCTGTGGCTGTGTGTGCAGAGCATTTCCTCATAGGGAATGAGCCTCTTTCTCAATCAATAAACTAGTTCTGTGAGATTGCTTAGTGCTGTGAGCTAAGAAAGAGATTGAGAATCCATATGGTGGCTATTTCTGTCTACCAGACCTAGGATATTTCAGCCTATTTAAGCCTTGTAGGTATTACGCATTATCTTAATACAAAGCCTATTTACTTCCTTCTTGGGCACCTGTGATCAATCAGCCATCACCACAGCTCCATGTATGTGAACACATTTTGATTAGCACTCCTTTCCTCTAGCTCATATTTGGCTGTATATTAGAAACACCCAGGGAGTTTGGAAAAGCACTGTTGCCTGGGCCTCACCCCAGACCAATTCAGTCAAAACCCCTGAAAGCAGGAGACAGGAATCTGTACTTTTAAAACATACAGAAGGTAAGTAAAATGTGCAGCCAAGTTTGGGAAATGCTGCTCTGTTGTGCTGTGATCATTTCACTCACCTTGTCTCTGAAGGTGAATTGTTACCACCTGATTGGTATAGCTCTATGATTTCTTCATTCACACTGAGACCTGATAATTCAATATTAAAGCAGGATCTCTGGTCCAGGAAAACATAGTCGCCATAGAACATTTCAAAGATTAATATCCACCTTGCTAAGCCATCCCCTGAACTTAGTGAAGAACGTGTCCTCTCATGAGTTGTGGTGAAAGAGTAGTTAGTCAGATCCCAGAGAGTATGATGCCCTTGAACATCCTCATCTCCCTGTATCTTCAGTTCCTTTCTCTATAATGTGTTAAAGCAGGTCTTGTTTCAAAATTACATTGACTAAAAATATAGCAGACTGTAGATGCTATTACACAAATGCTCAAGTCCTCTAGGCAACTCACTGCATCCTGAATCCTAGAAGAATAAATCTATATCAGTGAGCTCAAATAAAATATCACTGTGCTATTATTGATCTAACAATCTTAGGGCAGCTTCTATACAGGCACTCCTAACTTCTGCTTATAAAAAAATACATGGCCATGTTGTTTATTTATGAATGTATGCATTGGTTTGTTTACTTATTTTACGCTAGATCGTTTTAGGCTACTTTTCTAGCATATGCTGGGATCTAAGTATTATTACAGACCTAGAAGTAGTAAGGAGAAGAGGGGGGAAAGGAAGAGAATCAGAAATGGCAACAGATGCTGTTATTATTGAAAGGTCGTTCAGAGAAGACTGGTTTCTTCAGATAGGAGTAGGGATACAGGAGGTATGACAGTAGCTGATTCTGACAGCAAGGAAATTTCAGGGGAGCTTGTGGTTCAAAGTTGCAAGCTTCATTTATGTCTGTCTAAACGTTCTCAATCCCTATCTTAAGGTCCCACTCCCCATCAGTTTCTTATCTTAACATAATAGAGCTGAAAGTATTTAGTATTTAATTGGAGCTGCAAACACTGCAACCCTTACAATCAGGATGTGAGCTTAGCTGACTCTTACCTTTCATTTTATCGCAGAAGAGTGCTTCCTTCAAAGCTGCCTTAGAGGCTTCCTGACTTTCCACGCATGTTCTGAACTGTCTCAACAATCCGATTCCTCAAGGATCTAGAACTAGAAATACCATTTGGACCCAGCCATCCCATTACTGGGTATATACCCAAAGGATTATAAATCATGCTGCTATAAAGACACATCCACATGTATGTTCACTGGGGCACTATTCACAATAGCAAAGACTTGGAACCAACCCAAATGTCCATCAATGATAGACTGGATTAAGAAAATGTGGCACATATACACCATGGTACTATGCAGCCATAAAAAAGATGAGTTCATGTCCTTTGTAGGGACATGGATGAAGCTGGAAACCATCATTCTCAGCAAACTATCTCAAGGACAAAAACCCAAACACCACATGTTCTCACTCATGGGTGGGAATTGAACAATGAGAACACATGGACACAGGAAGGGGAACATCACACACCAGGGCCTGTCATGGGGTGGAGGGAGGGGGGAGGGATAGCATTAGGAGATATACCTAATGTAAATGACGAGTTAATGGGTGTAGCACACCAACATGGCACATGTATGCATATGTAACAAACCTGCACGTTGTGCACATGTACCCTAGAACTTAAAGTATAATAATTAAAAAAACTCCGTCAATTTGTCATTTTCAATGTGTACTCTTTGGGGAACCAGAAAAAGCAACCAGCTGATCCCATAATCACTATAATTACTGTAATTATTTCCCTTTAAACTACATACCTTTATTGTCCTTTATTCCTGCTTCTACTAGGTTATTTGAATAAGTATGATGGCATGCATCCCATGGATTGCCAGGGACACATTTTCACTGGCAAAGATGAGACCCACACAGTCATTGAACATTTGAGTTGCCTACCCAAGAATCCAATAAAAAGAGTTTGTTTTCCAGGTCCATTTTTCTACCACTTGTTTAATTTGTCACAGTCCTAGCAGAAGACATCGCACATGCATTTTACACAACAAATTAAGGGGAGTTTAATAAAGAGAATATTTATGTTTTAGAGAGAATTGAGGGAAAGCAAGGGATGGCCAAACTTCCAAAGGATGGAGAAGCTGTAATCGCAGGAAGAGGCTTCCTGTAGGAGCTGTGCCCTTTAGCAGAGGGAAATAATCAACCTATGACAAACTGGCAGAGAAGCAGTCATGATAATAAATGTTTAACCTCAAACTCCTCTCTTCCTTTAATTTGTTACCAGTGCTTTCTATTTGATAAACCCACTCAGAATCTAGAGGGCAAGATGCCCCACTGATGTAGTTCTTATGGGGAGTTTCCCGTACACTAAGGTGGAGAAATGTGGAGGACAGATTTTGATTGGTAAATGCAAAATGTCCTGTTTCAGATGCTTTATTTATACTCCTTCTAATAACAGCTACCTTGAGATTGATTAAGCTCCAAATACTAGTTAGGATATTGGTTTAACTGCCATAATAAAAAGCAAATTAATAATTAGGTATAATAGAATTTATTTTTGTGTGTGTAATAGGTAATGTAAGCAATCCAAGCATGACACAGTGGTGTAAATAGGGTTGGGAACCCAGATCTTCCAATTTTGTTAATGAACTCTTCTTGGGTCTTGCTCTTACCTGCATAATTCACCACTAAACCTGTATCCCATCCAGAAGGAAGGAGTAAAAAGAAAGTGAAGTTCATGTTTATTCTTTTTGATGGAACAACCTCGGAAATGTTATTGTTTCTATTAATATTAAAATCATGTTGTCCAAAACATAGTTACAAGGGCAAAATTAGCAACAGTAAGGTAGGCTGACTAACTACACATGTTTTGCTGGTTCCCAGTATGCTCTCGACTCAAAAAGTCTATTAATAAAAGATGGGTGAATAAGTGATGAGCTAATTTATTTTTATATAGAAAATATTTTTAAGAATTCTAAGTTCCTGCCCAAATCAACAGAGTTCATTTATAGATGACAAAAAGTAACATAAACAATTACATTTCTCATTATATAATAGACTATTAGAACCAAGGAGAATATAAAATGATTTAATCCCAAATGTGTATACGCCTGAGAATAAGGTGTGTCCTAGAAAATAAAAAAAAAAAACAAAGTTATCTAAGGTCACGAAGCTACTTACCTGACAGAACCAGGATACATCATTACTCTTACTTTATGGCTTCTCTCCTTTCTACTGGTCTGTGCTGCTCATCATGTTATATCGAGGTGTTGTGTAGGAATGAAAAGGTAGGTGGGATGTCGTTTAGCAGTGGGACTGTAGCCCACAATCTTATAAGAAACCCACAATCTGATAAGAAAACATGTATGCAAATAGTTAAGAATAAAGCAAAGCATAATAAAATAAATGTTTTCATTGACTATAAAGACAAAGAAAATATGATACACCCTGATGTATGAAAGATAGCATACTCAATGCATGAAGTATCTTTTGAATTAGGAATATTTTATAACATAATATCATAACATTTTAAAAATAATAAACTAAAAATTATATACGTTCTCTTAAATATTTTTAAATACTTTAAATTTGGCTACATTGGACAAGAAATGTAAACCCTAAACTTTGATAAGACAACATTTAATTTACAGCAATGTGTTGAATACTTTATTAGCATACATTTATATTTCTCCAAAAATGCAAGTATAATTTATTTTTATAATCAGCATTTACTATGGTCAAGTTTTTTTGTCCAAACCATGGGTTTCAAATGGCGAACTCTACAGAACTTTGTCTCCAAGGAACTGAATAAAATGTATTTCATTGACTCCCAGTAAATCAATACACATAAAGTGCTTAAAATTGTGCAGAGTATATTGTAAATGATACATGGGTGTTTGATATTGTATTGTTTTTACTCATAATGGATAAGCACTTCTTTAATTTTGTTAACATTTTATAAACACTTACTAATCAAGACATCCGCAAGTGTTCCACTGGAGTCATGGTTGCCATCTCTACATGTCAACTTTCTGATATGAATAAATGAATTCATTCACTGGCAATTTTTGAGTAACATTTTGCTGATGGTCACTGTGCTATATTATGGATTCTATTTTATGCAGATACAGAAAAGAATAAGATAGGGTTACTGTCCTCAAGGGGTGATGAGGGATGGAGAATAAATTATAAAATCTCATAAATACGGTGTGTGCTAGCTCTATAGAGAGAGTTATGGCTAATTTTCCTTTGGGAGGAAGATAATTCAAGACATATCTTTCTGGATTGTGGTGCGTGAACTGAAACTAAAAAGGTAAAGGTCTTCTTGCCAGACACATGTGTCAGGAAGGGGAGGAGATTAGTAGGACTTGAGTGGAGCTTGTGCACTTCAAATATACACAGGAGCAGGAAACAATGGTGAAAAAGCATAATGACTTTGGAGAGCTTGAAATAGTTCTGTTACAGGATGCAGTTCTGAACAGAATGAGGAGTAAGGAGTGAAAGGAATGCAAAAGCCAGTTCTTGAAAGACCTTGTATGTTAAGGTGAAGGGTTTGACTTTCTCCTCTAGTCAAATGAAAGCCATTTAATTGGGAGTAAAATAACAAGATTTGACCTTTACAAAGACTCTTCTGTAAAGGTATAAAGTAAAGATCCAAGAGTAGCAAAATTGTGAGAAATCGTTACACGATATTACTGAAATCTAGAAGATGAAAAGTATATGAACCAAGATAGCAGGTAATGGAAATAGAGACTTTTTAAAAGAAACCTGTGGCTGCCAAGTCTCAAATTAAAATTAAGGTGCATTTCCATTCATTTAGGAAACAAGAGATCATATGTAGAATATCCTATATATAAACCTTGATTGGTGCTAATTAGGATAAAAATAAACAAATACATACTATATGAATACATATATGTGTGTATATATGAATTGCCACACCTTAAGAAGTAGTAGTATTTTCTTTTCAGCTTTTGTGGAAAAGTTTATTTCAAAAAATGTAATATTTTCTTTCCAATTTTTGAGGGAATAGAATGTGTTTCCATTTTTGCAAAGTAATTTTTAGACTAGTCAGCTGGCAGTATTTGATCTGAAGCACATCAGTTCATTTTTTTTCCCTAGATTATTATAATCCAAAGCAAACAGATTTAGGGTGTACTGTTACCACCACTGATGTTTCACTGTGATGTAACTTATTGTTAGTGAATTTACTCTGAACACCAGACTTGGGATTTGCCCATAGAATTGATAAAACATGACAGAGCAGGTCACCCTCACTATTGTTGCCACTGATCTTTAATGCTAATCTGAAGGGTCTCTCTCTCTCTCTCTTTGAATTTTATTCCTAAGTCTAATAACAATTAGAAAAAAAAGTAGACTACTAAAAGTAGTCTCTCCCTCTGGAGAGAAGAGAAATGTTCAGCCTGGATGCTCACCTGACACTGGCCTCTGTGCAGACACCAATAACTAC
This sequence comes from Homo sapiens, assembly GCF_000001405.40. Lineage (NCBI taxonomy): Eukaryota > Metazoa > Chordata > Mammalia > Primates > Hominidae > Homo > Homo sapiens. The sequence goes on from NC_000018.10 coordinate 30,520,324, forward strand.
TTTGTCAATTATAGTCAACAAAAACTGCTGACCTTCATAAATAATAGAACATTTAATTTAAAAGAAATATAGTTTCTATTATCCTTTGCCTGCTCCTAGTTACTTTTTGATTCAACTATATAAATATATCTAATTTCTTGATGAAGATTCATGTTTTCTGATATCTAACATGGAAGTTTGGGACCAAGGGGCCAAATTTGTGTGGAAAACTTTATTCAAATATTATTGAGAGTAGATAATCGAATAAAAGAATATCAGTTTTATCTGAAATATTCAGAGAAGACTACTGGCTAAGCTGAAATTTGAAATGGATTTTGGAGGAAGGAAAGAAGTTTTTTCAGAGATAGAAAGTCATCTCTTGTATAAATTCTGCTATAGCCCAAATCAATATGTAATAAATACAAGATGAACTCAACAGACAATATTTAAAATATCACAATTTGGATTAGAGGGTTCAGAAGGGACATTTTAGATAAACTTGAGAGGGCAGCGGAGATTAGATTGCAGAAGCTTTTGAATTGCAGACATAAGAATTTGAGAATTATTATTTAGTGTGAGTAATTTTATAAGCAAGAAGACAACATGATTAAAGAGGCTTTTTAACAATATTATACTGGTGACATTTATGCAGGATGAATTGATAGGAAGGGAAAACAAGAATGGCACAGCTCTTCAGAACTTTTCAAATTTTCAAGTATGAAGAAACAAGGTCTAAAGGTAGCATTTACAAAAAACAACTGTAAACAATAATTCAAAGATACTAGTTAAATTTTATCATGACTTTACTGGGAATAAAATAAATAATAGGATTAAATATAATTTTAAGGTATTAAACTTGGAATACTATGGACTTAGTATTTTACTTAATAATTGTAAGAAATGAGAAGATTGTTTAAACATATTAGGGTTGAATTAGTCACAAGAAATAAAACTTAAAATTTCCTTAAGAAATACATAATTAGAATTTAAATAAGTGGTACTAATGATAACAAGATGAGAAAGTATGACATATTTCTTAGGGAAGAAAAAGGGATGAATATGCCGTAGACAAAGAAATAATAAAGAAAAGTTATGACAACACTGATCAGTTTTTCTTCCTCCAGGATACTAACATACTTTGTGCATTCATAGTCAACATAGGGTTTTCGTTCTTGTTTTTTTTCACAGTCTTGCATATGAACTCATATATAGTTATAATTCTCATAGATTATGAATGACCTCCAGAAGAATGAACAAAATACGAGGACATTCTTAGCAAAGAATGAGGTCATATGAGGTGAGTAAATAATCTGAAGAATTGAGACCATTAATTCAAAGTAAATAAATTACTATGTCAAGTAGCATGGGTTATAAATGACTTACGCAGGAAAACATAGTGAGGCCAAGGAAGAAATATCCCATGACACAAGATGTTCACATTGTCATGTATTATTTGGCTGATTTATTTTAGAAAACGATATCTAAGTGTGTTCTCTTAATAGCAATTAATAAAAAAAGTCACTTTCTAGTCCTTCTCACATACCCCCTATATTCAAGCCACCAGTGGTGCAATGAGGCATTCTCTCCTTCAAATCTCTTGAACTTCTCTTCCAACACCAGCCGGAGAAAGAGGCTCTCATTTTGAAGGGCCCCTGTGATTAGATTGCAACCATTCGAATATTCTCTTTTGATTAGCTCAAAACTGACTAGTAGCCGTCACTACATCTGAATAACAAATTCTTTTTATTCACCTTTAGGAGAAATGCAAAACTGGTTTCCAGAAATCTCATAAGGAGTGGATGATATGGCATCAATAGAAAACATGTTAACAGGTAATTAATCTCCCCAACAAAACCCCAACTGACAAAATGTTTATGAAAGTGTTTCAGTTTTCTATTGCTGTATAAAAAATTACCACAAAATTTGCAGCTTAAAACAATATCTGTTTTTTAGTCTCAGAGTTTTCTAGGTCAGAAATCCAGTCTGGCTTGACTAGTTTCTCTGCATAGGGTCTCTCATAAGCGTGAAATCAAGGTGTCAGCCAGAGTAAGAATCTGCTTTAAAGTTCACTCTGATTGTTGGCAGGATCCAGTTGCTTGTGGCTATAGGCCCCAAGTACCTATTGCCTTATTGGCTGTCAGCTGGGGGCCTGTCTCAGTCTCCAGAGTCACTTTCTAGTCCTTTCCACATACGCCCTACATATTCAAGCCACCAGTGGTGCAATGAGGCATTCTCATCCTTCAAATCTCTTGAACTTCTCTTCCAACACCAGCTGGAGAAAGAGGCTCTCATTTTGAAGGGCCCCTGTGATTAGATTGCAACCATTTGAATAGTCTTTTTTGATTAACTCAAAACTGACTAGTAGCCGTAACTACATCTGAAAAACACCTTTTTGCCCTACAACATAACACAATTACAGTCCCAGAGATTATAAAGAGAAACCTTAGAGGGGCCACTTTGGAATTCCGCCTACCACAAGGAATGTTTGTTTTACTTTACATTTAAATAGAATTTATTTACATTACATTATTTACATTTAAATAGAATTTAAAATTTGTCAAGATCTCACAAATGTAGTTTTTTTCATATTTCTTAGAATTTTCTATTTATAGTCAGCCCATTGTCTTTACTACCTCCATTTTTTCTCAGATATTAATTTTTTTAAGTTCAGTGTCTCACTTTCATAGTGATTTTCTATAACTCAAAAACGTACTGCTGTGAGGGCCTAGAAGGGATGGAGGCAGCGCTTGTTTTCTGGCTGTTGGTGGGCTTTCCCCCAAGGTTAGCAGTTTCTTGGAGCGTTCCCCTATGATTTAGTCTCAAAGACAAAATTAAATAGCCAGTAAATCTTTGAGACCCTATCACAGAGCATGCATTTTTGTAAGAGATGTATTGAGATAGAAAAAGATGTACAGATGTATAAGACATGTTTATTTGCTTTTAAGGGGCTTATAATTTTGACATGGAAGCGATAGTAAATAGTGAGTTCACTCAATAAATATATATCCAATTTATTTTAATTGTCAGCTAATGTGGTACTTAGATAAAAACAATCAATATGAACACAATCTCTGCTCTAACAAAGGTTAAAAAACTGGTAGATGATACATAAAAATAAAGAAGCATTTATAATTAGGTATGAGAAGTACCACAATGGGTAGACAGTAGTTGGCTATAGGAGGCATTGTAGGTTAAAACACTCTGGAAGTGGTAGGGATGTAGATGGCCATGAAACAAGTGCCTTCCTAGTCTGAGATCTGAAAAAACAAACAACAAAAGACTTATTCTGATAAATTATTCCCTGGTGTTTTAAGGAGAGCTGTTTCTCTATGATTTGAAGTCTCACCTCTGTATCTATATCGGTTTCTTTGGTTCTGGCCTTGGTCATATTCTGAGAATCACAGTATTCAGGCAGATTAGTTAACTCTCATATGAGAATACAGTTTCTATCACAATTTGTTATGTGGCAAGGCCATGCTGATATATACAATAATTGCTTTTTAATAATAGTGTTTCCTATATGACAAGTGAATCTCTGAAGACTTTTAATAAATAATTAAGTACATGGGAGCAACTATATTCTACGTTTTATGTAACTATATAAATGTGTTTCCTTTTATTTAACTATAGAAATATTTGGCACATTTGAAAATTTTAAAAGATAAAAGCATAAGGGAAAATTTACCTTTGAAACTTAAGTCAGCCAATAAATTATAATTCATTGATTAGTGCGTTTTCTTCATCTTCAATTTCTAAGGAAAACAAAAATTTTGGACATAGTTTAGAAGTCCCCAAAGTATCTCAATACTTCCCAAAAGAATCAGACTACATCCTAACTACATGGCTGAAAAATGAAATTACAATTCCCCAGTAATCTAAGGGAAGAAATACTTATATAGAAGAATTTCATTAAGTAAAGGTTTTATTTCCTTATTGAAACTGAGCTGTATTTAATCAAGGCCTGAACTAACAATTTTCTATTATAGGTTTGTTTGTTTGTATTTTTTTTAAAAAAAGCTTCCCCAAATGGCTTTCTGTTTCTCAGTACATTCAAAATTATTGAAGTTTCAAATCTCAACTAAGACAGTATTTTCACAGGTTAATTCAAGTGGAAGGCTGAAAGAATATACCATATAACCGAAACAAAAACAACTCTAAGTTAACATAAATAATCAGCTTGAGTTCTCTGTATATTAAGAAAAAAAGAAAAAGGAGAGGAGTAGATGAATCTTTTTGTCTTTAATCTTTGTTTGTAGAGATAAAAGACACTTTTAGGTAATCCCATACCCTGATCAGAGTGTGACGAACAGTCAGGGTATCTCTTGATTATCTTTCAATGCCAAGTAAAACTTTGCTTTCTGTCATCTACCCTAAAGGTATACTGGAAAGAATTACAAGAATGCTCCTGAATGAACATATGGTCAAATTAAGATGGATTAGATACTGAGCTTTACACAATAAATTGCAGGTTTAACTGTCTGAAGCAATATAGTACCTATGGCCTTATTTTACGACACTTATATTTATAGAATCAATTCAAATAGGACATTATCTAAGATATCTTTTTTTTTTTTTTTTTTTTTGAGACGGAGTCTCACTCTGTCGCCTAGGTGCAGGGGCACAATCTCGGTTCACTGCAAGCTCCGCCTCCCGGGTTCACGCCATTCTCCTTCCTCAGCCTCCTGAGTAGCTGGGACTACAGGCGCCTGCCACCACGCCCGGCTAATTTTTTGAGTTTTTAGTGGCGATGGGGTTTCACCATGTTAGCCAGGATGGTCTTGATCTGCTGACCTCGTGATCCGCCCGCCTCAGCCTCCCAAAGTGCTGGGATTACAGGCGTGAGCCACTGCACCTGGCCAATATCTTTTAAAATGAAGTAATTGCAAAACTGCACATGTTTTCAAGATGTTATTTAACTGGGAAAAAAGGTATTGACTGTTCTTAGCAGTTTCTTTTTTTCACATATGAGGAATATTTGTGGTTAAGTAGGTATCAAATTCAGAAACAAAAGACCATGCCTCTTCACAAGACGATTATCTCTCAAAAGGACCAAATAATTTTTATTCACAAATAAAAATACAAGATACCATTACAAAAATATAAATTTTAAATTACATAGTACCTTAGTTGGGTTTATTTCGCTGGATTTCATCTATCTTAAGCCATTAATTGTGAGAAGCACCATTATTCTACCATACATGGCATTATTAAAGAAAAAAATGCTACTAAACGACTCAGTGTTTTAACAATAGTCACACTTGATGCATGAACCAGTCACACTTACTTCTAACCTATTCTGAGATTTTGGCAACTGCTCCTGCTCTGAGATCCACTGTGGTGAGCAATATTCTATTATCAATCTCAACAACAAAAATTATACAGCTTCTTGAGGGCATCCTTCCTTTGCAGAGCTTATAAATACTCCATTGTTGCTTTGCAGGAAAATAAAAAAAATTACAGTCATTTCTCTAATGATGAATATTAGTTTCACAAATATCAAATTTACCTCCCATTGATCTCTTTCCATACCATCCTGCATATACAATTTTCATGTAATGTCAAACCATGGTATAATCCTTTAAAGATATTTTAAATGGCAATCATACACTCACCTTCATTAAGCCATTCCTGCAATACCAACCACTCCTTCTCCAGCCATTTTCTGACATCAATCAATGGCCAAGAAAGGTCTCAAAAAGTTGCAGCAGTGTGTTATCTACTCCAAGGGCACAATATATGCAAGGTTTAAATTTCATTTCTGTATCGGTTTTCTATTTCTGCTATAACAAATGATCAAAGACTTAATGGCTTAAACAACCAATATTTATTATTACATACTTCTGGAAGTGAGAAGTCTCAACGGACTAAAATTTAAGCATCTATAGGTTCTAGGAGATGATTCATTTTCTTGCGTTTCCTATCCTCTAGAGGCTGTTTATATTCCTTGGCTAATGGCCCATTCTTGACATTATTCTGATATCTGCAACCACCTTCGGAGTCTGCTGCTTTGACCATACGTCTGTTGTCATCTTCCCATCACCTTCTCTGACTGCACCCTTGCTCTTATGAGGATCCCTATGATTACACTGGACCCACCAAGATAACCCAATATAATCTCCACACTCAACATTTTAAATTTAATCATATCTGCAAAATCTCTTCCACTGTGTAAGGTAACACATTCATAGATTCTAGGGATTAGGACATGGACATCTTTAGGTGGCCATTATTCTATTTATCACAATTTCCTATTCAATTTCCTATCAAAGGTTTGAAGTAATATTAAAAACAACACAAAAATATGCCAATATAAAAATACAAAATATAAATTCTAGAAATTTGAGTGTAATTCCCACCATATCAACAAATCATCAATGTGAAAAAAGTACAAATATCTAATACCTTTGCATTAAAACTAAAGATGTTTTCATGTCCCAAAGAATTAAAGTCCAAAAATCTAATTACCTTTCCTTTGTGAATTCAAGTTAAATTAAATGAAAATTAAAAATTATCTTATTCAACTTCTTAATTTTCTCAGCTTCAGCTAGAGAGTCATGATGCTCATGCAGAATCAATTCTTCCTCAGCTGTAGCACCTCAGCTGGGGCTGGCTCTCACCTCAATCTATAGTTTCCACAGGAATTCGCAAAGTATATTGCTTCAACAGTACTCTTCTATGTAATTCCACACCTTGATTTTTTGTTGGGAGAAGGGGCAGTGAAAGGGCCAAATTTTAAGGAGGTACAGTTTGCATGTAGTAAAATTTACCTATTTTAGGCACCCGGTTCTTAAATTTTAATACAAGTATATGATCAAGTAATCTGGACAAAACCCAATTTTTCTATGTATTTTGACTTTCTATTATAAACTCACACACATTAAGGGGATGTTATGTCTTCCTGGAGAATTGACCCCATTATCATTATATAACGCTCTTTTTTATCACTTGTTCTGAAGCCTCTTTTCTCTGAAAATAATGCACAGCTTTTTGCTGGATTAGTGTCTGTATGCTCTATCTTTCTTCACCAAGGTCAAATTGAAATAGCTTTTACTCTAAGGCTGCCACATGGCTGATAGAGCCACAAACTGACATTTGTTCTTAGAACTTACAGCTGGTTAAGACTACAAAAGGCTTCTGTGCCTTTGCTTAAGTCTGAATGGCACAAGCTCCTGGCTGTGAAAAATTAGGAGACAACAATACTTGCTCCTTGCAGACAGCTTCTCCCTAGAGAAAATCCCTTTCCTTTCACTCATGACCCACAATTAAAGTGGCCAAGGTACAGTCATGTAAATCACAGGCCAAAGAAACTCTCCTCTGCATTTGAATCTTTTTTAAAAATTTTATTTTTAATTGATAGATATTCCATTTGTATGTTTATGGGGCACAATGTAATATTATAATGCATGTATTATTGTAGAATTATTAAATCAGCTTAATTAACTTATCTGTGACTTCTCATACTTATCATTTTCTATGGTGAGAACATTTAAATCCACTCTTTCAGCAATTTTGAAATATATTATACATTATTATTAACTATAGTCGATCATGCTGCCCAATAGATCACTAGAACTTTTTTCTTCTGTCTGACTGAAATTTTACACCCTTTGACTAACTATTTTGAACAGAGTTCCACAAGTAGAAAGCTGCCCTAAAGGGACAGCTACCTGGATTTCACTACCTGTTCTATTTTTAGCATTTTCCAAATCCAGGTTGTTAAACTATTGCTTTGGTTCAGTAATTACTCTGCAAAGTTTAATTAATTTGTTTAATTAGTCTATGCTTAAATACCTTTAGTAATAGAAACCAATTACGTCATCCAATATTTATCTTGTTATATTAAAAATACTCTTACTTTTCTTGAGCTGAAACTAGAGCCCTATAGCTTCCTCCATTAGCCCTACCTCTATCTTTTTACAGGTATAAAAAGAGATTGAAATCTTCCTCCACATTGCCATTCATTCAAATGATTGAACTCATTATCTTTTCCATATTAGATCCATATTCATCCCTAGGATACTTCCTTATATGACATGATTCATATCTTTACCATCGTTTTGTAATAATCACTAACTAATCTTACTACTCTAAAAGTGAAGTGTACAGAATTGAATATCACACTTTATGTGTGGCTAGTTAAGTACAGATAAAAATGAGACTCTTAAGTACTGCATCCCTCAAGTCTCTTCTTCAGTGATCTTGTCCCCTGTGAACAGAAGTTAAGTCATGTTAGATTTTGGTTTTGAATAAAAGCACATTATTTCAAAGGCACTATTGATAAATAAAATAACTTCATCTCTTCATTTGCAAAGAAATTTTTTATGTTGAAGTTTAATCAAAAAAGAACAAAAGACATGGATAGGAGCAAAGTTGTAATGAAGTAAGAAAAGGTAATCATGTAGTAAATTGAATCCACAGAAACAAATGAGAAGAGGTAGAAATGGTAATTAAGAAGTTTAATATAATAAGCTCTATAAATATGTATTTGTTCTTTCTTCCCTCATCGCACTTAAAATACATTAAATTATATGAAGTAATAATTATAACAATGTATTGTTGACCTTGTAATGTATATGAATATATTATGCATAGCAATAGTAGCACTGAAATGAAGAAAAGAGAATAGAGGTATATGGGAGTAACATTTCTGCATTTCACTTGAATCAAGTTAGTACAAATACGAGGTAGATTCTGATAAGATGTATATAGTAAGGCCTAGATCAACCACTGAGATATCTTAAAAATACAGTAAAATATCATTACAGAAATTAAAATATTACACTAGACAGTATTCACTAAACGCAAAATAAATGTGTAAAAGAGGAACAAAATATAAGACTATATGAGACAAATAGAAAATGAAAATTAAAATGGCAGGGCAATAAGTCAAGAAAAAGAAATAAAAAGCCTCCAGATTTGAATGGAAGAACCAAACTTATCTCTATTTGTAGATGACATAATCTTGAGTGTAAAAAAATCCTATAAAATCCACTTAAAATTATTATAAATAATAATTCAGTTTAGTAAAGTTACAGGTAAAAGATAAATACACAAAATTGTATTTTACATTCTAACTAGGAAGAAAAAATAAATAAAAATTTGAAAAGTAAAAAATTTTATTTTATACACTAGCAATGAACAATTTAAGAACAAAATTAAGAAAATCATTCAATTTAGAATGTCATCTAAAAGAATAAGTTGCTTAGGATTAAATTTAACAAAAGATCTGCAAAACTTATACTCTGAAGCCACCTCTACAGTAATGATCACTGATGTGTTTCTTTTTGGATGTCTACTGTTTGGAGTTTGTTGAGGCTCTTTTCATCTTGAGATTTTTTTTTTCAGTAAATTTGTAAAATTTCAATCATTATTTCTTCAAATATTTTTTCCTTTTCTTTCTGTTTCTATGGGACTCCTATTACGTGTATTTTGCTATCCTTGATAGTGCTGTATTCATTTTTCTTCACATTTTTTTCTCGTTCCTTCAGATTAGATAATATCTACCGATCAAACTTTAAAATCATGGTTGTTCTGCTCTGCTGTCTTGAATCTGCTTTTTAGCCACTCTAGCAAATTTTTTATTTTGGCTACTGCATTTTTAAAATCTATAACTTCTATTTAGTATTTTATTGTTTTTATTTACTATTAAATAACTCAGAAATCCTTAAAATCAACAGAGAAACTAAAACGTTTCTTAAAATTATTTGTTCAACACATATACACACACAATACACAGTACAGAAGCAATTGGTAGAGGAGCAAAAAACAAAATAAAACATAATCAATTTTCCTAGTGAGGCCAGATGCAGTTTCTCATATCTGTATCCTGGCAATTTCGGAAGCTGAGGCAGGAGGACTGCTTGAGGCCAGGAGTTTGAGAACAACCTGGGAAACATAGACAGAACCTGTCTCTACAAAAGAAATTAAAAATTAGCCGGGTGCGGTGGCACATGCCTGTAGCGCTAGCTTCTTGAGAGGCTGAGGCAGGAAGACTGCTTGTACCTGGGAGTTCAAGGCTGCAGTGAGCCATGATTGTACCACTGCACTCCAGTCTGAGTGACAAAGCCAGATCATGTCTAAAAAAAAGAATGCAAACAAATATGTCTAGTATAATCTGCAGAAGAACCACTAAGGAAATAACCCAAAATTATAGTTAAAATCAACAGAAGAATTAATATGACAAATTCAAAATTATCAGCAAAGAATGCAAAAGTATCAGCAAAGAATTCAAACAGAAAAATCTAGAAGAAATATGTTTTAAAAAACCTACCAAAATGTCAGATGTAAACCCAGCCGTAACTATGGTTATATTAAATGTGAATGGACACTTCAATCAAAAGGCAGAGATTGCTAGACTGACTAAAAAACATGACTTTTCTCAATGTTATCTATAAAATCCTACTTTATATTCAAAGACACAAGCAGGTTGGAAGGATAAAAAAATATATTCCATAGAAATAAATATGTACAAAAGAACTAGAGTGGTTTCATTACTATCACAGAAAATAGACTTGAATACAAGAAATATTTCCAGAAACAAAGAGGGACATTTTATGAAGAAAACAAGGTTAATATATGAAGAAGATATGATAATTATAAATGTATATGCACCTAACACTTATAATATTAAAAATATAAATGTATTCATACCTAAATACTCCTTTCCTGCATAAGGAATGAGATGAATTCTACAATCTCCCTGTTCATGGGAGCTTGTAGCTCCCATGCTTTTGTGTCATGAGCTCTTCTCAGCGAAGAAAAATATTTTCCTTTGTTAATGTCTGACAAGTGTAATTTTGCAAGCAATTTCTAAGAAAAAAGAAGACACAAATACATAAGTGTTGAAAGTGTGTCCTGAAGTTATAAGTGTAAAGAAAGAAATCATTTACTTTTAGATGATTTGAGATCACATACTTTATATGGGCTTTGAGCCAACAACTAAAGCACATAAAATATTGTGTTCATGTATGATCTTAACTCTTTCACTTTCAGGTATTAGGTGGATTCACTCTGCTTAGGCTGAGTGTAAATTGTTCCAAGAATATTATACATGTTGGGATTTCACAATGTATACCATTGATTTTTAGGGAGCTTATTTTGTGAATTTGCCATCTTGTAACGATTCAGCTCTAGAGAGTTGTAAGTTATGTCATTTTGTGCTCTGCTTTCCTTGATGAAAACATGTTTAGCTGGTCTTTAACATTAAATATTTTCGTGAAAGCCAGTGTTCTTAATGTAGTCTTCTAGTTATTTATTATTATTAGTTTTGGAATTCTGCAGAGTACAACACATTGCCAGAAGTCTGGTATGACATCCTGAAAAGTAATCTTGTGTTGTTTGTTCGGTTCTCTTGCCATAGAGCTAATTTTCTCAATAATAGCTACAATGGAAATAACAAATATAAAAGCTTCATTTTCTCATCCTTTAAAAAGCCTTTTAGCTCACTTTGAAATCCCCAAAGAATATATAGAAAAACACCTATCAACTGAAAAGTGCCAAAGCTAATGCTCTGTCTCAAAATTAAAGCACAGAGAAAAAGCCTCCAATACAGCTGCTAACTTCTTTGGTGTCTCTGAAGCATTCCTGCCAGTGTTAACTCACAAGGGCTCATACTGCTGCTGAGGGCACTAACACAGACTTCTCCCACTTCTGCACACAGCCTACACTTTCTTGTAAATGATGAAGTAATGAAGTGAATTAAGTAACTTTGGAACTTGCATTGATATTTCGGACTAAGCACCACTGCTCACTCATGCATTGAAAGGATGAGATGTTGAATAGAATTTTTAAATTCTGAAGCATAAGTGCAAAGTAAGTGGCCCTAAATACCAGGAGCATTGGTTTTAAAATGCCATATTCCAAAGCTAAATGAAATTGTGGTCATCTGGATTCTCTAAGCCTAAAATCTTACTTTATTTCAATTTCTAAAGCATTTCACCCAGGAGTGCTGGAGTGCCCTAATTTCCCCATTGATTTTCCCTGTGATGAAGACCATACATTTAAACTTTAAGCATAGTCATGAGGGAGGAACAAAATGAAAGTATCTAAGAATTCTGTATTCCCACAGCAGGCTCTAAATGGTCATAATATTGCAACCCACCCACTTTTGTTGACGTTTCAGATAGTGTTGGTGCTCTACCCGGAGAGCCTCGAATATCTTTTTTCCTTTGTTTCTATATTGGCTGGGAAGGGGAGAGAGGGAAACCACATTTTGTGATTTTATCCCAACACTCGGTATGTGCAATTATTTTACAAAAGACTGACCGCAGGCTACCAGAGCCCCTATAATATGCCTTGTATAAAGATAAGCTAGCATCTAGGACTTAAATCTCCAACACCTCAGCTCAGAACTATTCTGAGGTGTAACTGACATTCCACAAAACTCTTGCAATATCAAGTTGAAGCCACCCTTTGTAGGACTTTGACTAAGACTGTACCTCATTTTACTTTTCCATTTCAAATCCCTTCCCTTCCTCAGCTTTCCCTACTCCCGTGTTAGTTTCCCATGGAGCCCTTTCTTTATAAATATCTTGCCTGTGAGTCCAAATCTTAATGTTGGCTTCTGGGGGTCTCAATCCATGACACAACCTGGTACCTTCGAATTAGGCCACTCTGACATAAAGAATAAAGCCATTTTAATAAGGGTTATGTGGGAGGAGAAGGGGCTAGTGCTAGGAAGAGAAAAAATAGAGTGCTAGATATGCTTTACTATCAGGTATCTTAACTTTACCACCCTTGCCTTGGTACTTTTTTGCCCCTTTCAAGGCCACTGTGCCTTTGAACTTTACCTAGAGTTCCCTTATATGAATGCCATTATTCGTTTTACTCATTGTTGTCCTTCTGTCCTAACATACCTGTTCATTCTCCTACTTCCCAGGGCTTTGGACACTATCCCGTAATCTGATTAAGCAATACTATAAAGAATTACTTAGTAACAATTATGAATAATTATTACTAGCCATTAGAGAGAGAGAGAGAGAGAGATATATATATATATACACCAAAACATCTATGGAATATATATTTAAATTAAAGCATTAAAATAGAAACATGAAAATGACTTAGTCCCTATCCTAAATAAATGTAATTTTAAAAAAGTATTATAATACAGCATGCACTCAAAATAGGACTTTTCAAACATCATAAGGGATATATGAACAAAGTACTATAAGTACTCAAAAAAAGAGAGGAAAGAAACCATGTGGCAAACATTTTTGCATATGATTTCATTGAAAATGTTAAGTTAGTCTATTGGCAAACCCAAGGCCTGGATAATAACCAGCTTATGCAAAGATGAACAAACAAAAGTAAATCAATGGAGAGTATGCACACAAAAAGAAACTGTTAAGTTAAATAATATAAAGAACTGGCTCCCACCTTCTACAGATAAGTAAATAAGTTCAATTAATTAAGCACTTGTCTGAGGCACATAGTAGGTAAATGTCAAAGATAAAATAGAAAGTCCAACTTCTGCATGCAAAGCATGCAGAAGAAAAAAATACTTTTTACAGTATTTCAGCCAAAGAAAGGAAAACATCACTGGAATTGTTACATTAAAATTAGGGAGGCCATTGTTTTAGACTGAGCTCCTGTCCTGGGCCCTAACAGACCAAACCAAACCAAAATGGTGTCACTCTTGCTAAATGCTACATAAACTGAAACATCAAGGAAACAGATACTAAACAAGACCATTTTTTTTTTCCCGAAAATAGGAGTTTCCAGTTGAATTTGTAGTAATTTTGTCTTTTGACAGAAATTAGATGTTACTTAGGAAGTTCAGTAATATAAGTTAGTAATTGAACCACCTACCTTTTCTGTATTATTCATTCTTGTACTAACTATAGAATAGATATTGTGCCATCTACTTAAACATTTTTAAAAATTAGATGAGATAAAACTCGTCGACGGTCACAAAGTAAATAAGTGACAGAGAGGGGGTTGATCCCAGATCTTTTACTTCAAAGCCTCATATTTTACCTAGTTTCCTTCTGGCTATATGGAGACTGAGAGTCGAGGTTACCAGACAAAAGAGAGGGTAGGGGCAAAAAGACAGAACAGGGAAGTTTTTGAGTGTGTATGGGGAGAGGGACATTGCAGTTTAGTTGGGGTGTATGGTCAATGAACATCAGGGGAGTGACATAAACTGACAAAATGCTCTGATTGGGTGTAAGAAGTTTAGACTTGATGGATGGACAATGGGGTTCCATTGAAAGGTTTTAACCAAGGACAAACTATGGACAGAGTTGAGTTTTAATATGCTTACTTATCAGATTTTTAAAGTAATGGAGCTTCTCTATGTTAACCACAGAAGAAATCTTTACTGTTTTAGACAAAGTGTTTTTAATGAGATGGATTTGACGATCAGGTTAATTTCCTATGACATCCTTTAAATCATACCATATGGGATATTGCTGCTTTTATACGTACTTAAAATGGACTCTTTTTAACACTCGGACGCAATTATTACTAATGCCATCACAATAGATTAATAGCATAATGCCAGCTGTGCATTCAACACAGAGCATCTAAGCCTCTCTATAGGGGTTATTATTCATCAATCAAATACAAACAAGTATGGGGAAAATGTAAATTTAATCCTGTAAGATATTGATGAACAAAAGCTTCAGGTTGAGTGTTTGAGGTAATTGTAACATTTTGCATCTGGTGAAAGGCCAGACCATTAACAGAGACATTTATTTACTACAAGGCAAAAATTGGGAAGATTTGGGAGATCAACAATTTCAGGGACCAGACAGATGTCTCAGATGTCCCAGGACACTGCCTGGGATTATGTCTGATTTCTGGACTCTCTCTATCCTGGACGTGCATATTGACCAGCTGAAAGGGATGAAGGGAAGCTGGCAGAGGCATTAAGGAGCATTCAGCAGCAAGAAACGGACTGTAAGAATTAGGGAAGAAGACTGGCTCTGAAGCTTAGAGAAAGGGCATCACAGGTACTCTGTAACGCTCTGATCAGACCAAGGATGCTGTTCATATAGCACTTGTGCTGTAGACAGGACATTTCCAGATCCAAGGATCAGACAGAAGAATATTGACCCTAGCAGCATGAAGGACTGGAATAGAAAGTGACAATAATTTTTGAAGAGATAGTGAGACAGAACAAGAATACAAATCCATTAATTCATTTAAAAATCCATTCATTCTATAAAAATTATTTGGATGCCTAATTTATTCCAGGCACTGTTCTGAGTGCTGGGGATACAACACTGCAAAAACAAACAGTGCAAAAACAAAGAAACAAACAAAG
Organism: Homo sapiens; assembly: GCF_000001405.40. Taxonomy (NCBI): domain Eukaryota; kingdom Metazoa; phylum Chordata; class Mammalia; order Primates; family Hominidae; genus Homo; species Homo sapiens. Next base: position 30,535,571 of record NC_000018.10, read on the forward strand.
AAGAAAAGTTCTCTCCCTCTAGAAGCTCTCATTCCAGTGGAGAACATGGGCATCCAGCCACTATGGTGAACAAGTACATCTATGATGTGTCACATACTGGTAAGTGCTTTGAAACAGGGTAACTACATAATGGTTGCAGCAACTATAAATCAAAAAGACCTTTAAACACCTTTCCTTCCATTCAGCCTTGGTGCCAGCCATTTGGGGATGTGTACTTTTTTGTCCTCCATCCTTCTTCACATGTGCGTTTTGGCATGTGTTATAACTTGGCACTAAAATGCACATGTGAAGAAGGAAGGAGGACAGAAAAAAGAGTACCCATCCCCAAATGGCTGGCACCAAAGCTGAATGGAAGGAAAGGTCTTTAAAGGTTAGAGAACAATCTACAATGTCACCAAAGTCACTTTCAGAGCAGGAAGGGAGTGTGTTATTTGCAAAGCAGCATGCCACCTTCTCTGTAATTTCTGAAGCAATAAAGGTACTGATGCAAGGATGTGAGAATGAATCCATTTCCCTTCCCTTAGGAACAGCACGGCACAGTTGACTTGCTTCTTTAAGCAGGAGTTTTGCTTTATTTTTAGAATGAAACTAAAGTTTATGGTATTACACATCTAGATGGTTAAAGTTTTCTAAATTATCAATTACGGAGCCCAGGATTCTGAACTTAATGGACTGTACAGTAGGTTCATTAGAGTAAGACTAATTTTTACTATGTTATAATCTGTCTCTAATTTCAAAATAATGGAAACTCCTAGAAATTGTTATCAAACTTTTAAAGCATTATCAGCTGTTGAAATATGTAGTCCTAAAGCAGAATCTCTGCAGCTGTGGACTAAGCCTCACAATATTACCATCAACACTCACACATTGATTAAATACTAATGTGACCCCAAGGCTATTTCTAATTTTTTTCTTTCTATAGACCTCATACTTCTAAAGCTATTAAGCTACTTTATTCTTCTGCTAATTATCTGAAATGTTATTAATTTGAAGCCTAAAATTCATAGAACTTCTTCAAAGCAACTTTACAACGTCAATGGAGTTGAAGTGAAAAATACAATGAAAACATGAAGAAAGTTTCAAATGGTCAATTTCCAAACTTCTAAACTTTAAGATACACACCATTCTAATCTCTCTGCTGAATCAGTTAGTAAGCACAACAGTCTTGACCTAAAGAAGGAAAAAATATATTTATTAGCAACTATTTCACACCAGATTGATTATTCTCTCTCAAACATATTTTTGTAACAGTGTAATTGGTCAGTTTACTGTAGTCTAAAACAAATCGCATCTTATTTTCAACTTGTTAGTTAAACCTTGGCTTCCCCGATTTTGCTTTTAAAATGTTCTTTTACTCTCAGGTAGATATTGTTGCCACACATTGACATGGCATTCATTAAGCAACCATTCCTTTATTCAAAACTTCATTCAGCAAGCATTAATTGATCAGTCATGACTAAGAATAAGGTGTTTGGATCCCATTCAAGAGTCTGTTCTTGTTAGAAGGGTGACATGGAGCAATGGATTTAACCTTTATAAACCTATTTTTCTCATTCAAAATATGGAGAAAGTAAGACTACTACTTCATCATGTTGCTATCTGTACTAAGGAAAATAATGCCAACTCTTGACACTCGCCCTGTACCCTCTGTTCCAAATATAGTTATTATTTTTATTGCTCTGAATGAGCCATTCTTTTTACTCCTGGTTTGTTTTGCGTTTCTCTTCACTCTAAAATGTGCTTCTTCCCTATTGTGAACTCTTATTTAACAATGAAGTTCTAAGTTACCTGTTGTCTCTGTTATAAAATCTTTATTGACTCTGATTCCGCTCCTCATCCTCCTAAAAGTTAGAACTGAGCCTCTCTCTTTCATACTCCTTTATTGTTTTGCTAAGGTTTGTGTTATAGTAACTACAAATTTGTTTCCCTTTTTGTTTACATCTATGTTTCCTTCATTAAATATCAATTTTTAAGCCTTAGAAATACTTCTTATTCAGCCGGGCGCAGTGGCTCACGCCTGTAATCCCAACCCTTTGGGAGGCCAAGGCGGGAGGATCACGAGGTCAGGAGATCAAGACCATCCTGGCTAACAAGGTGAAACCCCGTCTCTACTAAAAATACAAAAAAAGTAGCCAGGCATGGTGGCACGCGCCTGTAATCCCAGCTACTTGGCAGGCTGAGGCAAGAGAATCGCTTGAACCCGGGAGGCAAAGGTTGCAGTGAGCCAAGATCACGCCACTGCACTCCAGCATGGGCTACAGAGACTCCTTCTCAAAAAAAAGAAAAAAAAGAAATACTTCTTATTCACACTTTAGCCTAAGAAGAGTGCCTGAAATATAATTAATGTGCAATAAGTGTTGAATGGATGACAGCATGAATAAATTCATAGTTTATGCATAAATTCCATTATGATTACCTGCTGTGTGCAAGAGCCAATGAGTGCCCAGAGATCTTACTATGTGCAGTTATTGAGCAAAGCACTTCACAAAAGGTATCTTATATAACTTACTGAAATTTGTTTTTATAGGCAAGAAACAAATATTTTAAAATTAGAAATAATTTCTCTAAAATCATTGCAGAATCAGTATTGGTAATGAAGCCTGCAATGATTAAAATTTGAGAGAGAAAAAAATCAATATAAACATATATAGTCATAAAAACATTTTTTATTTTTATGTAATGTACATGTAATATATGTAATATATATTATAATTATGCAACAATGTAATATATTTAATGTATATATTTTTATTTTATAAACAGAATTGTATTCTCTCAAAATGTTTATTTTTTCTTTTGTTGTATTTATTTTTTAAAAAATATACAAGGCCCCACTATGTTTCCCAGGCTGATCTTGAACTCCTAGGCTCAAGTAATCTTTCCGTCTTAGCTTCCCAAAGTGCTAGGATTATAGCTGTGAGCCACCATGCCCAGCCTCTATCAAAATTGTTATGTTGAAGCCCTAAATCCCAGTGCCTCGGAGTCTGGCTATATTTGGAGACAGAGCATTTAAAGAGGTAATTAGTTAAAATGAAGCCATTAGGGTGGACCTTTATTCAATCTGACTGATGTCCTTGTAATAAAAGGAGATTAGGACTTGCAGAGAGACACCAGATATGTGCTCACAAAGAGAAAGTGCCAGCCATGGGAGGACCTCATGAGAAGGTGCCATGTGCAAGTCCAGGAGGAAGGCCTCAGGAGCACCTGCCAACACCTTGATTTTGGACTTCCAGCGTCCAGAATTGTGAGAAAATAAATTTCTGTTGAGCTATCCAGTCTTTGGTATTATTTTGTTATGGCAGCCCTAGTGGGCTAAAACTATATTTGTAATATCTATATTTATCCATATATATATATATATATATATATATATATATATATATATATATCTTTTGGGCTTACATTGATGTAACATGTGTGTTTGATTTTTTTTTTTTTTTTGAGACCGACTTTCACTGTGTCGTCAGGCTGGAGTGCAGTGGCACAATCTTGGCTCACTGCAACCTCCACTTTTGGGGTTCAAGTGATTCTCCTGCCTCAGTCTCTTGAGTAGCTGGGACTACAGGCACGTGCCACCATGCCAAGCTAAATTTTTGTATTTTTAGTACAGGCGGAGTTTCACCATGTTGGCCAGGATGGTCTCATTCTCTTGACCTCGTGATCCACCTGCCTCGGCCTCCCAAATTGATGGGATTACAGGCGTGAGCCACTGCACCCAGCCTCATGTTTGATTTTAAAAGCCAAATAGGATTAAAATACTTACAACAAAAAACAATAGTCATCTGTCTCACCTTGGATTCCTCTTCCCCAAAGACTACCAATTCCAACTCATTTACTTGTTTCCTCTTGTATTTTTCTTCTTGTTTCTAAAAAGCATGCTTATAATCTTACTATATTATATGTTTTTTACATTTGAGATATGGATATTATCATTACATTCTAACCAGAGAAAATGGGGAGTTATTTTTCTTACATCTTCCCCTCTTTCTTGTAGAATATATATTTCATAGTTTGGTTATGCTATGTTAACATAATTCTGACTATTGCAATGTTACTTTCAGCCAGTTGTAGAATACGAGGACACTAAGTGTCAATCCCATTGATACCTCCATCCCATGAGAACAGTAACCTTCTCTTCATCCTGAAGAGGTCATTTGTATAATGTATTTACAAGAGACAGTTACCTTGTAGAGTGCAATAATTTCACCTCATTGTCACTCCCTTCAATGTCCTCGCTGGCTTCCAACCTGCAATGTAGCCATATCCCAGTATGTGTTAGGCAATCGATTGCCAATTTAGAACTACAAGAGAGAATTATAAATCAAAAGTATTACAAGATCTTGCTAAATTGTATCAGCATACACCTGGAAAGTAGGTGTGGAAATGTATTTTTATGATGCTAAATCAGGGAGGGAAAAATAATTTCAGATAGGGCTGAATATCTTAGTAGGGGTGCACTTCACAAAGATTCCAGATATAATGGGCTGTATCAAGCAGTTGATAGTATATTTCTTTATTTAATTTTACTTTGAATACTTTACTTTGAATACTTTAGAAGCTTATTATGTGTTGCTTTAAATCTTCCTACAAGTATTCTGCTTAATTAATTCAGTGACTAAAACACCTAGACTCATTGGTGGCTGATTCTAAATAAGATTGAGATACTAGGTACTTTTTGCTATAATGTAGAGGAGGAATCCAAAATGTTAGGGCAGTAGATACATGTAATAAATGAAGCTGCCTGCACACCCTTCCTGTCTATGTTTTATGGGGAGGTATATGAGAAAGTGTCTTCATCATGACTTTCAGAAATACATGTACTGATAGAGGTAGAAATAGAATATTTGAAAGTGCTATAATGGCTAATTTCCATTGGCCGCTGGGCAGTGGGAGATACTGTTAACTAAATGAATATTTATTTTCAGTGGCAATGCTGGAAGCAATCAAGAAGTAGCTCTAACTTAAAAGATGAAGATATACTTACTCTACTTTGGTCCAGAATGGTTGGAACTAGATAAATCTTTGGTGATTACTTATTGATTACAGTGTTATTATCAATAAATTTTACGGCTACCCAGAAAGTTCCTATTTGGTAGATGGAATAAACCTTTTTGTTACATGTGCCAATAAGAGACCTGATTGGAGCCACCAAAAGAGACATGGCCTAATACCTAACTCCCATATTTGTATCAGATCACAGAATCCAAGTCCTTCGAAGTAATGTGGGCAGACTGGAGCAAAGAAGCTCTGACAATATCATAAAAATGTATGTGAACTTCCTTCCTAGCCTTCTCTTATAGCTATTTTCCAGGATGCTGTGTACTGGGTAAAGAAAAATGCCCATACTCTTTAAGGATGATTGGGCACTGATTCTTAGCTAGTGCTAATTCTTGGAGATCCACAACATCACAGCAGACCACAGTGCGATTTTACTGGTGTTGGAGGATAAATGGATATACTGAAAAGTTACTAAGAATCCTACCCACATAGATTTCTTCACTAATGGACTTAGACAACATGTGATAGGAAATACAAGTTGGGAATCCCTAGAATTTTTCTTTCCTTCCAAAATACAGTCATGCACTGCATAACAACATCTAGGTCAATGATGGACCACATATAGGATGCTGGTCCCATAATATTATAATACCATAATTTTACTGTACCTTTTCTATGTTTAGATATATTTATATATGCTATTACGTTACAATTGCCTATAGTATTCAGTATAGAAACATACTGTACAGGTTTGTAGTCAAGGAGCAAAAAGCTACACCACATAGCTTAGGTATGTAGTAACCTGTACCATGTCGGTTTGCGTAAGTGACCTGATTGATGTTCACACAATGATGAAATTACCTAACAACACATTTCTCAGAATATATCCCATTTTTATGCAAGGCACAACTGTAATAAATCAAAAGTAATACTGTATACTTGGGGGATTGCAGAGCATAATGCCAACATCAAAGACTTGGGAGATACTAAGGGGATGATTCCTATCATTTTCCCCACTTACTTTACCTGCTAGGCCCGTGCTGAAGACATCCTGGAGGATGATAGCTGATTATTGTGAATGCATTCAAAGGCTAGCTGTAATAGTGCCTCTTCTTAGTTAGTGTGAGCTGCTACACAAAGTAATAGACTTGATAGATTAAACAACAGAAATGTATATCTCACAGTTCTGGAGGCTGGAAGTCCAAGATCAGCATGCCAACATAGTTGGGTTCTGGTGAGGACCATTTTTCTGGATTGTAGACTACTGATTTCTCCTTGTATCATAAAATGGCAGAAAGAGGGTAAGAGACATATTTGGGTTTGTTTTTTTTTAATAAAAGCACTAGTTTTATTCGTGAAGGCTCTACTCTCATGGCCCCACTTCCTGATAACATCACATTGGGGGTTAGGATTTGATCATGTAAATTTTGGGGGGACACAAACATTAAGTCAATTGTAAATCTATTTTTTCTTTGTCTTTTTGCTAAAAGAAATCAGCAAAGTCCTTTGTCTCTGCAATATTCTTTTTCTACTGCCATAAGTTAAAAAGCAGAAGAAACTGCATACAGTCAACAGAGATAGCATTGCATTTTTTATTCTTATGCTTCAAAGCTGAATCAATTATATGTATCTATGTTATAATTTAGTCCTATAGAGCCTTGATCATCGCAGAATTTTAAAGTAAATAAAATTGAGCTACTAAAGAAATTGACAAATCATACCCCATTAACCAAATTCAGCCTGCAGCCTGTTTTTGTAAGACCTGTGAGCTTAAAGTAGTTAGTACATTGTAAAGGGTAGTAAATGCACACACACACACAAACACACACACACACACATATACACACACAAATATGTGACAGAAACTAAACGTGGCCTACATAAACTAAGATATTTATTTCTGGTGCTTTAGGGAATAGGTTTGCCAACCTCTGGTCTACTATAACAATAACAACATATTCTTAGAATGCAGTAAGTAGGAAGTAACAGTGGTTTGGATGACTGGTAATACAAGAATAAAACGTATAGGTAGTGGCTAATTTTCAAATTTGGCATTAGGCTGATTTCATTATTAATCAATAGTTTATATACTATCAAAACCCAGGGGTCATCCAAAGAACCGAACTTAAACCTAGATGAAGTAATTGACAAGTCTTAGTTTGTCTCCCTTTCAGGGAGAGGGAGTGCTTTCTTTTACTGAATAAGAGAGAATTGTATAATTTTAAAAGGCACAGGTCAACTGTATAGTTTAAAGAAATATATGTTTACTTTCTTTCTTTCTTTTTTTCTTTTCTTTTTTTTTTTTTTTTTTTTGAGACAGAGTCTTGCTCTGTCGCCCAGGCTGGAGTGCAGTGGCACGATCTCGGCTCACTGCAACCTCTGCCTCCCGGGTTCAAGTGATATTCCTGCCTCAGCCTCCTGAGTAGCTGGGATTATAGGCACGTGCCACCACGCCCGGCTAATTTTTTGTATTTTTAGTAGAGACGGGGTTTCACCGTATTAGCCAGGCTGGTCTCCATCTCTTGATCGGCTAATTTTTTGTATTTTTAGTAGAGACGGGGTTTCACCATGTTAGCCAGGCTGGTCTCCATCTCCTGACCTGGTGATCTACCCACCTCAGCCTCCCAAAGTGCTGGGATTACAGGTGTGAGCCACCGCGCCCAGCCTGTTCAGGGAAATATATGTTTAAATGTATGTTTAGTAAAGGCTGTATTTTGATGTTGAATAGCAAAAGGTGGGATGTTAAGAGAACCGGTCATGTCTGTAATCTGTGTTTGCATTCAACGTGTTTGGATATCACATCCTAAGTTTGTGGTTTTGCATATTTGACTTGCACATCCCCAGAAAGGCATAACTCATTTTTCCAGCCTCCCTTGCTGCTACTGTTCAGGCATATGACCCTGGCTTCACCAATATCCTACATGTATAAGTAGGATTGTTATTTGAAGGAAGAATACACGTATTCATAGTTTTGACAAGCACAACAGTGGCGGTATCAAGGTCTTTAGAGGCTCTAGTGTTGGAACTCCTGGCCTCTTGTTCTGTGAACCATAATTCCAATCTGTGATTTTTTATTATATGGGATGTTAGTACCATGTAGGGTAGCAGTGGAGTTTTCACTACAGTAAGGTTCTCCATGTGAGCATGTGGCCATTGTGTGTTCTCTGAACTCAGCTTTCTAATCCACATAGAGATTCAGAGAGATACATAAGAGAATGATACATATATCTGTCTGCTTAGAGTAACTCAAGAGGATTTTGTTGTTGGTTACTAAGAATTCTAACTGATAGTACTGAAAATGTCCCTAAATACTCACAGCTTTAATTTGCCTAGGTATAAAATCTCATTTTACAATTTATTTGCCATGAACATTTTGATTTTGATTAAATGCTTTTTATCAAATGTAGGACTCATTGACAAGTAGACATGTAACCACCTACACTGATTCCTTCAACATCCAAGCATCACCCAAGCTGCTATTATTTCCCTCTGGATTATTGCAAAAGCCTCCCTGCTTTTACCGTTACCCCTGAATCTATCCTCAACAAAGCTGCCACAATTATCGCTAATAATGTAAGTCAGGTCATGGTGCCTTCTTCTCAAAATCTTCATTGGTTTCTGTTGCACTAAAAGTCAAAGTCATCACCATGACCTACAAGACCTTGCATGGTCTGGAAACGGATAACCCTAAATGTTTCTCCTATTGCTCTGCACATTTTTCACTCTGAGAAAGCCATACCAGTTCCTTGAACATACCAAGCTTGTTGCTGCCTCAGCAGTTTGTACCTGTTCCCTCTGCCTGGATTGTTTTTATACCAATTATCTCCATACCTGGCTCCCTTGCCTCCTTCAGAACATTATTCGTATGTCCTCTTCTCAGGGTGGGTGCTTCCTTCTCTGACAAGCCTATTTAAAATTGCAATCCTACCATTCTTTGCAGATCAACTCCCCCCTACACAGAGAATTATCTATATTCTACTCTGACTTTTTCTTTCTTGGTAGTAGTTATTACCATACAAATTAGAAGCATCCAAATCAGCAACAAAGAAGTAAAATTATCTCTGTTTGCAGATAATTACGGTTTACATGATCCTAAATGTAAACTTGTCCCAAAGATTCCACAAAAAAATCCTGTTGGAACTAAAAATGAATTCAATAAAGTTGTAAGATATAAAATCAACATATAAAAATCAATAGCATTTTATATACTAATATAATAGAAAAAGAAATATAAAAAGCAATCCCGTTTACTACATCAAAAAATAACTAGAAATAAATTTAACTAAGGCGATGAAAGATGTATACACTGAAAATTACAAAATATTGATTTAAAAAAACTGAAAGAGCCAAAAATAAATGGAAAGTTAACCCATGCTCATGGATCAGAGGAATTAATATTGTTAAAATGTTTATCCTACACAAAGCAATATAGAGATTCCATGCAATCTGTATCAGAATCCTAATGTCATTCTTCATAGAAATAGAAAAATCGATCCCAAAATTCATAAAGAAATGTAAAAAGGCCAAATGCCCAAAACAATTCCAAGAGAAAAAAATGTAGGCAATACATTTTCTGATTTACAATTATATTACAAAGCTATAGTAATTAAAAGTATGTGATACTGGCATAAAAACAGAGATATAGACCAGTGGAACAGAATAGAGAGCCCAGAAATAAATCCAAACATATACAGCCAACCAAATTTTGACAAAAGCACCAAGAAGATGCAACTGGGAAAGGATAGTCTCTTTAATCAATGGTGCTGGGTACATTGGGTTTCCATGCACAAACAATAAAATTTGACCCTTATCCTACACCATACAGAGAAATCAATGTTTAAACACGATTAAAAAAAATCTATCTCTCTTTGTCACCCAGGCTGGTCTCAAACTCCTGGCTTAAAACTCACCTCCTGCCTCGGCCTTCCAAAGTGCTGAGATTACAGGCATGAACAGCCACACCCAGCCAACACACACACACACACACACACAAACACATCTGTATCTGCCTATCTATAATCTGTTTACGTCATCCATATATGTATGTGTGTGTGTGTGTGTGTGTGTGTATACACATATATGGATCTGTGTGTTTGTATATATATATACACACACAGAGAGAGATTGAAACAGATACAGAGACAAGAGACAGACATACAGAAAGTTAATGCTGTATTCCCAGCAACCACAGTGGTGCTGCGCATATAGAAAGAATTCCATAACCTGCCTTCAATGGACTTCAGCTGTATTTTGAAGCAGTGACCTGGATCTTTAGGAGGATCCTCAACATCTAGTCCTGTCACTTTTTCAATATCCATCAGAGTTTGCAGTGAAGAATCATCCAGACTCTTCTGGGTGGCTATCAGTGATCTCAGTCTGTGGGCTGTTTCATTTTTCAGTATGTGGATTTTCATTTAATCCATCTGGTTTCACTGCAGTGGCTAGCATCCCCTGGAGTCACTTGGCCGATGAGAGTTGGAAAGACGTTCTAGGTGCCTAATGGTTTATTGATACAGATTCTCAGCCAGTGATCTCATTCCCTGCCTCCTGCTCACCTCCAGTCAAATGCAAAGGTCCTCACTGCTTCTGATTCCCTGAGCCATAGGGATGCTCTGAGTCTCCTGCTCCTACCTTCCTTGAAAACCCCTAGATTTCAGCTTTCTCCAGTCTTCTAAGTTTGTCATCACTCCTCAATCTGCATTCCAGCATTCAAAATTTTATTTTCTCCCTGTTGTTCACTCTTCTCACATTTTCTTTGCTACTGTGGATTTATACCTATACAAAACTGTGATAGTCCTTTCAGGGAGATTTGGGGAATAAAACGTGACTTTAAATTTCTGTGGTTAATAAGCTCCTGATCTTTCCATTATGATAAGTGCTTGACTCTGCTTGCTGATAGGAATCAGAAGTAAGATAAGAAAAAAATTTGATTTTATGAAAAATGAGTATGAGTTAATTAGCATATTAAAGCTTTCTAGACAGAAGAAAACCAATGTGAAAAAAAGTGAGCATTTCATAATTTAAGAACTATCCAGTGCATTTTGGAATGCTAAATATCATTGCTTAGGCTGAGATCAGCTCATCTTCTATGAGCAAAGTCCTTAATAAAGAGATTATATCAGAATCACCTAGGGGAGATTTTCAAAGCATATGAACCTTCATTCTACTCTAAATGCCCTGCATTATAACTAGAATCAGGTTAAAATATAAATTTTTTTCTAAAGCACTGTAAGCACATCTAATGTATAAAATCATCAAGAACTGTTGGACTAGAACAACTAAGCAAAATAAAGGAAAATTTAGTGATATATGCTGAAAATGATTTTTACTGGTAGTACTCAAATAACACAATGACACATTTATATTTCATTTCTTCATTCAATGGAAATTTAAAACAATCTTATTATGTTTCCAATCATCAGTGAATTCATTCTTTAATGCGAGAATATTACCCTCTTTGTGTAAAGTGACAAAGACTGCATTGTCTGTGACATAGTGGCACACGTATTTGCCCATAGGTCTATGATATATAGGCTGACGTTCGAAATAATAGTAAAACAACAACAACCAGCTTGGCTACAGATAATAGTGAAGAATGAAGTAGAACCAAGATCTCAAGGAGGTCATGACACTCATTACAAATATTCCCCTAAATTCAAGCAGGATACAAAATATAAAAGACACAGTGATACCTTAGCTTTTGAGGATACTGTCATGGATGCACAGTTTAGCAGTGATTGCATAGGCACACTCTTCAAGTCTGAAATTACCTTTTTGGATCAAAGAGAGACACAAGCTGGAATTACAAACAAAAATAAAAATACAACTAGAAAGAGAGAGATGGAGGGCAATTGTTGTTGTGGTTGTTGAGGGAATCCCTTCTTTCATTTTTTCCATTCAGAGGGATATCTATTAGTACAACAGTTCTGTCTTCTCTTTGCCCTTCTCTCTCTTTTCCTCAAGGAGAAAAGATTATCCGACTGGCAATTTTAGAAGCAACATCTGGGTATTTATAGTTCACTGCTTTTCTCAGTATTTCTTTTCAGAATTTGCTTATCTACAGAGAGTGTGTGTTTTGTTCTGTTCTTTGCCATGCGGTAAAAGGAAGCTGTCCCCTGGGGGAAGGCCCCTGCACTTGTTCAACACTACCTAAATGAATTGATAAGCCTGCTTAACTATAGATTACAAGATTAGGATACTTATTTTTGCCTTACACCTAAACCATATTCTCCAGTAGCCATGTTACTAATTAAGTTCATCTTTAGTCCACCATCTCTTCTTCCTGATTCCTTTGTCAGGGATACTATTTATTAGCTTCCTTAAATCCCAATATTGCCAGTTAGAGTCTACTAGCAAAGTTCTTAGGACTTGGAGAAGATGTGTTTAAGTTGGTGTTTCTTTCCACAGTATCTGCTTAATAAGGAAGTTACAGAAGCAATAGTAGCAGTAGCGGTGGTAACTGGCATTTATTGAGGGTCTACTACCCTCAAAAAATGTCAGATAGGTGATTTTATCTAATTTTCACAACTCCAAGAAATAAATATAATTGCTATCCCAATTTTTGTGATGTGAAAACTGAGTCTTTTTTAAAATAAGCTTATTTTTATAGATTTGGGGGTATGAGTACAGTTTTGTAACATGTATGTAGTGTGACTGGGTGAAGTCTGGCCTCTTAGCGTAACCATCTCCCAAATTATATACATTGTACTCATTAAATATTTGTCATCCCATACGCCTTGCCCACTCTGCCACCTTCTCAGCCTTCTGAGTTTCCAATGTCTATCATTCCACTCTCTACCACCACGTGTACACATTACTTAGCTCCCACTTAAAAGTGAGAACATGTGGTATTTGACTTTATGTCTCCGTGGTATTTCACTTAAGGTAATGGCCTCCAGTTCCATTCATGTTGCTGCAAAAGGTATTATCTCATTCTTTTTTATGGCTCAGTAGTATTCCAAGGTGTGTGTATGTATATATAAAATGAGTTGTATGTATATAGATTATATATACCACATTTTATTTATCCTATCTGCCATTGATGATTCTATATCTTTGCTATTGCAAACAGTACTGCACAAAAGCAGGGATCTTTATGGTATGATTTATTTTCCATTGGGTAGATATACAATTGTGGGCTTGCTGGATCGAACTGTAGTTCTATTTTTAGTTCTTTAAGAAATTTCCATATTGTTTTCTATAGAGGTTGTACAAATTTATATTCCCACTAACAATGTATAACTATTTTCTTTTCTCTGCATTTTTGCCAACATCTTTTTTGTGACTTTTTGATAATGGTTATTCTAACTGCATAAGATGGTGTCTCACTATGATTTAATTTGTATTTCTCTTATGATTCATGATTTTGAGCATTTTTATATGCTTTTTGGCCATTTGTTTGTCTTCTTTTTTTAAAAAAAATATTTTTATTTTAAGTTCCAGGGTACACGTGCAGGTTCCAGGGTGTGCAGGTTTGTTAACATAGGTAAATGTGTGTCATGTTGATTTGCTGCACCTATCAATCCATCACCTAGGTATTAAGCCCAGCATGCATTAGCTATTTTTCCTAATGCTCTCCCTTCCCCACCCAACTTCCTGGCAGGCCCCAGTGTGTGTTGTCCCATTTGTATATCTTCTTTTGATAAATGACTGTTCATGTTCTTTGCCCACTTTTTAATAACATTTGGTTGTTGTTGTTGTTGAGTTGTTTGAGTATATTGTAGACTCTGGATATGTCCTTTGTCATACGCACAATTTGCAAATATTTTCTCTCATTCTGTAGGCTGTTTACTCTGTTGATTATTTATTTTTCTATGCCTCCCAAAGTGCTGGGATTACAGGCATGAGCCAACGTGCCCAGCCTTCCTCAGGGAAATCTTTAGGTGCTCCTAAAGACATAGTGCCTCCTTAGCAAATACTTGTTCAATGAACATATGGATTTGTTTTTGATTCTGTGACTGAAATGTCTCTAATATTTACCTCTCAAATATATCTACCAATACCTTTAATTAGGTATTTTCTCAAAATCTTCTCACGCACCCAAGTGTCTATTATTATTGATAAATTAATATCCAATATATAACATTTATAATAATTTAGTCTCACCATCTTTGAACTGCTTTAATCTAATGATACTCACCTGTATAATATTTTAGTCCCTCATGACTATTTTCTGTATTCCACTCTGACCACAGGCTTCTAGCTATGTCATTTGGTAATTTCTGTATAGATTATACCACTGCTACTAAGAACAACAACAACAATAATAATAATTACCATTCATTGATCATTTTACATATGTCAGGCATGCTACTAAGCACTTTACACATACTGTCTGCTTAGGTAACAACCCTGTGGGGTAGAATATAGACTCAATGGGAAAAGCGAGTGTATTCATATTGTTTACTATTGTATATCCAATGAATAGTGCAGTGCCTGGCTCTTATTGTTTGTTCTATTAAATATTTATCAAATACATGATTATAAGGTATTATTAATCCCATTTATATATATAGAAATAGCAGGACAACATGTTATATAACTTGCCGAAATACAGTTACTAATGGCAAGTCTGAAAGTCAAAGCAAAACATTTCTGTCTCCGTATTCCACTCTATGATACATTGTTTTTTTCCTCATTCTACCTCCTGTCTCACAGGCAATAGATCCACTTTTACCTACATTGCCTTCTATATCTAACCGTGTCCTTAATACTTTATTCTATTGTTGAAGTCTTCAATTTTGTATTGTCTAATGAATGTTTATAGAATAAATGAAGGCATGAATAAACAGAGGCCTATGTGTAACTCTGTAAGAATGCATAATACTCTGACTCTATATTAAGACAAATATGTTATAAAGAGTAGAATATATATTTCAAAGGGAGTTATCCCTTATCTGATTTTGTCTATGCTTAGAGGAAAAAAGAAAACAGGTTTTCATATGTGAAATATACTGGTGGCCCTATCTTTCAATTCATTAATTTGCTAGTTAATTATTATGTTTAACACTTTGAACAAATCAGGAGTAGAGCACCATACCAAGCATGCTGGTGACATGGACAAGCCAGAAGAAAGAGTATAAAAAGACACATCACTCTATGAATTAACTCACTAGTTTATGAAGAAAGTATGCATGTAATATTATAAATAAAATTAGAAATTCTCATTGTACCACTGAAACATTATCTGAGCAAGTTCAGTGGTTTTCATTGTAATGTTTTTGATGCAGAGGATGCACTGGTCATTGGTCACCCTAATACATTTTTAAATGTCTAGCATACTCACACATTTAGCATTTCATACCAACATAAGGACTTCACTTATAAGAGGATACTTCAAATATTTGAATGCATTAAAATGTCAAAGACAGCAAGACACACCCATATCATTAAACTATGTTAATTATGGTCAGTTTTATGTTTCAATATCCAGCTATTCAATCAAATACTAATCTAGAGATTTTGTAGATATGATTAAAGTCCATAATCAGTTGACTTTAAGTAAGAGAGATTTTCCTAGATAATCTGAGTGGGCCTGATTCAATCAGTTGACAGACTGTAAGGACAAAGCTCAGGCTTCCTCTCAAACGAAGAAATTCTGCCTGCAGGTAGCAACTTTTGATCTCCCGTACCCAAGAGTTCTAACCTGTCCTTCCAGACTGCCTGCTCTATAGAACTCAGACTTGCCATTTCAGTCTTGTAAGCCTATTTATCATAATATATATATATAGATAGATTATAGACAAATAGATAGGTGATAGTGATACAGAGAGAGAGATAGACAGATAGATCCTACTTCTTCTATTTCTCCAAATAACCCCGGATCATTACAATGCCATAAGTTTTGTGATAAAAAGGATGGAGCAACACATGTGTGCATGTGGGTGCATGGGTGTGTGTGTCTGTTGTGTATCCTTATTCACACACATTATGCTCATCATCCTGAAAAATTATTAACAAAGCTTTTCTGTTTTGTGAAGTATGGGGCTGGGCTATGGCTTAACGCAAATATAAATTTAGCCTTCTTATCTCCATAATACATACAAGTTGAGGGTTTGTCAATATTCCAGTAGGGTCTTTTGAACATTTATCATTAGGCATTGCCAATTCTGACAGGATAACTACTTGCTGAATACTAAATGCAGAAGCACTGAGCCATCATTTTTACACAGGTTATTACTTTGAAATGATTATTATTTAAGATAACTCACCTCCTTATAACTTCCCTCAGACTCTCTACCATCTCAGTTGTAAAGTGCTTTGATGTAAATTTTATCTGCATGCAGTATATTCAATACTGATGCTTTTAATAAGTAGGTCTTTGGAGTCAAAGAGTTTTTTACTTTTCTTAATACATTAAGATATAAGATACATTGCAGTCTGTTTATACTGATGTCCTAATAATACTTTAATATGCCAAAGAAAAGTGTCTGTAGAATTTGATGATGACTTTGGCATAAATATGTTTCATAAGTAATTTCTCCAAGCTCTATTTCAAGTATCGCTATAAAAAATTTAAACAATGTCAAGCATTTTCAATAAGGTAGTATACATCTTTTATTTTTATATTTTTTCACTTAAGATTAGAAAAAGCTTGTTACAAATTTTACTGATATGAGATTGGATAGAAAAAATAGACAAGGGACTTGAAGACACGCACATATACATAGAATGGAGCTATTTCTACATCATTACATATGCATAGGTTTGATTCACCCTTGTTACGAGTTAGTATTCTTAAGCAAAAGATGAGAATAAACTCATCAGCTAGGGAAAAAATGCATTTGCATAATATCAAATCCTATAACTCATTAGTGTTTTTCTAATCAGCTCATCTGAATAAGAGATGATGATGATGATAATGCAAACGAAGATATAAGAGAGCAATAACTATTTTTGCATAGTAAGGCTTGTCTATAACAGTATAGTCCAATTAGATGGAATAGAAAAATTTACCCCATATGATTTGTTTATCTATGCAGCTGCATGATGTTGATGAAAATCAGGAATGCTAGTTTTGTTGTTCGTTCACCATTTTAGGGCCGCCTCTGGTGATTTGGAATTCCAATATGACTTGCCCGTAAGCAGCCAACGATGGAATGTACTCAAGGATGAAGAGAAAATTCAATGAAGGGCTTCTCAGCAGATTTCATACCTTAATTCATTTAAGAATGATCAGTAACTGAAATTATATCGGAAACTTTTATAAAGGAAGAAAGAAGAAAGTAAGTCATAGCATAAAAATGCACTCAAAATAATAGCAGAGGTTTTTAATAAAAAGTCAATATAAATTAATGTACTATTTAATGGAAAACTTCAAAAATTTCATATGGTTTGTGGGAAAATGTATACAGATTTGTAAAGACTTTTATTTAAATTAATATCAATTGATATACTTTAAAACCAGGGATCCACAAGATGCTAAGTATTTACAATAGAGAATTAAAATGATAATCTGTATCACAATAATTACTCAGATTATAAGTCTGCATTATATGTTGCTGAATTCTAAACTAAACTGATTAAACAGGAACTGTGTCAAGTTTGGACAGAAGTCATATCAGACAGAAGCAGGTACATTTTTCTTTTTCTTTTTTTTAAAGCACAGCCATGTTTACACAATTTTTCCTTCCACTCCCCTACCAAGATGCTAAGTATTTACAATAGAGAATTAAAGTGATAATCTACATCACCATAATTACTCAGGTTATAGGTCTGCATTATATGTTGCTGAATTCTAAACTGAACTGATTAAACTGTTTTATTTTTATCCTATAAGTTTGTAATAAAGAGACTGACTACATTATTTTTATGTTTACTGCTGACAATGTTATAAGTCCCACCACTTCACTTTCCCCTTTGCCCGACATCTAAGCAAACTTTAAAAAGACCAGTCTCTTGGTACTGGCAGGAAGTTCAACCCACGTGATTCCTGGCCTGGTCAGTACATGTGACCCCACCCCAGACCCACCTCCCAACGGTAATAAAACTCAAGCCAGTTTCCCCTTCCTGCTATCTCAAGCCATTTTCAGACCTGCTCTAAATGCAAAGCCCCATTTTATGAGTTTAAAACTTTTCACACTTTCTTGGTGTGTGTCATTATTAGATTTGATATCTAAAATTTGGGTAGGTAGTGTGGTGGTTAATTTTATCCGTCAACTTACGAGGCCAAAGCACCCTGATGTTTGGTCAAACATGTCTGTATGTTGCTGTGAACTTATTTTTTAGATCAGGTTAACATTTAAATCAGTAGACTTTGAATAAAGCAGATTACCTTCCATAATGTGGGTGGGCCTTATCCAATTAGTTGAAGGCTTTAAGAAAATGACTGACTTCTGGCCAGGCACGGTGGCTCACACCTGTAATCCCAGCACTTTGGGAGGCCGAGGCGGGTGGATCATGAGGTCAAGAGATCGAGACCATCGTGGCCAACATGGTGAAACCCCATCTCTACTAAAAACACAAAAATTAGCTGGCCATGGTGGCGAGTGCCTGTCGTCCCAGCTACTCGGGAGGCTGAGGCAGGAGAATCACTTGAACCCGGGAAGCAGAGTTTGCAGCGAGCCGAGATCGTGTCACTGCACTCCAGCCTGGCTACAGAGCAAGACTCCATCACAAAAAAAAAGAAAAAAAAGAAAAAGAAAAAGAAATGAAAAGAAAACGACTGACTCCTACTGAATAAGAGGGAATTCCGCCAGCCAACTGACTGCCTTGGGACTTGAGCTGCAACATCAATTCTTCCCTGGGTCTCCAGCCTCCCCACCTACTCTGCAGATCTTAGACTTTAGCTCTACAATCACATGAGCTAATTCCTTAACGTCTCTCTTTCTTTCTCTCTCTCACACACTCTCTCCCTCCCCTGCCTCTCTCTCTCTCTCTCTCTCCATATGTGTGTGTGTGTGTGTGTGTGTGCGCGTGCGCGCGCACCTGTCTCTCTTTATTGGTTCTATTTCTCTGGAGAACTCTGACTACTACAGAGATACAGCAATCTATTATGTTTATGTACAAATGAATTCAACACAGTTTTATCGTTTTGCATTTTACATGTAAGTCTATCATTTGTTTTGAGTTAATTTTGTATTATGTGTAAAGTTTTTTTTTGTTTGTTTGTTTGTTTTTGCCTATGAGTGTACAAACGTTCCTACATCATTTATAGAAAAGCCTTTCCTTTCTCCATTGAAAGGAGTGAGACAATTTTGCCTAGGTCTAGATACTGATGATTTTTCTCCTGTTTTTTTGTTCTCACACCTCCGTAAAAAATCAGTTGGACAGATTTACGTGGGTCTATTATTGAGTTTTCTTCTTGTTTTATTGATCTGTGTTTCCATTTCTATATCAATACCATATTCTCCTGATTTCTGTAGGCATATAGTAGGATTTAATGTGAAATAGAGTAATTTCTTCCACTTTTATCTCTCTGTTTCAAGATTATTTTAGTGATTCTAGGACCTGGGCTTTTCCATATAAATTTTGGAAAAATAAGCATGTTTATCTATACAAAATCAGGCTAGAATTTTTATAGAAATTACAATAAATATTATAATAGATCAAACTGTGGATAATCAACATCTTTGCCATGTTAAGCCTTCTAATCCATGGACTTAGTATATCTCTGCATTTATTTAAGTTTTCTTAAATTTCTCTCCCCAGTATTTTGTATTTTCAGGTTATAGAACCCACACATGTTTTGTTAAGTTTGTTAGAAATGCTCCCTTTTCTTCAAAGTGAAGTTCAATGTCATATGGTTTCATTTTCCATTTGTCCATGGTTATTGTTAATATATAGAAATAAAATTATTTTTTTCATGTTTATTTTGTGGCTTATGTGTTGTAAATGTTTTGTTTGAATTACATATTTTATCTAATTTTTCTACTTAAATTGCAATGTATTTTGACTCTTCATTTTTGTATCTATGAAGCTTGCTAAATATTCTATTAATTCAAATAATATTCTATTAAATTTGGAGGAATTTTCTGTCTAGGAAAACAATATAATCATTGACAGTTTCTTTTTCTCTTTTCTTATTTTACACTGCCCTCTATTTTTTTTTTTTCTTAATTTTATGGTACTATTTTTTTCCTGTGTAACTAAAATAGGTAAGCTCTTCAATAACAGTTAAACTATTTGAAAGAATTGATAATGCAAGCATCCGTATCTTGATCCTTATTTAAAAATAAAGTTTCTGCATTTTATTTTTGTTTAGGAAATTCCTTTATATTTCTTGTTTGTTGGAAATTTTGTTAAGAAGTTCTCTTTTCTTTCTAGTTTGTTGATCACTTTCAGCTATGAAATTTTGAACTTTATAGAATGTTATATCTGCAACTATGGAAATGATCGATTTTTTCTCCTTTAAAAATATTATTATAACTAATAATTGTTTTAGTATTTTTGTGTTCTTAAACAAAGGTTGCAACTGTAGAATAAACAACTTTTTAATGACATGCTATCTTTTTTGTAATTTTCTGTGCTTGTTAACATTTTGTTCAGAATATTATTATTTAAGTTCAGGAGTGAGATACACATGTAACGTTCCTTTCCTGATTAGTCCTTAACTTGGTTTTGAAGTCAAGGTTTTATTATTTTTATAAAATGTATTTGAGAGTGTTTTATATTTTTTTCTACTCTGAAGGAGTTTGGATAAAATTTAACTTATCTGCTTATAAAATACTTAGAACTACCCTATAAAGACATTTAGGGAAGGCCGGGTGTGGTGGCTCACGCCTATAATCCCAGCACCTTGGAAGGAGGCCAAGGTGGGTGGATCTCCTGAGATCAGGAGTTGGAGACCAGCCTGGCCAACATGGAGAAACTCCATCTCTACTAAATATACAAAAATTAGGCTGGCGTGGTGGCGCACCCCTGTAGTCCCAGCTATTCCGGAGGCTGAGACGGGAGAATCGCTTGAACCCGGGAGGCAGAGTGGCCCGAGGTCGCGCCACTGCATTCCAGCCTGGGTGACAGAGTGAGACTCTGTCTCAAAAGAAGAAGAAGAAGAAGAAGAAGAAGAAGAAGAAGAAGAAGAAGAAGAGGAAGAGGAAGAGGAAGAGGAAGAGGAAGAGGAAGAGGAAGAGGAAGAAGAAGAAGAAGAAGAAGATGATTTTGGGAAGATTTTAATACCTATATGCAATTTTTTTAATGGTTATGTTTCTTTTGGGTTTACTCTTTCCTTTAGGATCAATTCTGATAAATTGTATTCGTCTACAAATGAAATCCTCCAAGCTTTTAGTTGGTATAAAAATATCAATAATTTCCTATCTTTAAAACTATGAGTTGTAATATAATATATATACTGAAAAGTGTATAAAACATAAGTATAGTTTAATAATTGCCTAATAAGGAAATGCTCATATTTAGATCATGCCACTGCACTCCAGCCTGGGTGACAGAGCGAGACTCCGTCTCAAAAAGAAAAAAAAAAGAAAAAGAAAAAGAAAATGCTCGTATTTGCTAATGCTATATCAAGAAATAGAACATTTCTAGCACCTCAGAAAAAATATATATATTCTTTACAACCCCAAATCTTCCTTCTTAGATTATTAGTCTAATTTTTATGGTGATCACTTTATTTTTTCCTTTTCTTCATTTTTTCCTTTTAGCACCTAAGAATTATTATTAATAATTTAGTGATAGCTGCTTTTAGTTTACATTAATAGTTTATATTCATGGTTTATATTTACATAGTATGCACTATGTCTGGCTTCTTTTGTTCAATATTACTTTTGAGAGATTCAGCCATACTTTGGAGTATTGTAATATTTTATTCATTCTCTATTCTGTATAGGATTACATTGTATGATTTTGCACAATTTATCCACTCAAATATTGATCACAATTTGAGTTTTTTAAACAGTGATTGCCTATTTTGTATTAAGAAGAATTAAATGGATTCCTAGTTTTGACACTTACTGGTTGTGTGAGTTTAACTGATTACTTATCTAAGTTGTGTCATAAAATATGGAAAGTAACACCTATTTCACAGTTCATATCAATTAAATAAGAAACTTATGATATAAAATAATCTTCCTTTCCATTACTATAGTGTCCTTTTTAGTGTACTCATTGCCAGAGTATAGTATTTTTGAAGATTTTTGGGATGTTTTCTCCTTGTTATTTCATTTGAAAAATATGTATATTGATATTATAATGTTTAGTGCATAAGTCTAGAATATAGTGTAATCATCACTTATTTACCTCCTAAATATGATTTTTCAAATGAATACAAATGATGTTTTAAAATATGCCTTCTCCTTTCGAGTCTCTAAACATACAATCTTTCAAATCTTTTCTCAAGTAGTTTTTGAAATCTACTTTTCTATCATCAGTTTAATATATCTAACTTTGAGCAGCTTTCCTTTTTTGGATATCAATGCTTGCCAGCAAATCGTTACTTCACCTCTCCCCAGTCACAGGAAACAAATATGCCGTCTCATAAAAATACTGTACTGATTATGTAAATGCATATTCAAGACTAGTCTTTGCCTGGGCATGGTGACTTACTTCTGTAATCCCAGTGCTTTGGGAGGCCGAGGCAGGAGGATCACTTGAGGCCAGAATTTCAAGACCAGCCTGGGCAACATAGCAAGAATCTGTGACTATAAAATATATTTAAAATTGAGCTGGGTGTGATGAGATGCACCTGTAGTCCTAGCTACTCAGTTGTCTGAGGTGGGAAGATTGCTTGAGCCCAGAAGTTCAAGGCTGCAGCAAGTATGATTGTGCCACTGCATTCCAACCTGGGAGACAGAGCAAGACCCTGTCTCTTAAACAAACAAATAACAACAATGAAAACAACAAATAAACAAACAAAAAAGCCAGACTGGTCTTTAGACCTAGAGTGACAACAAAGCTCAGTTTGCTTGGGACAATCTCCATTTATATCTGCTGTCCTGGGGCTATTAATAACAGTCCCTTCACTCCCCAAATATCCCAGTATGAACAATAAATGACATGGTTTCCCTACCTAGTCCTCTTTCCAACTAAATTTGTTGCTGACAAACATACTATTTCATGGCTCAGGTGAAATGGTTACTTTCTTTGTATTTCCATGACAGAGATTTAAACAGTTCTTCTTGCTGTGTAAAATGTCTGGAGTAATAGTTTTTATTATACATTCAAACACACTGAGAGATCATTGCTCATCGAGATTTTTATGAGACAGATAAGCAAGTTTTTATTAATTTGTATTATCCAGGTAAGAAAATGAGTCAAAGAGGAGCTGACTGTTGCCCAAGTTTAAAGTAGAAAAGAATACTAAAATCCTTGTTCCTGATTTGGTTTATTATTCTTTTCATTAAAGATGAAGTAGCAAATGTAACCTTTTTGAATAATTGGCTGAATGGGTAGGCATTGTACAGATTTGGGATGAAAGCTACTCTTAAAGTGCAAAAAAAAGGGGGAATCTTCACTCGTTAAGGCCTAGTTGCATTATATTTGGTAGGAAAAGCAGAATCATCTGTACATTTTCTTTTCTAAAATACTTATATTTAATAACCTTGGAAGAGTGAAACATATTTAACCAAATCCACTGCTGTAAAAGAAGGTTGCACTCACCCATGCTAATCTCCTCATGCTTCTTTCCTCCTCATCCTTTCATCCCTTCCTGATCTCTCCTAGTTGACTACTTGCCAAACAACACATACAGGTTTTGCTTCCATAATTAGCTGTTGATAGGGAGTTTGCATTCCTGTAAAACTATTTGATCATATGACTTTTGAAGGTTACTCTTACATGCTTTACTGAGCCACATACTATAAGTAAGGTGAGAAATACAGGAGGAAGTGGTAAGATTGCCAGATAAAATAGAAAATTGACAGTTTAATGTGGACTTCAGGTAAACAGCAAATAATTATTTTGATACAAGTCTCAAATGTTGAGTAGGACTGTATTAGTTGGTTCTCACACTGCTGTAAGGATGCTAGTGGAGACTGGATAATTTATAAAGGAAAGAGGTTTAGCTGACTCACAGTTCTGCATGGCTGGGGAGGCCTCAGGTAACTTACAATCATGGCAGAAGGGGACGCAGGCACATCTTACATGGTGGCAGGCAAGAGAGATAGTGAGTGTGTGAGAGTACAGGAAAAACTATCACTTATGAAACCAACAGGTGTCATGAGAATTCACTCACTATCAGGAGAACAGCATGAGGGAACTGCCCCCATAATCCAATCACTCCCCACCCTCGACATGTGGGGATTACAGGTCAAGATGAAATTCTGGTGGGGTCACAGAGCCAAACCATATCAAGGATATACCTACAGGAAAAAATAATTTGTTACTTATCTGAATTTAAAATTTAACTTGGTGCCCTATATTTTGTTGTTGTTGTTAAATCTGGCAACTCCAGAAAGAGGGAAGGCTGTTAGAGTGCTCGTACTGCTATTCTGGTTTCTGGAAACAACTACTAAAATCCCTCAACTTAAAAAATTAGGAGAGTACAGTTAGCCAATTATCATTTTTAAATATTTTTTTTCATTTTAACTGTCTTCTTTTTCTTCCTCTTCTTCCTCTTCCCTCAATCCCCCATTTCTCAGAAATAGTACAATTGAAATATAAGTGGTAGTATTATAGTTGTAAAAGAGTAATATAGTAGTAATTGTAGTGGTAGTAATAGTAATAATGATAACAACAATAATAAAACTGTCTCCCTTTGAATAAGGTTTTCATGTATATATCATCTTCCTTGATTTGTAGTGATTTATAGATATATTTTCCATATAGAGCTTGGGAATTAAAAAGAGGGAAAAATAATGACAGAGATATACTTAATTTTCATAGTTTAGATATATTCTTACTGTGAAAGCAGCCTTCTATGAAAGTAGGGCAGGTAAAATGAAGTTGAGAGGTAATCTAATTCAATTCAGAGCCCAAAGCTGCCTACGAATGATTGAAGTTGTAGTGGAGTTACTTTTTTATTACTAGATGAGTTGCTATATTCATTTAGTTCATTGAATAAGAGAATTTTAATTTTATGAGTTCACCCTGGCAATGTATGGGGGAAAAATGAAGCAGACTACACTAGGACTATTCTATATTAATGAACTGAAGTGGAGATTTGAAGCAAATGTGATCTAGTTAAGTCATTTTTTGCTTCTTAGTCTCTGTAACTTCAGTAGTATAGGTCAACATATAGGTAGAACTGATATAACCATGCAATCAATCCTATTTATCCTCTCCTATTAGTGGAATAATAGTTTTAAACATTTGGTCTTAAATATTTGTAGAACATGGCAATTTTAATAGATAATTTGGAACCATTCTGTGAAACACACTTTGGTGAACATTGTGCTGTATTGGGAGGGCAATTGTTAAAAAGGGGTTAGAATACATTGCTTTTCACATGATTCATATTGTTTGGCTCTATCATTCTATAATTAATATTTATTCTGTAAAAAATTAAATATGTGCCTGGCCTTGTAACTAATGTTTCACTAAGTTTATTGCATTTTTATCTACTAATATACCTATAAGGTATATACCGCCCGAAGTTTATGAATATATTAGCAAGGAACTCAAAGTTACTCGACTGTGTAGTAGTTAAGCTAGTGTTTAGACATACTTACAGTTAATTCTGAGGCCAGGTTTCTGATTACTGAGACATAATGGACATGTAATAATCTCCACATTTAAGGGGTAAAATTTGATAAATTTTGCCACATGTATGCACCCATGAAAAGAACACCACTGTAATAAAAATAATACACATCTCTATCACCCCCAAACTTTCTCATGCCCCTTTATCATCCATTTCTCTTACCCCACCCAGTCACCCATCTTGTCCCCAAGCAATTACTGATCTGCTTTATGTTACTAAATATTAATTTACATTTGCTATAATTTTGTGTAAATGAAATCAGAGCATGCAATCTTTTATCTGGTTTCTTTTACTGGGCATAATTATTTTGAAGATATGTCCATCATATAGACTTGATATGTCTATATCAAGTAAGTATTCTTTGCTTTATGTTGCTAAGCAGTATGCCTTCCTATGGATATATCAGAAATGTTTATCTAGACCTATTGCTGAACATTTGTGTTTCCAGTTTTTGGCCATTACAAATAAAGCTGCTATGAACATTTGAATGTAAGACTTTTAATGAACTTACATTCATAGGCATGGACTGTCTGGGCCGTAAGTTAGGTGTGTTTTTAATTTCTGAAGTAATTGTCAAACTGTTTTGCAAGGTGCTTTTACTGCTTTCCATTGCATCCTCACTAACACTTGGGATGGTCAGGCTTTCTTATTTGAGACATTGAAGTAGGTAAGTAGTTAAATCACATACGTTTTAGTTTGAAAACCCTTAATGAGTAATAGTGTTGAATGACCATCTTTTCATGTGTTTATATGCCTTCCATGTATCTTCTGTGCCAAAGTAAAATGTCTGTTTGAATCTTGCTCATTTTTATTGAGTTGTTTGTGTTTTTTATTATTATTGAGTTCTAAGGTTTCCTTATATAGTCTCCCTAAAAATATTTTCCCAAACATGTAATTTGCAAATGTTTTCTCAAAGCCTGCAGCTTGTCTTTCATTATCTTAAGAGTCTTTCTGAGAGTAGAATTTTTCAAATTTGATGAAGCTCAATGCATTCTTTTCTATCTTTTATGACTCCTCATGCTTTTGATAGTGAATCTAAAAAATATTTGCCTAAACAAAGCTCACAAACATTTTCTATGTTTTTTATCCAGAATTTTTGCAGTTTTAGGTTTTACATTTAGATCTCTGATATATTTTGAGTTAATTTTAATTTATGATGTGAGACAGGGATTAACATTCCATTATTTTTTTCCACAGGGACTTCCATTCATTCCAGCATTGTTTGCTGAAATGACTTCCTATCCTTTATCCACTGAAAATCCTTTGCTCATTTGTTGAAGATCAATTGACCGTGTGTGTGTGTGTGTGTGTGTGTGTGTGTGTATTTCTGCATGCTGTTCTAATGGATTGATCTGTTTGCCTCATTTTCATGTCAATAGCACATTTTAAAAATTACTGTAGCTTTCTGTCCTTTTTCAAAACTGTTTTTACTGTTCTAGGTAGGTCCTTCACATTCCATATAAATTTTAAAATCAGCTGTTAAATTTCTACTGAAAAAAGAAAGCTGATTGAGATTTTGATTCGGATTGTGTAAAACCTATCAATTTTTGAAGATTGAAAACTAAATAATATTTTAACTTTTACCCATAAACATGCAATATTTTACTATTTACTTCTGAGTGTTACAAAATAGAGCTTATTAATTCATATATTGATCTTTTCTTCTGTATTCTTGTCAAGTTAGCAGATTTTGTATACTCTATAGAATTTTCTACATAGATGATCATTTCATTTGCAAATGAAACTTTTTGTTTCTTCTTTTCTAATATGAACTTTTATTTTTTTTCTTAATATATGATCTAGAACCTTGAATACAATATTGAATAGAAGTAGTGAGACTGGACACATTTGTTTTAATGCTGATCTTGGAGAGAAAACATTTAGTCTTCCACCATTAAGCTTGATAAGAGTGGTAGGTTTTTCACATATTTTCTTTATCAGGTTGAAAAATTTTTATTTTAAGGCACCTGAGAATTTTTCCCCCCTTATCGCAAATAGATGTTGAAAGTTTTCCATGCATTTCATGCATCTATTAGTATGAGTATATGATTTTTCTTTTTCAGTTTCTTCATGTGTTGAAATAAATTGATTGGTTTCTGAAAGTTAATCCAACTCTACATTCTTGGGATGAACACCGTTTGTTTATGGTGTTTTATCTTTTTAATATATTGTTGAACTTATTTTGCTAAAATTGTATTCAGAATATTTGTTTCCATTTTCATGGGGGATATTGGCCTATAGATTTCTTTCAATATATTTTTCTAATTTTGACATAAGAATAATTACTGCTGTATTAGTGATTCAGGAAGTAGTCTCTCCTCTTAAACTTTATGTGAGAGATTGCTTAGAATTGGTAATATCTTTCCATAAATATTTTGCAGAATTCACTAGTGAAGCTATAGGAGCTTGGAGTATTTACATGGAAAGGTTTTAAACTACAAATTCAATTCCTTTAATAGATATAAAGATATCTAGGTTATCTAATTTATCTGTGTGAGCTTGGTAGCTTGTTTCTTTCAAGAAGTTTACTTGTTTCATCAAAGTTTTCAATTTATTTGAATGGTTATTTATAATCTATTTATCCTTTGAATATATAGAGAAGCTTTAATGATTTTTACTCACTCTTTCATGATATTGATCATTTGTGTTCTTTTTCATCAGTTTGTCTAGAGTTTTATCAATGTTATTTATCTCATAAACTAACTTTTGTTTTCATTGATTTTCATTATTGTTTTTCTCTTTTATTTATTTTTACTATGATACTTATTTTCTTTTCTTACTTTTAGTTTCATTACTTCTTTTATGAGCTACAGCTTTTTTGTGTTACATTAAAAGTTTCTTGAGAATTTGTAGAACACATCTCTAACATGTAACAATATATTTTCACATGACGTTATACTACTTTATGCATAACAAAAAAAAACCAACAGTACATTTTTCTTGGACTTTCTTGGACTTTGTGTTACTGTTATCCTTCATTTTACTTCTATCCATATTATAAACCTCATAATACATTGCTATTATTTTTGCTTCAAACAGTTTATTCTTTTAAAAAGTTTTTTTAAAATAAGAAAAATTCATGTTTGCCATGTAGTTAAAACTTCTAGTTGTCTTTCTTCTTTTCTATAGATCCACCTTTTCATCTGTCATCATTTTTCTTTTACTTGAAGGTCTTCCTTTAACTACTTCAGTAGTGCAGGTCTACCAGTGACCAATTATTTCACTTATTTCTAAATAATTCTTTATTTTGTCTTTATTTTGGAAATATATTTTTGCTAAAGTATTATAGTGTGATAATTCTTTACCTTTAGTACTTTAAAAATTGTTCAAATTTGTCTTCTAGCTTCTTTTATTGTTGTCAAAAATATCTACTATGATTCTTATTTGTCTATCCGTTTGTAGTGGGTCTGTTTCTCTCAGAGTTTTAATATTTTCTCTTTATGCTTGGTGTTACATAATTTTATCATGATGTGCATTGGTGTGTTCTTTGCCCTTGGGTTTATGAATCTGTGGGCTGATGGTTGTCATTAAGTTTTTGAGGAAAAATGTCAGTTATTAATTCCTCAAGTAATTTTTCTGCTTTGCCTGCATACAAACACTTCAATTATATACATATATATATACACACACAGAGTATATATGTATATACACACACATATATATACACACATACATATATATACATATATATATATATATATATATATATATATAAACTTCTTGAATTTGTCCCATAGTTTACCGAAGCTCTGTTCTTTTTCTCCGTCTGTTTTATTTTAAATAGGCTACATTGCTATAACATCGAGTTCACTAAAGATTTTTCCTCAGGGTCTAATCCCCTGCTAATTACATTCTGGGTACTTTCATCTGAAATATTATATTTTCAATTTGGTCTTTTTTATATCATTCATTTATCTATTTAACATGTTAAAATATTTCTTCTGTCTTCCTAAACATATGAAAGATGGACCTAATTACCTTAATATTGTTGTATTTATTCTATCATCTATCATTCTGAATTTAGCTTTCGAGAAGTTAATATTTCTCCTCATTATGGCTATTCTTTTCATACCTGGTCATTTTTGTTTGACTGCCCAACATTCTGAATGTTAAATGCTGTATCTTTCTGTATTCCTAAAAATATTATTGAACTGTAATCTAGCACAAAGGTAAATTACTTGGTTTTGCCTAAATGCTTCGTTATGTGGGACCAAAGCTACATGTAGACCCTTCTTAGTACACTAAAAGATGCCTCATGAATTATTAGTTTTCTACTCTCTTTGCAACAGGCAATAACCCTGTCCTTTGTGAGTTCTAGGCAGTGTTCATTTAAGTCTTTTTTTTTTTTTTTGACTTAGGTATTTCGCTCGCATGCATGAGTTGATCTACACTGAACTGAACACGTCAGGGATTTTTTTTTTTTTTCTATGTAGGATACTCTTCTTTTACTTACTCTGCTGAAAATTCTAACCACCTTGACTTTCCAAAACTGAACTCTGGGATACCCTGGCTCTGACTTCATTCTTCCTCCAGTTCCATAACCTGAGAAATTTCTCCAATAGTAAAATAAGGCAATCATAGGGCTCATATAATCTGTTTTCCATATTTTAGAGATCACAATCCTTCATTGTATGTTGTTGAATATTTTGAGAGCCAGTGTTTCATATATATTTGCCCCGATTTTTAATTATTTTTTGTGCCAAGGGAGCAAATGTGGTCCTTGTTACCCCATCTTGAATAGAAGTCTTCCTGAGACAAGTTTCAAACCTTTATATTAGAGCAATTAGAGCCATCCATTTGAGGAGATGTAGCATTGCCATATGAAAAGCAAATAATGTCAGGTAAAACATGTACATATTGTATGTGTATATTGTTTTATTTTAACTTTAATAAAAGATCTTGAACTTTATTTTTTTATTTAAGGAAGTATTCTATTTCCTAACTAGTCATTCTTAAGCAAAGAAAGAACACAATAATTTTCCACCTATCATATTGACCCTATATCTTATGTTTATAGCGACTCTGTGCAATGGGCAATTGAATAATTCTTATACAGCTTGGCAAATTTTTGTCAATGCTATCACCACAAATATAACATCTTAATGGAAATAAAATGTGTCCATCATGTTTAAAATATTTTTTAAAATGTAGTTTTATTTTCATTTTACTATTAGTGGTTATATTTCATGACATACTTTCAGAGTCTGAGACTTCAGTTTCCACAGTAAACAGATACTTAATAAATGATTAATTATAATAAAGTCTCCTGTGCTTTTTCAATTGGTAGGAGGAAAAATTGAAATTACTGTTTGCATAATTCAAGTTAAAAGTAAATAAGCAAAGACAATAAAACTATTATTTGAAATCCTGCTAAATACAACAAAGGCTTAAATTGTTGACTCAATTCCCTATACAAATTAATTCACAAATAAATTGTGGTTTCAAATATCTGGTAAAATGTCCATGTTCTACTTTGCTTGCATCTCCACATGTTCATAGGGGGATAAGGGGATTAAGACAAGTATCTGGGCAATTCAGAAAAGAATTATAAGCCATGTTAACAATTGTTAGTCAAGATTTACACAGAGTATTTATCAAGCACAGGGCCCACCACAGACTAAGGTGGAAATACAGAGCAATTATTTGATTTTTCATAATTAGGAAAGTAATGTTTATATTGTAAGCTTCTTATAGGAAAACTGACGTATTTAAATCTAACAGAGAAAAATTTCTTTATTAAGCTGGTAATGTAGATATGCTGCCTTACTGACTTATTGGTATAGTATATAACCACAATACTTTTTAGTGATTTTGATTATGATATTTCCATTTGCTTATTCTGAAGATCTATGTTAATTATCAATACCATCTGGTTGTGATTGACATGGAGATATGTTATCCAGAGCAGACATCTGAGTCTTGTTGACCCATCTGCAAAGAGTGCATTCAGCAAACTGCCTATAGTTATCAGCCCCTTCAGGGACTGGCTTAGTTACAAAGTCGACTGTCTCAGGGTCACAGCTTTCTCAGAAAAACCCATATCCAGTGACTCATCAAATAATAGGTATTAAGACCTAGACATTTGGGCCTGATATACTGATATTCTGATTGGTGGTTTTAGCCCAAGAGCTCTCTGCTTTCTATGTGATTAGCTGAGTCTTATCCCTGTCCTGGATTACAGCTCTACTTATTTCTCTACCCCGTCCTACTTTCTTTCCATTCCTTCCATAGGTTTCCCTCTCAAAAGCACTCCTTAATAAGTACTGCCCATTAACCTCTATGTTGGAGTATGGCTGCCAGTGAAAGTACTGTTGGAAGTGGTCTGAGCAAACTGGTCATAAGATGGAGTTTTAGAGCTGCATTAATCCCCAACCAGCTTGCAGTAAGAGCGCCATCAATGGTGGGAATTACAGTTGAATCGTTACAACTTTCACTACACCGGGCGCGGTGGCTCATGCCTGTAATCCCAGTACTTTGGGAGGCCAACGTGGGTGGATCACCTGAGGTCAGGAGTTCCAGACCAACCTGGCCAACATGGTGAAACCCTGTCTCTACTAACAATACAAAAATTAGCCGGGTGTGGTGGTGGGTGACTGTAGTCCCAGGTACTCAGGAAGCTGAGGAAGGAGAATCACTTGAACCCAGGAGATGGAGCTTGCAGTGAGCCGAGATTGCGCCACTGCACTCCAGCCTGGGCTACAGAGTGAGACTCCATCTAAAAAAAAAAAAAAAAAAAAAAGAAAGAAAGAAAGAAAGAAATGCAGCTGTGCTTCTACCTCTGCTCAGCCTATGGCCACATGGATGATCCTTCAAGTAATGGAAAAAGAAAAAGCCCAAGTTTGGTTTACATACAGGTTGTTTACAGTCTATACTTTACTTATGTATTGGCTTGGTACTGGCTTGTTAAAACAAAAAGTAGACAATGTTACAGTACATCTTCACACACGTGTGACTTTAAAGTTAAGAAGAAAAGTTCTTCCAAATAGCAGAGTTTCAGGAGATGCACCAGTTAGCCATTTTATGTAGAGAGAGAAGTGGTCTGACTTATGGGCAGTGGGAAATGGCCTGATCAGTAGTCTTGAAGAAGACAAATTAGAAGATCAGAGACAAGGAGGTCTGGGGCGACTCATGAAGGAGCATACAGGAATAGACACAAAGTGTGAAGATCTTTGTGCTGCTGTTAATGCTCACCAGAAATTATTTGCAGTGGAACAGGCAGTAAACAACCACATAGACAAAATGGCTCAGTCAGTTGATGTTAGCCGGCCCTGGTCATTGGCTACCCTGTTGCTAGAACAACTGACACATGAACAAAGAGGTCATGGTAACAAAGATAGAGATTATGCATGGACCCACTGGCAAAGCTCATGAGGCTACTGCAGCTGCGAAAGGTCTAGCCTACCACAACAGAGACCAATGGCGAGCCCTGATAAAGGACTATTACTCAAAAGCAATTAATCACTGGCAGGCGCATTGCCTGTATTTGACCTCTTTCCGTAATGGTGAGGTCAGTGCTTTGTTCTAAATGAGTAGACATAAATTTCTGGTATAAATTCCCCTTCCTGCCTGCAAAGCTTCGCAGGACACCAATATTCAAGAGTTTATAGACGTTTTAGTCCTCCTATCTGGGATCTCATGTAACATCATGTAAAGTCATGGTCTCATTTTACAGCAAAAAAAGAATGGGAGTGGGTCCATGATAATCGCATCCACTGTCATATCACACGCTATGCCAGTCTGCATCTACTAGCCTGCCAGAACATTGGAACGGTGGCTAAACAAATAGTTAACACTCCAGCTAAGAGAGGATACTTCATGAATATAAGATGACATCATAGAATGTAGTATAGACTTTAAATCAAAGACGTTTAAAGTCTGCTGTGTCTCCAACAGGAAGAATTCATGGGTCATGGAACCAATAGATGAAAGCAGGGGAAGCAGAACTTACCTTCATTCCCAGTGATGGGGTTTGCTTCACAATCTCATAATTCTGACTTAGAGATACATAATCAGGGTTAGCGATACTACTATCCCAAGTGGGAATGATTTCCAGGAGACACAGTATGAGTCCTATTGAACCATAAGCTACAGCTGCTACCTGGGCACTTCAGGCTTCTTGTGTGAATGGACTAAAAAGAAAAGAAGAGTTGTCACTATCTTGGCAGTGGCAATGAAGCCAAATAATCAGGCTGTTTTTACATAAAGGAAGCAGGAAAGAATATTTGTAGAACTAGATGATCCACTTGAGTACCTTTTGGTACTTTCATATTTAATTTTGATGGTTAAATGGACAATGCCTTACAATGGCAAGGGGACCAGAGGCTCAGATTCCTCAGGGATGAGGATCAAAGTCATGCCACCAGGTAAGGCATCAAGACAAGTAGAGGATTCTTACCACATATAAAGAAGTGCTTCTGGGTAGTATAAGGAGTGGATTTTAGTGGACACAGATATATTTCACCCCAGTTCTCTTTCAAGGAAGGATTTCTTGCCCCAGATGCAGAAAGTGCAGGCAGAGATACCCTTTAGATGTCAACAAATTCAGAGATCACATCAGTTGCACAGACAGCTTTCTCCATGCGCTTTCTCCCTTTTACTGCATTCACCACATCCTCCATCACATTTCACCCCTCTCAAGTGGCCCAGATCCAATGAATGTGGTTAAAGGGCCCATCCATTTCTTCCTACTGAGGGGTAACTATGACAGTACCTTTTAGCTCTAGAGTTCCCCGTGATCTCAGCCAAAATTATTGTTGTGTCTGCAATACAGGTTGACTTTTTCATCTATCCAATCTTGTTTCCTTCTTCTTTCTTCCGCAAATCTTGACCCCAAAGACACTTCTTAATAAACATTCTATACACTAAACTTGATCACAGAATCTGCTTCCGAGACAGCCTAACATGCTACAAAAGCATAATGAAGAGAGCATACAAGTTGTAATCATATCAACTTGAGTTTTTAAATCTACTAATTCTGTAACTGTGGACAAGTTACTTAGCTTTTGCGGATTTTGGAATCCAAAAACATGTCTTTCTTTTGTATGTTTTTTAATGCAAAGCAAAAGCTCTATTCATTGTTGTATAGGAGGAATAGCCTGAATTATCTGAAATTTTGGAATAAAACTCAAGCACTTCAATAATGTTCAAATATATTTTAAAAAATATCGTCTTGTTTAAATGTGTTTGCACATACACAACTATGTAAGGGATTAATTTCTTACTTTTTTTAGGAGATTTCAATGTTGCAATATTTTTACGGCATTCATATAAAGTAGCCTTGAGCCTCCTTCTCTAGTAGCTATATATTGACATCCTAGTGCTGAAGAAATTATTCTTTATTTTGCCGGTGAATTGATTTACACATAAACTAAAGTAGAATAGAAAAATGTGAGGAGAATATTTACGATTCAAATACTCTCACCCAGATGCATATTAAAATAAGTAGCTTTTAGGTAGTGTTAATAAAACAAAATTAATTCAGTTGCACAAGTTGAAAAACTGAAATATTTATACATCAATTATTGATGATTTGTACTTTTCAAACTAACTTGTTTTATTGTGTTACCAAGCCAAGGCTAGCATTATCTTTCAGCTAGACTAAACTGCCTGCCATTATTCTTAAAGTATCTAGATATGCACATAACGTTTAGTTTTATGGTATAATCTTCCTTTAAATAATTTTATTTTTAAGTTTTTCCTTCATTATAACTGATGCCAGTTTGTATCTATATCACTCCTTTGTTGACTTATCAAATGACATTAACTGCTGTTGAGTGGTAGTTTTTTGATTTTTTTTTTAATTTTTCTATTGTTTAACTTTTCATGTATTTGGGCTCCATCTTCTCAACAAAGTTGCAAGCTTATTGAAGGGAAAAGCATAGTTTTATATTTCCTTGATTTTACCATAAACATTTAATGAGGTACACAATATTGCAAATAATTTGTATTCTTTATCTTGATTTTACTCAATATTGTCAGGATTGATTGAGGAATTGGTCTGACTTCTTAAGTAAAACATCTTCTCTATAACTCATTAGATTTTAAATCATAGAGGAATAAATGAGTTGCAATAAGAAAATCAATTGAGTCTCTTCTGAGTAAGACTACATTTCAAATGTTCAAGCTGATTTAGGACAATTCTTACTAGTGGGTTTCTTCAATAATACAGTTGAGACTCCACACACAAATGAGAAATTAATATGGAAATTAGACGCTGATGTAGTGCAATGAAAAAAATATCATATTGACATCCCCTACAACAATGGAAAAATGAAAAATCCTACAAATATTGGGGCGGGGAGAAAGAAGTTCTGATTTAAAAGCCCTGCTTAAAGAGGCTGTTTGCCAACTTTCAGATTTTTAAGTAACTGAGTAGAAACTAGGTGATTCTCAAAGGCAAAAATAAACTGAATGGGTTGCAAAATAAATTTTAGTAATAAATTGATGCATTTGTTTTTAAAAATAATTTAGCCTTTGGAATCCTTTCAGATGAAAATTTTAATTATCATTTTTCTTGCAAAAAGAATGATTCTATGTGAAAAACACTTTATTAAGTAAAACAAAACAATGCAAAAAAACCTGATATTTGAAAAATAAAAATAATTCTGAATATATTATTTATGAAAAGGTCATTTGAAAGTGTTAGTTTCAAAACTAGGGTTTTAACCATTTAATTTTACCTCATAGTATAACATATTTATAGGTTGATGAGACCATACTTTCAGATATATTTCATTTATATTTGATTCTTAAAAACATAGGTTTCTGCTTATAGGTTTTCATTTTCATGTTTCCCCAAAATGGCTCATGTTGAATACATTTTAGTGTTAAAATGTCATAGCCATAACATCACTATATGGATTATAATGCCATAGATTATAGGGAATAAACAAATCAGTGAATTGAAGGCAATATGGCTACTATTATGATAATGTTAACATCATGACATAAAGAACATATTTCTACTTTTATTATGCATTATTACCTATCACAGACAGCAATGTCTAAAAGTGGGAAATTTTTGAAGAGAGCTTCTATTGCTTTGAAAATTATCATGTTATCTTAGGAACTGTAAAGGATTTGATGGGGGAGGAAAGAAAGGTGCATTCTTGTGTGAAATATGCACATGAGTACAGTGATATGAGGCATGTGTACGTTATACCATTCAGCAGACGAAGGCACAGTGAATTGTCTTTAAAAGCTGGCTATATAACAAAGAACCAGCAGATCATCAATGTGACAATTTTATATTCAGTTTACACAGGTGGAATCTCATAAAGTAGTCATTGAAAATTAAACAGACATAGAGTTGAATCATACACCCATGAATAGGAGAATTC
This sequence comes from Homo sapiens, assembly GCF_000001405.40. NCBI lineage: Eukaryota > Metazoa > Chordata > Mammalia > Primates > Hominidae > Homo > Homo sapiens. The sequence goes on from NC_000018.10 coordinate 30,572,498, forward strand.
TTCCCAGCCAATGGCACAAACATTCCTTTTGGGAAGTAGCTACCTATACCAGTGTTTAAAATGAGGGGAGGTGTGGTCAGATTTAAAGTGATCTGAAAAAGGTAGAAATTTTGATTAACTTTATATTTTTAAGCTTGCATTTTTTAAAAAGTATAAACACTAAGTATATCACTTCAAAAACAATAAGGGAAAAAATATCAATTTATAAAAATGCAATAAAAGAAGGTTAAAAGAACCAGATAAAAAGCTCAGGATAAATAGAAAGCAGAAAATAAGATGGGAGAAATTATTCAAACAAATAAGTAATCACAATAAATGTAAAATAATCCAAGTCACCAGCTAAAAGACAGATAATATAATATTAACGTTTAAAACTATAGCTATATGACTCTATAAAAAATAGACAAATGTAAAAACACATACATGGTGAAATATGCACAAATCAGAAACAACCTTAAAAATACTGATAATGCTATTTAAAACAAGCTTTAGGGAAAAATAATGAGAGTATAGTGAAAGGCAGTTAAATTTACCAAGATTACATAAAACTCCAAAATCTATGTGAACATAATAATCTGTCCTTAAATATGTAAGACAGAATTACATGTATAGATGGACAAATCTAGAATAATAAAATCCCTTAACAAACTTATTTTACTAGTTGATAGGTGAAATGGACAAAATAATGAACAGTTTTGAAAGGTTTGATAAACTTAATTTAAAAAACTGGTATAAAAGACAGATATATCTGTATATTACCCAGCTCTAGCAATGATAGAATCCACATTCTTCTCAAGCATACAAAAAACATTTTTAAGATAGTATAATAGTCTCTAGAACTTAAAGCAATCTGAAAGTCTTTCTAGAAATTAATCATATAGCCCATTTTCTGTTCTTCTACTATAATGATTTTTTTAATGAAATAACAAAAAGATAACTGAAATTGTAAACAACGTGTATAAGAATGCGGTTCAGTGAACTCGTGGTTGGTATCTGATAGCACTATGATTATATACAGAGACTATTAGAAGTCTGCTGCTGACCCTTGGCTAAGACAGAGATAAAGCATTGACTAGCTAGTAATTTAAAATGTGCTGTATATAAAGTCCAAACCTTCCCTGGAACCCCTCTGTACTTGCTTGTCTATATTATTTCCTGAAAATATGAGGTCTGATTGTTTGCACTTGGCTTTAACCTAGCCTGATTTTATGACCAGCTGAGTACAAAAGAGCTCATTAGAAAATATCTGCCTTTGCTTTATTGAAACGTCAGAATCTATGAACGTAACTTGTTCGTTAACAATTTGAAGATGAAGCCGTCTGAAGATGTGCAACAGAGAAAAGACCCTGGAGCTGAGGCTGGAAGTAGTTGGCTGTCTTTATGCTTACCTGGGCTTCCTTTCTCTGTTGTACCATTACCTTTATTAAAAGCCTTGTGTGGGTATACGCTGTGGAGTCTCTCAAATCTTTTCTATTGCATGGTGCTGTAAGAACCATAATGTAAGATGTAAGGTAGTCTATAGGGAATCTACTAACTCAGCAGCCCGAGATGCGGTTGAAAGGAGGGAAAATGATTAGTATTATTTAGGGGGAAATAAAACAACAGAAATTAAAAGAGATCAAGAAAACATCTAGACAAACTGGGTAGAAATATTCAGATGGTTCATTAAAAATGGTTTGAAAAAGGTGGCAATCAGAATAGCTGCTAAAATGTTAGTGGATCTCTATAACTTGAATAGATGATCTAATTACTCCATCAACCCCTCAAACTATGTAAGGGCCATATCAGATTCTCTCAAAATATTCTACGTTTGATTAATATTAAAAATATAATATTTACCCAAAGAGAAATCTACAGCCCCTGTGGATATAGTGCTGATTTAAAAGATATGAGGTAAAGGAGAGGATTATGATGTGGAGAAACAAGAAGACCATGATTTCTTGTCCAAACTCCAGCAGGAAAATCAGGCTGTTGGCATTGATATGGCTAAAATGTCCTGGGATAGTGAGGACACCCTTATTAGGGTTACTGAACACTGGGGCACACTGTATTATCGCAGCCTAAATGTGCTCTGGTAATATAACTAAATTAGGGACAAATGGTTATGCAGTGGTGGGAGGCTTATATGTGAAGTATGTCACAAACTAGGAATATTAGGAAAAGTTATAGTTACTACTTGAGCTCACCAATGTACATTACTGAGATAATGTTATGCGAGAATGAGAGATTCCCTTTATACAAACTATTAAGGAAAGAACTTCATACAAGCCTACTCTTTATCCTGTTTCATTTTATTTACTTTGTTTGTCTGTCTGTTTTGAGACGTAGTCTCGCTGTGCTGCCCATGCTGGAGTGCAATGGAGCGATCTCGGCTCACTGCAACCTCCACCCCTCAGCTTCAAGGGATTCTCCTGCCTCACCCTCCTGAGTAGCTGGGATTATAGGCACCTGCCAACATGCCTGGCTAATTTTTGTATTTTTAATAGAGACGGTATTTTACCATGTTGGCCAGGCTGGTCTCGAACTCCTGACCTCAAGTGATCTGCCCGCCCCGGCCTCCCAAAGTGCTGGGATTACAGGCATGAGCCACCATGTCTGGCTCCATCCTGTTTTAAGGATGTACAACTGTTTTAAGGCGTGTACAACTGAAAATTTTATATAACTGAAATTAATTTAAAGCAATGTGGAATTCATGAAGGACATCAAGAAATTAAGTTCTATTAAGAGTATATTAGACATAGATATATTAGCTCCTACAAATTATTTGTTAATGCAGCATGGCCTTTCAGAAAAGCTAATATACCCTGGAGATCATTTAAAAATTATAAAGACCTTAATAAAATAATAGCCCTGCTGCATCGTGCCCAACATGGGGTTACTAATTCAAGTTTTGCAGCAAGTTACGGGAGATTTGTATTCTGTGATTGGTTTGGTTAATGATTTATTTTACATTTCTGTTTCAGGAGAAAATGAAAGACAATTTGTATCCGTGGGGGACCAAATCCAACAGACTTTTACCATGCTCCTATGGGATACTGTATTTAAATTCTTTATACTGTCTTAACTTGAAGAAAAGAAATTTAGATTTGACTTAGTGGAAAAGCATGTTTTCTACAAATATTATATTGATGATGTAATGCTGATATGTCAATTAGACGATCGAGCTAAAACTGAATTTCAAATCTTTGTTAATCTAATGACCACTAGAGAGTATCTAATTAACCTGGCTAAAGTACAAGGCCCAGCACAAACCATTACATTCCTAGGAATTACTTCTACCAGAGTCATTAGACACTTTCCTCAAACAACCAAAAATAAGTTGTTATCTCTTTCAACTCCAAAATCAAGGCAAGAGACACAAAGTTTAATTGTATCATTTGGTTTCTGGAAATGTACTAATCTTTAGAGATGGCTACCAATCTTATAAAAAGTTTCTCTAGGGTATAAAAATAAAAAACAAGCCATGTGAATTATATTCTGTAGTTTTTATTGACCTCACAACAAAAGGAGAAACAGGAGCATAAAAAGCCAGTTAGAGAGCAATGTTGTATTTGAATACGTAGCTGAAATATTGAACGAAATTTTTAAATTGGATACATTTTTATCAAGTTAATATATTATGAGGATTATTGCAGGAAAGCAAGGATAATCTAATACTAGAAGAAATTATCAATATAAACTCCCTCTTAACAGATTGATGGTAAAAAAATTTATCTCAAGAGGTGCATCACAATGTCTGATACAATGAATAACTAATTCATCTTTTAAATTATCATCAGATTACAAGTAGAAAGGAATTCCCTTAACCTGATGAAGGTTGTACATCAAAAACTTTCTTTAAACACCATATAAAATATTCAAACTGATAAACGTTCTAATAAAAAACGTAACAATAAAGATGACATCTAAATTTCAGCAAATTTGTTGTAAATTTCAGTTACTCCACGTTGAACTGAAAACTCTAGTGGATAGCCAATTAAATAAGATAGAAAATCAAAAATAAGAGGCAAAAATATTTTACAATTTTTACACAAAATTATAGTTATTTGCAGACTTTGTGTTTTGGAAAACCTAAGGTAATCTATAAATCATTAGAACTAATGAGAGCACTCAGCAAATTCATTGTATACAAAACCAACAATCAAAAATAACTACAAAAAATAGTACTAAAAAGACTCCATCCATAATATCTACATCAACTAAAATGTGTAGGGGTGAAACAACTGGCAGATGTGTGCAAATTATTTGTGAAATAAAAGATTACAAAATTTGAAATACATAAAAGAAGCCCTGAATAAATGAAAATATACAATAAGTTCTTCAGTGGAAGACTTCATATTATAAGCAAGTTAATTCTTCCCAAATTTATGTATTAGTGCAATGCAATTCCAATAAAAATCCCGAAAGAATTTATTGAAATCTTGAACACACTGATCCTAAACTTCATGAGAATGAGACAAAAGTAGCCAAGACAATTTTTGGAAAAATATTAAAAATAATGATTATATGTTCTGTCTGGCCAGATACCACATCTTATTGCAAGCATAGTTCAGGATCAGAAATAAGTAATAAATCAGTGGAATAGAATAGAGCAATGAAAATACACCATCAAATATGACATCTTGCTAGAGGGGACATTACAAATTAGTGGTCTAATGTAGGACTATTAAGTAAATGGTATTTAAATGCTAGCATTTCCAGAGGGAAGAAATAATTTGATTATAATCTCATTTTATATAAAATATTTTCAAGATGGAGGAAATAATAGGGAAAACAAAACTTAAAAGTATTACAAGAATGTATAGAATATATCCCTATATGTTAGTGAAAGAGTTCTAAAATCATAACATAAACAAATCTTATAAAATAGAGATTGATGGATTTGATTATTTGAAAAGTATGCATTTATGCTTGACTAAAGTCACCATAAACATAGTTAAAATGTAAACTTTGGCTGATTAGGAAGCAATATATGGAACTTGGTAACAGAATTGATTATTATTCATTACTATTTTTGAAATCAATATGAAAATGTACTTATATTCCAGTTGAAAGGAGTGGTAACATTTAATGATTATTAATTGATTGAAGAACCCATGAGTCCAAAAAGTATTAGAATATGCCAAAAATCTTAACCAACCTGAGAAGTGCCAGTTTACAAAGAAGACACTTTTCTTACTTATATTGACCAAAGTGCCTTAAATTGAGTGTCACATATTGGAAAGGATCTTGGTGAAAGAAATTGTAATATACTATTTCTGGGAGTAGAAATGATACAATAATTTGAGAAAAAAATTGGGAATAGCCAGTTTTGAGTTAATTATTTCTCTTTCAAAGCAGCCATTCTATTATACATATAAACTCTTAAAAATTGTTTACAGTTACATGCAAAGATTATACACACACACATATTATATGTATATACACACATATATATATACATACATATGTATGAATTTCCATTTTAGCTCATTTTGTAATAGGAGGAAATTAAAAATAATGTATACATCCATCAACAGATTAACAGATAAATAAAATGTGTAATGTACTCTATGGTAAAATACTGTACATAGAAAAAAATGAATTAATGACATTAGCATATACTGATATAGTAAAGGGCAAAGCAATGTTTTAAAAAGAAAATTGCAGTATTATACTCACTATTCACTATTCACATGAAAGTAATATATGTTGTGCTGTCATGTACTGCTTCTCTCTTCGTCTCTCTCTTTCTGACTCTCTCTCTGCCACACACAAACACACAGACACACACAAAATTAAGGGAAATACTGAAAAATTACACAGTTAATGTTAGTCATTGCTTTTAAAACAGCAAAGACATGAGAGAATACAATTTGCAATGAGGAAAACAAGTGTTTTTAGCTTTATCTACAATGTTTTATTTTGTTAAAATAGACAAAACAGATATGATCAAATTTGAAAAATATAAAGAACAAGTAGTAGAAACAAACATTATTCATCATTACACCACCAAGAGGGCACTATAGTTAAAATTTTATGAAGGTTTTGCTCAAGATTTTTGTTGTTGTTTCTGTTTTCACTTTTGTAATCGAAAAGAAAAAAAACTTAAATCTCTTGAGACAGTGGTTTGGATAAATTGTTTAGTGTAGCGAGACCTTACAGTTAAAAATTTTCAAGATATATCTTATTATTTTGGTTCTCAACATGTTTTTCCATCAAACTACTTAAACACATACCTTCTGTCCTAGTCTGTTTTGTGTTGTTATAAAGGAATACCTGAGGCTGGGTAATTTATAAAGAAAAAAGGTTTATTTGGCTCATAATTCTTATGGCTGAAAAGTTCAACATTGAGCATCTGCATCTGGTGAGGGCCTCTGGTTGCTTCCACTCACGGTGGAAGGTAACGAAGTGCTGATGTATACAGAGATCACATAGTAGGAGAGGAAGCAGGAGAGACAGGGATGAGAGGTGCCAGGCTCTTTTTAACAACCAGACTATGTGGGAACTAACAGAGTGAGAACACACTCACCCCAGTGGGAGGGTATTAATTCATTCATTAGAGGTCAATTCCTATGTCCAAACACCTTCCATCTGGCCCCAAATTTGGGGAACAAATTCAATGAATTTTAGGGGGGAAAATATCCAAACCATAGAGCCTTCTTATATGCAACATGCTTACACGGGCCAACAAGGTTTTACATATTAGAGCATAATGATTGCTGGCAAATTATGTAATTCCACTTTTTTTTCCTACCACTGATCCAAGCTACTAGTATTTCTCACACATAGATGAGAAAATTATGCCATAGATGTTTTTAGAAATTATATTTTTTAAAGAATTGGAAAGAGAAATAGATTTTTAGCTTCTTTGTTCAGAGTGTTTATGTAATGTAGTTTAAGTCTCACTGTTTTAATGATGAATTGTTAGCTTTTGTGTTTGTTGAACACCTTGTTTCTAATACATCTATGTATTGACTAATTCAACCATGAGGTAGTGAATGAGATCTAATTGCAACTTGCTGGCAGGAAATAAATTGTACAATTGATTGTGGTTTTTTGAAAAAAAAAAAACCATTTTAAACTTTTGAATCTACAAATTCACAGTTATGAAAAACAGCAGGCATTATATGCCTTCAAGCAGAGTTTGTGAAAGATAAGTCAGGAAAAGTTTGTTTCATTATCACACTCAGAAATGTGCCTTACTATCACACCCTATAAAAAGAAAGGAAGATCAATTTGCTTTGATGGCACATAATGCTTTTAATCTACCACATTAAAAAGTAATTTTTCAAGGCTGAGTTAATGTGAGTGCAGTACACCCTTTTGTTAAGCTTTTGTATATTTTCCAGGTATAAGTCATGAGTGAGAACTTGCTGGTGAAGAACCTACTTTTATATATGACCATAGTATATGTTTGAAACTAGAAAAAAATTGAAAACGAATGTGTTTCAGCTGCTTGAGAGTATTTTTGTTGTCTTTGTTGTTGTTTTATGAAACACAACCATATTCTTGCCTCTTGGAAGACATCATAATGATTTTTCCAATTTCAGGCATTTTGATCCTTAAGGAACTTTCAGTGGGTGTTCCTAATGTCATAACTGGGCAATTGTTACTTCTTCAGTCAGTTAAGATTAGAAGCCAGATTATCAGATAGTCTATTGCCTATATAGTAGCTATAAGAAAATATATGGAACAAAATATAAGCATGAAAATAGTAGATAAAAATAAAACACTTTACCATTTTTATAACCCTGCATTTAGAATCTATTTTATAGCCTTAGAAAAGAAAATCTGTAGAGTAGTTTACAGAATTTGTCCTGCTGGCATTTACCCAGGTATTTAAGGGAAGCACATTTATTTATGAAAAACACGAAATAATTTCTATGTAAGGATGATAGAAAGTAAAAATATTTGAGAATCTATGATATTGTCATATGTGTTGTGTTTTGCAATATTAAAAAATATAAAAGACATAATTTCTGTTCTTCGGGTCTAGGTAATTTTTTAAAAACAAAGTTTTTCACTAAAAAAAGAGGGATTAAAATAACAATTTTTGAAAATAGAAGGTGCATGGTGCAAGCAAATACAATAGGAATTTAACAAGGGTCAGAATTTTTGGAGAATTGCATTTTAAACTTGTTTTTGTAGTAGGGATAAGTTAGGCAAGTAAGCCGAGTAAGGGTAAGTTAGCCAAGAGGAGGTGTTTAGAAAGTTCTAAATGTGAAAATAATACTATTTATTATTTAACATTAACTGCACCCCCACCCCCACCAACGTCTTGAATCAGGACAGTACTGGAAAAAAATGAAACAGGTTAAAGAGGTTTGCAAAACAAAATAACATCACACACACACACACACACACACACAAAATAGGGAGAAACGTTATAGAAGGGTTAAGTTAGATAGTTATAGGAAAGTTGTGTGTGTATGTGTGTGTGTGTGTTGTGCAATGATTATGAATTCTAAAAAGCTGGTTGTTGTGGTTTAATTTAGATTCTGTTTGGAAAGGGAGAAGTGGTTGGGAAATGAGGAGGGAGAGAAGTGGAGGTAGCAATGTTTAAATGCCTGAAATGTGTCTCTTAAGGCAATAAGAAGGGTTTCTCTGGCAAGTGGCAAGTTACATGCTTTCAGTTAAAGAAAGTAATTAATACTGACCAATGCAAAGAAAATACAGGTATGGACTTAACAGGGCATCTGGTTATAACATTTGATTTTGGTTACTTATGGAAGGCTGAGCAAATTTAATTCTACTAAACCTGATGTGGTCCTTGGCAGATTAGTCTGGCAGTGTATTAAAAAGATGGATTCAGGGGGAAATAAACTTTACTCAAGGAAAATGTTATACAGTAATCCAAATATGAGGCATCCTTATATATACCAGCATAACAGCAAAGTTCAAGTAAAATCAGACATTATTTCTTATTTAATCTAGGTTATCAGCCCAAACTTCTAGTAAATATTTAAGAAAAATATTTGAAAATAGTCTATCAGTACTAAAATCTGATGGCTTGTTAAGACCATTAGTAAACCCAATCTTTTTCTACTTGCTTAATTTTTTTACCTTCTTTTATTCCTCATTGTAATTATTCAAAGTTTGTGTTTTTTAGGTCATTCAGTCCTGCAGGCAAAAATTCCATTCAATTGTTTTGCTTTCTGTTGTTGAAATTACCTTTTTCGGTAATGATGCTTTTCTGAGATGTGAAACACCCCAGATGCTGAAATGATGAACATCATTTAAATACCTGAATAAACAAACTTGTCCGAGGGCTATCAATTTTTCTTTTTGAAGCTCCCTGTAACATTTCTTTATGCATCACCCGTTGTTAACAACTTCATTATGTTTCTAATTAATGTGTCCCCTTCCAGGCTAATAGTGTGCTATGTATTTTTGTTTAGAAAAACAAGAATTCTGCCTCTTTCTCTTTTTTTCTAGAGGCCAGAAAGAAACACCTGGGGAAGCCACCATGACCCTCCTGTTTCTAGTGTTTGGCACTGTATTCTCCATCAATTGCAGAACTTCCTCCTTAGCACCCAGCTCAATGCCTGGCACATAACAGGCCCTCAGCAATATTGTTTTTTATTAGCCTGTTTCTTTGATTTGTGAATCTTCTGGAATATTAACAATCCTCTCTAGAGACTAGCTCTTTTCTCCTTCAGGGTTTCAGTTCTCGTATTAACTCTTATTTCTTGCTTTTGTAAACTGGATGCTTTAACATCTGCCCTGCATGGACACGCAGGACATCCCTTGTTGTGGACAATCTGATAATATGTCTGAGTCACCTTGGCTCGGTCTCCTGCCCACTTGGTCATCCCCCTCCTCTGGGATGACTCCTCCTTCTAAGGGCATGCTTTCAGTTTTTCCCACTGCTTCTGCCTGGTGACAAGCCCAGGTGCTCCTTTGTGTGCCCCAGCAATCCCCCCATGGCTGGAGCACCCTGTCTTCTAGTTACCTGTGAGTAACACATTATCTTTTCAGTGGCCATCATGTGACTATCTGACAGACTTACTATACGCAAATGTTTCTATTAATACACTACATTTTTTTAAGTCCTGTATTTTACTTTCTACTTTTCTACTCCTGTATGTCTCCTCAGTTTCATTTAAGCCCTCTGAGAGTAGGGTATGTTTCTGTCTGCACCTTGACTCTTGACCAAGTTTTCTACTTTATTCTGGGTTCATGGATTTGACACAGGGGTGAGTTGGCTCACTCAGTCCTGATGTTCTCAGTATCAGATTCAATGTCCAACTTTCTACTAAATATATCCCTTGGATGGTCTGTAGACAACTCAGTCAATATGTTCTGGAACAAACTCAAAATTTAACTTCAACTCCTCCTCTGTCAGTAATTCACAAGACTGAGAGCCATTTGAATATGTTCATCCCACCAATATGCCATTACTGTAGTTCAAGTCTTATTGTGTTTCACTTAGTCTGTGACAATGGACTTCCAACTAGGTGTTTTTGGTTTTTTTTGCCCTTATCATCAAAATATTTTTTACACTGTCTGCTAATAGCTGGAACTTGAATGCAACCATGACTTTCAGGATATGGCCCCAAGTCTGTTTCTTGACATTTTAGGCCCTCCATGATCTCTCTGATTATGGCTTCCCTCTCAGCTTTACCTGCCATTATTCCTGTTTTTTTTCACTAGCAATACTGAATTATTTGTGACTTCTTACCAAGGTGACAGACTTTTGTACTTCACGCCTTTGTGATCTTCTTCCATCATTCTACCACCTTCTCCTAATTGTTCCCTGGATATATCCTACTCATTTTTTAAGCTTCAATTCAGCTATCTTCTCCTCTAAGAAGACCTTCCCTGAACCTTTATAATCTTGTATTGTTTCTTTGTGCTTTTATAATAACGTGTGCTTTAAAAATTTTCTGTGTAGTTTATACATCGTCTTGACAATATTTCTAAAGTTTTCACCTGTGCAGCACATATATTACTGAAGAATAGGTCTCAATTTTATATTTCTAGTGCCTATCCCAAGATTTGGAATGATGTAATTGTATTATGTTTCTAATTAATGTGTCACCTTCTACACTAATAGTATACTAAGTATTTTTGTTTAGAAAAACGAGAATTCTGCATCTTTCTCTTTTTTCCTAGAGGCCAGAAAGAAACACATGGAGAAGGCACCACGCCCCTCCTGTTTCTAGTGTTTGGCACTGTATTCTCCATCAATTACTTCAAGGGAACCACAATCTGCCATCTGCTAGCTAAATATATCTGGTAGCAGGGGCAGGTAGACGTTTCTCTTCAATTCCCTGGTTGCTGGACACAAAAAAAGATTACTTAGCATGAGAAGATTTTGCAGAAAATCTCTAATGAGGGACTCACTCTGAATGGCCTATCAGATTCAGAAAAGCAGAAGTTAATGAAACGTACATTCATAATTGGGATACACACAATGAATACTAGTAGCATAAAATAGTTTCCAGATTTCCTTTTACAGTTATGCTGAATGTATCAATTTTACCTACTCAGCAACTTTTTAAATGTAGGTCCTTGTTCTTGTCTCTTTACCCTTTGTCTTTAGAATTTGCTTCTCTTCATGATTCACTTAGAAACTAATGATTGGTATCTGGTAAATAGTTATTGCATATTGAATGAATCTTAAATCCCAGGTTTATCTCTTCCAATCTGTCTGCTTTTTAGCTGTTAAAATTCTGCATTTTTTCTTCCTGACCCAGCAACCCACCAGTCCTGAACCTTCCTCCAGATTCAGATATATCAATATAAGGAAATCGTGATCTTAGACATAGTTCATTAAATAATACATGACTCCTCCAACATTATAGCACCAGGTAAATAGAAAAGTAAATTTGGGGTTCCTGCTTCATGTTTAATTCTGTTTTGCCTTGAACCTATACCTTATTAAAGGCCTGAAACAGCCACATGAATTACTTAAAGGAATGATCATTCTCACCTTTGTACACAAAACAACATAGCTTTGGTGGCATTCTTTAGAAAGGAAATATGAGAGATTTAGTAATGTTAGTTTCTACTACTATGTAGCTGAAAAGTACCGCACTATTATTTCCAGTTTGTATTGAGTTTTAAAGGAAAGCAGGAGATAGGGGTAGGAGAATATCATTTGTCCACAAGCGAATAGGTAACCACTTCTCCCTCTTTCTTCTTGTTTATGCTGCACAGTTTATTTGTAAATTTTCCTCTAAATGCATATTATTGTTGATTATTTTAAAAGTTGCTTTTTATTTTTATGTGCATTTTGGTTGAGATAAGAACAATTAACATGAGGTATAGCCTCCTGACAAATTTAAATGTACAATACATTGTTCTTAATTGTAGCACAATGCTGTATAGCAGATCTTTAGAATTTATTCGTCTTGCATAACTTAAGCTATTTGCCCAATGAACAGCAACTCCTATTCCCATTTCCTTTAGGCCTTTCAACCACCATACTATTTCCTGTTTCCATGAGTATGATTGCTTTGGATACTATATAGATGGAACCACACAGCATTTGTCCCTCTGTAATTGGCTTATTTCACTTAGCATAATGTCCTCCAGATTCATCCATATTGTCGTAATTCACAAAATTCCCTTCTTTTTATAGTCTGAATAATATTGCACAGTGTCTGTAGTCCACATTTTCTTTATCCGTTCATCTGTCAATGGACATTTATATTGTTTCTATATCTTGGTTATTGTGAATAATGCCGCAATGCATATGGGAGTGCAAATATCTATCCAAGTTCTTGATTTCAGTTATTTTTTATATATACCCAAGAAGGAGGTTTGATAGATCATACAATAATTCTATTTTTAACTTTTGGAATAACCTTCATACTTTTATCCATAGCAGCTGCACCATTTTAGATTCTGATGAACAGTGTACAAGGGTTCCATTTTCTCACCAACATTTTTTGTCTTTATTTTTATGACGATATCACTTCAAAAAAAGATGAAGTGATATTTCATTTCGATTTTGATTTGAAGTTCCCTAGGTGTTAGGCCGTTCTTGCCTTACTGTAAGGAAATACCTGAGACTGGGCAACTTATAAAGAAAGAGGTTTAATTGTCTCATGGTTCTGCAGGCTGTACAGGGGGCATGGCACTGGGCATCTGTTTGGCTTCTGGTGAGGCCTCAGGAAACTTACGTTCATGGCAGAAGGCAAAGGGGGAGCCAGAGACTCACGGGGTGAGACAAGGAGTAAGAGAGTCAAGGGGCAGATGTCACACACTTTTAAACAGTCAGATTTCATGAGAACTTACTATCACAAGGACACCACCAAGAGGACGGTGCTAAACTATTCATGACAAATTCATCCCCACAATCCAGTCACCTCACACTAGGCCCCACCACCAACATTGGAGATTCACTATTCAGCATCAGATTTAGAGGGGACAGCATCCAAACTATAGCACTCTAATTATTAAAGATATTAAGGATATTTTCATATACCTGTCGGCCATATGCGTGTCTTCTTTGGAGAAATGTCTATTCAAGTCCTTTGCCCATTTTGTAAAAAGGTCACTTGTGGTTATTCTTATTGAGTTATAAGAGTTCCATCTATATTTTGAATGTTAACCATTTATCATATATATGGTATATAAAATTTTCTCCCATTCTGTGATTTGCCTTTTCACTCTGTTTATTGTTTTCTTTGCTGTGTAAAAGTGTTTTAGTTGGACGTAGTCCCAATTTTCTATTTCTGCTTTTGTTGCTTGTGCTTTTGATGTCATATTCAATAATTTGTTGCTAAGATCACTGTCATGAAGATTTTCCTCTATGTTTACTTCTGAGAGTTGTACAGTTTCAGGTTTTAATTTTAAGTCTTTAATTCCTTTTGAGTTGATTTTTATTTACAGTGTAAAATGAATCTACTTATATTCTTTTGCATGTGGATATCCAATGTTTTCAACTATTTGTCAAAGATACCATCTTTTCCCCTTTTTGTATTCTTGGTACCTTTGTTGAAGATTAGTTGACCATATATATAAGTGTGGGTTTATTTCTGGACTCTCTCTTCTGTTCCATGAGTTTATATGTCAATGATGATTCAATGTACACAGATCAATTAATATGCTACACCATGTTAACAGAAGGAACAATAAAAACTTCATGACCATCTCAATAGATGCAGAAAAACATTTGGCAAAGTCAACACACTTTCATAACAAAAACTCTCAAAAAACTAGGTGTAGAAGGAATTTACCTCCATATACTAATCGTCATACATGAAAAGCTCTCAGCGAATATAATACTCTAAGATGAAAGCACAAAGATTTTCCTTAGTATCCAGAAAAAACTAAGAATGACAACTCTTGCCACTTCTATTAAACATAGTACTGAAAGTCCTAGAGATAGCAGTTAGGCAAGAAGAAGAAATTGAATGCACCCAAATAGCAAAGAATTAAAAATATCCTTTGTAAGTGACATGATCTTATATGTAGAACGTCTTAAATACTCCATTTTAAAAACCTGGTTGAATGAATTCAGTAGTTCAATAAAATTGTAGAATAAGAAATAAAAATACAAATATCAGTAGAGTTTCTAAACACCAACAATGAACTATCTGAAAAGAAAACAGTTTCATTCATAATTACCTCAAAAACATACTCAGGAATAAACTTAACCAAAAAGATAAAAGTCTTGATGAAAAACCTCTTGAAAAGAGACAAATAAATTCAAAGACATCTGTGTTCCTGGACTGGAAGGCTCAATGTTGTTAAAATGTCTGTATTACCCAAATGATCTACAGATTTCATGCAATCTCTATCAAAAACCAACGGCATTTTTTACAAATGTAGAAAAAGCAATTCTAAAATTCACATGAAATCACAGAGACCCTGAATAGCCAAAGCAATCTTGAGTAAGACAAACAAAGCTATAGACATCACACTTACTTATTTCAAAACATTACAAAGCTGTAATAATTAAAACAGAATGGTCATTTTCTTTTTATTAAAGTTTTAGTTGTGTTAAAATACACATAACATAAAATTTACCATCTTAATCATTTGAAATTATACAATTCAATAGCATTAAGTACATTCACATTATTTTGCTTCCACCACCACCATCCATCCACAGAACTTTTCATCTTGCAAAACCATACTTTTTAAACAATAGTTACCCATTCTCTTTCCTCCCCACCCCTGGTAGCTACTTTCTGTGGTGTATAGTACTTTTTGTCTCTATGAATTTGACTATTCTAGGTACCTTATCCAAGTAGAATTATAATTTTTTGGGGGGGCCTGGCTGATTTTACTCAGCAAAATGTCCTTAAGGTTAATTCATGTTATAGCATGTATAAAAATTCCTTCCTTCCTTTTATAAGGCAGAGAAATAATCCATAATATATACATACCACATTTTATTTATCTATTCTACTCATCTCTTGAGGGACACTTGTATTGCTTTTGCATTATGGTTATTGCAAATAATGCTGCCATGAACATGTATGTATTTATGTACTTGATTACAATCTTCTGGATTATATAAAGAGTCTTACATATTATGAGATTTGAATCAATACTTTTGTAAAATCATTTCATCTCAAAAATTATTACAAAAAGTATCTTTCTTTATTAATTTTGACACTGGAACAATTTAAGGAATATCAGAATTAATGGAAATTGGAATTAGAGGTGGAGTAAAGGAATGTACTACATTGATATTTGGGTGATGAACATCCTGACAGATGGAAAAGAAAAGGCAAAATTCTAGAAGTATGTTAAACAAAACAGGCAAGAAATTCAGTCTAAGTGGAGCAGAATGAGTGAGGGGGAAAAGCAAGAGATGGGTTCAAAAGGTGGTTTTAGATCATATTTTGGATTTCACTTATTTAGGCATGGTTGTTAGTCATTTCAGGGTTTTGAGCAGAGGAATAGCATAGCTTGGTTTGTACATTTTTAAAATCACTCTGGCTGTTGTGCAGATAATAGATTGGAAAAGGGTAGAGAGACAAGAATAGATGAGGAAGAGTAGGTTATGGCAAAACTCAGGCATAATATCATAGTGGCTTTGACTAATCTGGCAATGATACAATTGTCAAGAGTGATGGGATTTAGAATACAGTATTTTGAAAATATAACTAATAGCTCATGCTGATGAATTAGAAGTTGGGTATGAGGGAAATAGAAGAATCCAGAATGACTCCAGTTTTCTAAAACATTTTAGCCCTGAGCATCTGAGTGAATGGTATCACCTATACAGAGATTTTGGAGACTGTGAGAACTGTAATTTGTGGAGGTGAATCTAGAGTTTTATATTGGATGTGGTATGTTTCAGATGCATGTTTCTTTTTCCATGTGGAGATTACAAGTAGGTGATCAGACAAATATGAACTCAGAGGAGAAGCTCAGGCTGGAGAAATAAATCTGCAAGTAATCAGTATACTCATCATTTCTTACAGCAATAAAACTTGGCATCATAAAGAAAATAAATAAAGATGGAAATAAAATAAATCTGAGTCATGAGCCCTAGGTTACTTCAATATTTACAGATGGGAAAAAAATAGGATTATGAGAAACAGAATGAGAAGTGGCCAGTGAGGTAGAAGGAAAACCAGAAGAATGAAGTGCTCAAGATGCAGTGAAGAGAATTTTCCAGGACAAAGGGAGTGGGCCAATGTACTTAAAACAACATTGAATTTTAGCAAAGACATGGGAATGACTAGTTGACTTAGAAACAGGGGGATCACTGGATTCATTCATGAGAGTGATTTTTGGTTGCATAAGAGTGAAGAGGATAAATTCAAATTAGGTTTAAGAAAAATTGTAATTAAAGAGATAGAGAACAATGCTTTCAGAACATTTTGCTGAAAAAGAGTATAGCACATGAAAGACTTATAGTCATAGGAGTTTTAGTTTGTATGTTTGTTTAATGGAAGTAATTGCAGAGCATTTACATCCAGATAAGATTGATTTAACAGAGAGAAAAATACTGAAGATGCCAGAGAAAGAAGGTACAATTGTGGTAGCCAGATAAAGGGATAGGAAAGAGAGATAAAATCCAGTATAAAGGTGAAGAGAAACTTAAATAGAAACAGGAACATTTTATGTATTGTAACTGGTGGAAAGTAAATCTTATAGGTACAAACAGAGATATACTGGTAGATTTCTAGTGAGAAAACACATAAATTCTCTTTTCATTGCCTCTCTTCATGTGTTCAGTAAAATCAGGAGAAATTAATTTCATCAGATGAGACTGGGCAGAGTAAGGGGTTATGGACATTTGCAGAGGATACTAATAAAGGAAATATAGTAGCGTTCCTAGCCATGGCTCAGGGCCTCACTAGAGGTTAGTGATTCAGAATTTAAACTAGGACCACTCAGTGCATTGTGTATTTTGCTCTACCATATGCCACAATATAACCACTTCATTGAAGAAAAGAATGGGGAACACAAGAAGATTCAAAGACAATAAAAATAGATTAGACTCAATAGATTTCACTTTCAAATGTTTTTCTACTTCTTTAGTTCCCATAATCACAATTTCAATTTTTGACATCAATTAGCCAGACTGGTGAACATTAAAGCAAACAGAGAATAATGATTGTCTTGTTTTGTTTTTGTACGTGTCTTGTCTGGAGCTCCTAAGCAGATTATGCAGCAGGATTCTTAACATTAAAATGAAGGGTGAGTATGTTAAAGACAGACACTCTCCTTTAAAGATGCAGTGTTTTTATTTGAAAAGATGATTATCCCCTACACATTTTCCCAACTATATAGATGAATTGTTTAAAAAGAAAATACATCACTCTACCGATGGCAAGAGTAAAGTAGAACCACAAAAAAGATTGAAATTGAAACATAGTCAACACAGTTAATGATGTTGTCTGTATATATGTGTATATACACATATACACGCACAGAAAAAGACATGCACAGACACATACACGCACACAAACATGCACACATTTTCTAATTAAGATAGATTTCACATAGTTGAATATAAAATTCATGGAGAGTAATGTCAAATATGAGTAAGCTTTGGAACCGCTTTTTAAACGAAAAAAAAAAGGATATTTAGAAAGTATACGATGACTATTTTCCACTATAGAGACACCATTTGCCTATAAGCTCACCAACTGCAATTCCCTAGAACTCTTTCCGAAGATGTTAAATTTGCAAACAAATAGTCTTTTTGCACCGTGTTTCTTTGAAATGATTGGTTGCACATGCCCAACTGTTTCTCAGTTTCACTGTACAGTTCCTTAAAACCCTCGGGTAGATACCATCTGGTCCTGGTGATTAATCTACATTTACTTTGTCAATTTTGTGAGAACATCTGAGTATTGACCACTGTTTGATCTGATACATCCAACCTGCTCATTGCCTGTAACAATCTGGATTTGAGAATCTCCCTAATATCTTTCTAATTAATGTCTAAGGCAAAGAATTAATTCAGTCTGTCAGACCTCACATCTTTATCCTTGAGTACATCATTTACCCGAAAGTAACCAAAGATCCCATTGATGCCACTCCAGGTGAATTTCTGCATGGTTAACACCAAAACCTTTTTATTGTTTTCTAATTCTCTTATGAAGTATTTTTTGTCCAACTTACTTGCAGTTTACATATCAGTGAACTTTCTTCTCCTCATTCTGTCTCTAACACATTTGCCAGGCAGTCTATTTTCTGCAAGTACTTGGTATTCTTGATAATTGGCACATATTTTGGATACACATTAAAGTACATATCAACAGTCTCCGAGATTTTTGTCTATATTGATTCTGAAAAAGACTCCCCACTTTTTTGCTGTTGTTCTTGCATGTGGACATTTTTTATCCCTTTCTCACTCCAGTGTTGAATTGAATTTTTATAGTAACTATTAACAGATTAGGAACTATTATTATTAATGAAGACATTTTATTCCCTTCTCTGAGTGCCTGAAATTCCTGACATTGCCAATTGCTTTGTTTAAATGTGCACTCTGTCTAGAGAATATAATAAGGACAATTTGGACTTTCTTGTATAAAATTATAAGAATGATGAAAGAAAGTTATATTAAAAAGGAACACTTTTTATGAAATTCCACTGATAAATAAATGTCTAGAAATATTAAATTCAAGGTGACTATATATTGCTATTAACTTGCAACTATAGGACTAATTACAATACATTATACTTATCTTTCTCTGGAGAACTCAAAACACTTAGCTTTATCACTAAGTGATAAAAAAAATTTTATTTATTTATTTATTTATTTATTTATTTATTTATTTTAGAGACAGGGTCTCCCTCTGTTGCCCAAGCTGTAGTTCAGTGGCACAATCATGGCTCACTGCAGCCTCAACCTCCCAAGCTCAAGCAATCCATTCATCTCAGCCTCCTAAGTAGCTGAAACTGCAAGTGTGCACCACCACACTCTGGTAAGTTTTATATTTTTTGTACAGACAGGGTCTCACTATGTTACCCAGGCTGTCTCTAACTCCTGGGCTCAAGTGATCCTCCTGCCTCACCCTCCCAAAATGGTAGGACTACAGGTATGAGCCACCCCACCTGGCAAGCTTTATCACTTTAATCTCACGGCAAGAGCTGTGAGCTGGGGATGAGTAGGGAGAGAGGTTGATCTTGTCAAGATGACCATCCCATAATTGCTACTTTTTGCTGCTGTCTTTATTCTGTGTGAAGATAGACATGCCAGTACTTTCTACACAAAATATTTTCATGCAGCCATAACTCACAAAGTTTTTCATCTGTGCAAAATCCCAAAGTTATTTTACTTTCAGTCATAGCCAGGCAAACATTAATAAATATAGCAAAATATAACTTTAGTAATTGAGCAATTTCAACTCAGTATTCATCTGTTTAAAAATTATTGCTTGCAGTGAGTCAACAACCAAATCTAATAAGTAAATGAAATTGGGAGACATTAACAAACACAAAGGAAGTATTAGCTTGAGAGGAAATAGGGAAAAGTAAGATTCACTGTAGTATTCATTTCAGCCATGTGAATAACTGCTTATCATACTCTCCCTAAGGGATCAATTAAAAATGAGTCTCAGGTGATGAAATGTATTTTCAGCAATAAAGACAGGCTTGTTTTATCATTACTCCTATGTTCTTTGCATATATTCACCATTAATTAGCATAATCATATTTTCAGTATTATATATATGAAGTAAAATACAGCAAATCAAAAATAGAAAAAACACACACATACAAATTACACACACATACACACAGACACGAACACACATGTATACATTATGACTTTGCATAGCAAAACCACAGAAGAATTTCTCACCTTGGATCTGTTGCTGACATAACGTGTAGCTTTAGGCAAATTCTTTTTATGCATGAATTTTAGAGTAATTTAGAAGAAGTTAAGATAATATACCTGATACCAATGTTACTGATCCAGTAACTAAGTTGCACTTGCTTATGGAGGATGCTGCTTAAAATGGATAGACATTTGGCCAGGCACGGTGGCTCACGCCTGTAATCCCAGCACTTTGGGAGGCCAAGGTGGGCGGATCACGAGGTCAGGAGATCGAGACCATCCTGGCTAACACGGTAAAACCCCGTCTCTACTAAAAATACAAAAAATTAGCCAGGCATGGTGGTGGGCACCTGTAGTCCCAGCTACTCGAGAGGCTGAGGCAGGAGAATGGCGTGAACCCGGGAGGCGGAGCTTACAGTGAGCCTAGATCGTGCCACTGCACTCCAGCCTGGGCAACAGAGTGAGACTCTGTCTCAAAAAAAAGAAAAAAAAAAGATAGACATTTATTTGGGTTTCCATAGTGTACAGTTTATGGTACCTGGCCATCTCAGAGGATAGTCAGGACCATCTTTCTTGCTGCAGACTTGATCACAGACTCTACCTCACTGCACCATTGCTATTCCTCTAGTCTTCTGCTTTTACATTTTGAAGTCCATACTCTTGCTTCTGTTCAATCATTACTTACTCTGGCCCACTACAACAGGAAATTTGTCTATACTTCAGGAGTAAAGTTTTCGCTGTCACCTCTCTCCTTCCATTCTTTTCAATGACTTCTGCATTTATACTATTTTCGAGACAGGGTCTCACTCTGTTACCCAGGCTAAAGTGCAGTGGCGCCGTCATGGCTCATTGCATCCTCAAACTCCTGGGCTCGATAGTTCTTTCCACCTCAGCCTCCCTACTAGCTGGGACTACTCGTGTGTACCACCATGCCCAGCTAATTTTTGTTGCTGTTGTAGCAGAGATAGAGTCTTGCTCTGTTGCCCAGGCTGGTGCAACAGGCTGGGGTCTCTTGCCCAGGCTCGAACTCCAGGCCTCAAGCAATTCTCCTGCCTCAGCTTCCCAAAGTGCTGGGATTACAGGCATGAGGCACTGCACCCAGCCAACTTCTGCATTTACAAAGATAATTTTTTACAAACCACAAAACAATTTTAAGCATTTGACTTTGTTGCCCAAAGGCACCGTTTTACCATCTAATTCTTGGGGATTATTTATTTTGCCATCTGCTCTGGTTTTCCACAACTAAAAAATATGCTTTGTGCTTCCTTTGGAGCATTTTATCTCTCATTATTATATTCTCTTCTTTAATTGTGACCTTTTTGGCCACATAAGATTTTCCTCACTACCCTTAAGTGTTCTATGAGCAGTTGCTTTCTTAGCGCTGCAAATAGTACAAAAGACTCATTCCTCCAACCTTTTTTAGATTGAAAGTACCTTTTTTGTCAGACTGTGTATTAGTCATCTATATGTTTACTATAACAACCAGCATGGTACTTTGATCTTGCTACATACTCAATAAACTTGTGAATTGAAACTGAGTAAGGAAATACTGAGAATTTTATAAAGATCTTCCACTTCCAGTGATAAATGCATGTGTTTATCACCCATCCCTCCCATATTCCACTGAAGTTAAAGGAGTAATTTTTAATTAATATATGACAGCCCTGGAGAATGAGAAAAGGTTCCCTCCACCAATTGAAAATTTGGGGCTGGGCGCGGTGGCTCACGCCTGTAATCCTAGCACTTTGGGAGGCCAAGGCAGGTGGATCACGAGGTCAGGAGATCGAGACCATCTTGGCTAACATGGTGAAAACCCGTCTGTACTAAAAATACAAAAACAAAATTAGCTGGGCGTGGTGGCAGGCGCCTGTAGTCCCAGCTACTAGGGAGGCTGAGGCAGGAGAATGGTGTGTACCCTGGAGGCGGAACTTGCAGTGAGCCAAGATAGCACCACTGCACTCCAGCCTGGGCAACAGAGCGAGACTCCATCTCAAAAAAAAAAAAAAAAAAACAGAAAAAGAAAATTTGGGAAACTTTCTAGGAAAAAAAGTTTTAAAATTATGATGGAAGCAGATCTGAGAAATTGCAATCCAAAAAACAGGTCTAGGAGAAAACTACATATGCAAACGCTGTTCTTCTTTTGTTTTTTGTTTGTTTGTTTTGTTTTGTTTTTGAGACAGAGTCTCGCTCTGTCACCGGGCTGGAGTGCAGTGGCGCTATCTCGGCTCACTGCAAGCTCCGCTTCCCGGGTTCAAGCGATTCTCCTGCCTCAGCCCCTCGAGTAGCTGGGACTACAGGCACGTGCCACCACGCCCAGCTAATTTTTGTATTTTTAGTAGAGATGCGGTTTCACCATGTTGGCCAGGATGATCTCGATCTCTTGACCTCGTGATCCGCCCACCTCAGCCTCCCCAAGTGCTGGGATTACAGGCGTGAGCCACCGCGCCCACCCGGCCGCAAATGGGGTTCTTCTTTACTGAGTCCTGCAGAAACTGTAAGCTCACGGTCATTAGGCACAAAAACACATTAATGATCCATGGGCAATCCACAAATTAAAAAATGATAATGTATATATACGTTTTGGAACTATAATAATATACGATTATAGATATAAAATCATATTGTAGTTCCGAAGCGTTTCTGTTTTAAATGAAATTAAGAAAACCCCAGGTTTAATGCTGGATTTGAAGAAAAGAGGCAAAAATTTTCAATGTTAATGTACAGTTTTCATTTGCCTTGTTTTTTTTTTTTTTTTGGCAATGAGTATATATTGGGCTAGTACATTTAGCTTACTAATACCTTTTCTGACTTCTTCCTTGCTGATAAAATCCAGTGATCAACAATGTTAGTCATAACCAATCAAATCTCTTCTGTTCTCTAATTTTCACCTCTCTCAAGCAGCCAGAAGCTGGCCCTATGGTTCAGTTTTGGCCAATGAAACACACTCAGAAGTTTACTGGTAAGGGTACTGATACGGTTTGGCTCTGTGTCCGCATCCACGTTTCATGTTGAATTGTAATCCCCACATGTTGGAGGAGGGTCCTTGGAAGGAGGTGATTAACTCATGGGGGCAGACTTCCTCCTTGCAGTTCTTACGATAGAGTTCTCATGAGATCTGGTTATTTGAAAGTGTGTAGCACTTCCCCTTTGCTCTCTCTCCTGCTCTGGCCATACCAAGACTGTGCCTTCTTTCCCTTTGCCTTCCCACATGATTGTAAGTTTCCTAAGACCTTCCCAGCTATGCTTCCTCTACAGCCTGTGGAACAGTGAGTCAATTAAACCTCTTTTCTTCATAAATTATCCCATCTCAGGGGATGTCTGTATGTCTTTATAGCAGTGTGAGAACAGATTAATACAGGCAAAGATGTGCTAGAATTGCCCTACTCTCCCTTTGTCCTGCCCTGAATGTACACATGATGTCATAAGCTGTAGCAACAATGTATGTACACAAAGAAACAAGCATGAGTACAAAAGAATACAACTACTGGTGAAGTGGAAATCCAGGCTTCCTGCTGACATTGTTGTGTTGCTTTATGGATGGTTGTGCAATCCCTTCTTCAAGACTGTTTATTAGGTGAGAAAACTCAATCCTAATTTGTTTAAATAAATGTTTTTCTGATTATTTGCTTGATCTAATCCTAATTAATAACGTCATTATTTTTGATAAAGAACATGTTGTAGTTTCTTAATTTTTAAAGTCTAGTTGGAAATATAAGATAAACGTAAATTGTAAAAGCACCTACAGACTTACACAAATGTATATATTAAAATGAAATAACATAAAATTAAATAGACCTATCTTACAAACCAAGATGGATTTAATTTTCATATTAATATCCATATTTCATTATTCAAAATCTCAAAATTAACATCAATAATAAGATTTTGTCAGCTATGACCTCATCCTGTCAAGCCCATTCAACTGAAATCATTTACAGGGCACTCTACCATCAAGTCACTAAAATCTCAAATTTAAAAGAATCTCAGTCTTGTTTGCAGTATCCCTAGAAGAAGTTTCTGTGATACTGAAATGTTGGCCCCTTCTAAGCTGACAAAAATGTCTAAGTCAGTTGGTGCTATTACAGCACAAACACATCATATTCATGTGATTCAGGCTCTGCTCCTCTGTTTCTGACAAATGATGGCACTATTGAAAAAGCTGTCAATTCTCTCAGAGGTGTAATTTTATAAAGGACTAATTTTTTCACACTGCCTAATGAGATTTTGCTAGCAAATAAGTGCCTAAAACATATGGGGATAATGCTCATTAAATCCAAGGAAACTGTTATCTTTAGAACTGTCAGAGTTGAACTTTTAAGGAGATAAAAACTGATTTTTTGTTCAAAATTAATTGCTTTTGTCTACTGTTAAACATATATGTTAGGTCTAAAGACAGAATTTGTGCTAACTTCTACAACTGTTTGACAATTCATTAAACAGCATCATGTTTATGCTTTCTTAGAAAACTAAAATCTTGCTTGCTTTATCCAGTTCACCTGAGTTTATTATTGGCAAAGTTTTATATTAGGAAAGTATAATGCATCTCTACATTCCTATCATTCTTTGTGTCTATGACATGTATTAGCTCATGAACATTATTTTTATAAAATACTATATTCATATATACTATACAGCTTCTATTCATAGATACTATACACAGTCTCCACAAATGGAGATTTTTTTGCCCCCCAAAAGAGAGATTGCACATTAATTTTCTTTTAAAGTAAGAACATATAATTGTTATGTGGTATCCAGAAAGAGAGTTCAATGTATATTTGCAGTTGATGATGATTATGGTCATGATAATGATAGTCATGGTTAAAATAATATACTTGCATTTTAAAAGTATTGTACACATTATTCACTTTTTTGGTTGAGAGTTTGCTTCAGTAAATATACCTATGTCATCACAGAATAAGAAATCTGAAGTAGGCATTGGCTCATGGCTAAACAAAGAAGTTATTATCATTTGCATACTCCCACAGAAGCATGCCTAAATAAAAAGCAGCCCAGATAGGAAGAGTGTTGGCATTGGTATTTGAGCTATTGTCACAAGGGAAACTGATTGATAATTAAGTAAAAGGAAGTAACTTCCTTGAATGAAAGTGAAAGCTAAATAATTTTCTTCCTTTCTTCCTCCTCTTTCTCTTCTTTCTCCTTCCCTTTTTCCCTTTTTTCTTTCTCTTTCTTTCTTTCTTTCCTTTCTTTCTCTCTCTCTTTCTCTTTCTTTCTTCCTTCCTTCCTTTCTTTTTTCTTTCTCTCTCGCTCTCTTTTCTGTTTATTTCTTTCCACAAAGACCAGATGTTGTCAGCTTCTTTCAGACACTCAACTTGGACCCTTCTCAAGATGCTTTAATAGCTTGGTAGCCCCATCCAACTGTTGTTCCTAAAAGTATACGGCATATACTAACCCTCAGCCAGACGGGAGCTATACACGATGCTAGACTTTATAGGCATAAGGGTATCCCACCCTTGAGATATTCACTCGTATAACACCTATCATCTATATAAATAAGAATTTTCCAGTCCCAGCAGAGTTTAACGTGAGATAAATCCCAAGGTTCCCTGGGATGTAAACTCAGCAGGTCTACACTTCAACCTAGGCCTACAGGGCTGGATTTGTGCTTGCAACTCATTGTTCCTGTCTTTATTTGCTATGTGATCTTGGATAATTTCAAGTATGTGATTGCGATTTGCACTTGGAAATAATGAATAGGGAAATTCACCTAACCTGGTTACATGTCAAATCAATGATTACTAATTAACAAATCCATAACCCAGTAAACAAATTCCATGTTGGTTAAGCTACAATTCTTGTTTTCTTTAACGGAAAGTGTGGAATTTATTCTTAGTCCAAGTTTTCTTGTGACAGATAAACATGAATCTGGTTTATAGCTTCACATTGTATCTGTTCTTTGAAAATCACCCAAACATATTTACATGGAAGTAAACTAAAATTGACGCCATTATTGGCCAAAGTGATGTCAAGAAGATCTGAAAAGAATATGAGAAAAATAGAGGCCATAATAGAGAAGAGTGAATTAAATATATATATCCTAAAAACATTATGCAGTAAGTGAAAGAGAACAGTAGCCAGAAGCAAGAGCACAGGGTGGAAAACATCACTTTAATCCCTTGCTAATTCTCGCAGATCCAAGCTCTTTGTGGAAACCGAGATATGAAACTCACGGGCCTTAGGCATATAAAAAACATCTAAAGTTAAAAAGCTCACATCAGGTCTCCAGAAGGCTTAATCTTTATGTTAGAAAACAGTAGGAAAGCATAATCTTTTTCTAGATCCATATAAGATGAGAGATTTCCAGATAAGTCAAAAATGTTAAGAAATTACTTTGGAAAACAGGAATAGTATTTTTGAAATCATAAAACTAAATGTAAGAAAATAAAATTGGGGTCAGTACCAAGGAATACACAAAACTATATTACTAAAATGGTTACTATTTTTAACAATAACATCTTAATATTGAATGATAAAATACAACAAATTTAAAGACTATATTTGAAGATTTAGGTTAAGAAAAAGTACTTGAATAAATATAATTAGGTAAAAATTTAACCGTTTATACTTTTACCAAAAAAGGCTTTTACATAAAGTTGAAGCATTCAAAACAAAGTATTCAAGTAGAAATTTAAATCAAGGTCATAAAGTAAACTTGTAGTCATCAAAAAAATACAATTTATTCCCAGCACTTTGGGAGGCTGACGTGGGCGGATGGATCACCTGAGGTCAGGAGTTCAAGACCAGCCTGACCAACAAGGCGAAACTCTGTCTCTACCAAAATATACAAAAGTTAGCCAAGTATGGTGGTGTGCAACTGTAGTCCCAGCTACTGGGGAGCCTGAGGTAGTAGAATCGCTTGAATGTGGGAGGCAGAGGTTGCTGTGAGCCAAGATCGTGCCACTGCACTCCAGCCTGGACAACAGAATGAGACCCTGTCTCCCCCACAAAAAAATATAATTTATGATGAAAATCAAAGATTCCCTTAATAGTAGCCAAATCGTCATAGGCCTTAAACATAATTTATTACTTAATATATTCATTTTATTGACAATATTATAATTCTGGGTTGGGATGGACATAGAAGGTAAGATATCAAATAATGAAATTTATACTAAAATGAATTCATCAGTGTTTTCCAATGACCTGAAAGAGAGCAAAGTGAAAAAGATGCATCATAGAGATACAATCACCATGAGTTTTGCTTTTTGTTTAGATTGTTTTAGTCCTATCATGTTAAAGAACAAATAGTAGCAGCTCTGGAAGAACTAAAATTGAAAGTCATCTATAACTTTAAGTGTAACCTTAGGTTTTAATGCAGTAGTTCTCAAGTTGAATGAATGTAGGAATTATCTATCTTACTTGATAATATCAAGTTAGATCCCTAGATCCAGCCCCGAAGATTCTGATACAGTGGGTCAGCTAGAGAACTTGATCTACATTTGTAAAAATGCCCTCCTCCAGGAGTTTGGGTGACAGTTGGACACCAGCCCTCAATTTTGAAAAATGTATTCTAGAGGCTCAAGTAAAAATCCAGTAGCCATATTTTCACCCCCTGGTGATAGAGACAATCCTTGTACCCTTTCGAAATATGGAGAAAAGGCTATTGCATTAATAACTTTAAGAAATTTATGACAGGGAGGTTATATGTCCACCAAAATCTATTCTCTTCTTTGCCCGTATTAACTAGCTGCGACATGATTTTCCAGTCGGCCACATTTGCCCTGTGATTAAGCTTTCGCCAACAAAACAAGATTGGAAGTGCTGTGTCCCATTTCTGGTCAGTGCGTTTAAGAAAAGGTTTTTTTTTTTTCACCCTTTTCCCTCTTTATGAGGGTTAAATGGTGATGATCAGAGAGAGTTTAAAAGCCACATTTCATAGCTAGAAGAACTGCCATCAGCCTGACCCCAAATGACTGCCACTAGCTGATATAGATCGCCATCCCTGGACTGTTAAGTGAAAGGAAAACCAACCTCTATTTATCAGTAAAATCTCTGAAATATTGTAGGATCACTTATTAGTCATACAAGCTAATATATAAGGCATAAAAATAAATGTTATCACTATAATAATTTTACTTTATTGAATATTACTGAACTTGTATTATAGGTCAAGCACTAAGCTATTGCTTTAGGCATCCCGACAATTCCATGACACGACACTTATTTATCTTACTTATTGGTGAGGCAACAGAGGCATAAAGAGATCATATAACTGGCTCTAGGTTATTCATCCTGTAAATATTAAAATTAAAATGTGCTGGAGCCAGGCTTCCAACCCAGGTTTGTCTGTTGATATTTTTGTTTTGAACCACTGTGAATTCAGGAAATATTTAATATTTGCATTTTATTTCCATTGAAAACTTAGTAACTTGTTGTGTCTTTACACTTAATAATATTTGTCAGCATCTTATTTAAATTGATAATCACAAGAAGAATGCCTCATTCAGTGACATAGAGATTACTAGTTCAGTAATAGGGAAATAATTTAAATAGCAAAAAAGCCCTGAAGTAGGGTATCCTCAAGGAAGCTGATCAACTGTAGTGTTAAATTAGGGATGATCTGGTAAGGTTTCTTAGAGCCATGACAAACAGATCATCTATGCCTTGCAAGAAGATCAAGCTATAGTTAGGAATATTAGTGTTTCCTGGTCAGGGCAAGTAAACAAACTAAATTCTGGTCTCTGGAAAAATAGCATATTTGAAAAAACTGTGTTTTTTTCTCTGGTTTCATATGATATATATTCGTTTGATGATCCTGTTTGTACTTGCATGTAATTTATTCTTAGAAATAAAAGGTGAAAATTATGATAAGGAAATAACTATCCACTCTGTACCAGGCAATGCTGTAAAGTGGAAGAAATTAGTGGTCATTCTTATTGTTTCCAGCAGAGTCCTACAGGGAAAACTGTGGGAGCTAAGAGATCCTTAAGCTCTAGATCACAAGAATTTAGGGTAGCAACAATTATTCTCTCTTTCTTACAAAATTAATCCCCTAAATGTCCCTTCTGAGCTTGAAACTCTGGAATCTTAGGCATAGACAGAGCAATTCCCTCTCATTTTCTTTTTTCTTTTCTTTTTTTTTTTCCCTCCCCTCCCCTCCCCTTCCCTTTTTTCTTGCCAAAACAAAGGATAAACTTGAGCAAAAAGGGTTCAGTTTTCTGACAGGACAATGAATTGGTGCCTTATCAAGCAGATACATTTAAAATAATGATTCATCAATATCGTAAAAGAGGAGCTGAGTGCCTTAGGAAGGAAATACCATGGCTGTTCCTCAGTTCAAATAGTCTCTCTAATATAGAAAATATTCTGTGGTTCACAGGCCTCTGACCTCAGAGCGCAGTTTTCTGGGACGTTTTGGAAATAGGTAAGGACCTTTTGACTGTCGCAGTGACTGCAGGCCATTGCTGGAATTGGTGTAAAGGAGATATGAATGGGTGACATTTTGTGATGTAAGGGAATTACTCCTTGTCCCACTGTCCTGAGGAACTACTCCTAATCCTATTGGCTTTTTTTCTTGAACATATTTAAGGTATATAACGTGTTGTTTTGACATACTTATCTTGACATACATATACATTACTACATGATTACTGCAATCAAGCAAATTAGCATAGCATCTTCTCATATAGTTTCTTAGTTTTGCTTTGCTTCGTTTTTGCGGTAAGAATACTTATAATCTACTCTCTTGGCAAATTATTAACACCAGTTACAATACAGTATTATTACCTCTAGTCTTCATGTTGTACATTACAGCTCTAGACTTATTTATCCTACATAACTGCAACTCTGTACCCTTTGACATTTTCCTCCACCCCCCCACCCCACCCTGGTAACTACCATTCTACTCTGTTTCTATGTATTTGATTGTTTTGCAGGGAGAGGGGGATAGATTCTGCATATAATTGACATAGCAGTACTTTATTTTCTATGTCTGGCTTATTTCACTTAGCATAATGTCCTTTAGGTTAATCCATGTTGTCACAAGTGGCAGAGTTTCCTTATTTTTTAAGGCTGAATAATATTCCACAGAATGCCTTCCTTTATTCATTCATTTGTCAACAGACACTAAGGTTGTTTCCGATATGTTAACTATTGTGAATATTGTTTCAATGAAAATGAGAGTGCAGCTATCCCTACCAGATGCTTTTATTTCCTTTATGTATATACCCAGAAGAGAGACTGTTAGGTGATACGCCAGTGCTGTTTCAAATTTCTTCAGTGACCTCTATATAGTTTTTCACAGTGGCTGCACCAGTCTACATTTCCACCAACAGTGTACAAGTCCCTCTTTTCTCTGCACTCTGGACAACATTTGTTATTTTTTGCCTTTTTAATAAAAGCCATACTAATGGTTTGTAAGGTGATACCTAATTGTGGCTTTTATTTGTTTGTTTTTTTTATTATCAGCATAGGTTTAATTTAAAAACTTAATAAGATTAAGGTTAAAAATAACCTTTTCATTTGGTGAAAAAGTTAACCAGAGTAGTAACATATACTTAAAGAGAACATTTTCTTGTTCCTTTGCTTAAATTTCAACCAGTAGTTTTGATATAGTATACATCATTTAACCCTTAATTCCCACCATAATAAGATAAAAGAGTGGCACTGGCCAAATATTGTTCTTGCTCAAAAAGATCAACTATAATCACGTAAGTTCATTCTGATATTCATGTTTATTGCCAAAAAATAGATTAAACAGGGATGTTGAATGCTGTGTTATAAAGAACATGCTGCGAATAGTACTCATATTTGGCATTAGAAAACTCTGAGTTCTAATCCTATTCAGCTACTTCCCAACTGGGTAATCTTGGGAAATATAAATTCCCTGAGCCTTGGTTTCAGTATCTGCAAATTGGATGTACTAGCACATATCTTAAAGGATTTCTCTGATTACTAAATAAGATGATGCAAAGTGCCAGGATCCGATGCTCACTAAGGTCTAATGCCTCATCCCTGAATTTTTTTATTATGATTATACTTTAAGTTCTGGGATACACGTGCAGAACTTGCAGGTTTGTTACATATGTATACACATGCCATGGTGGTTTGCTGCAGCCATCAACCCGTCATCTACATTAGGTATTTCTCCTAATGCTTTCCCTCCCCCAGTCCCCCACTCCCTGACAGGCCCCAGTGTGTGATGTTCCCATCCCTGTGTCCATGCATTCTTATTGTTCAACTCCCACTTATGAGTGAGAACATTCACAGTTTGCTTTTCTGTTTCTGTGTTGTTTTGCTGAGAATGATGGTTTCCAGCTTCATCCGTGGCCCTGCAAAGGACATGAACCCATCCTTTTTTATGGCTGCATAGTATTCCATGGTGTATATGTGCCACATTTTCTTTATCCAATCTATTATTGATGGGCATTTGGGTTGGTTCCAAGTCTTTTCTATTGTGAACAGTGTTGCAATAAACATACATGTGCATGTGTCTTTACAGTAGAATGATTTATAATCCTTTGGGTATATACCCAGTTATGGGATTGTTGGGTCAAATGGTATTTCTGGTTCTAGATCCTTGAGGAATCACCATGCTGTCTTCCACAATGGTTGAACTAATTTACACTCCCATCAACAGTGTATAAGTGTTCCTATTTCTCCACATCCTCTCCAGCATCTGTTGTTTCCTGACTTTTTAATGGCCTCCATTCTAACTGGTGTGAGATGGTATCTCATTGTGGTTTTGATTTGCATTTCTCTAATAAGCAGTGATCATGAGCTTTTATTCATATGCTTGTTGGCTGTATAAATGTCTTCTTTTGAAAAGTGTCTGTTCATATTCTTTGCCCACTTTTTAATGGGGTTGTTTTTTTCTTGTAAATTTATCTAAGTTCTTTCTAGATTCTGAATATTAGCCCTTTGTCAAGTGGATACATTGCAAAAATTTTCTCCCTTTCTGTAGGTTGCCGGTTCACTCTGATGATAGTTTATTTTGCTGTGCAAAAGAACATTTGTCAAACATTTGTCAAAATTGACAAATGGAACATTGTCCCATTTGTCAGTTTTGGCTTTTGTTGCCACTGCTTTTGTTGTTTTAGTCATGAAGTATTTGCCCATGCCCATGTCCCAAATGACACTGCCTAGGTTTTCTTCTAGGGTTTTTATGGTTTTAGGTCTTACATTTAAGTCTTTAAACCATCTTGAATTGATTTTTGTATAAGCTGTAAGGAAGGGATCCAGTTTCAGTTTTCTTCTATTGAATTTAGCAGTAAGACTGATTGAAGAACAATAGTTGAGTTACTGCAAGTTAAAAAAATCCAACTATATAATGATCCAACTATATAATGAATACCAGGTAAGCATCTTTGCTTTAGAAATGGATGAAAGCATTCTGCATAGAAATAAAGTTTTATGGCTTGGTGAGGTCTGGTTTACCTCTAATTAAAAGTCATAGAGGAAATCTGGTTTTCAGAATTACTAATGAGGCAGTCATGGAAATGAGCTGCTCACATTTCCCACAGCTGGGAACATTGTTCACTGATGGCCTCAGCTGTATCTGATCTATTACTGTGTTCATGCTTAGGCCAATCTTCCCGCAGGCTGTTCTAATCAATGACTGAACACAATGGAGTTATTAGTGTGAGTCCGTTCAAATAGTCCACAGTCCTCCTGGGTGACTTTAGCTTAACGATCTGATATTGGTCTATTTAAACCTTTCTTAAAACTTATTTGTAGTCCAAGATTCTTCTCTCTCCTTTTCCTCTCCTTTCACAAGTGTGAGATTTGCATTGCATTTTGAAGACACTGTGTGTCTTATGTTCCCTCTCCTTTATTCTTCATAGGCATTTCCTCCATTAATTTTCTGAATTTTGTATCCTACCTTTCTGTCTTCTGCCTTGGTGCTTCTTGGAGGGTCTGTACTGACAATCTAACAGTAAGGATAAAGGAAATGACAATTTTAATTTTAATTGATTTTAATTTTTTATTTTTATAGACAGAGTCTCCCCTGTCACATAGGCTGGATTACAGCTGTGAAATTATAGTTCACTGAAGCCTCAAACTCTCGGGCTCAAGTGATCCTCCCAAGTGGCTATTACTACAGGCACATCCCATTGCACCCACCTAAGGAAATGACAATTTCTATAACCTTTATATATTAGTTCATATGAAAAATATTTTCTCTCTAGTATCATTGTGTACACAATAGATGTAACACTAGCTATGAGCAGTCAGTAACATGGGTGTAAAGCCACATTTTTAAAATTTCCTCAAATGTTTTAGCATTTATTTTAATATTTGTCAATCACACTTAACCACTCAGAATTATACTTAAAGACTTCATAAACCAAAAATTGTTGTTATCAGTGATATTCATATAATTAATGCAATCCACTGAATAATAAATTTCATAAACTGTGAAGAGATAATAAAGAAGAAATGAACAACTGATTCTAAAATGATCCTAAAACAACTTTGTTCACTAATTGATTTTATTGTAGAATTGTTTTAATCAAACACAAGTTGAATACCAAAATTAAAATGTTGTGAAATGATGTGACATATCTTCAAATATGTATTTGAAGAGATAAATGAGGCCCTTCCTATGAGATAAAGAAAGCAATGGCAGTATCAAGAAATGTATCAACAATTTTATACTATTTAAAAATCTTTGCTTGCCAAGAACTTTGTTTCCATATTTGTAGCAGCTAAATAAGGATAAGCTCAGGCATACAGAAATGGAACTATATTGCTCTCATTTGTGTGCTACTTAAAGAGATATAATGATTAAATTTAAAAACTGTATGAACATGCAATCCTAGATTGGATGATTAATCCATTTGAAATGGATGTGAAACATGTTATCCAATAATTGAAGAGGAGTTAATTAAAAAATGATTTTGAAGCCAAAATATGATTTAATACATCTAGTTATGATAGGTTTTGGACCCAATTAAAACTTACATACCCACTCCTTGGAAAGAAACTCAATTTATTATGATAGCATTTTCAACTATGTATTTTGATTAAAGCAGATGTCTTTGTGCAGTAGTACAATTATTGAAAGGCAAAATCAACTGAAAATATATAAGAAAGAAATTTGAGGGTTTTTTGTTTTTTAACAGTAAAAGAACCAAATTCTATTAAATTAACAGAGACATGAAATTCAGAGATATCATTGAACTTCCTTAGTAAAGGTGATTTAAACAATGTTTCATATCCAATTACAAATATTTGAAAATTATACATCAAATTATTTGTTTGTTAGATGTATTTTGTTGTTTTTTTCAGTCCTATATTATACTCTCCCAGATCTACCTTACACACTGTAAGGAATTTTGTGGTATTGTCTTTTTCACCCCTTACCCTTCCATTTAGTTTTACTTAATGTCTAAGTTTTTTTTAAGTGATAGAAATATTCAGTTTGCCTCAATGGAGAAGGTGAGATTTTGTGTCAGAGACTGATGCTTCTTTGAGTAATAGACCCATGGATATTTTATCCAGTTACATGGTCAAATTCCCAGTCTCTTCTCTATTTAGGTATGGTCATGTGATGAAGTCTGGGTCAATTACATAAGGAAGAGGTAATGTCTGTAACTTCTGAATCAGCTCCTCAATCACAGAATTCCTTATCCTGGACTTCTCTTCCCTCTTGCTAGGAGCTAGGAAATGGTGACACCACTACTACCTTGCAAGCCACATCCTGGGATTGGTGAAGCCATCTGATTTGCCTTTTGCTGTCATCTCTAGAATATACAATGAGAAGTAAAATCTATTGTGCTTCAGTCACTAAAGTTTAAGCTCTTTGTTGTAGCAACTAAATCTGCTTCTTAACAAATACAAATTTTCAGATATAATTTGTCTTCTGTGATACCTTGTTACTACTTCATTCTATGTCATAACACGAAATTATTTTGACATTAACTTACATCTAAGGTACAGTTTATGAGAATATCTTCTTCCTCATTTCCTCCACTTCAACAGTCTAGTTTGTCTTGGCATATTATTCCTATGCCAATTAATTTCCATATTTCTCTTCTCAAACACATAAACAAAAGATAAGCAAAATCTGGCTTATTTTTACTTATTCCAACATTAAGTTTTATTCTGTATTTTCATGTCCTTTTTATACAGATGGCTTCTGATTTTTTAAAAACTTTTCTTATACCAACATTTATTAGTTATAAGTTGATTCCAGTATCAAGCTGTTTTATTATTTCTTCTTGTTTAATTATGCCCAAGCAATCACATTAAAATACAATGTTTTTAATTACTTTTTGCCTTTATATTGCAAATAAGTATATATAATTTCTTGGAAATGTTGTGTTTACTTACATTATGTTATCTATGAATTTTATTTCAGGATAATAAATTGAACATTTCTTATAAATAACATTTGTATGTGCTATAAAGAGAGGGTATTGGAAGTGCGAGTCTTGGAACCATAGATCTGGCATGCCCACATGGCTTATGCAGGAGGATCTTACAAATACATATATTACTTTTCCTGGGTGGAAATGTGGTAAATACAATATCCTAGGCCAACATATCACTGCCTGATGGATTAACACTGGGGCTCACATGGGCCTTCAATTATTTTTCTCTGGTAGACTTATCTTAATGAAAAAGGTTTAAGAAATGTGTGTCATGGGAGAAGTTAGGTTTCAGCTAAGGTAAAGGAGTGGAAGGAGTATTAGATGACATTGTGGATGACGTTTAACAATCTGTTCTAAAAGAGTCGAGATCCCACAGGGGCATAGGGGCATAGCAGTGCAGGTAAGTATATAATGGGATTCGGGAGTCTCATTAATACTAACAAAACAAACAACTGGAGTGAAAAAAGGAAGGGAAAAATTCTTCAGCTAGAAAATAGAAATGTAGGAGGATATTTATATACTTATCTACTTAATATATTTGTTTTACATGTCTTCCACAGATTGAAGTAAACATTAGAAGGGGAATGTGAAGCAAAAATGATTTATGATTCTTATTAATCTTATAGTTTAGTGGTTGGAAATATAAACTGGATTGATGTTAAGACAATAAGCAGCTACTACTTATTTAGATAATACTATGGGATTAGCAGTAGGCTAGGCACTTTATATATATGATGCCTTTTATTCCCCATGAGTAAGGTATTAATAATCTATTTTAAAAGGAGAAAACTAAAGCCTGCAGATACAAAGTAGCTTGTCCCAAATCACAAAGCTTATAAGTTAAACTTTGACTGTTCTAATTCAAAAAAATCCTTGCAACTCTCAAATGCCAGGATGCTATATAACTGAGCTGAATTTAATTACCAAAAAAATCCAACTATGGACCGTCAAGGTTTGGGATTTTGTCAATTCTATTGTGAAGAAAGGAAGAAAAAAAGATACAGCAATATTTGAATTTGTGACTAATAACTCTGAACCCTCATGTTTGGCCTTTTGGAACCTCACAAAAAGAACTTTATTGTCTCTATTGTAAGAAAGGAAAACCAAAACTTTTGAGTCCACACTATATGTCAGTTCTTTGGAAATGTTGGAAATGATTATGAAACATGTTTAAAAAAAATCACAAAAATACTAAGAGACTAGTTTAAAACCCATCATCTTTTTATTTTAAGATGCTGTCTTCCAGCACCACTTCAAATCTGTGTGGTAGTGACTTCACCGCCTGAAGATAAAGTGACTCTTTAGGAAGTTAGTCCCCAACTTGGAAAATAATTTAGGAAGCTGCGGGGCATTGGGTAGAGCAAAACCACTAAAATTTAAAAATATATGTTGAAGGAAATGGTAAAGGAAATTTTAGAGTTCATGTATTGGAAACCCATGAGCAAGTATCATAGAAGAGAACACTGATGGGGACACCATTGTACGCCTTTCCAGCACAACAAACAAAATTCCTCACAATTTCTTCTAAGCTCTGTCTTGGATGTGACTTCTCCATGCTGGGCAACAAATCTGAAGCCTAGTC
The DNA here is from genome assembly GCF_000001405.40 of Homo sapiens. Taxonomy (NCBI): domain Eukaryota; kingdom Metazoa; phylum Chordata; class Mammalia; order Primates; family Hominidae; genus Homo; species Homo sapiens. The sequence continues at coordinate 30,609,600 of NC_000018.10, forward strand.
TGCTAAGATTCAGTGGACTTATATAACATAGGTTAACTCAGTCTCCTGTGACCACTTTTCAGGGAATATTTACCAGGTCTAATCAACCTATATTTTTAATGAATTTTAAAGATGTGGAGAAGCAAAGGAAAACCAGTTTCTTTACGGCCTCAACAGTGGTGAAATACTCTCATCTTCTCATCTGTCATGGTACCCACCAAATGAACGAGATTAATTCTATAAAAGTATGTTGAACTAAAGCAACATTTCTCTGCATTTCCCTTAATGTCTTGGATCATTTTTGCACTCACAAGTCTCATCTATTTATTTGTAGCAAAAGAGATTTATGTTTTATGTTATTTATATTGACTCTTGTTTGCCACTGAATATCACTCATATATACCTAATCTCAGAGCAATAGATAAATGAAAGAGGTAAAACAAAAATAACACACAAAGAGAAGACAATGAAACCTAACATATTGACACATATTTAAGCCTGTAATGGACATGCATTAGTTTAGTCTGCATGGTATTCATTTGCATTGAGGGGAAAGCTAATTGGCCATTGTTGGAATCGGGCATGTGGCTTGCAGTCAATGTGTAGTTCTCATTCATATTTATCCTTGGCCCAGGATGGGCCAATGGACCAAAGAAATATTTTTCTCTGAGATTTGAATCTTGAGCAAAGAGACACCAAGTGTGAAAATGTTTGAAGCTAATTTATATCAACACTGCTGGCCTGAAGACATTATTCATTGTTTCCTGTGTCCCACTTCTAGAAAGAAGATAACAAGACCTGGAGTTTGGTCTTTGTCTTTTGTCTTTGAACATCACTGTTGGCTTGCTGAAGTTAGCCAGAATCAGCTTCTCTTACTTGAACCCTGGCTGACACAGACTTACCAAAAATAATATTTCTCCACTTCTTCCTTTATCCTCTTCTCTCTTGATCCTCCCATTATTAGAGCGGATGATCTTTAGATTATTGCAATTCCTTATTTATAATTAGAATTATGATTATTGTTCATTATTTTGTGTGTGGGCATATGTATTGTTCAAGTATATGTGATTGACCATGAAAAAAACACTTTTTTCTGTAAACATGAAGTTATCTATTTGGAAAGCTATCTGAGGACTTTTCAAGGCAATAATAATCTGCAAAATTATGTCTCCTTACTCCTCAACACATACACCATACTAGTTACTGAATTTCTGAATATAATTTGATCTAGAAGGTCTAGATAAAATGAATAATAGTATGTCACATCAATCCCCATATTCTTAGTCATAGTAAGACAACACAGTTGCTATGTTTTCAAAGATTTTTTAAAATCTATTTCATGTTTAAATGAAATATTAATAGTTAATACTACAAATGTCTCTTGGGATATTGTAGGTATTAAATAATATTTGTTACAAAAATGTGTAATTTTCTACACCTTGAGCTGGTGTTGTGTTAGGAAGCTACTTACAAACAGGTAAGCTAAGTCCTTCAAAGTCTCAACTGATCCATGCCGGTCATAAAGCAGCTTAATTGCTTCTTCTTGACTTATATTCTCCAGCAAAAATGTTAGGAAAGGACTGGACATAGGAAGTTGTGTATTGAAAACGTTAAATCCCACAGAGTAATTAAAACTGCAGGGGGTAATTCAGTTTGAGGATAAAAGGAACCACAAGGACTGAATTTAGTTACTCTCTTGCTTATCCTCCTCCTAGAAAAATAAACAAATGATATTAAACAACAGTATTCAAACATTAAACAATAGGGAGCACAGAACTGTGAACACAGACAAAAAAGGAAACAAGTTTGCAAGATAAGACAAACTTGAACCTACTTAGTGTCTGGAGCCAGTTTCTAGCTTATGCCTCAGGAAGGGAAAATCCAAACATATCCTAGAAGAGAGACAGAGATCTGAGTTTTGGAGATAGTAGGAGGACAATACTTAGCTAATATTGTGAGACAGTGTACCAGGGGGAAGATAGATACACAGAGAAAGAACTTGAGAGATCTGCAGAGCAGTACTCTGGAGTCCTTCTCTTAACAATGATTTGAGCATATGTGAGAAAAAATTTCCTGAAGCTGAAGACTAAACCCTCATAAAGGAGTAGGTAGAATAATTTCTATATACACAAACATGATCTAACAAAGAGAAAGGCAAGACTCAAATAAGTTAATTGATTCAAAAACTCATAATTGCACATCAGTACAAAACGCACCATATCAAGGAAAAAATCAGAATACAACACTCAATAATGTCAATTCACAGTATGAGTCTTCCAATAAAAAAAATTACCAGACATGCAAAGATGTAGGCAATTATAATTAATGATCAAGAGGAAAATTAATAATAGACACACACCCAGAAAGAACAGGATTTTAGACCTAGCACATACAGATATTAAAATAGCTATTTTACACATCATTAGATTCAAAAAGCTGTAGGAAAATAAGAGCAAGATAATGTTGGGAGAGGCAATTTGGCATAGGTCCTGAGTGTTCTAGCATGTTCTTACTGGATATGCCAAGGAAGAAAGGTTCTAATTACTCTTGTCAGGACCATTTCTCAAGGTTACATATGCAGTAAGCGACATGGAGTGGAGTTGTTTACAGGACTCTGTCAAATGGCAGATTCTCTACACTGAATGTTCCTCTCCTACAATGAAGCCCACTGCGTATGGGGGGTGGATACCTAGACCCAGGTTCATTTTCCTTGTTGTACTTAGAAAGCACAGAAAACCACCAAGAACATAAAGCCTATGCTACCTCCTGTGCCATGGGGAATAAAGCCTTTCGTCTTTGACCCAAAAGTCTCATGTTGTCTGCCAGCATCCATGAAACGGTAATAGTCTAGTTTGTTAGTTTGCTATAGGCTAAAATCTGCACTGTTTTTTTTTTTTTAACAATTATGGCAAAGGGGTTGGGGTACTTTCACTTTCTGGAAACAGGCCAGGTTAGGGGATGTGAGAAGACTCCCTGGCATCTGGTAGAAAATGTTCTTTCTAAGTTGTGGGTAAGGCATGAAGGATTAAGGGTCCCCCCTGCTTTACCTGTGAATGAATGTTTAAAGAATAAACAGCAAGAGATAAAATTGAAACAAGTTGTCCAAATGGTGCTTTGATTTTTGTTCATTATTTTCTGGGTACAAATAGGAAAGGAATTATCATGGAATTTGTGCAGCAAGCTAAGCCATCATATCCCCTGTGACCTACACGTATAGATCCAGATGGCCTGAAGCAAGTGAAGAATCACAAAAGAAGTGAAAATGGCCAGTTCCTGTCTTAAGTGATGACATTACCTTGTGAAATTCCTTCTCCTGGCTCAGAAGCTCCCCCATTGAGCACCTTGTAACCCCGGCCCCTGCCAGCCAGAGAACATCCCCTTTGACTGTAATTTTCCACTACCTACCCAAATCCTATAAAGTGGCCCCACCCCATCTCCTTTCGCTGACTCTCTTTTCAGACTCAGCCGGCCTGCACCCAGGTGAAATAAACAGCCTTGTTGCTCACACAAAGCCTGTTTGGTGGTCTCTTCACAGGGACGCAAGTGACAAAGGCGAAAGGCAATATGGCTGAGGCCACTGAGTCTAGGGGTCTCCAGATCTGAAATGAATGGTGTCAGGAATAAGGACATAGAGCACTGACTAAAATGAAAACATTAGCAGTCAGTCTATTGAGTCCAAGAGGGCAGCTATGAAAAACTTACAGGGAATGCAAAGCTTTGGCTACTGGCAGAGTCTGTTTGTTTTCTCTCTCTCTCTCTCTCTCTCTCTCTCTCTCTCTCTCTCTCTCTCTCTCTCTCCCTCTCCCTCTCTCTCTCTCTCTGTGCTTCTTGATCTCTTCCTCCACCTTTACTCAAACCTATGATTTTTTAAGGCAAAAGCCTAATATTATAGAGAAGTTCATGGGGTGGAGGAAAACAAACTTTTATAGTTTGCTGGGATATAGGCACCCAAGTCAATATACTACCTAGTCCCAAGAGGGGTAGGGTTCGGAGCACAGGAATGGCTGAGGGCACTGTGAACTGAAGGCAGAGCTGCAGCAGCATGTGAAGGGGCAGAAAGAAAGAACTCCTGTGTGAGGCACTTTCCAGAATTAGGAGATGCATATGGAGAAGGTGACAACCAGTCCTTTAGTGAGAAACTGAAAAAAAACAAAAAGGTTCCCCGGTCAGCCTCCTTCCCTTCTTCCAGCCTCATGCCCCTGACACAGATAACATGAGCTCTTAGCCATCACAAATTGTCCCTGATAAGTGTTATTTAAAAGTCCTGTTCTTGCTTCAGTAAGGGAAAAAAATAAAAAAGAATCTAGGTATGATCAATAGGTTTTGGTCCACATAAGAATTTAGAAAATATTTTAAATTGAATTAAAATGAAACTATAAAACATGAAATAATGTGGTATGCAGCTATATCAGTGCTCAGAATTTTATAGCACTAATCTAGAAATAAGTATAAAAATAAAATAAAGGCATGACCAGATATAAATGAAATAAAATACTGAAAACAATAGAGAAAATCAATGAAACCAAAGGGTGATTTTTTTAAAAGATCAATAGAAATAATAAAATTCTAGCCAGAATAACAAAGAAAAAATAGAAACCAAAAATAGGAAAGAAATGGGGGATATTACTAAAAATCTTATAATTGTGTTATTATTTATAGATAACAAAATCATCTATACAGTAAATCCTAAGAAATCTACAAAAAATGTTACTAGCAGTTATAAATGAGTTAGGTAATTGTTAGTATTTAAAAAGTCCTCATATTACTATATTCTTACAATAAATAACTGAAAATTAAAAATTTTTTAAATTCTCTATAAAAACTATCAAAAATACATGAAATACTTAGGAATTGATTTAAAAGAAAGACCTCTTAAATATACTGAACCTAAACATATAAATATTTAACGATGAATTAAAAAGTAATATAAGTAATACCTGTCTACCTAAAACTACAAACACCAATGAGAAAAATTAAAGACTTAGTGAGAAATATCCTATCCACAAATTAAATAATTCAATTTTTTTTTTTTAAATGAGACAGAGTCTCCCTCTGTCACCCAGGCTGGAGTGCAGTGGTGTGCTCTTGGCTCACTGCAACCTCCGCCTCCTGGATTCCAGCAATTCTCCTGCCTCAGCCTCCCTAGTAGCTGAGATTACAGGCATCTGCCACTACCCCCGGCTATTTTTTGTATTTTTAGTAGAGATGGGGTTTCACCATGTTAGCCAGGCTTGTCTTGAACTCCTGACCTCAGTTGATCCACCTGCCTCACCCTCCCAAAGTGCTGTGATTACAGGCCTGAGCCACTGCGCCAGGCCTTTTTTTTGAGACGGAGTCTCTCTCAGTCGCCAAGGCTACAGTGCAATCTCGGCTCACTGCAACCTCTGCCTCCTAGGTTCAAGAGAGTCTCTCACCTCAGCCTCCCAAGTAACTGGGACTACAGACACGCACCACCACCACCCGCCTAATTTTTGTATGTTTTTAGTGGAAACGGGGTTTCACCATGTTGGCCAGGCTGGTCTTGAACTCCTGACCTCAAGTGATCTGCCCATTGCAGCCTCCCAAAGTGCTGGGAGTACAGATGTGAGCCACCATGCCCAGCCAATATTTTTAAGATATGATTTTTTTTCCAAACTGATCTCTAATATCAATATGATCCCAAGCAATGCTTTTTTTTTTTTTTTTAACAGAAATTCTCAAGCAAAGTCTCAAATAAATATATGGAAAGGTAAATAACCTAAAAAAGCCAAAAACATTTTGAAAAGGAACAAAGATGGAAAACTTATACTAGTTGACTCCAAAACTAATTATAAAGCTTCAATAATTAATATAATGTGACATTCACATAAGGATGGACATATAGAGAAATAAAAAGAATACAGAGTCCAGCATAGAATAACACATATATAGCCATTTGATTTTCAACGCAAGTGCCAAGGTATTCAGTATGAAAGGGATAGTCTTCTTAACTCTCAATGACATTAAACGTCTGTAGATAAACAAGTTGGGTTTATGGTCTTGAGAGAGAACACACAACTTGTGACATCTTAGTAAGTGGGCTATAAGAACAGATTTAATTTACAGTTTGGTCTTTGTGTTAGATGTTTTGGGGAAGGACTTTGCTCTGGATACGATGCTGTGAAGAAGTAGGGGAGAAGTTTATGAGTGGATATCTTAATAAACCATATTTATAACAATGTGACTAGAGTGAGGCTAAAGATGTAATTGGTAAAGAAGTAACAGTCACTCATATTATCCAAGATAGAAGGATATTTGGTCATTTTCTAATGGTTTGTATAATATTTCTGCTTTGGGTTCAGACCATTCAACATCATTGGTCTTTAGGTAATGCAAATTTAAAACACAATGAGACAACACTACACAACTGCAGAATAGCTAAAATTGAAAGTATTGACAAGGTAAAGTGGTAATGAGAACGTGGAGGAACAGAAACTCTCATTCACAGCTACTGGGAATGAATAATGGAAAACAATTTAGCAATTTCCTATAAAGTTAGATTCATACATACTTTAATCCCCAAAATCCTACTGCTACATATTTATCCAAAAAAAATGAAAAATATTTACACACGAAGACTTTACTTGAATATTCATAGCACCTTTAATCAAAATACCCCAACCCAGGAAACAACCCAAATGTTATTACCCAATGAACAGATAAATAAATTTTGGTATATCCATACAATTAAATATATCTATACAACTCAATAAGAAGGAAGAAATTACTCATACGTACAACACCATTTACGAATCTCAAAAGCATCATGCTAAGTGAATTAAAATGAAAAACAATAATTATATACTGTTATTTAATTTACATAAAGAATTTTATTATTCTGTGTACATTATATGCACAATTCTAGAAAAGTGAAAGTTACAGTGAGAGAAAGCAGACTCGTGGCTGTTGGGTTCTGGGGACCATGGGAAGAGTTCTGATGGTAAAGGAGAACGAGGGAACTTTCTGAGTGTCACGAATATGTTCTACGTCATGACTGTTGTGGGGATTATGTGGCTTAATGCGTTTGTCAAAACCCATTGAAGTGTACACATTAAGCTGTAACTTTTATTGATGTAAATTATACCTTAGTAGATTTGATTACACTTAAAAAAAATTCCTTGTGTACTAATGTGGGTGGAACCGTGTTACTGGAATCAACTAGATTTTTTAGTTTCAGAAATTCTTAAGCTGAGAAAGATGTGAGTTCATTCATTTGGGGGCAGAGTTAAAAGAGCCATGAGCCTTGATCTGGCTACAAATAATGGTGAAAGTAAGAAACTATATTACACCTTTGGGAAGAAGAATGGGCACCATAAAACATATGATAAAATATAGGTTTATTCCCTGTGCTTTCCAATTTGCTTGAAGCTGTCCCTGAAAAGGCCATTCTGAATCATGAACACTCATTTTAATTCTATTCCTTCTAGACTTTATTTGCATATGTTTGTTATCTTACACCGCATTTAAGTAAATCAGACTAATTACTATAAACATACATACATGAGAAGCAATATTTGGACAGTGATGAACATCTTAAAATGTGACTACATAAGATGATTGGAATTTCATTAGAATTAAAAATAGAAGTCCCTGAGGAAGAAAGCTTAAATATGAATAACGTTGATTCTTTAATATTATATAAACTGAGCATGTTATTATCAGAGCAGTGGAGGAATACAATTCTGCTGTCACAGAACCATTCTGTCCATTTAATGTTCTTTCAGAGGAATAAAAAGAGAAACTCACATGAAGTGCAATATAGTTTCAAAAGTGTTTACAATGCCAAGTACATTCTCTTGGAATTATTGTCATTACTAAGGATTATCATTAAAATAGCATTATCACAATCTGAAAGATAGTATTACAAAAGTAAAGAATTTCTCCAAACATATAAGATTGAAAGTTCTTATTTTAAGCAAAGTGGTATGTAACAGATTACAGAAATGCACATTTAAATGGAATAACAAGGTCATTATGTAAACATTTACTGAATTTCTTTTATGTTTTGAGCACTATATTTTCACTTTTGTTTTATTTGAGCACTATATATTTCACTTCTGTCTTTTAGAAAAAAATGGTCAAAATTACTTAAATAAAATATTTCAGACAAATTAACTGCTATATATAAATAAGCATTCATTTAAAAAACCTTCAAAGCTTAAGTGAAAAAAGAGAGTTTTCAGTATAAGAAATAAAAATCTTTAGCATAAGATCTTAAAGGTTTTACTCGGAATAATGGCATGTTGATATATATAGAATTAATATAAAAGCATTCATCTGTTTCTCTTTTTGTGTTATACAGTCTTTCTGTCCAAAAAATTTAAAATTATATTCCTAATTTAATTGTAGTCATTTTACAATTTTATTTCAATTTTTATTATATTTACTTAACAAACATATATCAAATGCTTACTGAGTGCTAAATGATATTTTAGGAATGTATTTTGTTTATATTTAAAATAAATATTATTTATTTTATAGTTATTTAACTCTGATAATTAAACTAAATATCGGCCTGTCTTCATGTTGCTACATTTATATATTTATGTGTGTTCTTCTGATAACTTGTTTAGTAGCAATCCTCCTTTATATATCATAAAATACAGAAAATATAGATCAAGCACATTTTATTGATCACTTACATTAGCACATACCAGAGTACTTACTTACAGTAATTTTTCATTAAGTATTTTTAAATCAATAGATAAAAAAATGAATTAAGGTTTATCTTAAAAGCTTCAAAATATTGCTAAAAGTGATAAAGAATAACTGTAATCTTCGAAACAAACTGTAAACAAACTACTTTATTACATTTCATTCATTTGTAGGCATACTTGTTTTATTGTACTTCACTTTATTAAGATACTATGTTTTTTACAAATTGAAGGTTTGTGGCAGCTGCATTGAATAAGTCCATCAGCACTATTTTTCCAACAGCATGTGTTCACTTTGTGTCTATGTCCCATTTAAAAATTTCTCACAAAATTTCAAACGTTTTCATTATTATTATATCTGTTATGGTGATCTGTGTTCAGAAATTTTTGACATTACTATAATTGTTTAGAGACACCACAAACCGCACCCATATGAATTGTTGAACTTAACCAATATTGCATGTGTTCTGACTGCTCCAACAGTCAGCCATTTCCCAGCTCTCTCCCTACCCTGGGGCTTCCCTGTTCCCTGAGACACAACCATATTGAAATTAGGCCGGGTAACAATTCAACAATGGGCTCTAAGTGTTTAAGTGAAAAGGAGGGTCACATGTCTCTCAATTTAAATCAAAAGCTAGAAATGATTAAGCTTAGTGAAGGCATGTTGAAAGCCAAGACAGACAGAAAGTTAGGCCTCCTGTGCCAAACAGTTGGCCAAGTTGCAAATGCAAAAGAAAAGTTCTTGAAGAAAATGCAAAGTGATACTCTAGAGAACACATGAGTGATAAGAGAACAAAACAGCCTGATGGCTGATACAGAGAAAGTTTTGTGGTCTGGATAGAAGGTCAAACCAGTCACAACATTCCCCTAAGCCAAAGCCTAATCCAGGACCCTAACTCTCTTTAATTTTATGAAGACTGAGAGCAGTAAGCAAGCTGCAGAAGAAAATTTGAAGTTAACAGAGATTGTTCGTGTGAACCCCAAATATCTGAGACAGATGTCAGTCAATTTAGGAAGCTTATTTTGCCAAAATTAAGCATGCACACCTGTAACACAGCCTCAGCAGATCCTGATGATGTGTGCCCAAAGTGGTCTAAGCACAGCCTGGTTTTATACATTTTAGGGAGACATGAGATATCAATCAATACATGTAAGATGAACATTGGTTTGGTCCAGAAAGGCAAGACAAGTGGGGAAAGTTTCCAGGTCATAAGTAGATAAGAGAGAAATGGTTACATTCTTTTGAGTTTCTGATTAGCCTTTCCAAAGGAGGCAATCAGATATGCATCTATCTCCATGAGCAGAGAGATGATTTTGAATAGAATAGGAGGCAGATTTGCCCTGAGCAGTTTTCAGCTTGGTTTTTTTCTTTAGCTTAGTGATTTGGGGGCTCCAAGATTTATTTTCCTTTCACATTCAGTAGGTTTAAGAAAAGAATCCATATCCATAATATAAAGGTGTAAGATGAACAGCAAGTATTGATAGAGAAACTGCAGAAGCTGTCTAGAAGATCTAGCCAAGATCATTTAAAAAGATGCCATCTAGGACTTTCAGAACTATAGAAAAATCTACATCAGGCTTCAATGGATACTGCAAACATTGTTGTCTTATTTTAAGAAATTGACACAGCAACCTCAACCTTAAACAACTACCACCTTGATCAGTCAGCAGCCATCAACATTGATGCAATACCATCCACCAGCAAAAAGATTAAAACTCACAGAAAACTCAGATGATTGCTAGCACTTTTTGGCAATATTTTTTAAAGTAGGTACATTGATTTTTAGACATAATACTATTGCATACGTAATGAACTACAGTATAGTGTAAACATCACTTTTATATGTACTGAGAAACCAATTAATTTGCATGACTTGGTTTTTTGCAATATTTACTGTATTGTGGTGATCCAGAATCAAACCTGCAATATCTCCAAGGTATATATGTATTCATTCAAATACTCAGAGGTGATACAGGAAAATGTAATGCATGGGGCCCACATTCAGGAAACTCAAATGTGTAGTAGGTGGAGACAGACTTACAAGCAAATTGTAAGCACCTAAAACATTGTAAGTCTCCAAAGGAAAAGTTGGAGGTAATGGCTGACCTGATGCTCAATAAATGAGTAGCGGGCCAAACCCAAGTGGGAAGAAGACTGGTTTGTTTGTTTCCCTCTTTCTTTCTTTTTTTTTTTTTCTTCTTCTTCTTCTTTTTTTTCTAGGGGGCAGGTAATAAATGTCTTAAGAATGATATCCAAGCATCACTAATATACTTCCTTTCCATGCAATTGTAATTTGGGATCATGTCAGTTTTATTCCCACTATATGATTTGCATATTGTCATAGCTATTCTATAAGTTGCTGTATTTTGAATAAATGTCAGTATGAGAAATGCTTCAAATTATGAGCAATACAAGTCATTCACCAGAGCAATTAGTTCTCATTTTACTTATATGCTCCTTGATTAAGAAAGAACCAAATCTCCGTTGGATGTCTACAGTGATATATTTGGCTGCTGTTTATTGGATGTGTGGAATGACACTGAGCACCATAAATATTCAAATTCACCTACTGCAAAACTCCAAATACGTTTTAATGTCTAAAAGACACAAGTAGTTGAATGTTGGGGAAAACAGGAAGAAAAAATTATATTGACAAATATGGCAAGCTCACAATGCTGATACTTGGTCAATTAGAATATAGTACATACAATAAAATATGACAGCAATTTTTAACATGTATACAAAAGAGGAATTGTATTATTATACCATATGCCAAAAATTAGTGTCATGTTATTGCTTGTGTTCCCAAAGACAACTGTTTTATAAGCTAGAAGTAATAAGATTTATTTTACTATAAATATGAATGATTTGATTTGATCCAGTATTTACATATTCTATTACCTTAGGGAAGTTATACAATCTCCTTGAGCCCTACTTCCTATCTTTCATAGTATTCTTGAGGTTTATGTCATACAAATACCAGCAAGCAAATTTTTTCCTGGCATATGGAGGTATTCTAAATAAGGTAAAGTATCAAACCTCAAAGAAGTGTAAAATATTGTATGCTCCATGTCGGCGCCTAATACAGAGTAACTTTACTGGTGAAAAGCAAAACAAAAAAAAGTTCCTGGAATGTCTAAATATCGGATTATCTTATCAGAAACATTTTTAAGAGAAGCTAAAATAATGTTAGTGATGATGCTGAATTTCATCTGAGCCCTAAAAACTGATGGTTAAAAAATTCTCCACCCTTTTGTGTATTCAGAAAAGGCTTTCTCCAAAGACCCTTCCTTCCCTATATGGCTTAGGTAAGATTTGCTCTACCCTTTCTACCGACTCCCATAAAACTGGAAGCTGGCTCCCTTGTTTATATGTGCCAAGACCAAAATAGACTTTTCACCTTTTGCCTAAAAGGACTGATGCAGCCCCTTCGACTTCCAGTCTTTTGTCTCATGAAGGACTAGGCGAGATTAAAACTTTGTTCATCGCTTGCTAGACATAAGAACAAACATTTTCTGTTCAGCTAACTGACTGAGGTTTCCGATTGCAATAACAGTCCCAATTGTAAATCCTTCACCTTTAACTTGCCTACTTCTCTGTAAAAGTTTTAAGGCAAAACCATCCTTCTGAGACTGATTCTCAGATCTCCCTATTGCAATAGTCTGAGTAAAATCAATTTCCTTACTTATTTGGCTTTTGCTAAAAAGATATTCATTTATGCATTAATCAAATATTTACTGAGTACCCACTATGTGTTCTCCCCTCTTCCAAGTTCTGAGGATTCCGCAGTAAACAAAACAGAAAAATGTCCTGATTTCAAAGAGCTTACGTTTTTATGTAAAGTGAAACAAGATTTTTAAAAATGGAAGCAAATAAATATATATGTGACAGACAATTGTACATGTTATAAAGATACAATATGGCAGGTAAGGGATAAACCGTGGCACAATGAGGAACGCTACATAAAAGTGCTAATATGTAGAGTCGTCAGAGTGGTGACCTATAATGACTTGAGAGACTGACATTGTTTGACTAGCTGGGAAAATTGCATTCTAGACATAAGGAAAGGAAGGACAAAGATGACAAGTTGATTGGTACAGAAACAAAGGAAGGCAGGGTGACTACAGGAGATGGCAAGAAATGACATAAAAGAAATGGGGTCTCATTTCTTTGTGTTACTATTCCATTCTCTCCTGGAATAGTGATGTTATAAATTTGTATAACTTTATATCTTGTAACATTGGAATAGTATAGTTATATTAATGTAGACTGTAAGAGGTGTGTGTGTGTGTGTGTGTTTGTGTGTGTGTGTGTGTGTGTAGGGGGCAGGGGCCAAGTAGGTAATTTTGATGCTTAATGTCCAACCTGTGTTTGGTAGTAGATAGTTCCTAATTCTCATAAGATTTTACCAAGAACAACTCATTAAGCTTTTGTTTAATTTTGTTGAAAACAAAGATTTTAAAAACTAGCAAAGTCATGATTTGCAAAACTATTAGTTACTTTATCATTTTAGTCTTCGATTTCCTCAGTACCAACATTAACATCTGTATGGCTCCCTAGCGTTTTTAGGGAAGTGTGCCATCCTGAGTTCAGGGGTGGCGAAGGTGTATGTTTCTTTTGTAAATTGTGAGAAGGGTAACCAAATAAGGAGAACCGGCACGAATTTGTATCAGGGAAGAACACAATGGAGAAAGTATTAAAACTATTTCCCACTTTATTCCTTGAAAAGTCTTTGTGTATCCCAATTAGTATGCACACATCACATTGAAAATCACCGATCTAGAAGAAAAAGTCTCAGAAAAAGAAAGAGGTATCCAGAAGACCCACTGAACAGTTTTAAGAAGGGGGACATGGTCAACTATGTCAAATGATGTAGCTTGGTTGAATAAAAGGAGGACTACATATTGACTATAGGATTTTTTGATGTGTAGGCTATTGATGAACTTGACAGTGGAGTTTTAATGTTGCAGTTCAAGAAACAATAGAATGAATTTTAATGGAACCAATTAGACTATGTAAGGTTTCAGTGAGGGGAGATACAGGGCAGTTAATTGCATGTGAAGCAGAGTCAAAATATTTCATTTTTGTTATTTTTGATTACGGCACATATACCTAATGTATTTGTGGTTTTAATTATAACATATAATTGTAACTCATATATATGCACACACACGTATACATATATAAGTACATATACACATATATATACACATGTAGTTAACACTTATTATTCATGAATTGTGTATTTGTAACTTACTTGCTGAAATTTATGTGTAACCACGAAATCAATATCTGTGGTGTTTTTCCAGTCATTGATGGCCACGAACAGTGCAGTAAAAAAATTTGAATCACTGGGTGTGCACATTCCTAGTTGAAGTCAAATGAGGTAATGCCAATGCTCTGCCTTCTCGTTTCAGCTTTTGTATTGTAAATAAGTGTTCTTTTCACAATTTATTTAGTTTCATTTTTTTACATTTTTGTGTTCTTTGTTGTTGATTTTCACGATTTAAAATGATCCCCAAGTGTGGTACTGAAATGTTGCTGTCTAGTGTTTCAAAGCACAAAAGCTTTTATAAGTCTTGCAGAGAAAATGTGAGTATTAGACAAGCATCATTCAGGCATTAGTCATAGTGCTATTGGCCCTGCATTTAATGTTGATGAATCAAAAATAATACAGTACATCTACAAAAAGGAAGAGGGAATTCACTGATCTATATGTGAGGCTGCTCTGGAAAGTCCTAAAGTAATATCTATAGTGTATGAAGAAAGCTATGGAGAAAATAGAAAAATAGATAAATTTGTACATTCATGAGATAATGACGGATAAAAGAAAAAAAGACTGTGAGTCACATTGTTATGTAAAAGCCAGAGAAATTTACAGTCACATTATCCAGGGTCAGAAAAATTTAAACCTATCCCAGCTAGGGCTGGTTGCCCCTCACATTTCAAAAGGATATCTGGCATGAACATGTTAAACTTGAAGGGGAGACAAATTCTGAAGTCCAGGGATGGAAGAATTTTTAAAATACTTGCTAAGTGTCACAAAGGATTATGTGGAAGAGCAGGTTTTCAAAGCTGATGAGGCAAGAATATTGCCAAATGAACCCATATATTGCAAATGGCTTTCAAATCTTCTAATTTTCAATCATTCAAAATCATGCAATTAATTACTTTTAAAAAAATAGATATTAAATATGGTGTCTTTAAACAGAAACACACATAAGATCAAACATTGTGGCCTGAGGTTCTCAGGAATCTAACCTTATATTTCCTCCATTTCCTCCAGGATCAGGGGTTGCATATTTTCTAACACAGTGTTCCCAGTGACTTTCAAGAACATAACTAGCACTAATATAGAGAAATAGATATTGCTATAGACTGAATGTGTCCCCTCAAAATTTACATGTTGAAAACTAATCCCCTATGTGATGGTATTTGGGGAAGAGATTTTGGGAGGTAATTAGGTCGTGAAGGCAGAGCCTTCTCATGAATAGGATTAGTGCCCTAGTAAGGGACTCTACCTAGCTCCTTCACCCATTCTGCCACGTGAGAACAAAGCAAGAAGATAGCTATCTATGAGCCAGGAAACAGGACCTCACCAGACACTGAATCTGCAGGCACCTTGATCTTGCACTTCTCAGCTTTCAAAACTATGAAAAATAAATTTTTGTTATTTACAATCCACCCAGTCTATGGTATTCTTTTATGGCAGCCTTAATAACTAAGACATACTTACATACATGTGTGTGTTTACACAGTTGTGTATCCATATACATGATGCAGGATTTGTTTTGGCCACTTTGTGGAACTCACAACAGGAGTGAACATTTACTCAGCCTACTGCGCTTAACCCTTTGTGGGAGGCAGCATGTGAGTGAACAAGTGCAAGACCTGGCTGGCTGCCCCAAGCACTGGGATGAGCAAACTCCATGTGGGGCCCATAGGCAGAGCAAGCACGAGTGAACGAGTGCAGGATCCAGCCAGCAAGGCCCATGTGGAGCTGATGGTGGGACCTAGGTGGGTGAGCCTGTGACCCCAAAGCCCCAGAGGGAGTGTTATAGTACTCTCTTAGCTCCTCTGTTTGTGAACAGCTGTGTGTTAACAGCTCAGTTGGCCCCTGCCTCATCGTGTGGGGCACCTGCCCTCTGCCAGTGAGGGCAAACAGCTGGTGTAACAGCCTTTTTGAGTACCTGCACTTGGTGGGTCCCGAGCTCTTGTCTGTTGTCCTAGAAGAATGAGGTCACACAGACACTGGAAGGATGGTAAAGGCGGAGGACATCATTGAGTAGTGAAAATGGTTCTCAGCAGAGAGAGGAGCTGGAGAGGGGACATGAAGGGCAGGTAGTCTTCCCCAAAGTCAAGCTGTCTTCTTTTCTTCTCCCCAAAGTCTGGCTGTCTCTTCCACAAAGTCAAGCCATCTTTCTTCCCTAATGTTTGGCTGTCTCTCTCTCTCTCTCTCTCTCTCTCTCTCTCTCTCTCTCTCTCTCTCTCTACTGACTGGGTATTTGGTCTTTATTGGCACAGAGTTGGGGCTTGGTGGGGTGGGCTGTAGGTAGTTTTGGAAAAGGCAACATTTGATTGGCAGAAAGATATTATTCAGAAAGAACCAATTGGGAGTGAGTGGGCAAACAGGAATAGAAGCTCTCACTTTGGGCCATGGGTTTCAGGCTTTTCAGCTTGAAGGTGTGGTTTCACCAGGAACCTACCCCTGTTTGCCTAGAATTTCTCTGCCTTCTGCTTCTGTCATTTCCTCCTCTGAAGAGGCACATCTAACTACCATTAGAATACAGTCGATGACTGATCTTAGCTACTTTCTGCTGGCAGAGGGCATTGTTTTAGAGAAAATGGCGGTCAAATTTCTCTCAGAGGCCTACCTGAGGTTCCCAGTAAAAGGGAGCTATTGTCTGATGCTCCAGTTGCCTAATTGCTACAAGTTTCATGGCCGCCAGGCAAGAAGAAACAAGTTTTACCAGGTTAAGTATGCATGGATCAAATATGTTTATTATAAAAAGAAGAGTTAAAAATGAAAGAATCTAGTGCCAAAGATTACAGAAATAAGAAGTGACATATACTAATCATTCTGAAAACAATATTGTGTCCCAGGTTGTTTCACTCGGGTGAAAGAAATTAAATCTTGTATGGGAGCAGTTAAATTTTAGAACAGATATAACTGTTTACGGGAAGAGATATTCCCATGGGTGTTCAGGAGTAAGGGGTCTTTGGTAAAGATTTGCCCCATGGTGAAGAACAGAATGAAGGTAAGAACAACAAGCATAGGCAAGACTATAAAGAGGATATCTATGGAAGGTAAATTATTAGCACTTATCTTTTTTGATTTTTAGCTTGAGGTTCCAGATTTCTTCACAATGGTACTTTGAGTGCTCTTCTGGGTTGACAGAGGTATCTCTGTCAGCTTCCCAGGCCTTTACTTGGGTATAATGAATCCAAAATGTTCTATTTCAGTGACTTTTACTGGCGTAGTAGAAAGAAATGCATTGTAACGTCCCTCCCAATCTGGTCCTATAGAGGGAGAAAGGGAAGGAAGTACCTTTACCAGTACCAGGTCCCCTCGCTTGAATAGAGGTGGCCCTAGTTCACAGGATAGGGGCTCCAACAGTTGTTTCAGTTCCTGTTGGAAACAGGCCAAAGAAATTACATGTTTAATCAGATCAGAGATTTCTTGGTCTAGCAAGAAATCCTTGATGAGAAAAGGCCATCCATACATCATTTTGAAGAAACCCAAACCCAGCTTTGAAGGGGTGTTTCTAATACGTAGTAAGGCTATGGGAAGAAAGGTACTCCAGGGAAGGTTAGTCTTCTGAAACAGTTTCCTGAGTTGCCCTTTGATAACATCATTCATCTTTTCTACCTTTCTCAAGGACTGTGGTCTCCAAACGCAATGAAGGTGGTATCGCATGCCTAATGCCTTTGAGACCCCCTGGGTGACTGTCTCCTAGAACAAAGCGCCATTATTGCTCCGGAGGTACTTAGGGAGTCCAAAGTGAGGAATTATTTCATGAATTGGTAATTTTATCACCTCAGAGGCTTTCTCTGTCTGACATGGAAATGTGTTTACCCAGTAATTGAAGGTATCTATCCATAGTAGGAGGAATTGGATGCCCCTTGCCTTTGACATATGGGCAAAATCCATTTGCCAGTCTTCCCCTGGGTAGCTTCTTGTTCTTTGAGTCCCAGGAGGAAGAAGCCATCAACTGAGGGGATTATTTTTAAGGCAAGTCTTCCAAGCATTAATGACCTCTTCATCCATTTGTAGCAGATTTTTTACCTGAGAATAACCTCTGGGTCAATTGATAGGTTTTATTTTTACCTAAGTGGAAGGCCTGGTAAAGGATTTTAAGAAACTTTCCATTGGCTGGCAGCTGGTAGATGAAGCTTGCCATCCTCCAGTTGTAGCCATCCTGTGGACTGAAAGATGTATCCCCAAGAGGTGGCCCATTCTAGTTCCACAAGAGAATATTGTTTCTCCATTATTTCTCTTATGGCGTCTTCCTAGATTAGAGGGGCTTCAAGTGGATCAGAAATCTAGGACTTCTCACTGCCGAATTAGCTACTTGGTCTGCCAACCTATTTCCTTCAGCTTTTTCATCCATCCTCTTTTTGTGGCCTTTAAAATGTATGACTGCCACTTCCCATGGGAGGAAAACTGAGGATAATAATCTGTTAATTTCCTGACGGTGTTTAATGGGAAACCTGTTAGCTGTGAGGAAGTTCCTCTCTTTCCAGGTAGTGGCATGGGCATGAGGGACTAGGAAAGCATACTTAGAGTTAGTATAAATGTTAACTGCTTTTCCTTTGCTTAATTTGAGCACCCTCATGAGGGCAATTAGCTCAGCTAATTGAGCACTTGTGCCCAAGGAGAGAGATGCACTCTCAACAAAGCCATTCAGGGTAACTATTGCATACCCTGCTTTATGGATCCCTTGCTCTACAAAAGAACTTCTGTCAGTAAAGAGAATCCAATCTGGGTTTTCTAAGTGGGTTTCCTTGAGGTCCTCTCTGGCTGCAGAAGTTTGCACTACTATCTGTTCACAGTCATGTTCAAGCTCCCTAGCTTCCTCTGGGAGGAAGGTGGCTGGATTTTGGGAGAGACAGGTTCTTAGTTGGACTTCAGATTCCTCTAATAGCAGAGCTTGATACCTGAGGAGGTGGTTGTCATTAGCAAGACACTCGCCTTAGAAATAGCAGTCCTGCCACATTATGTGGGGTATAAATGATTAAGTTTTTTTTCCGTCGTTAACTTAGTAGCCTCTGGTACCAGCAAGGCTACTGCTGCAACTTCCCCGAGGCACACCAGTCATCCTTTAGCTAGTAATCAAGCTTCTTACTTAGTCTACAGGCTGCAGGGCTGGACCTCGGGCCTGGGTTAGAACTCCCAGGGCTGTTCCCTACCTTTCTGATATACAAAGATTAAACATCTTCCCTGTGGGAAAACTAAAGACTGGTGCCTTAAGCAAGGCTTGTTTTAGTTGGTCAAAGGCCTTTAAGCCTCTGGTTCCCAAATTAGGGACTGAGATTTAGCTGCCTGAGTCTCCTTTATTAGGTGATATAAGGGACAAGCTATTTCAGCAAACCCAGGTATCTGTAGTCTGCAGAATCCTGTAATGCCCAACAATCCCCTCAGCTGCTTGAGGGTTTTGGGGAAGGAAAAGGAGGAGATGGGCTTAATCGTTTCTTTGCTTAATGCCCTGGTTCCCTCTGACAAGATCAGACCTAGGTACATCACTGAAGTCTAACAGAGCTGAGCTTTAGATTTTGAAATTTTGTATCTTCTGTCAGCCAGAAAATTAAGAGCCTTTCTGCCCCCCTGAGAGATTTCCTTAGTTGGGGAACAGAGGAGAATGTCATCTACGTATTGTAAAACTTTAACCTGAGGATAAAGGAACTCAGGGAGAGAGGTCTTTGGACAATGCCTGCCCAAACAGGTGGGGGCTGTCTCAGAATCCCTGAGGTAACACTGTCCAGGTTAGTTGGGTGGTCTGGTTGGAGGGATCCTCAAATGCAAACAAATATTGGGAGTCAGGTGTAATGGCATGCAGAAAAATGCAACCTTTAGGTCCAGAATTGTGAACCATTTAATTTCCTCAAGTATTTGAGTTAGCAGGGTATAAAGAATAGGAACCATTGAATGAATTTGAAGCACAGCCTCATTAACGAGACAGATGTCTTGGACCAGTCTCCATTTCCCATTGGGTTTTCGTACCACCAATATCGGGGTACTACAAGGGCTATTGCAGGGTTTGAGGAAGCCCTGCATCTTCAAGTTATCAATAATGGCTTCTAGTCATTTTCTAATTTCTGGTTTCAGGGGATATTGTCTCTAGTTAAGGAAGGAGGTGGAATCCTTAAGGTGGATCCAGACTGGTATGGTGGTTGCGGCTAGGTCAATTTTCCCTTGAATTGCCCAAACTTCTGGGTTGCTATCCATCTCCATTGGAAGGAGACAGAGTGTGTTCTGGGACCATCAGGATGGTGGTCTCCAGACAGGCTAGAATATCCCTGCCCAGCAGGGGAATTGGGCTTTCTGGCATAATTAGAAAGGCATGGGTGAACAAGAGGTCTCACCAACTATAACTAAGGGGTTGGAAAAAATATCAGGTTAAAGGCTTTCCTGAGATGCCCCTTATGGTCATGCTAAGATAGGAGTGGGATCCTGGTTGAAGAGGAGAACTGAAAGGCCCACTCCAGTGTCCCGGAAGAGGTCCACCTTTCTTCCTTTGATTTCCAGAATCACCTGGGGCTCCTGTATGGTAATGGTGGTCTGCACCAGCGGAGTCAGGGAAAGGAGCCCTGGGACCCATCAGTTCTGCTGAACCATTTGGGAGATTGTCTCTGGACCTGGTGATCTGCATCTCTGGGGACAGTCCACCCTCTGATGGTCCCCATTGCAGATTGAACAGGGTCAAGGTGGCTTCCTCATGCTATTGGGACAGTCCTTCCTAAAATGCCCTGGCTTGTCACATTGATAGCAGTTACCAGGTGCATCCCAGGGATTCTGGATTTGGCGGGCCTGAAATGCAGCCATTAAAGCCTCCACCATTTTCTTGTCTCTCCTCTCTCTCCACTGGCCCTCCTCCGTATCTCTATTGTAAAAGACCAAAGTGGCCACTTTCAGAAGGTTCTCTAAAGTACTATCTTGTCTTATGGCAGTTTCCTCCTGATATCAAAGGCTGCCTGAGTAATAAATTTATCTGATAAGATTAGTTGTCCCTTAACTTAATAAGGAAATAGAGGTGTGTTTTACCAAGGCCCCTCTTAGCTTTTCTAGGAAGGCAGTGGAATTCTCATCAAATCCCTGATTTATCATGGATAGTTTGAAGTAGTTGAGAGGCTTAGTGCTAGTCCTACATAAGCCCTCCAGTATGCACACCTGAAAGTATTTCTCTTCCATTCTCCCATTTTATCACTGGGATCCCATTTGGGGTTGTTCAATGGCACTGCTTCTCTTCCAACTGAATAAAACTCATCTCCTTCCCTGATACTACATGAGATACAAAGCTCATCCCCAAATCTCTCTTCCACTTGCAGAGCATCCTGCTTCTCAGTGTTAGGGTGTGTTTCAAAAGTAACATAATGTCTTTCCAGGAGAGTTCAAATACTTGGGCTAAGGTCTGGAAAGCCTATACATATCTGTCAGTGTCATTGGAACTTTTGCCAAGATCCCCCTTAATTTGCCTTAAGTCCTGGAGAGAGAAGGTGACTTGGACCTTACTGGGGCCATATTCACTAGGCATCTTTTGTAGGGGCAGGAGTGAGACTGGGGATTGTCTAGAGTGAGGGTTTCTAGGAGGGGACAAGTGGAAGAGAGAAACTGAATAGGGAGGACAGGGTGGACCCAGAGGAGCAGGGCTGGAAAGAGCTGGCTCCCCTGTTGTAGGTGCCTCTAGGGGTTGCTTCTTTAGTTTCCTGGGATTGCCCCTGGCAGCTTCTTCTGAGATGGCCAACAGGAGGGCTGGATCAATCCTACAATGTTGGCAAAGGTCTGAATTATCCTTCAAGGTAAAGAAAGCCAGCACATATGGGGCCTCAGATCATTCACCCTTGCATTTACAGAAAAGATCCAGCTGCAGGATGGCATTTAAATGAATGTTACCTTCCTGAGGCCAAGTCCTTCCTGGAAATCATAATATGACCAAAATTTTGTACAAAGTGCTATGAGGTATTTTTTCTCCAGAATCTGAGGGTCAAAGCAGTCCCAGTGGTTCAGGATACACTCCAGAGAAGTGTAGACTGAAGATAATTGATTATCCATCTACGAGAGAGGGAATTAGATGCCCCTTAGTTCTTTTCTCTCTTTCAGTGAGAACCTGGGGTGTCTAAGGGAGAGAAAAAAGGGCATTCTTATTTTTTCTCCTGTCTTTTTATCCCCAAGTCCTGGTGACCTAGACAGATGCCACGTAAACAGATGAATGTGAGGGTGACCTGCACGCCCCCTGCGTCAGGGGTCCTAGATGAAGGATATAATGGCATTTACCTATGCCATCTGTCCTCCCTATTGTCAGTAGCCTTTGCGTTCCCTAGACCTCATTTATGCCATGGATACTAGCATGACCTCTATCCATGAAATGGGGGCTTAATCAGCAATAATTAGTCATGCTCACCTGTGCTGTGTCCATTGACTTCCATTGTCCTGTGCCTCTGGATCCCTCAGATCCAGTTTCCCTTACTAGGGCTTTAGCCTGAAGGTTGAAATTGAGTTTGAGGCAAAAATGTGTCTCAGGAAAGTTCACATATTTATTTAAGTGAAGTCCCAGACAGCCCTCACCAAATTTGCAGCCAGCAGCTGGCGAGGTCTCTCCTCTGTTGCTTCCCTATCATAAGCAGAGTGCTAAGGTAGGAAAAAAACCTCTTGCATAGAAAAGCTCCCTGCATTTGCAGGGCTGTGTTAACTCCTCATGTGGTGGAGAAAAGAAAAAAGAAAGCCTAAGTGCAGGGCAGGGACAGTGCCTGGGGGGAAAAACACTTCTTTCTCTATGCAAATGGATTCTTTCAATAGGGAGAGACTCTTAATTGGTGTTCCCTTATTTTGATTCAGATTGAGATGGACCCCTTGGCCAGGAGAGGAAAGGCCCACAGTCATGTGGCAGGAGGGGGAAGTGGGTAGGAAATGCTGGCCAGATGGCTGTGCAGGGCCCCTGGCCTCAGAGACAGCCCTGGGGCCCAAGCTGTGGCCGTGGCTCACTCCCACTCCAGGTGGTCACTGGGCACAGTGTGTGCACACAGCAGCCTTGGCCACACATTCCAGCTGAGAGGGGAGGGAGGAGCAGAGAGCTGATATGTACCCATCTGTCCACTGTGCACCTGCAGCTGCTGGGATGGGGTTGGGTAATGCATCTGTAAGAACAGACAGAAATCACATTGTTCTGAACTGCATGTCTGATGGCGGGGCCAAATGTTCATTCTACCCAGTAATGTTTCTGCAGTTTGCAGTCACACCATTAATATTATTAAAAAAAAAGAAAAAGAAATAGAAGCCATTTCAAACCATGAAAGAAGGAAGGAAAAATACCATTAAAAATTCTGGGGGTCTTGGCTGACACCCTTATCGGGGGTTGAGGACAGGGCCAGTCTACAGGCCTTCTAGCAACACTGAAGAGTGGCCTCAGAAAGAGGCCTTTGGTTGCCCAGGACCTTTTTCCAGTTCCACACAATGGCTAGATCTCTGTGAAGGGAAACAAAGCAAACAGCCCTTTCACCTGAAAAAGAGAGAGGTGGCAGGGTCACATCCTGTCCTCTACAGTTGTGCCATTTGCCCTTACCTGGCCCCTCAGAGGTTTGGTGCTTCATCAGCCTTCAGAGGAAAGTCTGAGGACAAGAAGTCTTGCAGAAAACATGAAGAGTCAGATCTGCATTTACTCACCCATTTGAGGAATCCCAGACAAGCCCCCAGATGATGCAGGATTTTTCTCATCCTCTTTGTCAGACTCATGACAGGGGTGAATGTTTACTTGGCCCACCGCACTCAACCTCTTGAAGGAGTGAGAACCTGAGTGAGTGCAGTACCCAGCCAGCCACTCTGGGCATTGACGCAGGAGCAAGCTCCATGTGGGGCCCACAACTGCACCCAGGTGGAGGTGCCTGTGACCCCAAAGCCCCAGAGGGAGTGTTACAGTGTTCTCTTAGCTCTGCTGTTCATGGATGACTGTGTGCTAACAGCTCAGTTGGCCCCTTGCCTCATTACATGGGGCAGCTGCCCTCCATTGGCGAGGACAAATAGCTGGTATGACAGCCTTTTTGGGTATCTACACTCAATGATTCCCGAGCTCTAGTTTGGTGTTCAAAAAGTATGAGGTTGCATGGACACTTGAAGGATGGTGAAGCAGAGAACTTTACTGGATATGGTTCTCAGTGGAGAGGGGAGCTGGAGAGGGGATTGGGAGGGCAGGTAGTCTTCCCCAAAGTCAGGCCATTTTCTCCCCGAAGTCCACCCATCTTTTCTCTGAAGTCAAGCTATCCCTTCCCCAAATTCCAGGGGTCTTTCTCTCTCTACTGGCTGAGTCTGGGGTCTTTATAGGCACAGGATTGGGGCAGGGTGAGCAGTAGGTAGTTTTGGAAAAGGCAATATTTGGCTGGTAAAAATACATTATTCAGAAAGAACCAATTGGGAGAGAGTGGGCAAACAGGAATAGAAGTTTTCACTTTGGGCCATGGGTTTCAGGCTTTTTGGCTTGAAGGTGGAGTTTCAAGACAGGGACCTGCCTCTGTCTGCCTAGAATTTCTCTGCCTCCTACCTCTATCATATACACATACACATAGTCCTTGCAATGTTCCAGTAGATATGAAAAAAATTGATAATAACTGAGAGAGAAGAAACTATTTAAGGAGGAATATCCAAAAATTAATGAGATATTAGAATGCAATGTGCAGATTGAGCTTGGTGTCATTAGATTGTGGCAGTAAGTCAATTCATTATAACATAATACAGAGAAAACAAATGTACAGATAACAGCTGAGTTGGTCAACATGTAATTATACACATCTAGAAGTTTTCCAATTTTTCTATTCATGAATGGCATGGTTAGTAACTTAGAGTTAGAAGAAAGACAAGGTTATAGAGCTTTGAGGAAAGAAGAGCCAATAAGAGTTGAATGACAGAGTGAATTTACCAGAGAAGTATAGAGTAGGATTGCCTGGAAGGAGTAAAGCCCCTTTGAGGTTTGTAATAATGAATTTAAAATGAGTCCTGTCAGCATTTTTATGTTTTTTCTCAAACCACTTTCAGTTTTTCAGGTGCAGGAAGGAATATGTACAGAATTGCATTTAAACATGTTGAAGTTTTGCCAGAAGGAAGATTCTTAATGCTACAATTTAAATATATTTTTAGAATTTTAGAATTGGAAGAAACTTTAGAAGTTTTTTTTATTACCTTTGGGAGAAAAAAATCAGAACACAGCTTTTGAAGATGGATAAACTTGCTCTCAAATGCCAAGTACATTTATTATTAGTCATAACAAATTAGAAATAATATACTACTACTTTCAGACTACTTTAAGATTAAAATAAAACAAAACAAAAATTTAGAGTAAATGTGGATTGCAGGACCAAATACAGAAGTGGTATTAAAAAAACTAAATTTATTTCACCTTTGTCTGCATTTAAAGAAAGACTGGGGATCTTCAGAAACATTTAGAGTCTCAAAATATTTACAGCTTTTTACTCCACTGCTGCTGACTATTTTTAAATTCTTCAATGACTTTAACAGGAGAGAAATTTTAGTAGCTGAAGTACACTTGTCTGGATTCTCTTAATCTGATAGAATTTGCCTTTTCTTAAGGCCAGAGGGTCCCAATCACTAAGAATAACTTCTCTTTAGTGGCTTTCTCTTTTGCAGTTTTCATGTGGCATTAATCTTGGCCAATAGTTGATATAACACAAAAAGCTTTCTCTGTAGGCAGTTTACCATCAATGAAGAGAATGACAACACCGAAGCTTCCTTGTGAAAAGAGTAGACCTCTTCAAATAATCCTTCCACAGTACCTGACTTTAAAATAAATTTTTAGCATAGAACTATTAGAGTAGGTAGATGGCAAGACATGAGCAGGAGGAGAGACCCTGAGAAAAGGGAGGTCTGGAAAATCTCACACCCCAGAGACCACCAGGAATATGCATGTCTAGACTGATACACAGGTGTAATAAGTATAGATTTGATTGTTATACACCCTTTCTGGGGTGTCGGTAATAAGCAATGCTGCCATTAGGTAGAATTTGTATCCAACACTGGGCCCATGCATGCTCATCAATTAATAGTAAGGGAAAATCCCACAACTCTGGGCAGGAACTAGGCAGGGGGGAACTAGACAGGGGCAAAAGTGGGGACTTAAGGCTGCAGTGAGAAAATAAAGATGAAAAAGCAGAGGCCGGGTGCAGTGGCTCATGCCTGTAATCCTAGCACTTTGGGAGGCTGAGGCAGATGGATCACAAGGTTGGGAGATCAAGACCAGCCTGACCAACATGGTGAAACTCCGTCTCTACTAAAAATACAAAAATTAGCTGGGCGTGATGGTGCGCACCTGTAATCCCAGCTACTCAGGAGGCTGAGGCAGGAGAATCGCTTGAACCTGGGAGGCAGACGTTGCAATGAGCCGAGATCACACCACTGCACTCCAGCCTAGGTGACAGAGCGAGACTCTGTCTCAAAAAAAAAAAAAAAAAAAAAAAAAAAAGCAAAGACAGAGGCAGGAACTTCAAGAAAAAATCCAACATCATGAAAACCCAATGCAGTACTCTTGGGATTGCTGCTGGCTCATTCTCTTTCAGCATCCCAGTCTACCTCATTATTCAGAGTGTACTCTCTCTCTAAATAAACTCTCTGCCCTCTATTTTTCTTCAATAAATTATCTTTTTAGGCCAGTTGGCCTCTTGGCCAAATTCTTTCTCCCAAGACTACTAAGGACTGAGGATTCCTGCACTTTGCAGTACCAGAACTTCAACTTATTTAATGATGAATTTAAATAATTCAGCTTATTTATCTTCTCTTGGTGGTCACCCTTTTCCTTCGGTAAGTCCACGTCTTACCCAGTACAGGGCTCAGGTCTGCTGACAGTTCCATGGGTCTGACATTCAAACCTCAGACTTGAGGTTTTAAAATTCTTTCACTTCAATATTGTGGCAATAACTCACCATGTAAGTTTCTTTCTAATGTTGTAGCTCAATTCCATGCATGGACTCCTGCTTTGTTCTAGAATTAAGCTCATCTCAGTTTGTCAAGGCAGCTCCAGCCTTTCCGTCTGTGAGTTCACCTCTTGATAACGCATTTCTAGACAATCAATGAGTAGAAACCTGCTCTCTCATTCATACAGCCTACTCCCTCCTCCACCATACAACACACTAGCTATAGTAATATTATTTTGGTGCATGCTGTTACTGGGTACAATTAACCCATACCAATCACTTTTCCTGCGTCATCTATTTTTTCTACATAGCAGAAGCTTCTATTATAACAGTTTTACAAATGTAGATGGTGAAAAGAAAGTTAAACAGTTCTTGCTCTCTTGAAGCTACATCCCAGCAGCAGAGACAGTTATTAAGCTGCTAATTGCAAAATTGACTATTAAATGGCAGTAGTAATGAGTGCTGCAACAAGACAAGAGTACACTAGGTACCTATCATGAACTGCAGACCTGGCTGCTTTGGGGAGGTCAGGAAAGTTGGGGACACACTCCTTGAGGAAATACTATTTGAGCTAAATTCCAAAAGATGAACTGAAATTAACTCTAATGATGGAGGAGGAGGAGGAGAAGAGTGGGCATTTCAGAAAAAAAAAAAAAAAAAAATCCATCCTAAAGACATTGCAGAAAGAACCAAGATAAAACACTGGGACTGGGGTGCCTAGACTGAAAGGAAGAGGAGCAGAGGATGAGCCTGTGGTCAGAAGTCAGGCCATGAAAGACATGAAGGCTGCAGCAGGACTTTGTTGTATCCTGAAAGCAAGGAGAGCATCTTGAAGTGATCTGGGAGGAATGACGGGAGGGAGGTAGCTGGAATGAAAGCTGGGAGAATGGTTCACAAAGAATTGCAGTACTGCAAGATGATGGCCTTCTGTGGAGGTAGATGGGAAGGAAAAAGTAAATGGGATTAAGGCAAATTTGGTAGGAAGAATAAGCTGAGTATCATGGCTGCATTAGCTATAGGGGTAAGAGTGATGAATGAATGCTAGCCAGCTAGACAAAGTACCATAACCTTAATAAACCAGAATGATGATCTTTTACAGTGTTTAAAAGTTTTCTTACCTCAGAGTATCTTTCTAGGTTTGAAAGTGTTTTCTTTCATGGTACATCACTGTAACCTGGAACTAGGAAACAGAGAAAGCCTAGATTGATAGAGTTGAGAAGGGAAGTTCAGCCATGGAGAGGACCCAGAGAGCAGGTGGCAAAAGAGTCAAAGATTAAAACCAAGAAGTTAATTATTTGCCAATATGACATTAGGTACCAAGTGATTTATTTGCAGAGCTGCATTCTTGGCAACTTTGGATAATATACATAATCTGTGAATACTATCATCACATAATTACTGTTTACTGAGTGTCTCCCTTCTACGAGGTATACATATTACCTGAGTTTATAAATTTCCTAAGGCTAATCCTCTGGGGGTAATATTCTTAATGATCACGTGGCTCATCCGCAGTTAGAAAGGTGGTTCCTAGCAGAGGTTGGATAAAACCTAAGTCTGTGTTGCTCGTAGGCTGAAGCTTAAAGTCAGTCTGCAACACAGTAAAGCAGAGAGAGTCCGTGAAAACTATGTCTTTGTTTCCTCACACTGCTGAGGGTTGTAAGTCAAAACCAAACTCCAAATTGTGACCCAAGTCTAGCTAAACACAGGGATGAGGTTGCCAAGGGATCTCAAATCCTCTTTTGATTGGAGTTTCACATTCTGATTTGTCTCCAAGAAAATGGGTTAGGTGAGTCCATTTCTGTGTATTATCAAAAGCCTGATATAGTGGGGAGTGGGTATAGGTGGAAGATGTAGGTGAAAAAGCCAGGTGAATTTTGGGGGACATAGATAGGACCTACTTAAAGCAAGAAGTGGTATATTAAAAGTACCTGACACCAGCTTAACACTTTCAAAAGTACTAAATGAAAGCACAGTTACAGTTTGTTTTATAGTTACTCTCTAAAAATAAACCTATTGTTCAACTTAAAAGAAAGATCGTCTTTAGTTTCCTTTCAGACTGGGAATGCTGAGATTCTTTCCCCATATTGCACCCGTGTTCAGATGTCCATATCTTCCAAATCCCTTTTTAGTGTTTCTTAATCAAATTTTTCTCCTTCTGCAAGATTGGCCAGTTACCTCTGGTGTTAAAATTTCCTCTAGCTTGGGAGATTCCAAGTATCCAGGAATATTTGCAAATGTACAATTTATGGCATGATTGATTGTTCAATGTGTTTTACAGGTTATTTTAGTGGCATAAAAATTATAGTCCAATCCTGCCTTTAGAATCATGTCTGTTGAAACTACTTTTGCACACACCGCCGTCCTAATCTGTCAGATGTGTAGATGATTGGTACAGAAAGACAATGGTAAAAGTCAGAGCTACTTTTTCTGCCCTACATTAAACATTCTCTTGAGCTGTGTGTGCTACTGCAAGTATTGAGTTCCATTTGTGTGTCACTGTCTTCTCCTACAGAGGAATAGCTTTCAAATGTTCTGAGTTAAGAACTACCTTGGAAGAAACTGTAAAAATAATGTGCTCAAAAAAAGAGGCTTGTTTTTGAAGCTCAGCAGCACTTTCCATACACTGTCACCTTACTTCATTCTCCACTAAGTGAAGCCCTTCAGTCGAACTCATAGAGAAAACTCTCCAATTAAATACAGAACTTTCCCCTTATCCATGGGGGCATGTTCCAAGATCCCTAGTATATACATGTAACCACAGCTAGTACTGAACCCTATACATACTATGTTTTTTTCCTATACATACAAATCTATGGTAAAGTTTAATTTGTAAATTTGGCACAGATAAAGATGAACAACAATAATTCATAATAAAATAGAATAATTATAACAATATACTGTAACAAAAGTTATGTGAATGTTATCTCTCTCTCAAAATATCTTATTCTATTGTGCTCATTCTTTTTCTTCTTGTGATGATGCGAATGAAAAAATGCCTACATGTTGATGTGAAGTGAGGTGACAGACATAGACAATGTGACATAGCTTTAGACTACCACTGATCTTCTGACAGTATGTGAGAAGGAGGGTCATTTGCTTTGGGCTATCCTGGATCATAAAGCCACATCGTCGTCAATAGTTGGATATAAGGAGCAGAGAATGTTGATGACTAAGAGGCAGGGAGCATACACAGTGTGCATAAGTTAGACAAAGGGGTAATTCACATCCCAGGGGACAGAACAGAGCAGCATGAGATTTCGTCATGCCACTCAGAATGGTATGAAATTTAAAACTTATGAAGTTTTCTTTTCTGTAATTTTCTATTTAATAGTTTGGGATAGCAGTTGACCATGGATAACTGAAAAGAAATTACAGATATGTGAGGGAGTACTGTACCTCCTAATCAAACCCTCAAATAAAGGTTCTTAATATGATTTTATCCAACTTACCTTTATTTAGCATGTGATAGGGTCAGAGATCTTTATAATGAGGAAACTAAACCCACTCAGAATTTTCACATGTACCATTAGAATCATGGAATTTGAGAGCTGGGAGAGCAAAAACTGATAAAACTAAGATGAAGTCACTCTTTTAACAGCATAAATCAGCTGTTAAAAGCTGTTCATAGTAGGCCCTGTTGGCCTTCATGAACAGTCTGGGTTCATTTAGAGGTTCACAACATGCATGAAAGTGCAGAAAGAGAGTTCTAGAGTCAGATTCCACAGACAAATGATGGCTGCAATCAGAAGGGAAAACACTGGGCCAAACTATTGGGAAGGATCTTATGGCAAATAAGCTGTGGCAAACAAATTCTTCAGGCCACTGTCCAGGAGGAAATATCCTTAAATAATAAAAGATATTTGGATTAAATAAAAAGCAAGAACAATTTGCCATTGTGATACATTGTAGAGGGCCTTATTACTGTACAGTCTGAAGTGTCTTCTAATACGAAGTCTGCAACCCCTCGGACCACTGACTGGTATCTGTCCATGGCCTGTTAGGAACCGAGCCATACGGCAGAAGGTGAGCGGCAGGTGAGCAAGTAAAGCTTCATCTGTATTTACAGCTGCTCTCCGTCACTCACCTGAGCTCTGCCTACTGCCAGATTAGCAGCAGCATACGATTCTCATAGAAGTGCAAACCATATTGGGAACTGTGCGTGTGAGGGATCCAGGTTGCATGCTTCTTATGAGAATCTAATGTCTGATTATCTTTCACTGTGTCCTGTCACCCCAAGAAGGGACCATCTAGCTGAAGGAAAACAAGCTCAGGGCTCCCACTGATTCTACATTATGGTAAAATTATGGAAAAAATTTTCTTCCACGAAACTGGTCCCTAATGCTTAAAAGGTTGGGGACAAGCTGTTCTAACAGATTGTGTGATCTGAGAGACCAAAAGAGACCCCTCTATCAACTAAGATGGGCCCAAAAGAAGGAAACAAAGTTATGAGTCAAGGGTTTAGGGCCTGGCTGGAATGGCAAATTTCTAAATTTTGAGGGCTAAACTCCCGACAATAGGAGGTATCAGCTACAACTCTGATTGTACAGAGCAGCAACCTTACAAAAAAGTCTTTTCTAATAAACTACTGCAGATCTTAGGCCAGTTTCAGCCAGCTTATAGAGGCTGCACACACATTTTCTTTGTATCCTGTAGTTCACCTTTTGACATAAAGACGCAAATTCCACCTTATTTTAACACTAAAACCTTCCCCAGAATGAACATAGGATGTATGTTACATACTTGTTTACCCAATTACACGCATTCGGCTCTCCTCATATATGTATAGCTTTCCTCCCAAACCTGCTGAATATGTTTGATACCAGCCTGAGGAGGCACAAAACCCAACCCGTCCTTCCCCTTTTTGAAGAGAGAGCACCTTCACCCCATGCTGGAGACTGTCTCTTCCTGGCTTGCAAACTAATATCACCAATAAAGTTCTCTTTCTACTATGTAGTCACCCTAGTGGTCTTTGGGGCAGCAATTGCCTTGTGGATCCATTCAGCATCTGATGAAGAAGCAGCAGTTATTCTGTTTTTACATATGGAGAAACCAAAACATATGGATGTGTTATGACTTCTCTGTATCAAAAACGCTTTTACAGAGTCTCAGAACTAAGATCTAAAGAGGCTTTTAGTTTAATGCTTTCAGTCATTAGATTACAATGGTTTCTGACCTGGGGCCATATTTAATACCTGAATATATTATTAAAGTGATCTAAAATTTTCCCTGAAGACCTTCAAGAACAACCCATGTTGTTTCTTTGCTTTGATACTATTCTACTTAGAAGGTGGAGAAACAGTCTTTTCCTGATTTTTTTTTAAGAGCTGAATCTTGCTATCTCGAAGTAGGTACAAAGAGTATGTAATTTGCCAATATAGGAAGAATTTCCAATCACCCACAATGACTTGACTTTGAGTCTTGGAACAACAGTTTTACAATTTCATTTTCTCAAATGGTTACAAGGCCTATTTTCTAAAATTGGGTTTATATGGTGCCAAGATAAAAGGGTCTATAGCAAATAAAGCAAACTCTCTTTAATCTAATTGTTCAGGTACTAGATAACTTTTAGAGCTGTGATTATTTTGCATGTATTGCCCATATTCATAATAAAATACAGGCAGATCATATTAATTAAAATAAGAAATTCATGTAATCTCAGGAACAAAAGAGGCTGAAGGTCATATATAACAATGCTATCGGCAATTCTGGTTGTATAATATAATCACTCAGGGAGTTTTTCAGAAACATAATTCTAGCCTCTCATCCTACACAAACTGTATTTGGTTTGAGATCAGTGGGTCATATCAGTACTGTTTTTTTTCTTTTAAGTTACCCAGGTGACTTAATATGCTGGGAGGTTGGAAAGCCACAGGTCTTTAAGAACTCTGCAAAGCTACGATAAAAAAAGAAAAATCTAATTCCTGGAAGAAAACACCAGTATCCTAAGGGCTGGGAAAGTATAAACTGATTTTCCAACAACTGCCCCTACTAGAGGAACAGACCTCAGAGGTCTCAGGCCATCATATTTTGAAAAGTATTTCCTCAATCCCTGGATTCTAGTAGGTAAAAACTGAACAGTTTACTTAAACTGAAAGTAGTGAGAGTTCAGGTAGAAAATATTTTTATTTTAGTTTTTAACAAAATTAGAGACCAAAGCAACATTATATAAAATAGATTTATCAAAGAGCTCCAGAAAGGACATAAAAATATGCAGTTTTTGAACATCATCATATAGTCCTGGATGCAAAAGGTAACCTCTCATGTAAATACATCTAATATTTAATTTAAACTAATGCAGATGGTTACATATGGATATATTTATAGGTAAGCACACACATATGCACACACACACATATGCACACACACATACACACACAAACATCGTCTTGCCCTGTCAGCTGAGAGAGCCCGAAAGCACTGACAACTCAGTTGTAAGAGCACACTTACCACCAAGAACTTGGTTTCTGAAACCATTCTTCAATGAAAAGGAACAAGGACTCCTCAGAGAATTAAGTGATGCTAAGATTTGGGAAGGAAGTATACAAGATAAGCCTGGGTCATTTTTCAGTGCCAGAAAGTAAGTGCTAAAAACAAACACACAAAAAACAAAATAAAACAATGGTGGAGTATGTCAAAGCCAGTTGAAAGAGCTCCCAATGGCCAAAGCTGGAATAACTTGAAGAACAAAATAAGTAAAATGGTGTTGAATTACAACCCACAGTATGTCAAAGATATCCATGATTTTATCCGTTATAAGTAAATAAACAAATATATGGGACAAAAAAGACAACTCTCCAGTGTATAAGAATCTTATAGGCACTCTACTTTTAAGGAGGTGGAAAATAATCTCTGCTCCTTAAATATGGGCTGGACACTGTGACTCTAGAGACAAACTCTTCAAACTGTGTTTTCCTCTGTTCTCATACAACAGCAATCATCAATACAGAAGAAGACATCTGTGATCAGATGTGTGGAGTTTTTCCCCATACACAGCAGCTGGATGTTCTCAAATTCAGTTCCCACACTGTCTACCCAAAGACAGTGTCAGATTCCACAGGGTGAGGGCTCAGTCCCCAAAACTTCCCCCAAAAGATACTAGTTGCAAGTTTGGGCCTCTGGAACTTCTGACTGATTGACTTCAAGTTCAGAGTCCCGTGACCCTCCTCCTTAGGTTCTATTAAGTTGCTGAGCAGCTCACAGAACTCAGGGAAACACTTATGTTTTGTCAGTTCTCAAAGGATATTACAAAGGAAACAGATGAAGAGATGCATAGGGTGAGGTATAAGGGAAGAGGCACCAAGCTCCCATGCCCTCCCTAGGCATACCACTCTCCAGGAATCTCCATGTGTTCAGCTATTAGGAAGCTCCCAAACCCAGTCCTCTTGGTTTTTTATGGACACTTCATTACATAGGCATGATTGATTCAACTGTTGGCAATGGTGATCAACTTGACATTTAGCTCCTCTGCTCTCCCCAGAAGTTGAGGTTTGGGCTGAAATTTCCAACCCTGTAATCCCGCCTTGGTCTTTCTGGTGACCAGCCCTCACTCTGAACCTATCAGACAAAAAACACACACAAAAGACAGCAGTTTAGAGAGCTCAAGGATTTGGGGCATTGTATGCCAGGAAAAGGGAAGGAAAACCAAATATATTTTTCATAATATCAGAGTAACTTTCTTTCAAAGAGAACAATATAGAATGCAAGGAGAACTTATTTAAAGTTCTCACACTATAAAGCAACTTCTTTGTAGTGAGGAAAACTGACAAACATTGCCTCAAGTCAGGAGATGAAGGTTAACATTAACAGTGATAAGTCATATTGATAGTATGTACCCTTGATACAAAGTGAGAAGAATGGCCCTTTGCCTCTGTGATCTTCCTCCCCAAAATATATCACCCCAGTCTAATGAAGAGAAAATATCAGACAAATCCCAATTGAAACAGATTCTACAAAATAACTAACCAGTGTTCCACAAAATTGTCAAGGTCATCAAAAATAAAGAAAGTCTGAGAAACTTATAAACAAGAGGAGCCTAAGGGGACATGACACATAAATGACATATGGTATCCTGGATGGGATCCTGGGACAGAAGAAGAAGATTAGATAATAACTCAGGAAATCTGAATAAAATATGAACATTAGCTCTTACCAACTAATTGTTCATTAATTGAAACAAATGCATCAGACTAATGTAAGATGTTCCTAACAGTAAAAACTGGGTATGGGGTATATGGAATTCTTTTTACTGTTTTCACAATAATTCTCTAAATCTAAAACTGTTCTAAATTTAAAGTTTGTTTTAAAAAAAGCCTTCCTCCATAGAAAAGGATAGGGTAATAATCTGTCCTTTGTTCTTGCATACGGTATACACAATTCTTTCTATTATAGAAAGTAAAGGTCATCATGGTCTCTATTTGGAGTTGCTGAGATATTATCTATACTTTTTTTTTCTAACTGAATCATGGAGACATTTTTCTGCATGAAATCTGGAGCCAGCCATTACCAATATTATATATGCCACAATAGTTTCACATTACTGGGGACTAGTCCCAAATTCTATGGAACGTAATTCAAATTTTCAAGATAGAAGCTTCCATGTGTAATCTCCTAACATTTTTCTCCTACCAATAATGAAGCCTATATTTTGTTATGGTCAGTAGCCCTGCCAAGCTATTTTTCTCTTGGATATTCTCATGGATTTTTTTTCCAACACTGGCTGTTGTTCAAACTTACACAATAGAATTGTCACACTTTATAAACTGTGTTGAATATTCTGATCCCATTCATTTGAGGAGGTCCTCTATTTAATGCCCAACTAGCTTTGAGGTCCTTCCGAGATAATCAAGTAGTCATTGGCACCTTGCATGTAATAGCCACTGCTGCATGAAGAGTCCATAAATTCAATTCTCTGTGCAAAAGCCATGGAAAACAGAACCGTCTAGCTTAAATCACTTGAAAGCCACTCTATTAAATTTCTGAGGCTGACCCTGATAAACAAAATTTTGGAGGAAATCTTCTATTGTTGATTGTGCGATATCAGGTGGTTTAGATGTAAATTTCAACAACTGCTTTCTCCACAGAATAATATTATACATTCATTTTTCGGGCTACTTTTTTATTACATTGATGCTATTTTAGTGATTCAGCTACCTCAGTGATTTGTGATCCACAGTCCCTGCAGCCCCAGATAGGCCATTGTCCTGATTCAGTGTGATAATATGATCTATCCTGAGAATTCAGTCCACACTATTATTCCTGCTGCACATCAGATGGCAAGTTGCTGTTGCACATGTTAAACTAGTTACGAGTTAGAACTCCATCGAACTAGTATGGATTTCCATTTATTTATGGCTGACCTGAGGCTATTTCAAACACAGGTGAGTCTCTTTAACTTTATCTAATTGAAGTCTTTCCATGTTTCCCTGAAAAGAAGTATTACAGACTCAAGTTCTCCATTACCAAAAACATTATCTATAAATATCACCCTAAAGCCTGTAGTCTTCCTCCAAAATGCTTCAGTTAGAAATACCTTTTTAAAATATATAATACATTTCTGCTTTATCAATAATTTTTAAGAGGCATACATCTTCCCTTATCAGAATCAAAGCACGACAACAAGAAATAAAATATGTCTTCATTCTCATATTTTCTATTTTAGAATGGGAAAGATATGGTATCACGAAGCTAGCCTAGGCAAACAACAAACAAAAACAAAACAAAACAGAAACCTCAAAATGTCTAAGGAGTAAATGAAAACATGAGCATCTAATATATATATATGCATGCATATGTGTGTATATGCATACACACATACTCAGAGATGCATGTTTATAGCCAATACAGACACCTAGATGTAGATTCCAGATCTGCAGAGAAGCCAGAGAAAGTGATCTCTTAACTTTTCACTGTTTATTTTCAACAGATATATTTAATCTTCAAGAAGAAGGTGCATTTTTAAATAAAGTTAAAGGATGAATAGAAGAAAGATTCTAAATTGCAAAAAAAAGTATTTATTGACTAGTTTCTTCTCATTGTTGTTGGTTTTTCTCTGATAGCAGTAGAATTCCTAATTAACATTTTTCAATATTTTGTATTCCTTTATCAATCTCAAACTTAGTCCTCCTTTTCATCACTACCACAAATAGAGTAGTATAAGTAAAAAGCAACACTCCTTTTTACTTAATTATGACCATTTTATGGATTATTTCTGTTCTCTTAAATAATTAACAACATATCTAATCTACATAGAGCATAGCAACTGATCTTAAATAACGAAGTTTCTAAAATAAATTCTACTAATTATTTACTTACTATGAATAACTTCACTAACATTAATGAGCGTTACAACATGCTGATTTGTCAGTGACCTAAACAGTGGTCAGGTCACAGTTCTCTGAATAAAGACCAATTACTTTTGTACTTTTCAACACCTATTTTGAATTAAGTAAAAACATCCAATATTAATTTTAAAATACTCCCCAGGTCCATTTTATATCTATTTAGTTCATATATCTCATAATATAATAAAAATTGTACAGGTTTTGATATAAGAAATGTTAGTTTAAACATCACGTCTTGCTGATACTGGCTATGGAGCTAAAACAAGTTATCGATCTTGCTAAACTCAGTTTTCTATTTGTGATATAAAGGCAAAAGTAGTTATCTTTTAAATAAATTGTTTACTTAAAGGATTAAATAACAAAATAAATACAAAACACAGCATGGTGCCTGGCCTCTAGGAAAAAAAAGTATATATTTATATATATAATATATATTATATATAAACATATATTTATATATAAATATATATATTATATATTTAATATATGATATATATTTATATATTAATATATATATTATATATATATATAAAATACTAAATATGTCCCTCCCTCATCACTTTGTAAAGAAAAAGCTTTGGACTTAAACTTTCATTTCTTCTTTGATTCAACAAATATGCATCTATCACCTTAACTATGCCAGGCACTGTGCTAGGTGCTACTATAATGGTAGATAAAAAGAGACACAGGTTTTACTCTAATTGAGGTTGTATTGGAATGAAAAATATTTATCTGTGTAACTTTGAGCAAGTGTCTAGATGTTCTTTTGCTTCTATTTCTTCATCTATTAATAAGAGATAATGCTTTAATGTCATGAGATTAAAATGAAATGAGACACCATATAGAAATGATTTGTAAACTATTAAATATTTGTATTTATTATATATTATTTATATATATACTACTATATGTATATGTGTTCTCAAAAGAGAAATATTTAAAGATATTTCCATATTAAAGTGATAGGAAGAGGGAAAGTACTTGGTATTTTCCAAAAAAATTGAGGTAAGAAAACCAATATGTAATCAAAATTATAAAATATTTTTCATCTAGTTAGACTTATGAGCTGTAAACTTTACTCATGAAGGACTCACTGAGCTGTTAGTATTTTAAATGTTTGATTTGGGTCAATTCTGTTCTCGACAGCTTCAGCTCCTACCCCTACACCTGGCACATGGTGATCACTCTGTAAATCTTTCCAGAATAAAGGGAAATTTATATATTTATGGTTAAAACGCACACACAAACAAGCAAACAAAATACATTTTAAGAACAAATTTTAAAACTCATAAATGGCAAAATTTTAAAAAGAACATCCTATGCCAATTTATTTAAAGTTGTATAGGTAAGGAATAGAGATTTCCAGTGGTAATACTTTTGATCCAAAGTTATCCATTTAGCCTTGGCTGTTTATCTACTCAGCAGAAATCATGTAGATGATATCTCAGCACAAGAATTCCCAGCACTTTGGGAGGCCGAGGCGGGTGGATCACGAGGTCAGGAGATCAAGACCATCCTGGCTAACACAGTGAAATCCAGTCTCTACTAAAAATACAAAAAATTAGCCGGGCATGGTGGTGGGCGCCTGTAGTCCCAGCTACTCAGGAGGCTGAGGCCGGAGAATGGCGTGCAGTGAAAGTCTGTCAGACAAAAAAAAAAAAAAGGAAAAGAATTCTCAGACTGATCCAACATTATGAAAGTGTCTACTTGTCAAAAGCATTGTCCTCTCATAGGTCAATAAATGTGGAGCAGCATTGGTTTAGGAACATGATCATTATTAGATTCCAGGGTAAAAACAGGTTATAAAGAGTAAATATACAATTAGTTAGTGAGAATTTTAAAATGCATTTATTTAAAAGCAATTGAATAAACATTTGAAAAGTAATATTCAAATGCAATTCTGGAAATGTGCAAGGGTGAGAAGTATCTACTATGCTGTCTATAGCACACGATTCTTGTTAGTTTCTCATATTAGTAGTTTACCCTGCATTATTATCATACTTTTTATATAGGCTACAAAATGAAAGAGGATGTTCTCTGTTCATAGATAACACAAAGTGTCATTTATTATGTTTCATGAAGCCTGAACAGCTTACGTTTTTCAAGCTATACATTTTTCATAATCTTAATGAATCTAAATGTTTTTCCAGGGCTAGTTGCTTAGTTTATAAATCATAGGAATTTCTCTTCATAGTTAGAAAAAATTATAGAAATAATTTTATCTCTACGAATATATGTTTACAAAACAAATCATTTCTGGTATCTTAAATTATCAATGAAGTATTCTCTTTTATAATTACTTCAAATGTTATTAAATTTTACAGAGAATATCAATTAATGTATAACTCTGTGCAACATCTCTTTAAGCAAATCTGAATTTTCTAACCTGGTAGGATGTCTTTAAAAATGATAATATTAGTGGCAATATCATTAGTGATAGCAGTAGTGATGATGTCTGTGGTAGTCATAGTTGTAGAAGTACCCAGCACATAAACTGCTTTTACCATATGTAAGTCAAATACAAATGTTAATACATTTATTCCTTCTAATAATCCTTTAAGGTGGCATTCTGATCTTGATTTCACAAAGAAATTGACCTTAAATATATACTCCCAATCATAAAGTTAGGAATCAGTGAATCAGCATTCAAACACAAATAGCCTGATTGCAGATTGGGTTTTGAACCTCCGCAATAACTACTTGTTGTAGGCAACAATGGTAGCCAAGTAGTTATATTTAAGAGGCAGAGGGAGATCTATTTACAACTTGAAGAATTCGTTGATTCTGATTCTAGGCTGCACAGAAGCCTAATTAGTATACACCTCTATTATAGTTGGATAAAATATTGTTATAATTGGCTACATTATTATAAAAACATTACTGAAGCCCACAATTTTTAAATAGTGGATTTATTACTTGGATTTTAAACATAAGAGGTATTAGTGTTTACAAACATTCGTATGTGGTTAAAAACATCAACAATCGTATGCAGTTTAAGGACTTTTGCTTTCCAAATTAAAGAATAAACACACTTCCTCAAGGACATACTGCTCAGATTAGACTACTGCTATGTACTTAAAATAAGTTAAATTTAACTATTCATATAATATTAAGGTAACAGAATGAGAATATCTCTTCTTTACACAATTAATATTTAATACGTGCTGTATCACCAGGTAGAATGTCTTAATATCTAAAACACAGGAAACTTCTGAAATATTTAGAAATAATTTAGGAAATCAAGTAGGGAATTAATACACCATAGTCACATTTGGTTTACATAATATCAAATATCCTGCTAATTGGAAATTTTTTTTCATATTTTTTGAACTCTTCATTTTATCAAGACACATAAAATGATATAATTTAAACAGATACGACTTAACTGACAAGAAAGAAAAAGAGTCAGTAATTATGTAAAAAAAATTTTCAGCCAACACTTAACCGCTTGAGTGTTGGCCTGAAGCTGAGCTGGGGAGATTTGTAGTTGACAGGAGAGCAAATGAAACTCTAGGGACTCTCCACCCTGCTGTTTTGACCCCTACACCCAACTCAGCTGAAGTTTCACAGCCTAGAATCTATGCTTTTATTATCTCCTTGATAGGTAATTAGTAGGTAATATGGTAAATGGTCTCAAGCAAATAAACAATGAATTTATAAGGAAAAATCTCGAAGCATCTGAGAACCAGCAGTCCTATAAAAGAAAGACAGTAAACAAAATCATCTCTTTAAGCAAATCTGAATTTTCTACCCTGGTAGGATGTCTTTAATAATAGCAGAGGAAAGAAGCAGAATCAATGGAGTGGCCAAAGCAAGACTTTAAAAATATGGATATAAATATGTTTTAAAATATAAATAACACAATAGAAACCTGAAGGAAGAACAAGCTGCTATAAAAAAGTTGGATACAGATTAAAATGTAGTTAAATAAAATATTCAATAGATGGTTAAACATTAAGAAGAATATTGCTGAAGAAGCAATTTGTGATATAGAAGAATAATTATATAATGATAAAAAGGTTGTAGAAGTCTTCAATAAAGAAAGAACATAAAATAGTCATATGAAGAATAAATAAAAAAGAAGTGAAGATACATGAAAGAAAGAGAAAAATGATAGGAGAAATGAGAGAAGGAATATTGGAAGATATAATGAATTTGTTTTATGAGGATTAAAGAAAATAAATATCTAAGAGTTGGATTGAAAAATATTATCAATTAGAATTTTAAAAAGATGAAATTCTCAACCATTAAAGACAGAGATGAAACAAATCACCAAGAAACAATAATCAGATTATCATCAGAATTTTCAACCATATCATTAGATTCATGAATACAAAGGAGTAATAATACATCCAAAACAAAAGATAATAACATTTATCCTAGAAGTTCATATTCATTTAAAATATTACTTAAATTTGAGGGTAAAGATATTTGCAGGCCATGGAAGATCTCCTTAAAGAACTCCTGAAAAATGTCGTCAGGGAAGAAGGAAAAGGAATACAAGAAAAAACAATGTGATCTGGCAAATAATTTGGTTATGTAAAGAATTTAGTAGAATTTATTTTAATTTAAATAAATAATTTTACAAAAGCATACAGTAGTCCCTCGTTATCCACTTTTTCACTTTCCCCAGTTTCAGTTACCTGCAGTCAACTATGGTCCAAAAATATTAAATGGAAAATTCCAGAAATAAACAATTCATAAGATTTAAATAGCAAGCCATACTGAGGAGCATAATAAATCTCACACCATCTGCCCCATCCTACCTGGGGCATAAATCATTCCTCTGTCCAGAGAATCCATGCTGAAATCTGTGCTGTATACACTACCTGCCAGTTAATCACTTAGCAGCCATTTTGGTTATCAGACCTACAACTGTTGCATTATGGCAGTGCTGCTGTTCAAGTAACACTTATTTTACTTATACAGCCCCAAAGTGAATGAGAGGTGATGCTGGCAATTTGAATATGCAGAAGAGAAGCCATAAAGTGCTTCCTTTAAGTGAAAAGGTGAAAGTTCTTGACTTAATCCAGAAAGAAAAAGAATTGTGTGCTGAGGATGCTAAGACCTATGGTAAGAACAGATTTAACTGTGAAATTTTGAAGAAGAATAAAGAAATTAAAAAGTAGTATATATAGGGTTTTGTACTATCTTCGGTTTCAGGCATCCAATGAGGGTCTTGGAATGTATCCTCCGTGAATATAGGGGAACTACTGTATTTATGAGAACCAGAAACTAATTCTCCATAATATATTAGCATGGCATTAGAGTCAAGAAGGGATAAGGAATTGATGAGAGATGTAGCAAATTAAGTTTCTTATGTTATTAGGGTAAGAGGCAAATAGTGTGGAGAAGCCTTATGTTTCACTTCTGGTTAGAATGGAGTTAAGTTGTATTGGACTAATCCTCCTGATTATTATAAATATTAACTCTGACGGGATATCTTAAAAAGCAAATGTTGAAGGCTCTGGAGAGTAACCAAAGCAGGCAGAACCTGAAAGGGATACGACCCTTGAGAAACGAGAAGGACACTTGGTAAGACCAGCTTTTTACCAAAGAAAACCCTCCAGTTGTCTGTGTGAACAACAGAGAGAGCTCAAGCAGAAAACAACAATTTTACTTGAAGGAAGAGTCAGAGATTGAAGTGTGAGTATGCAAGAATGAATGGAAATTAAAAAGGAGGTAATCCTGAAAAGAATGGAGACTCAAAACCTGCATAAAATTTCACTTCAATCCTTGATTGACTCCTCAATTGCAATGCCAGAGTGAGTTTCCTAGGATCTAAGTGGAAAGCAATAGCCAGAAGGCTGCAAGAGCTGCTTTCCTGGTTCTGGGAAACAAAGATTGTAATTCAAGACTTAAGTAGTAGGAGAAATCCCCGAAGTGTCATACCTTATCAGAAAGACAGTATCCTAGGAAAAGCAGCTATGCTTCAAGATAAAGGGCAGAACTAAATAAATCTGCCCTGAAAAGCCTGAAGCAAGTTTCTAAGGAAACAGGCCAATCTGAAGGAATTTAACAGCCTCAGCTTCAGAGGAAGAAAACAATTCAGAGTATCCGTAATGTATTTTCACCAATGACAAGTGTATAAATTTTAAGGTTACTATTAATTTAAAAAATTACTACACAACCAAAAAGGTAAGAACATATTAACCATAATATGAGAGAAAAACAAGAAACAAAAAGAAGTTACTAGGAACAAAATGACAGTGAAAAGATATTAGAATAAGACAGAGGGACAAAAATGGCTGTTATAAATATTTTAAATAATCTACAAAAAATAAGATAAATAGAAATGGTGAAGAAATGGGTCATTTCAACAGACACATAGAAATTCTGAAAGAGAGTGAGATAATATTCTGAAACTAAAAAATAAATACCTAAAATAAAAGATTCATTGAATACAACTACTTCCGATTATAAAGGAGTCACTGGTATCAGACTTAAATTCCTACCATACATATATGCTCACACACACACACACACACACACACACACACACACACAACTTTTTTTCAGATAGCACAGAAATGTGTCTCAGAAAATAATGGGAAAAAAAAGGTGAGTCTAAAGTCTTCCCATCTTTTTGTCTGAAGATAATTTCTAAACCACAGAGCAACCATGATATCCCAAACAGCAGAGAGGTCTCTGTGAATTGAAGGAGAAAAGAGTTAATATTGAGAAGGTCAACATGGCTGGTGACAATTAATTATTTTGACAATTTAAGGATTCATTTTTTAAACCAAGGGTAACCATTAAAAAATAAATAATTAGCTGGGCATGGTGGCTCATGCCCATAATCCCAGCACTTTGGGAGACCAAGGTGGTCAGATTGCTTGAGCCCATGAGTTTGAGACCAGCCTGAGCAATATAGAGAAACCCCATCTGTACAAAAAATACAAAATTTAGACAGGCATGGTGATGCATGCCTGTAGTCCCAGCTGCTCAGGAGGCTGAGGTGGCAGTATCACCCGAGCCTGAGAATTTGAGGGTGCAGTGAGCTGTGCTTCTGCCACTGCACTTCAGCCTAAATGACAGAGTGAGACCCTGTGTCCGAACATAAAAATAAAAATAAATAAATATATAAAAATAAAGAGATACAGATAGCAATCTAAGAATGGAGATAAATGGAACACAAGTAAATGCACAATTTAGTCTAACTGTATTAATAATCATTTTAATTGTTTACGGTCTAAATATACCAATTAAAAATAGAAATAGTCACAGAGTAGATCACAAAACAACAAGACCCAACTACATGTTGTCTACAAGAAATTCACTTTACATATATATATATATATATGTGTGTACATATATATATATGTGGTAGTCATAGTTGTAGAAATAGCTAGCACATAAATTGCTTTTACCATATGTAAGCCAAGTACAAATGTTAATATATTTATTCCTTCTAATAATCCTTTAAGGTGGCATTCTGATCTTGATTTCATAAAGAAATTGAGCTTAAGTATATACTCCCAATCATAAAGTTAGGAATCAGTGAATCAGCGTTCAAACACAAATAGTCTGATTGCAGATTGGGTTTTGATGCTCC
The DNA here is from genome assembly GCF_000001405.40 of Homo sapiens. Classification (NCBI taxonomy): domain Eukaryota; kingdom Metazoa; phylum Chordata; class Mammalia; order Primates; family Hominidae; genus Homo; species Homo sapiens. Next base: position 30,654,276 of record NC_000018.10, read on the forward strand.
GCAATAACAACTCTTTGTAGGCAACAATGGTAGCCAAGTAGTTATATTTAAGAGGCAGAAGGAGATCTATTTACAACTTGAAGAATTCGTTGATTCTGATTCTAGGCTGCACAGAAGCCTAATTAGTATACACCTCTATTATAGTTGGAAAAAATAATGTTGTAATTGGCTACATTATTATAAAAACATTACTGAGGCCCACAATTTTTTAAATAGTATTTTATTACTTGGATTTTAAATAAGAAGTATTAGTCTTTACAAACATTTGCACGTGGTTAAAAACATCAACAATCGTATGCAGTTTAAAGACTTTTGCTTTCCAAATTAAAGAATAAACACACTTCCTCAAGGACATACTGCTCAGATTAGACTACTGCTATGTACTTAAAATAAGTTAAATTTAACCATTCATATAATATTAAGGTAACAGAATGAGAATATCTCTTCTTAATACAATTAATATTTAATACATGCTGTATGTATATATATATATTCAAGGTAAATGAATAAAGATATGCCATACCAACACTAATCAAATTAAAGCAGGAAAGCTGTATACATTTCAGACAGAGCAGACTTTAGAGCAAGGAAAGGAACCCAGAATAAAGTAGGGCATTACATAATGACAAAAAAGTCAATCCTCCTAGAAGGCATAAAGATCCTCACTATGTATAAACTTAACAACACAGCATCAAAATAAATGAGGCAAAAATTAGTAGGACAGAACAGCAAAGAGAAATAGATGAATTCACTATTACAATTGGAGAATTTAACACCTGTTTTATCAACAATGGACAGATCCAGCATGTAGATAATCAGTAAGAACATAATTGAAGTCAACAATATCATCAATCAACTGGATATAATAGATATCTATAGACTTCATCCAATATCAGCAGATTATACATTCTTCTGCAGCTAACATAGAACATTCGTCAAGATAGATCACATATTCTGGGCCATAAACAGTTTAGCAAATGTAAAAGAAAAGAAATCATACTATGACTGCTGTCACATCACAATGAGATTAAATTAGAAATCAATAACAGAAAGATGGTTGAAAATTATAAAAATGTTTGGAGATTAAACAACACATTTTTAATTAACATATAGGTAAAAGCCAAAATCCAGGAGAGATTTTAAATTATTTTGAAATTCGTAAAAATGAAAATATAATTTTCATTTTCCTCTAAGAAGTGCTTAGAGGAAAATATGTAACACTGAATGCATATATTAGAAGAGGAAAGACTTAAAGTTAATTACCCAAGCTTATATCTCAGGAAAATAGAAAAAGAATAGCAAGTTAGATACAAAGTGAGCAGAAGAAAAGAAATAATAATTATTAGAACAGAAATACATAAAATTGAAAACAAGAAAATTAATAGAAAAAAATCAACAAAAGCAAAACCTGGTTATTTGAAAAGATCAATAAAATTAATAGCCTTCTAGCCAGACTAAGATAAAAAGACCACACAAAGTACTAATATCTGAAATTAAAGAGGGACCTTCAATTCATATCTCATGAACATTAAAAGGATAAAAATTAAATGTTATAAAAACTCTATGCCCACAAATTTGATAATGAAGAAGAAATTGGCCAATTTATTGAAACATGCAACTGTCAAAACTCATGCAAAAAGAAACACACAATCTTAATAGGTTTGTATCTATTAAAGAAGTAGAATCAATAATTAATAATCTTCTAAAATAACATCTGACCCAGACCCAGGCAACTTAACCTGGTAAATTCTACTGAACATTTAAGGAAGAAATTATATCAATTCTCTACAATCTTTTCCAGAATATATAAGCATGGAGAATACTTCATAACTCATTCTGTTAAGCCAGCATCATTATTACCCAAATAACAAAACCAGACAAAGATATTACCAAAAAAAGCTATAGAACAATCACTCTCATAAACAAAGATGCAAAAATCCTCAGCAAAATATTAATAAATCAAATTCAACAATATATAAACAGAATTATACAAAATGACCAAGTTGGACATATCACTGATACACAAAGATAGTTCAACATTCAAAAATCAACTAATGCAATCCATCATAACAAGAGACTAAAGAATAATATCAGATAATCATGTCAACAATGCAGACAAGCACTCAACAGAATCCAGCACTGATTCATGATCAAAACTCTCAGGAAACTAGAAATACAGGCAAACTTCCTCAGTTTGACAAAGAACATATTCAAAATAACTACAGGCAATGTTATATGTAACAGTGAGAAACTTAAACCTTTCTGCTAAGATAAGGAACAAAGTAAGACTTCTCTTCTCACCAATTTTTTTCCCCAACATTATACTGAAAGTCCTAACTAATGGAATAAAGCAAGAGAAGAAATAAAAAGATATACAGAGAGAGAAGAAATGAAAAAAAGGTATTTTTTTTTGCATTTGACTTGATTGCCTATTAAGAAAAATTTTAAAGGATCAACAAAACACTCCTGGAATTAATAAGCAATTATTGCAAAGTTAGGATACAAAATTAATATACAAAAATCAATTGCTTTCCTATACAACAGCAAAGAACAAGTGGAATTTAAAATGAAAAACACATTACCATTTAAATTTGCATCCCCCAAAATGAAATGCTTAGTTATAAATCTGACAAAGTATGTACAAGATCTATATGAGGGAAACTACAAAAATGTAATGAAAGATTTTTAAGATAAATAAATGAAGTTAAACCTCATGTTAATGGGTAGGAAGACTCAATATTATCAAGACATGTTGATCTATAGAGTCAATACAATCCCAGTTAAAATCCCAAGGTATTTTGTGGATATCAACAAATTGATTTTCAAGTTCATATCACAAAATAAAAGACCAGAATAGTCTTCAATAGTTCTTCAATATTGAAGGAAGACAAAGTTAGAGAAAACACTATCTGATTTAAAGACTTCCTATAAAGTTACAGTAATCATGACAGTGCTGTATTGGAAAAAATAATAGACAAATAGATTGGTAGAACAGAATAAAGAACTCAGAAATAAACCCACATAAGTATAGTCAACTAATATTGGACAAAAAAGCAAAGGCAATACAATGTTAAAAAAGTATGTTCAACAAATAGTGCTGGAAAAACTGCACATCTATACGTAAAAAAAAAAATGTAGACATAAACCTTACACCCTTCACAAATTTTAACTCAAAATGGATCACAGACTTAAGTGTAAAATGAAAAACTACAAAGCTCCTGTAAGATAATAAAGTCAATAACCTAAGTGACCTTTAGTATGGCAATGACTTTTTACATACAACAAAAAAGGCACAATTCATAAAAGAAATAATTGTTAAACTGAACTTCATTAAAATTAAAAACTTCTGTTCTGTTAAAGATACCATGAAAAGCATGAGAGATAAGCCACAGACTGGGAGAAAAATCTTTGCAAAAAACATTTAATAAAGGACTGTTATCCAAAAAATACATATAATTTTTAAACTCAACAATGAGAAAACTACCTGCTTAAAAAATTGGCAAAAGACCTTAACAGATATCTCATGAAAGAAGGTAAACAAATGAAAAGTAAGTATATGAAATGATGTTTAACATCTTATATTAAGTAATTGAAAATTTAAAAAAATAATGGAGGGGCCAAGATGACTGAGTAGAAGCTTCTGAGGTCCTTGGCTTTCATGGAGAAGAATGAAAATTATGAGTGAATTCAACACTTTCAACTGAAATGTCCAGGTTCTCACATTGAGACTGACTAGACAGATGGTGCGACTCACAAAGAAAAGTATGGTGGGGTGATGGCAACCCAGGAGTGGTGTTGGGCCAAAGGAACCCTCATCCCCAGCCAAGGGAAGTGGTGAGGGATTGTGCAACCCGCCCCCCCACCTCGGGAAACCGTGCTTCTCCCTTGGATCTTTGCAACCCATGGATCAGGAGAACCCTTATGAGCCCACAACATCAGGACCTTGGGTTCGATACACAAAGCTGGGTGGGGTCTCAGCAGAGTGGTCACTCAGGCTCACACAGAAACCCAGGAGTTTTACAATCTCTGGCCCTGCAAATCCTGGCAAGGCAGGGGATTCATTTGTATAGTTCCCCTAGAAAGGAATCTGAATCCAGGAAGCCAAACAGCATTGTTCTGTAGACTCCACTTCCAGGGCACCTCACAAGTTAAGACCCACTGGCTTGGAATTTCAGCAACAAGTGCAACAGACTGGAGACTGTCTGAGATGTACAAGTTCCCAGAGGGAGGGGCGGCCACCATTTCTGCAGTTAGGATGACTCAGTCATACTAGCCTGCTGGCTCCAGAGAGTCTGGGTGTTACTGGTTGAGGGTAGTTGTCCAGGTTCTTGGAGTTTCAGAAAAAGAATTGGACAAAATGCACAAGCAAGGCAGCCAAAGCAGAGATTTATTTTAAATAAAAGTACACTCCACAGGGTGGGAGTGGGCTTGAGCAAGCAACTCAAAAGTGCTGGTTACAGAATTTTCTAGGGTTTATATGCCCTCTAGAGGTTTTCCATTGGTTTAGTCTAGTAGCCCAGGACCAGCTTGATTGATTGACGAGAAGGCCCACAACCAGCCCGACTGGTTGCAGGAGGGGACCACTCAGAGGTATTTTTATTTTCCAACTGCCATGCAGCAACTACCACACAGCAAAAGGAGGGGTTGCAACTGCTATGCAGCAACTACCGTGCAGAGAAAGGAGGGATTGGAAAGGGAGTAGCCTCTGATATCCAGTCAGCATGAGTTGGCCTTAGGTTCCCTCCCTCCAGACCCTGTTCCCCTGCCTCACAGGTAGTCCAGGTGAGGAGGAATGCCCAACACAGCACAGCTGCTCTGTCCGATCATGACTAGATTGCTTTTTCAAGTGGGATCCCAATCCATCCCTCCTTATTGGGCAAGGCTTCCCTTTGGGAATTTCAGCAACTCCAGCCAGGGTTATGCAGACAGCTCTCTGGTCTCTTCCTGGGAGGGAGCCCACAGTGGGAGAGGCAGCCGACATTTCTGCCATTCAGTCAACTCGGTTTTTCTGCTGGCTCTGTAGAGTCTAGGCCGTCTGGACAAAGAAGGATTCTCCCCCCGTGCAGCATACCTGCTCTACCAAAAAGAAGCCAGATTGCTTCTTTAAGTGGGTTTCTGACTCTGTTCCTCCAGACTGAGTGAGACGTCTCAACAGGGATCTCCAGGATCCTCCTACAGGACCGTCCAGGCTGGCAAGAGGTTAGTACCCCCTAGGATAGAGCCCCCAGAGGAAGGAGCAGGCTACTATCTTTGTTTTGTAGCTTCTACTGGTGATACCTCAGGTAAGGGAAAAACCAAAGCAACTAGGATCTGGAACAGTCCTCCAGCAAACCACAACCACCCTACAGAAAGTTGCCTGAGTGTTAAAAGAAAGACAAACAAACTGAAAGCAACAACAACATTGACAAAACTGATCCCACAAAGATAAGAAAGAATCAATGCAAAAATGCTGAAAACTCAAAAAGAATGAGCAAATGAAAAATAAGTATATGCTTCTTCTCCTCCAAATGACCGCAATACCTCTCCAGCAAGAGTACAGAAGTAAGCTGAGGCTGAAGTGGCTGAATTGACAAAGTAGGCTTCAGAAGGTGGGTAATAATGACCTTTGCTGAGCTAAAGGAGCATATTGTAACCCAATGGAAAGAAGGTAAGAATCATGATAAAACAACACAAGAGCTGACAGCCAGAATTGCCCTTTTAGAAAGGGACGTAACTAACCCGATGGAGCTAAAAAGCATGCTATGAGAACATCACAGTGCAATCACAAATATCAATAGCAGAATAGATCGTGCAGAAGAAAGAATATCAAAGTTGGAAGACCATCTTTTTGAAACAAGGCAGACAAGAATAGAGAAAAAAGAATGAAAAGGAATGAACAAAATCTCCAAGAAATATTGGACTATGTAAAGAGACCAAACCTACAACTGACTGGGGTACCTTAAAAGGATGAGAAAAATGGAACCAAGTTGGAAAACATACTTCAGGATATCATATGGGTAAACTTCTCCAACCTAGCAAGACAGGCCAACCATTCAAATTCAGGAAATGCAGAGAACCCCAGTAAGATACCTCGTGAGAAGATCAACCCAAGACACATTATCATCAGCTTCTCCAAGGTTGAATTGAAAGAAAAAATGTTTAGGGCAGTCAAAAAGAAAGGCAAGATTTCCTGCAAAGGGAAGCCCATCAGACTAACAACAGAACTATCAGCAGAAACTCTACATGCCAGAAGAGATTGGGGGTCAATATTCAACATTCTTAAATTAAAAAAAAGTCTAACCCAGAATTTCATATCTGGCCAAACTAAGCTTCATAAGCAAAGAAGAAATAAGATCCTTTTCAGAAAAGCAAATGCTGAGGGAATTTGTCACCACCAGACCTGCCTTGCAAGAGCTCCTGAAGGATGCACTAAATTTGGAAAGGGAAAACTGGTACCAGCCACTACAAAAACTACACTGAAATACACAGACCAGTGACACTATGAAGCAACCACATGAACAATTCTGCAGAATAACCAGCTAGCATCATGATGACAGGATCAAATTCACATGTAACAATACTAAACTTAAATGTAAATGGGCTAAATGCCCCAATTAAAAGACACAGAATAGCAAGCTGGTTAGAGTCAAGACCCATTGGTGTGCTACCTTCAAGAGATCCATCTCACATGCAAAGATACACATAGACTCAAAATAAAGGGATGGAGGGAAATTTACCAAGCAAATGGAAAAAGAAAAAAAAGCAGTGGTCACAATCTTAATTTCTGACAAAACAGACTTTAAATCAACAAAGATTAAAAAAAGACAAAGAAGGGAATTACATAATGGCAAAGGGGTCAATTCAACAAGATATTAACTATCCTGAATATATATGCACCCAATACAAGAACACTCAGATTTATAAGGCATGTTCTTAGAGACCTACAAAGAGACTTAGACTGCTGCACAATAATAGCAGGAGACTTTAACACACCACTAACAATATTAGACAGATCGTTGAGACAGAAAATTAACAAAGATATTCAGGACCTGAACTCAGCTCTGGACTAAGCAGACCTGATGTACAGAACTCTCCACTTAAAACAATAGAATATACATTCTTCTCATTGCCACATGGTACTTACTCTAAAACTTATCACATAATCAGAAGAAAACACTTCTCAGCAAATGCAAAATAACTGAAATTATAACAGTCTTTCAGACCACAGTACAAATTAAAATTCAAGACAAAGAAATTCACTCAAAACCACACGACTATATGGAAATTGAACAATCTGCTCCTGAATGATTGCTGGGTAAATAATGAAATTAAGGCAGAAATAAAAAAGTTCTGTAAAACTAATAAGAACAAAGAGACACCATACCAGAATCTGCAGGATGTGGCTAAATCAGTACTAGAAGGGAAATTTATAGCACTAAATGCCACATCAAAAAGCTAGAAAGATCTCAGTTTGACATCCTAACATCACAACTGAAAGAACTAAAGAAACAAGAGCAAACAAACTCCAAAGCTAGCAGAAGACAAGAAATAACCATAATCAAAGTGGAACTGAAGGAGATAGAGACATGAAAATCCCTTAAAAAATCAATGAATCCACGAGCTCGTTTTTTTTTAAATAATATTAGGTTGGTGCAAAATAATTCCAGCTTTTGTCATTGAAAGTGAGAGCAAAACCATAATTACTTTTGCACCAACCTAATATAATAGACTGCTAGTTAGGCTAATTAAAAAAAAGAGAGAGAAGAATCAAATAGACACAATGAGAAACAATAAGGAGGATATCACCAGTGACCCCACAGAAATACAAAGAACCATTAGATAATACTATAAACTCCTGTATACACATAAACTAGAAAATATGGAATAAATGGATGAGTTCACGGATGCATACACCCTCCCAAGACTGAACCAGGAAGAAACTGAATCCCTGAATAGACCAATAACAAGTTCTGAAATTGAGGCAGTAATAAATAGGCCAACCAATAACGGCCCAGGACCAGATGGATTTACAGCTCGATTCTACCAGAGGTAAAAAGAAGCGCTTGTGCCATCTCTACTGAAACTATTCCAAACAACTGAAAAGGAAGGACTCCTCCTTAACTCATTTTATAAGGTCAGCATTATCCTAATAACGAAACCTGGCAGAGTTACAACACCAACAAATAAAACATTAGGCCAATATCCCTGATGAACGTCAATGCAAAAATCCTTAGTAAAATACTGACAAACTGAATCCAGCAGCACATAAGAAAGCTTATCCACCACAATCAAGTTGACTTCATCATTGGGACACAATTGGTTCAACATACACCAATCAATAAATGTAATTTATCACATAAAGAGAACTAAACACAGTAACCACATGATTATCTTAATAGAAGCAAAAAAGGCCTTCAATAAAATTCAACATCCATTCATGTTAAAAACTCTCAATAAAATAGGTATTGGAGGAACATACATCAAAATAATAAGAGCCATATATGAAAAGCCCACAATCAACATCATATTGAAAGGACAAAAGCTAGAAGCATTCCCTTTGAAAACCAGCACAAGGCAAGGATGCCCTTTCTCACCCCTCCTATTCAACACAGTATTGGAAGTTCTGGCCAGGGCAATCAGGCAAGAGAAAGAAATAAAGTGTATCAAATAGGGAGAGAAGAAGTCAAACTATCTTTGTTTGCAGATGACATGATCCTATATCTAGAAAATCCCATCATCTCAGCCCCAAAGCTTCTTAAACTGATAAGCAACTTCAGCAATGTCTCAGGATACAATGTGCAAAAATTACTAGCTTTCCTATACACCAAAAGGCAAGCAGAGAGTGAAATCATGAATGAACTCCTATTCACAATTGCTACAAGAAGAATAAAATACCTAGGAATACAGCAAACAAGGGAACTGAAGAATCTCTTCAAAGAACACTACAAACCACTGCTCAAGGTAACCAGAGAGGATAAATGGAAAAACATTCCATGTTCATGGATAATAAGAATAAATATCATGAAAATGGCAAAACTGCCCAAAGTAATTTATAGATTTAATGCTATTCACATTAAACTAGCATAGACATTCTCCACAGAATTAGAAAAAAACTATTGTAAAGTTCAGATGGGGCCAGATGTGGTGGCTCATGCTTGTAATCATAGCACTTTTGGAGGCAGAAGAGAGTGGATCACTTGAGATCAGGAGTTCAAGACCAGCCTGACCAACATGGTGAAACCCCGTCTCTACTAAAAATACAAAAAATTACCTGGGCATTGTGGCATGCACCTGTAATCCCTGCTACTTTGGAGGCTGAGGCAGGAGGATCTTTTGAACCTGGGAGGCAGAGGTTGCAATGAGCCAAGATAGCACCACTGCACACCAGCCTGGGCAACAGAGTGAGAATCTGTCTCAAAAATAATAATAATAATAGTAATAATAATAATAAAATAAAATAAAATAAAATAAAATAAAAATACATACGGAATCAAAAAGGATCCCAGATAACCAAGACAGTCTTAAGTAAAAAGAACAAAACTGGAGGTGTTACATTACCTGACTTCAAACTATACTACAAGGTTACAGTAACTGAAACATCATGGTACTGGTACAAAAACAGTCACATAGACCAATGTAACAGAATAGAGAACTCAGACATAAGACCATACACCTGCAACCATCTGATCTTTGACAAAGCTGACAAAAACAAGCAGTGGGGAAATGATTTCCTATGTAATAAATAGTGCTGGGAGAACTGACTAGCCATATGCAGAAAATCGAAACTAAACCCTTCACTTACAACTTATACAAAAATTAACTAAAGATGAATTAAAAACTTAAATGTAAAATCAAAAACTATAAAAATCCTAGAAGAAAATCTAGGCAATAACATTCAGAACATAAGCATGAGAAAAGATTTCATGATAAAAATACCAAAAGCAATTGCAACAAGAGCAGGAATTGACAAATGGGATCTAATTAAACTAAAGACCTTCTGCATGGCAAAGGAAACTATCATCAGAATGAACAACCAACCAACAGAATGGGAGAAAGTTTTTACAAGTTATTATGTGACAGAGGTCTAATATCCAGAGTCTACAAGGAAGTTAAACAAATTTACAAGAAACAAACAACCGCATTAAAAAGTGGGCAAATGACATGAAGAGACACTTCTCAAAAGAAGACATTCTTGTGACCAACAAACATATGAAGAAAAGCTCAACATCACTGAATATTAGAGAAAATGCAACTCGAAACCACAATGAGATACCATTTCACAGCACTCTGAATGGCAATTATTAAAAAGTCCAGAAACAACAGTTGCTGTTGAAGTTGCAGAGAAAAAGGAATACTTTTATACTGTTGGTGGGACTCTAAATTAGTTCAACCATTGTGGAAGACAGTGTGGTAATTCCTCAAAGATCTAGAAGCAGAAATATTATTTGACCCAGCCATCCCATTGAGTATATACCCAAAGGAACATAAATCATTCTTTTATAAAGATACATACGTGCATATGTTCATTGCAGCACTATTCACAATAGCAAAGACATGGAGTCAACCCAAATGCCCATCAATGATAGACTGGATAAAGGAAATGTGGTACATATACACCATGGAATACTATGCAGCTGTAAAAAGGAATGAGATCATGACCTTTGCAGGGACATGGATGGAGCTGGAAGCATTTCGAGTTGCATTTCTCTAATAATTATCCTCAGCAAACACAGGAACAGAGAACCAAACACTGCATGTTCTCACTTATATGTGGCAGCTGAATGATGAGAACACATGGACATGGGGGTGTAACAATACACACTGAGGCCTGTTGGGTGTGGGGTAGCAGGAGGGAGAACATCAGGAACAATAGCTAATGGATGCTGGGCTTAATATCATGGTGATAGTTTGATCCATGCAGCAAACCACTGTGGCACACATTTAGTATGTAACAAACCTACACATCCTGCACGTGTACCCCAGAACTTAAAATAAAAGTTGAAGGGGAAAAAAGGAAACAAAATTAATAAAATGCACAACTATTAGAATGGCTAAATCCAAAACACTAGCATCAATTGCTGGTGAGGATGTGAAGCAACAGGAATGCTCATTCATTGCTGCTGGGAATGTAAACATGGCACTGTTACATTGTAAGACAGTTTGGTTGTTTCTTGCAAAGCTAAACATGGTCTTATTATACGATCCAGCAATCATGCTCCTAAGCATTTACCCAAATGTGTTAAAAATTTATGCTTACACAAAAACCTCTACACAGATAGTTATAGCAATTTTACTCATAATTGCCAAAATTTGGAAGCAACTTCAAAAGTGAATGGATAAATAAACTGTGGTCTATCCAGATAATGAAATATTATTTAGTTCTAAAAATAAATGAGCTATCAAGCTGAAAGGACATGGAGTAAACTTAAATGCATATTACTAAGTGAAAGAAGCCAATCTGAAAAGGCTACATATTGTATAATTGCATCTATGACATTCTGGTAAAGGCAAACTATGAAGACAATAAAAAGATCAGTGGTTGCTGGTGGGTAGAGAGTAGGGGAGGATAAATAGCAGAACACAGAGGATTTTTAGGACAGTGAAATTATTCTTTATGATAATACAATCATAGGCACATTTGTCAAACCCATATATTGTACAACACCAAGAGTGAAGCTTCAAGTAGACTATGAATTCTGGGTGATAATGATGTGTCAATGTAGGTTTACCAGTTGTAATAAATGTACCACTCTGGTGTGAAATATCAATCGTGGAGCAGGCTGTGAGTGTGTGGGAATAGGGGATATAAGAAATCTCTCTATATTTCCTATGTAATTTTGCTGTGATGCTAAAAACTGCTCTAAAAATTATTTATTAATTAAAAGATGATGATAGACATGACTCTTAAGTAACATCTATAAGTGTAAATAAATTGAACACAATTGATAAAAATGACACACAAATTAGATAAATAACAAGATTTGGCAATTTATGTCCCCCAAGAGGACTATTTAAAAGAAAATTTACAGAATTTAGAAAAGAAAGGCTGAAAATATAAAGATGAACCAAATAAAATAACTAAGGTAGAAATTTCAGTACCAAGCAAAATAGAATTTAAAATGACAGAATCATTATATAAGAGAGGACTAATGTATACTGAAAAAAAAAATTATTGAGAGGGTATGTTGCCAATGAAAATATATCATTTCATATAGCTTTATATGTTAAAACAATAACTTATAGGACAATGCAAAATAAGAAAAATTATCAACAACTATAATTAGACATTTTTATATACTCCTACTAACAAGTGAATAGATCAAGCAATATAAACTAAGAAAAAATTATTAGAAAGGTAAAAAATCTAAATTGATAAGTTTGACTATCAACTTTTCACACAACAAACACAGAGTGCATATGAGCCTACACAAAGCATTCCCAAAATAGACTATATACTAGGCTAAAAAAGAAGGGTTCAATAAGGCTACAATGTGCACAATATTTATGTCCTGCAGCAAAAGTTCAACAGGAAGTAAAAGTTAATTTAAAAATCGTAAAATAAATAATTAAATGTGATGTCTGAAAATAAGAAATAACAGCCTTACATTTTTAACTAAAAAACATTTCCTAGTTACAAGAGATATTTAGCACTTAAGGACAATCAAAGCACTAACTGTTAAATTTGGGATGATATATTTAAGTCACTAGTTACAGAGGATTTTGTAATTCTGTGTATATTTATCTACAAGAATACAAAAGATACTGAAAATAAATGAGCAAGAATGGTGCAAATCAAAAAAGTAAATCTAAGAAAGGGAGAAGAAAGTAGTAAAAATAAGGGCAAGAATGTGCAGAGAATGACAACAAATGTAGAGATGATCAAAAACAAAGCTGATTTATTGCAAAGATGCATGTATTAGTCCATTCTCATGCTGCTATGAAGAAATACCTGAGACTGCGTATCTTGAAGGAGCAAACATGTCCTTCTTCACATAACAGCAGGAGAGAGAAGAATGAGAGTGAAGGTGGGGAAAGCCCCTTATAAAACCAGCAGAACTTGTGAAAGATCACTCACTATCATGACAACATCATGAGGGTAACCAGCCCAATGATTCAATTACCTCCCACCGGGTTCCTCCCACTACACATGGGATTATGGGAACTATAATTCAAGATGAGATTTTGTTGGGGAAACAGCCAAAGCATATCATTCCCCCCCTGGCTCCCCCCAAATCTCATATCTTCACATTTCAAAACACAATCATGCCTTTCCAACAGTCCCCCAAAGTCTTAGCTCATTCTAGCATTAACCCAAAAGTCCAAGTCCAAAGTCTCATTTGAGACAAGGCAATTTATTTCCACCTATGAGCCTGTAAAATCAATAGCAAGTTAGTTACTTCCTCCATACAATGAGGGTACAGGCATTGGGTAAATACAGCTATTTTAAATGTGAGAAATTGACCAAAACAAAGGAGCTACAGGCTCCATGCAAGTTTGAAATCCAGCGGGGCAGTCAAATATTAAAGTTCTGAAATGATCTCCTTTGACTCCATGTCTCACATATCCAGGTCACACTGATGCAAGAGGTGGGCTCCCATAGCCATGGGAAGCTCTGCCCCTGTGGCTTTGCAGGAGACAGCCCAGCCACTGACTGCTTTCATAGGCTGGTGTTATGTGCAGCTTTTCCAGGCACACAGTGCAAGCTGTTGGTGGATCCACCATTCTGGAGTCTGGAGGCAGTGGCTCTCTTATCACAGCTCCACTAGGCAGTGCCCCAGTGTGGACTCTGTGTGGGGGCTCTGACCCCACATTTCTTTTTGGCACTGCCCTAGCAGAGGTTCTCCATGAGTGCTCTACCCCTGCAGCAAACTTCTGCCTGGACATCCGGGTGTTTCCATACATCCTCTGAAACCTAGACGAAGGTTCCCAAGTCTCAATTCTTGACTTCTGCTCACCTGCAGGCCCAACATCACATGTAAGATGCCAAGGCTTGGGGCTTGCACACTCTGAGGCAACTGATTGAAATATATGTTGGCCCCTTTTAGCCAGGGCTGGAGCCAAAGCAACTGGGGCGCAGGGCACCAAGTCCCTAGGCTGCATAGAGCCAGAGGGCTCTGGTCCCAGCCCATGAAACCATTTTTCCCTTCTAAGCCTCTGGCTGGTGAGGAAAGAGGCTGCTGTGAAGGTCGCTGACATGCCCTGGAGACATTTTCCCCATTGTCTTGGTGATTAACATTCAGTTACTCATTATTTATGCAAATTTCTGCAGCCAGAGTGAATTTCTCCCCAGAAAATAGGATTTTCTTTTCTATTATATTGTCAGGCTGCAAATTTTCCAAATTGATGCTTTACTTCCTCTTGAATGCTTTGTTGCTTAGAAATTTCTTTTGCCAGATACTCTAAGTCATCTTCCTCACATTCAAATTTCCACAAATCTCTAGTGCAGGGGCAAAATGCCACCAGTCTCTTTGCATAGCAAGAGTCACCTTTACTCCAGTTCCCAACAAGTTTCTCAACTCCATCTGAGACCACCTCAGCCTAGACTTCATTGTCCATATCACCACCAGCATTTTGGTCAAAGCCATTCAACAGGTGTCTAGGAAGTTCCAAACTTTCCCACATCTTCCTGTCTCCTGAGCCCTTTAAGTCTCTAGGAAGTTCCAAACTTTCCCATATTTTTTTGTCTTCTTCTGAGCCTTCCAAACTGTTCCAACCTCCACCTGTTACCCAGTTCAAAAGTCACTTTTACATTTTGGGGTATCTTTACAGCAGCACCACACTGTCTGTGGTAGCAATTTACTGTATTAGTCCATTCTCATGCTGCTATGAAAAAATACCTGAGACTGGGTAATGTCTAAAGGAAAGAGGTTTAATTGCCTCACAGTTCTGCATGTCTGGGGAGGCCTCAGGAAACTTACAATCATGGCAGAAGGGGAAGCAAACACATTCTTCTTCACCTGGCACAGGAGAGAGAAGAATGAGAGTGAAGCAAGGGGAAAGTCCCTTACAAAACCATCAAATCTCATGAGAACCCAATCACTATCACAAGAATAGCATGAGGGAAACTGCCCTTATGATTCAATTACCTCCCCCTGGGTCCCTCCCATCACACATGGGGATTATGGAAATTATAATTCAACATAAGATTTTGGTAGGGACACAGCCAAACCTATCAATACACAATCTAGATATATATATATATTGAAAAATAGATAATAAAAATCAAATAGCAAATCAAATAGACAAAACAATTTATACTCATTAGGGGTAGAAACTAGAAACAAAGCAGACAAGAGTTTTCATAAGGTATTCTTATGAACATATCAATCTGGATGAATTCTAGAAAAAATAAACTTGTTTTTTATCAAGAGAAATAAGAAATCAAAATTTCCCTAATGTACAAATTTTATGCTCTGACTCAAGAAAAATTATTCTTGGACACATCAATTCCAAGATGAGGCTTCAGAATTTACTTGTGTACTTTTATATGCAAAATATGTTTTGATTTTCATAAGAGAAATGGGGAAAATTAAATTGTATTATTTAAAATGAGGGTTGAGCCACTTGGACTCATTTTACCATGTGTTTCCTGAAGGTTGGGACCATAATTTGTACATCTTTGTGGCCCTAGTGTCTAGCTTAGTAAAATCTGGCACACAGGGATGCTAAAGAGATAGTTATTAAATAAATAAATGAATGCGGTAAAGTCACATGGATGGATGGATGGATACCTTTTGTAAATATGATTAGGAAAAATGTCTGCTTTTTACTTAAATATATCTATTAAAATAAGATGTTAATATTCCTATGAGATGAAGTTTTCTACATTTAAGTAAATGAATAGATTATAATCTGTTACAAGTGTGTGCTGTCAATTTAGGGAATCAGATAGCCTGGTGTTTAGGCATATCCTCCCTCTCCCCCTAGCTGGGCTCTTATTTTATTATTTTCTTCTTCCTTTCTTAGTTTTGCTTTTTTTGGTTTTCACCATTCTTGCTTACTTATTTTCAGTATTTTTTTGGGTTTTTATAGATAAGTACACAGAAAATTTAAAAAATCCCCTCTCAGTAGTTCCTTAACTATATCCCCAAACTTTAACATTTAGTACTTTCATTGTCCTTAAGTGCCGAGGACTATGTGTGGATAAGTACTAGCTCTTATCCAACCTATAGGTACTGGACTGGCTGTTAGCGATTTTGGATAGGACCTTTGTAGGAAGTTAATACTTGCCGTTCCAGGTTCATAATTGTGAGAGAGATAGAGACAGAGATCAAGAGAAGATGCATATCAACAGGGAAACATTGGAGATCCTAATGCCATCATTATTACAATCAACTCTCATTGGAGACACAGCTTGGACTA
This sequence comes from Homo sapiens, assembly GCF_000001405.40. NCBI lineage: Eukaryota > Metazoa > Chordata > Mammalia > Primates > Hominidae > Homo > Homo sapiens. The sequence continues at coordinate 30,670,617 of NC_000018.10, forward strand.
TTTGGTCAGATGGCTTGCTAATGTAGTTCCTCAAATTACACAGATTTACTCAATGGAATTTGGTATATTTGGGGATCTCTGGGTCTCTCCACAGAAACACGTCTTGCTCCACTGAGCCTCCCACACAGTGAGTAGCAGCATAGGGTAAACCTTTTCTGCAGGTAATTATTCCCAGAAATAATTAGGAGGAAAGAGCTAAGTTAAATGTATACAGACATTTTTTTTCGGACTTACCACAGAAACTTATGAAACACAGATAGAGTCAGAGGTAGTACCCAATGCCTGATAAAAGTCACTTCAGAGAGAAATAAAGTCTAGGGGGAAGGAGGTTCACAATTACTAGTGAAATAATATTCGAGGCATTTTGATTTCCTATCATAAATATTAAATTTAAGATTATTATATTTTCTACAATGAGGCATTAATCCATATTTCCAGATAAACAACAACTAAAAAATAGAAATAAAGATCAGATTAAATGGTATTCTTAGCTATCCAGTTCCTTTAGCTTCCAAAAACCAGTCATCTGAAATAGAAACTGTCTATATATGAAAGAAAAACTAATCAGAAAAGTTGTGGATGGCTAGAGAGCAAACGTATAATGCATTAATCCAGCAATTAAATTAATTGAGTCCTGAATATGTCAGATTGCTTGCTTTGCCAAAAGCAAGTCTCTGTCTTAATCAGGAACATAATTTGGTCAGGTGTCTGGGTGAGAATGGGTAATGATTTTATGCAAAGTAAAAGAAATTTAGCAGGATTGGTTCAGGCTCAGATAAAATATGTTTTTTCCTGTCTATTGTTAGGTCTTTTTCTTAAAAGAGGTAAAATAATAAAATAAAACAATGGAATTTGCATCTTTCAAAGTACTTTTTTTTACATATTCTATCCTCAGCTACTTACATAACATAAATAGAGTGGTTTTTATTTTCAGCATTGTATAAAGATTTTGAACTAATAAAAACCTAGCTGAGATGTGGCCTTTGGGGAAATTCACTTCACTTTAGCTTCCCGAACTCTTAAATTAAATTAAACATAGCTACCATTATGTAACTGACATGAGAATTCAAACAGATTTAAAAACATTGCAGCTATTCTTAGTATGAAAATTGCTCTGCAATGGAGCAAGATACTATGGTATGATATAAACAAAGTCTGGACTAGGAGCCAAAGTCCCAAGTTTACACCCTAGTTCTTTTCCTTTCTGAAGATGTCTCTTTAGGAAATTAACTTAATTTGCCTGGCCACGTGCATAATCATACAATGCATTTGATTACTTAGATAACAGTGGCAGAAAAAAAATGTCTTTCATTATGGTATTCTACGGTTATAAGCTAAAACAATATTCACTACAGTCTAAAACATCTTATTTTCATTTTTTTGGCATTTTCTTAAAATCATGGTGCTTCCTTTATGATTGTTTGTTGTTCTTAATCTATTTTTTCATTGTATGTCATATTTGTCCAGAGTAGAATTCTAGAATTTTGTGAAGGAAGATCTCATCTTCCAAGGAGTGAAAATTATGGTGGGCACTTGAAGACTTCACAAAGAGCAAAAGTAAGAATTAGTTAAAACTGGCCCCTTGGAAGTTCCCAACAGAATGTATTTGGATAAAATAAAATTTATTCATTCATCATATGTAGAATGGATCCTAACTTGAAAACCCTTCAGCCACACAAATTGAGGAAAAATAGTTTGGTGGTTCAGGAAACTGGGTTAAGAAATTTGTTTAACAAGACTGTATTTCAAATTCTGGATCTAGAGGTAGAGAATTCACCATCTGCACAATATCTAATTAAAATGAACAAAACTTGTGCAAGTATTCTGACTGCAAATGATGTTTAAGTAGAGTTGTGTCTGAGGAGTTGTATTAGTCTGTTTTCATGCTGCTGATAAAGACATATCCAAGACTGGGAAGAAAAAGAGGTTTAATGGACTTACAGTTCCACATGGCTGGGGAGGCCTCACAATTACAGTGGAAGGCAAGGAGGAGCAAGTCACATTTTACATGGATGGTGACAGCCGAGAGAGAGCTTGTGCAGTGAAACTCCCAGTTTTAAAACCATCAGATTTCCTGAGATGTATTCACTATTATGAGAACAGCACAGGAAAGATGTACCCACTTGATTCAATTATCTCCCACTTGGTCCCTCTCACAATATGTGGGAATCATGGGAGCTACAAGATGAGATTTGGGTAGGGACACAGAGCCAAACCACATCAGGAGTCAACCAGAATTTATCCATGCATACCTACCTCACTTGTAGGCAACCTCAGCAATAAAAATATAAACCAGGATCATAGAACTATAACACAAAATTCTCTGATAATGCAAATATCTATGACCTAAAATGTATGGACTAATGCCTTTACATCTGGAGAGCACTTTTTGGAAAGCTTTTACTTAAGGCCTACACTCTGTATTTTAAATCCAAAATTACCAAATGTGGTTATCTCAAATTCAAGATTAGAAATGGAGTCACTAAACGACAGTGCAAAGGAACTGCGAAAACCAGGTATACCGATTAGTTGCCATAAAATAATCAAGAAAGAGAGAGAAGAAAGAGTTTGGATTAAGTATATGAGTTATAAAAGCATAACAGTCTGTGGCCATTTGTGTAAAGCTAATCAGCCTCTGTCTCAGTGTTAGTCTCAGAGATAATCTTTGTAATAAATATGGACCTGAATAATCATCGAATTTTAAATTATGATTATTATACCCTGTCCCAAAGTCCCTTAAAGAATCTATATGAAATTTCAAACTCTACTTAAATTTTTGTAATGTAGAACCTAAAAACAAATAATACCTTTTACGGGAAGAGGTTTCCCTTAAGTGAAATGCTTCATTTCAATGTAAGTTCAGAGAAGTAAGCCATTATTTCACTCTAGACTTGACTAAACATCAGGCTTTTCAATTCTACAAAATTAACCATCAGAATTTTAAATGCATTGAATTCCATGTTGCCTTAAGACAAATAAACATTTGCTTTCCTTGTCTGATTAATTGTCTGTCTTCACCACAAGCAGGATGGCAATTTTTGTCTCCATTGTTTGCTGTTATATCCACAAGACCTAGATTTATAAATTCATGCTGGCACATAGTAAGTGTATAATATTTTTTTCTTTTGGTTTCTCATTCCTGAACATTAAAAGAGCATAAAAGACAGATCTTGTGATATCTATCTGCTAACATTTTATCAACCCCACAACATCTCTATTTAAGCCTCTGTTTTTAACTCACTCATAGCAAACTTCTTCAATTAGCAGTTCATTTCATTAAAAAATTAATAAAATATTAAATAACTAATGACTAATGATATAAATAGAACAAATAGTAATACAACTAATTCTGATGGGTTTTCTAAAATGTTAAATAAAATCAAATATTTCTCTGTATATATATATATGGTAACTTTGTTTAAATTTAAATAGAACAAATAGTAATACAAATAATTCTGATGGATTTTCTAAAATGTTAAATAAAATCAATTATTTCTCTCTCCCTCTGTCTCTCTCTCTCTCTCTATATATATATGTATATATGGTAACTTTGTTTAAATTTATTTTTTTCTTTGACCTGTTTTGTCTTTCTTCCCCCTTAACATTTAAAAAAATTAACCAACTTTTCTCACTCTATAGCTAAATAAAACAATAAAGTAATAGATTGATAGATATGATTTTAAACCTACTGACTGTACATGAGTTTCTTTATACAAAACACATGTGCATACAAACACTCCATATGAGTTATATATAATAATTTTGTGCTACTTTATAAGAAACAAAAAAGGTGCAATAGTTAATGAATTTGTGTTGTTTATCACAAAGTTTATGGTAATTTTTATTAGAAACAATAGGAAACTAATACAGAAATGTTGTGGAAATTAAGTAAGATAACTGATAGATAACTTGGCATATAATAGAGAATTAATAAGTAACAATTAGTATTTTAACTATGCTTTATTTTCTTTGGCTACTAGAACATTTTTAAATCAGCTGCATTTTTTTTTTTTTGACTACAGTTCTGTAGGATAGAAGTCTGACGTGGATATCACTAAAGTAAAATCAAGATGTTGTCAGGGCTACATTCCTTCTGGAAGCTCTAACGGCAACTCTGTTTTCCTGTGCTTGCCAGTTTCTACAAGTCACCCACAATTCTTGGCTTGTGGTCCCCTTCCTCCATCTTCAAAATTTGCAACTTTGCATTTCTTGGACCATTTTTCTGCAGTTCATTTCTTTCTGACTCTCTCATGCTGCCTTCTTATGAATCATTATGAAAACAAATCTTTCTTTGCAAGTTCATTTTGCTCTAGGACCCCTGTGACTACATTGGGCCCAACTGTAAAATTGAGGCTACTCCCCTCATTTTAGGGTCAGGTGATTAGCAAACTTAATCCAATTTGCCACCTTATAATTCATCTTTGCCATGTAACCTAACATACAGGTTCTGGGAGAATAGGACATGGATATTTTTGAGGGTCATTATTTCACCTACCACAACCCCTCTGAGGTGTGTTCAATTATCCCAATTTGCAGTGAGACTATATTTTAGCATATTGCTTCAGGATAAGGCACTAGGTATTTAGTTTCTTGGTGTGCTTATGATTGAGCGTTGTGCACGTTGAAAGTATACCATAAATATTAACACACAAAAGGTAGTTGCACAATAGTTGTTTAAAATATCAAAAACAAAAGTACACGTCAGTTCACATTTTGGCTGTAACAAAAGCCTATTTTGCTGTCAGATACTAACACTATTCACTATAATTAAACTACTACTCTTTGAAAAGAGCTACAAGACCAAAGCAGTAGTCCCATCAGTCTTGGCAGGTATCACGTTCTTACTCAGGAAGTCTGAAGTCCACTCTCACTTATCATGTTAATATTTATCATGGAAAGAATATGAAAGTTAGAATTGAATGGATCTAGGCTTAAAACATCTACCCCTTGCTAGAAAGGCAGCTTTGGACAAGTGATGTATGGTAACCTCATTAATGCAGTGGAGGTAACAATTCCTTCCTTGTAGCAATTTTGTGACTAATAAGATATTATGGATATAAAGCACCCACCACAAAGATTGACAGGTGGTAATTACCTACCTACAGTTTTAACTTCACTTATTAGATGCATCTTAACCGGTATCTTTAATTTGTGGATTTTCTGTTTATTACCCATGTGTCCTAGAAGAAGCCACATTACCACTTCGATTTTCAGTTTCTTTATCTGTAAAAAAGACCTTAAAAAAGTTGATCTGTCTTGAGAATTAAATAAAATCCTGAGTGTGAAAGAACTTGTAAACTGTTAAAAGCCAGAATTAATAAGTTATTTTGGCACAATTTACCGGTTTAAAGTTCAGGAATTCTTAAATTTTAAATGGTTATCAGTGTTCCATATATCAGAATACCAAGGGTCAATAAGCTGTCTTATTTTCAATTCTGACATTGCAGAACTATTAAAGCAAAACCCAAGAAACATTTCTGAGCCAAAATTCAGAAGTTTTTCCCCAGACTTCTAACACCAATTGTCCTCCTATGTAATACACTCTAACAAAAAAAAATTCTAGGAACTGTTCTCCAAGCACATGTCTGCAATTTTAAACAGACTCACGCTGCCATCTGCTCCTTCTGATAAGAGACTCGTCTGTCTGCTAAGAAGGTAGGGAAAAGGCTCACTAAGAAAGAATAATGCAACTCTGCAACCTCTACAGCCTCGCTGGGTGGCTCATGGACCTGCACCAACTAATTAGGGTTCAAACCAACATTTTTAGGATGTATTTGGATGGGATTTGAATTCAGTGTGACTGCGCTCTAAACAGCACTACATTCAGCTACTGGTGTAATTTGGACAATGAGCCCAGCATCTGCTACCTTTCAGCAGCAAGGCATAATGAGAGAAGTGTGATTAAGGGAATTCACCTATCTCAATGGTTTTTATGATTTTAGAAAGCTGAAATGAGAGTTGTTCTCACATAGACAAGGGAATATGTGTATGTATGTTTGTGTGTATGATGAAAGAATAATTATAACTGTGTAGCTTTCTCATATTAAGAAATACTCTAAAATTAAATGTATTTGAAAAAATCCAAATATAAAGTCTTATTCAACTTAAAAAATCTAGCAGGACTTTAATTATTAACAAGGCTATTAAACTGTGTAACCTATACAATTTATATTATGTCAACAGTGGTTTCATTGTTAGAAAGCAAATTGAAGATATTTATCCACATATATATGCCTATATATGCACAGAAAATTCCTGGGGGTATATGCATAAAAATGTTATTAACACATACCTCTGGAAATTGGAATTGAAATTTTGGTTGTTCAGAAAGATTGGATAGGAGAAATTTTAACTTTCACTTTTTACAAATTACCTTCCTGTACACTGATTATTTTAAAATCCTGAAACTACATTACTTTATACAATTAAAGAACACTCACATAATCAACAAAAGAGAATTAGAGATTAAATTCTAATTTGATTTAATCAATCTAATTTTAAAGTAATTTTGAAGTTGGAATCAGGAAACCAAACTACTTCTCTGTCTTCTATTGACAGTACTACAATTGATATTGAGTTAGTTCAACTAAATAATCTTCCTTTCTCATCAATGAAATTGGAACAATATAATCAGATCTAGTCCACTTTTCAGAAATGTGTTATAGCTCAAATTAAATTAACTATGGTATACTGTATTATGAGTGTTATTAAACCAATAAACTGTGGTCATAAATCTAGCTTCCAAGTGACTGAGGCAATTTTGTATATATCCAGATGAAATTTTCTACTTGCCTGAATAATTCAAATAATGCTAGCAACTAAACCAGCTATTAAAAATAATCATTTTAAATGAATGAGATATGCTGACAATATTTATACTTTATAATAATTATTTCATAAGATTTTAGGACAAAACATACCTGATGCTTGATATTACTATTATTCAAAATTTCACATTTGACATTTATTCACTTGGCACTTTTTTAACTCATTGGAAAAGACTAACAAAGAGAAAGGATAAGAATACACACTAGGCCCTTGACTTTTATCCATATTTTACTCTGTTTTTTTTTCCCTTAGGAGAAAAAAATCCTAATTCTTAATTTGTCTTTGTGAAAGTGTTCCAACATGGCCTTCCAGATTAATGGGAAAGTGGTCTATAAACTTCAGAGTTTCAGAGAAGGATACAGTTTCCCATTGATATGGTTTGGCTCTGTGTCCCCACCCAAATCTCATCTTGAATTGTAATCCCCACTTGTCAAAGGAGGGACTTGGTGGGAAGTGATTGGATTATGGGGGCGGTTTCCCCCATGCTGTTCTTGTGGCAGTGAGTTCTCACGAGATCTGATAGGTTATTTGTTTGTTTGTTTTGAGATGGAGTTTCACTGTTGTTGCCCAGGCTGGAGTGCAATGGCGTGATCTCAGCTCACTGCAACCTCTGCCTCTCAGGTTCAAGCAATTCTCCTGCCTCAGCCTCCAAAGTAGCTGGGATTACAGGCATCCGCCACCATGCCCAGCTAATTTTCTGTATTTTTAGTAGAGATGGGGTTTCACCATGTTGGCCAGGCTAGTCTCGAACTCCTGAACTCAAGTGATCCGCCCACCTCGGCCTCCCAAAGTGCTGGGATTAGAGGTGTTAACCTGCTGAGATCTGATGGTTTAAAAGTGTGTGGCTTCCTTCCTGCTCTCTTTCTCCTGCCACATTGTGAAAAAGGTGCTTGCTTCTCCTTCACCTTCTGCTATGATACTAAGTTTCCTGAGGTCTCCCCAGCCATGCAGAACTGTGAGTCAATTAAACCTCTTTTCTTTAAAAATTACCCAGTCTCAGGGAGTATCTTTATAGCAGTGTGAGAATGAACTAATACATCCATTTTGTCCTTTTCTTCCCTTTTAGTTTTATTCTCCAGCTAATTTTCAGCTTATCATGGGAATAAAAAAGAGCACAAATGAATGAATGAATAAATCAAAGAATCCACCAATCCTGATGGCTTTGGCTTCATGGCTTCAGCTACAGGGAAAAAAAGAAAAGAGATATTTATTTATTTCAAGGTAGAGAAAGATACGGAGTAAATGTGGCTAACAGAGACAATTCTCATGAATTTTGTAGGGTCTATGATCACCTGAGGCTTTGTGAAAGCTTAAATCCTATTCATCGTATAATAAGTATGCTTCTGCTGAAGCAAGTGGTAGATGTACATACACACACACCACACACACACACACACACACACACACCCCACACACACATGCATACACATATTTTAAACTCTTAAATTTCTATATTATAGTAGATGTGTTATAAAGATAAAAGAGAGTCATAATATTGCTAGCTGATTGTATGTATAGTACAGCTAGATTGCTGTATGCATTGGTGAAAATGTCAAAATGGAATAATGGAAACAATAATAGCAAAAATGTCCCATGCAGGGGAAAGGGTTCCTCTTCTTTGCACGGGCTTTTATTTTTTTCCAGCCAATGACAATCTAATAACAAGCTAATAGCTAACATATTTCTAATACCTCTCCCCAAACAAGGCCACAGAATTTTGTACCTATTATTTCATAAATCTCCAGATTTCTCTGAGCTTTGAAGAAACTATGTATTATTATATTCACTTTGCTTTCCAGAATCAAGACACAAAGAAGGAAAATATATATTCTAAGAAAAACAGCAAGATGACTAGAGGGCTTAAACTTCATCTCACAGAGTCTGTGATTTTTGTTTGTTAGTTTAGGATTTGTTTTCACACGATATCCACATAGTTCCTGAAATTTGTAGAACGATAGCATCAGTATTACCTGGGAATCTATTAAAAATTAGAGTCTGAACCAGACCTGCTGAATCATCACCTGCATTATACCAAAATATCCAAATGACATGTACGCTCACTGAAGTTTGGCAAGTAAGGAACTATTATATATAAAAGGCCTAACAATGTTTTAAAAAATTCTCCTTACACATATGTGAGGCAGACACAGAGTTGCTATTTACCAAATTAAATTCTCTTTTTTCTAAGCACTTGGAGAGATTACCTTCTCTCTTGTAGTTAGACGTGACCATGTGATAGAGTTTTGGCCGGTTATAATGGACACCAGTGATAAAGGCTCCCTTTAGTCTTAGCTCACATGACCCTGTGCTCTTTATCTCTCTCATTCTTATCTCAATGTACAGAGTGACTGGGGAAGTAAGGCACTAAAGTTAGCAGAGCCTCCACCAGCTTGGATCCCTAAACAACCATCTGGAGTAGAGGCCCTTTCCATACCTACCTCCAGAAGCCTTGGACTTCTGGAGGTGAGTGAGAATAAAAATTACCTTGTATTAATTAAGCTATACAATTTCAGAATTGATGTGTTACAGAAGCCACTATTGCACATTTTAGAGGCAATCCTTACATTTTAAAAGTAGTGGCTTGAACTGTGACACTGTTAAAAGAACGCTAGATAAATAATATTAGGCTAGCTTTGGCCCTTTCTTCTGAATGAGTGCAGGCCTCGTAATTCCTTTGGACTCTTTTCCTGTCATGTTTCTCTTTCTTCATGACTTCCTCACTCATCTATCCTTAAAATATATTATTTATGGTCTCTTAAATTCTAGAATTCTTTATTCGCTCATTATTTTCATTTTGAAAGTCAGAGAAAATTTAGAGACAAATCATTTGTTATGGTACCAGTTTTGCAGATGTACAATGAATGACCCCTGCCCTATGTTATTACTTATGAATAGCACTGGAGAAACTATGGCAATTTATAAGTGTATTAGCATGTCTTACTCATTGTTCTTTTACGGAATGAATTTAATAATTCATGTATCTTCTCAGAATGTTTGTTTAAACATTCTTACTTATAACAGTCCTTGTTATAAGTAAGACTTTCCACTTGTGGAAAAATTAGAAATCCCCTCTGGTAGAAAAATTACCTTTTATGATTGACAGAGTTTTAATAAATGATTTATAATTAGCTCTCTGATTTCCTGTTACTACTGGTTTTCTTAAACACACCACACTTGCAGACATAGATACAAATGCAGTTCCTATATCTGAAAGAACTCTGCATTCACATGGAGAAAATGATCTGAAATGGAGGATCATTACAAACCTTTTACAAATATTTTTCTGTAGAATAAAACCATCAAGCCAGCAGTGGCTGATTATGTACTAGACAGCTCAAGCCATTTGCCAGCCATTCACTAATAATGACATTTTATTTGCAGATGTGAAGACTTTAGTGCAAAGAAGAGAAAGGAGGTACTAATAGAAAAACATTTCAGAGTTTTCCCAAAAAATTAGAGTTTTTTAAGGAAAAGAGTAAAATTGAGTGTTAGATTATTTCTTTTATCATGTTTATTTACAAAATATACACAAACTAAAACATAAAGCAACCAGTATATTAACAGCCATAATTAGTATAGATTTGTTCATGCTATTTAAGCTAAATTAATATAAAAATAAGAGTATTTTGAAGATTTTGAGGTTTTTTTTAATACTATGGGAGTTGCCCCATGTTTTCTGTAAATAAATTTTTAATGTAAACTTAATCCCTGTTCCAAGACTCTAAGCCCATGCTTACTTTGAGTTTCCTCATTCCACAGTCATAAAAAACTTATAAAAATAAATAAAAATGATAGAAACATAAAACAATAAATAAATTTTACATGGAGGTTACTTGGAAATACTAGAAATATTGTTGGTCAGTCATTAAGGACTATTTCTCAAAAAGCTTCATCTTTGTTCATTTATTGGTCTACAAGGGCTAGGAACTCCAAGGATCAGGTCATACTGCAAAAAAATATACTCTTAATCATGATCATCCATTTTAGATATTTGTTATAAAAGTAAATTTACTGGATATATTGTGCCTTGGGATTCCACAGTATGAGTTATTTTGGGTTAAGTTTGAAACTGTGGGGGCTTTTTGTGTTTTTCTATTACTTAGAGGTTTATTTCTACATGAAGATGTGGCAGAAAATGTACTGGGATTTATTTTTTAAATAATCTTCAAAAAATTTTTAAGGGCTATTATTTTCATAATATTTAAGTGCTCCATTTGTGTCTTTTTATTTATCCTGCTTCATCTTATACCTTAGGATACTTAAACACATTATGTAACCATCCAGCTTCTTTCTCTTCTTCCTTTCAGTACACCTTTCAAAGTTTTTTAAAACTCAGACACAAGTCAAGCTATCTCTGTCAGATACCAAACCCAGAATCTGCTGCCTCTTCAGAGCCTTTACCAGTTATCCCTGGCAATCCACTGCTTTTGCTTGGCTTTGCATGCCAGAATCCCGTGATTCTGGGTACCTCCTACTCAGGGTCACTCTGGATAATCTGGCCTGTGCAGACTTTTTTCTAACATCTCACATCCACCCTCACCCTACACTGCTGCCTCCTGCCTTACCAAAATATATCAAACCTACCTCCTTCAGCAGTCATTCTTAAAGTCTTGATTCATGAGAACTTTGTGACCCTTCCACTAGAAAACTGGAAATTTTGTACAAACATACAATTCTACTTATAATATTATTAATAAAAAGTCCACAGACTGCTTAAGGTATTTACATTGACTTCTGGTTAAAAACCTCCATTTTAAATTGTTTGACATGATTGCTTAATTAATTCTTGCTTTTTAGCTTTCTCCCTTAATTGGAATAAACACTTGCTGCTCTGCTTGCCCTTTTGCAACTCATCTGCTCAAATAATTGGGTGGGACTTGGAGCATGGCACCCAAAAACGAAACAGTTTTGAGAATCATTTCCACCTCCAAACTCCATAAAAAATAGCCACACTGTCTACTCAAAGCCCACTACTCAAAGCCCACCACTCCACAAAGCTAAACAGACTTACCTTCTCTTCCGTTGGAGCATTTTGCTTTCCCTCATTCAGCTTATCAAAACTATGGCAACTTTTCCAAAGTGCTCTCCCTCTTCCTATATCTTTTTGTTCTCTGGTAAATTTTAAGATAGAAGCAGGGAGAAATAAATAAACATCTTTACAAGAGCAATGTAATCTGCCTGTGCTGTATTTATCCTTCAATAATCTTGGAACAAAATGGTCTGCTTGAGAGGAAATGTAAGAAACCTTAATCGGGGTTTTGGAACTTTTAAACCAAACAGTGCTGTCACAGCAATTGATGGTCTCCCATTGAAGACTTGACTCTGTGGTTGTTTTTCTTCTTCAGCAAGACATTATAAGTAAATCCCTTTGTTCATTCTTAAGATGTGAAGACACATCAGAAAAAAAAAATAAAGAGGGAAATAACATTCCTCTCTTTTCTAGGAAACTAAATAGGGATTTGTGTTTGTAATGTTTGTGGTTTGGCAGACCCATATCCAAAGAAGAAAAATAAGTATTTGTTAGTTTCCAAGGGAGAAACATTTGTATTAGGCAATCCAACTCATTTGTCTGAGAGAAAAGCCTTAAAGAATGTAATACATTCTTTTATGATTGAGATCCAAAAAAGAATGGGACTGAGGTCCTGGAAAGAGAATCTTGAAAGAAAAATGGAACAGATCTGAGTCCAGATACAGCCAGACTTCTCACCCCTATCCCAATATAGGTAACAAGCTTTGTTTGTGACCCAGAAGGGCCCAGAGGCAGTAAACTGGGGAAAAAATATTTTGAGGTACACCACTTGTTTACACTAGAGAACCCATTCCAAATTGCCCCACCATGTAAGGAGGTTTATCAATGTTTCCTCATTTTGTTGTCACCATTCAGTCGTCTTATCACCATGTTAGGATAATTTCAGAAAAGTATTCCATTATGTTTGAAGACATAGAGAAATAGTCACTACTTAGCTATTTTATTACCATGTTAGTATAATTTCAGAAAACTATTTCATTATGTTTGAAGACTGGACACATAATGGTTTGAGGGGGATGCCTAAGTTTCCAAAATGTGTGGACATAATTTGATAAATTGATGTCTTATTCTAGCAATCAAAATAATGAATACATCTTTTATATGTACTATATTTTAAGAAATGTACTAATGTAATTTCTACTATTATTTCCAATTCAAACAAATATTTTGAATTAGTAATGTGTGGTAGGCATGGTGTATGCTATGGGCATGTACTACTTCTAATTCTGACAAGGGAGTACCTTGAGATAGGTATTATTATTTTCATTCAGACTGATGAACTTATGATTCCTCGGGTTAATTAATTTGCCAAGGGTCAAACAGCTATTAAGCTGAAGAGCTGTGGTTTAAATCAATGTACATGTGTGATGCTTATTTCTACAGATAGTTAGATGCTTGTATGTCATATTGATTTTTCACCTCCAAATGAAGCATCTACTCAAGCTGTTAAGATGGAATTATCATTGTTGATAGCTCACACACTTTAAACCTCATCATATTTTATTCTTAGAACTGACCAACTTAAGTAACTGGATATTTATGTGGTTGTACTTCTCTTGCTCATCCCCGCGGACTGGGTACATGAATATAAGCCAGTTTTATCTCATGTTTAAGAATCAGACTCTTTGTCTTCCCTATTCCTTATAAGGATTTTTTAAAAAGAGACAATATTATTCTTAGAAAGGTACCATCATATGACTGGAGTTGGGCAATCTCATTGAGCAGAATTATAGTAGGTGGCTTATGGCCATCTCCTGTAAATACCACCTTCCAAACAGAATCTTAAGCCTAAATTCCAAATCCTAAGTCTTCTTAATTGTAAACTAAAAGTAAAATTATAAACTCCCTGCAGCTGACTGAATGGATCCCCGCTTGGCCAAGTGAATCCCAGAGAAACTTTAAAAACTGAATTTCTGGTGATGATGGGACAGAAGAAAAGACACTCCTAGTTACAACTCCCTCCCTTTTGTGGTTTAGACATAACTGACCGTAATTAATGTTAAAATACAGAAAAGACCGACAGACTGGACCAAGCCTATATCAGGCAAGGGATAAGTCATACCCCTTGCACTTAAAGAATGAATTATGTTCTAATCGCCACAAGGTATTTTCCCCCTTTTTCTGTGCTAAACAAGCACTGGACTTGAGATAATCAATCTTGAAACAGCTGCACTTGCCAACCAGCAGTTACTGACAAACTGAGGCCCCTGTTCCAAAAGCCATAACTATAGCTTCAACTGGACAAGAGACAAATCAGTCTCTTGAAATCACAGTAACTTCCTCCTGAGAAGACCACCAAACACGGACTGGTTATGGCCAGTTTACAGAGGCTGTACACTTGAGTGCCTTTTTTGTCCTGAAAATATCTTTTGACACATAGGGTCTAACTGTAATACATTTGAATGTTAATTCTCCACTCAAAGTTGAACACAGAATGCATGTAACATGTAGCTTGCTTAACATTCAGGCACATTACCCCCTTTTCATGAATCTTCACAGCTCTTCCTATATCCTGTTGAATATGTATACTAGGCCAAACCATTCAGCTTAAATTCCTATTACCCCTCCCTTCCTTGAAGTGCTTGCTTTCTGTATTTAGCCAGAGGCTGTGTTTCCTGCCTAAAGGTTGTAATCCTTCTTAAGAAATAAAGCCCTCCTTTTAAAATTTTTGAGTTGATACATTTCCAGATTTTTAAATTTTGTTTTGTTTTGTGTGACAGGGTCTCACTCTGTCACCCAGGCTGGAGCGTAAAGGCTGCATCATAGCTCACCACAGCCTTGAGGTCCTGGGCTCAAGCAATCCTCCTCCTCCCTCAGCGAGTAGCTATGACTACAGGCACGCCCTACCATGCCAGCCTGGGTTTTTTTTTTTTTTTTTTTTTTCATGACAAGGTCTTGCTATGTTGGTCCTGGCCTCAGCTTTCCAAAGCACTGACATTACAGTTGTAAGCCACCTTGCCCAGCCTAAATTTCCAGTCTTTAGCCACCCACCCCTTCCTTCATTACTCATAACTGTGCCTTTTATCTTGTTAACATCCATAACCAATGCATTGCAGAAATCTTAAACTCTAATACCAGCTGCACAACTATGTCATTCTCAACACACTTGTCCATCAAACTCAGAAACTTCCAATCCCCAGATTGCCAGGTTCTTATCCAAGTATAATACCCACTTGGCTCTTCGTTCTTTTTTTGTTTGTTTTTTAATATTGGAATCTGTAACTGAACATTTGAACTAATCTGTCAACAATATACTGCACTTTCTTGAAGCTTTACTATTTATTTGAAACTCTTCTGCAAAACTCTACCCATGGGTCATTTGAATCAACAATAGAACCCCTTTTGTTTTTTGGGGGTTTTTTAAATTATTATTCCCATTACTGAATGCTTTTATATAGATTATAACTAAACTGACATTTATATAGTACCAGTAAAATTGCAATATGTTTCAATTACAATCTTAGATGGGCCTATCAGTCATTTTACTTATTCTTATTTATCTCATTCTGTCATTCCCTTCAACTATTCCAAAAATTCACCTCTCCTCTCAAGCCATTTCAACCTCTACCAACTTCACTCTCAGCAGACAACCTCAAATCATAATCTTTAAGTTTGTTTTCATTTTAACTTCAAATAAATCTACAACTGTTTTGAGCCCCTCAAGACTTAACTACTGTCAATCAGAATACTTACTGATAACATAAACAGTTTACACTCATTTTACATTTTATATTCTATACTGTATTCTTATGATAAAGTCAGCTAGAGAAAGGAAAATGTTATTAAAATCACAAGGAAGAGAAAATACATTTACTATTTATTAAGTGGAAATGGATCATCACAAAGGTCTTCATCCTCAATATCTTCATATTCTGTAGGCTGAGGAAAAGAAGAAAGAGGAGGGGTTGGCTTTGCTGTCTCAGAGGTGGCAGAAGTGGAGGAGGTGGAAGGGGAAGTAGCAGAGACAGGAACATTCAGTGCATCTTTTGTTGAAAAAACTTCACATGTAAGAGGACGTGTGCAGTTCAAACCCATGTTTTCAAGGATCAACTGTATATTGTTGCCATCCTTACCCCTGCTCCTCAGTTGGAAATATAAGCTAGTAATGCAATCTGCCTCATACTCCCGTGGTTCATTTACCAGTGCCTTTGATATCAAGAACTCCTATCCTTTTAATTTTTTTACAGCTTTGTTCTATCAGCCCAGTTCCCTCCTCAGTTGTTCCTTTTACAACCTATAAACACATCCAAATCTCTACTTCATCTTCAAAAATAGCTCTTTTAATCGTGTACCCATTTTATGCTCCTGAACAATCTTTTTGCTTTCTCATACAAATGTCTAAAAGATGTGAGCGCATTTTTTATTCTCACCTCACTTTCACTCAACTAACTCCAATAGTTCAGCTTCTATCACTAACATACTCCCAAAGTAGAACTTTTTAAGGTCACTAAAGATGTCCTGATTCCTACATCCCAGGAACATATTCATCCTAATTCTACTGGATCTTGCTAACTGCATTTGCTACTTGTTCATTTCCTTCTAAGCATTTCTTACATCCTTGGCTTCTGTGATTCTCTACTTCTGATTTTCCTTGTACTCCTCCAATAATTTCTATTCTGTCACTTAAAAAAAATGTATACTCTGCCATCTCTATAAATGCTTTTTTCTCCTGGGGTTCTGTGATCACCTGCTCTTGTATTCTGTTTGCTCTTCCTCATCTGCTCTCATGATTTTAACACTAATCTATATTGGCTACTATTCAATTTCTATATCCACATCCTATTTCTACCCTATCTTTAGACTTATATAATAAAATAAGTCTTAAATAGTGGTTAAGAGAGAATGTTCTTCAGCCAGATTGCATAGATTTAAATTCTGACTTCACTCCTTAGCTATGTGATTCTGAGCAAATTACTGTATATCACTGAAACTTTATTTCCTTATGTGTAAAATGGAGGTAATGGTAGTATCTGTTCAGACATTTAATATATGAATATACATAAAATGCTTAGGGTAATATCTGAGGCAGGACACTTCTCCTGGTGGTGTTGGACTGACCCACTTTTCTTTCTTTTCTCACTTGTCCCTAAGAATAACTCTAGAATGTCCTGGGAATGCAAGATCCTAAGATTGGGAAGAACTGGGTGAAACAGCCCAGGCTTTGTTTTATTTCTCTCTTAGAAACAGGGTGTCCTTTAATGCTTTGGCCCAGTGAGTCACATTCCCCTGAGTATATAACCTGGGGCCAGCTGCTTCTCACGGTTCCTCAGCCTTAGTGCAAGTGGGCAGCACAGTCAAGACTCCATTTGCCCTGGGCAGCTTTCCTGAGCCCTAGGGGACTCGCTCACAGAATCTTAGGATTTTGGTTGTTCCTTGCCAACTGTCTGTAAGTAATAAACCCATTTCATGTAACTTGCTGTATGTGTGGTTTTTCTGTGTCACGGGACTCGGTGAAGTTGGTAGCCAGTGCACAATCGGTTTAAAGCCTGGAGCATTGAAAGGACATGTGTGCTTAGATGCCTCACAGTTATCTCAAATACGAAACGTTCGAAGTTCACACCATCTTCTTTCCATCTCAGCTATCATCTGGCCAGTCATGCGAACTGGAAAACTGGGGGCCATTCTTTCTCTCTCAAGAGCACCTCAATTCTAATCAATTTCCAGATTAACCTGTTTTCATCTCACAAATATTTATTGGATCTATATTCTCTGCACACTCCTTTTCTATCTGTCTTTTTTAAATTTACAAACTTGTCGTTCTCTATCTGATCATCAATATAAACATTTCTGAAGAATTGTCCTAGCCCTTCTTCTGTTCTCATTCTATAGTCTCTCTTCAATAAATTCCACTCACACAGAGAGATTTACTTCTTTTTTATGCAGAAATTTACTAAATTTATTTTTATCCCATTCTATTCTTCTAATCACCATATTTATATGTCCACCTGACTCATTGACATAATGATTTATGTATCTTAAAGGTATCTCAAGCTTCTATATTAAATCTGATTCTTCCTTTAGTCCCCTCGTCACTTACTGGCACCAACATTCATCAGTTTTCACAAAACAGATACTTGTGTGCTGTTCTTGACTTCCCAAACATCTAATTTATTACCAAGTGTCATTTTATTCTACTAAATACTAAATATCTCTTAAACCTGTGTATGTGTCTCCATTTCCACCCCTGTCACTGTAGGCCAGCTACCATCCTCCCTCAACCAAACTGCTTGGAGAGCTTTCTCAAAGGTTCCTTGTGTTCTCTCTCTCCCTTTTCCAATCCGTTCTTCCTAGTGGGCTGCCCATTGCCAGCACTGTCTGAAGCTAGTAGTGTTTGAAGCTAATGGTGACTGAAATCCAACCCGTGTCAGACTTTTCATCATAATCCTTCAATTGCTTGATATTGGTATTAGAATAAATAATAAAATTCTCAATCTGATGAATAAAGAACTCTGTTATCTGACATCTTTCTCACTCTTCAGCCTTATTTTGCCTCTAGCCACGTTTGATTCTGTGTAACACAACACTTTCTGTATTGTAGCTTTATTAACACTTTTCACCAGACCTCAGTTATAGCATGTTACCTCCAACTGTAGAGACTTCACATTGAACACCTTGTTTCAGCCACCACTTGTGCTCCTCTCCACTTCTCATGGCATGGTCAGCACATGCTTTGATCAGCTTTCAACAGGTGTATTTGATAGAACTCACTGTCTAGGGCCTTCCCTAATGCCAGCATTTGAATACTCATAGGGAGAATTCTGAAATGCACTTCAGAAGGTCACGGCAGTATCACATACTAGTTGCTTCCCATGGAACCAACACAATAATGTTTATTTCTATTGATTGGACTTTTCTCTGTCTTTGTTTTCACTCTCTATTCCCTCACTTTTGCTCCCTGGGATCACTAAGAAAAACATCTGCAAGGAGGTATTTGCCCCAGGCATTCCTCTGAAGGTAATTCCAGCTAACACACACGGGCTACTCCCTATGGTAGGAATCTTTCCACCACCACCTTCAGGAATTAACACTCAGTAGTGCTTTGGATCTTGCCATGAAGATCTTCACTATCTCAATACTCCCATCTCCCCTTCTCTCATCACAACTAAGGCTGCCATTGCTTATATAAGACAAATTATATATAAAAAAAGATGTGGTTGTGTTCTAATAAGACTTATTTACAAAAACAAGTATCTAGTAGTTTTCTAGACCTGCCATGACAAAGTGGCAAATACTGGTGTTTTTAAGCAATGGAAATATATTGTCTCAAAATTCTGGAGTAGAGATGTTTGAAATCAAGGTGCTAGCAGGGCAATGTTCTCTATGAGAGAGCTAGAGGACACTTTCTTGCTTTTTCTTGCTTCTGGTATTTGCCAGAAATCCTTACAATTCTTTGGCTTATAGATGCATCACTTCAGTCACACAGCAGTCTTAGCCTGTGGGTCTTCATGTCATTTTCCCTCTGTACTTGTCTGTTTCTGTATCCCTATAAACATTTTTTTTAACAGAGACACTGGTCATATTGAATTAGGGCACACCTAATAACCTCACCTTAACTTGACTACTTCTGTAAAGACTCTTTTTCCAAATAAGGTCACATTCTGAGGTACTGAGGATTAGGACTTCAACACATCATTTTTAGAGGACACAATTCAACCCATAACAAAGCTGCTAGTCAGATTTGGCCTGGGAACTACAGTTTGCCAATTCCTAATTTATGTGATTTCCTTTTAAAATCTGTCTCTCTCACTATGCTAAAATAGTCATGAGAACAGGGAATGTGTCCAATTTTGTTTAACATTGTATTTCCAGGAGTTAGGTTGTTGCTTGACAAAAATAAAACACAATAAATTTAACTGCAAAAGTGTCATAATTCAATCCCCCAAAACTCACACTGGATTACAAGGGAGGTGCCCTAAGTGTTGCCCTTGCCTACATTTCAGTTTATTTAAAATTCATGGTCTACCAAACAGATAGAGTTACCTTTCTTGAATACCAAATTAATACGTTTTCTGCCCTATATAAAATTTCAACTTGTTTATATCTCTATGGATAAATTCTAAAGTTTTTAAGATGGCATACAAAGTTATCTATTTTGTGAATATTGGCTATCTGGCGAGACTTATCATCTATCATTCTCTGAAGCAGGTGAAATATACCAAGCTAGTTTATATTTTAGACTTTTGATTTAGATTGCTTTCTAGGACTGGAATTCTTGGCCTACCCCTTTGGTCTAATCACCAATTAAAGCAAGAGTTGACTCTGATATTATATATCCCAAGAGATTTTTTCTAGTTTTCCAATGATGGGTTAAGTACACATCTTTATTATTCCTACAAATATTTTATACATATTTGTCACTGTACTTCCCATAATATTTTTAAATCATTTGTTTCTACTTTTGTCTCTACTAAACCATAAATTTCTTATAAGATTTTATTATCTATCTTCATGGTACTTTATATATTCTTGGCACAAGGTAGGCATGTTAAGTAAACGTTTATTGAGTAAATAAACACTTAATGAAAGAGGAAAGAGTATTGGTTTTAAGTTTTAAACATTTACTGAATCTCCCACCACGTGCACTTGACCATTCAAAGTGAGATGGGACAGAGAGCATTAAAGTTTGACTTTCCTCATCTTTAGATGTTCAAAACTATTTCTTCCAACAAATCCTTTTTACATGGCTGGCCAACAGGGGCAACCAGATAAAGTTACTTCCCAGACATAGAAAGACTAGAGGAAAAGTAATATGTCAATGCAGAGGAAAATAATGTGTACTAAGTCCAGGCCTTCAGCATTCTGAGCTGGACACCACCTCTTACCTCTTTTTCATGCTTGTGTGTTAACTTCTAAGGTAATTCCATTGTTCTCTCATTTTCAGTAATATAAATAAGCAGCATTGATACAACTGACAAAAGATATTTTAGAAGTTTCTAATCGCCGATGAGTTGATTTTTCATCTTACATAAATAAATTAGAGAAATGCTGTAAGAGCTAAAAATAAAATGACAGGAACATAATTTTTTTAACAATTATTTTAGGTTCAGGGCACATGTGAAGGTTTGCTATATAGGTAAACTTGTGTCACGAGATTTGTTTTACAGATTATTTCATCACCCAAGTATTAAGCCTAGTATCCAATAGTTATTTTTTTCTGCTCTTTTCCTCCTCCCACCTTCCACCCTCAAGTACACCCCAGTGAGGGACATAAAGTTTTAAAAATGAAAAATATAAGATGGAAAAACAATTGGCTTTGGACAGCTCTCGGATATTTTCCTACCAGTGTGCATTTTAACTTGCAAATAGAAATATTTTTGACAATTTTCAGTTACAGACAGGCCACTTACCAAATATTATCTATTTGTGAAGAAGCAATCATGAAAGGCCATTTCATGGTATAGAGTCAGAATTAACTAGGGAATCACAGCTGACATTCAGTGTTATGCAGAGCAGAAAGAAATATGCTGAAAGGCTATATTTTGAAGTTTGTATATTGTACTAAAAAGAAGAATATAAAAATAGAGATGCTCCAAAAGAAACAAATCTTTTCAGGAAAAAATGCACCACCTATGATATAAATATGTTTTCATTCAACCAGTAAAAATACTTTAGATAGACAGAGGGAAACAAATCCCAAGGGTATTTTTTCTTTTTAGAAATTCCTTTTTTTTTTCAATAATAAAGAAGTCAAAGACCAAGTATAAAGGCCCAATTCCATCCAAAGTATATAATTTTATGAGCCAAAAGTGAGGCTTTATAAAATACTTTCTTTGTACTTATTCGACTGTTTCTACAAAGGGAACTCATATTTGGCTCTTTATTTTCTTTTATAATAACCTGGGAAAATGATAAAAGACAAAAATGATGAAAGCTGCTAAAGCTTTGGAAACTATTTTAAAATGGTTTTTTCATCAACTTCCATATACCCATGCAAGTGGCACTTTGTCAAAGTAATCTATTAACTGTATGAATAGACTTGCTACAGGAGACCTCATGTTAATTCCTTAAAATTAAGAATTTATTTATGTATATGTATATATACTTGGACACATTGGTCTTTTAAAAAAATTGTCTATAGAATTTTTTTAGAATGCCATTTCTTTTTACTCACATTAGTACAATTCAACAGCATGCTGGTTTTCAGTGTTCCATGATTGTGTTTATTATTTATTTTGGTGTGTATTTTGTTGCACATCAATTAGTTTCTAAAGTCCTAAGAGTTGGATGAAGTCAAAAAACATCAGTGATGTCATGGAAGCATGTCTGAACATCTGCCTGTGCTTACATTCTCCAAAGCAAATGTTAGTCAGCTTTTTAATAATTTTTCTTAAACTTTTGTTTTAGGTATGGGGTACACGTGCAGCTTTGTTAAATAGATAAACTCGTGTCATGGGGGTTTGTTGTACAGATTACTTTGTCAGCTGAATACTAAGCCCAGTACTAAATAGTTACTTTTCCTGCTCTTCTTCCTTTTTGCACCCTACACCCTCAGGTAGGCCCCCGGTGTCTGTTTGTCCCCTTTTTGTGTCCATGTGTTCTCATCATTTAGCTCACTTTTATAAGTGAAAATGTGCAGTATTTAGTTTTCTGTTCCTGTGTTAGTTTGCTAAGGATAATGGCCTCCAGCTCCATCCGTGTTTCTGCAAAAGACGTGATCTCATTATTTTTTATGGCTGGAAAGTATTCCACGGTGTATATGTACCACATTTTTGTTATCCAGTCTTCCACTGATAGCCATATAGATTAATTCCATGTCTTTGCTATTATGAATAGGGCTGCAGTGAAGATACACGTGCACGTGTCTTTATGATAAAACAATATATATTCCTTTGAGGTATATATCCAGTAATGGGATTGCTGGGTCAAATGGTTATGTTTGTAGTTCTTGGAGGAATCACCGCACTGCTTTCCACAGTTGTTGAACTAATTTACACTCCTGCCAACAGTGTATAAGTGTTCCCTTTTCTTCACAGCCTTGCCAGCATCTATTATTTTTTGACTTTTTAATAATAGCCATTCTGAAGCTTGTGAGATAATATCTAATTATGGTTTTCATTTGTGTTTCTCTAATGATCAGTGATACTGAGCTTTTCTTCATATGCTTTTTGGCCACAGGTTTGTCTTTTGAAAGTGTCTGTTCATGTCCTTTACTCACTTTTAAAGGAATTGTTTTTCTCTTGAAATTTATTCAAGTTCCTTATAGTTACTGGATATTAGAGACTTTTGATAGGTACATAGTTTGTGAATATTTTCTTCCATTCTGTAGATTATCTCTTTACTCTATTGAAAGTGTCTTTTGCTGTGCAGAAGCTCATATAATTAGATCTCATTTGTCCATTTTTGCTTTGTTACAATTACTTTTAGTTTGTCAAGAAATCATTGCATGTTCCTATGTCCAGAATGGTATTGCCTAGCTTGTCTTCCAGGGTTTCTATAGTTTTGGATTTTACCTTTAAGTCTTTAATCTATCTTGAATTAATTTTTGTATATGGTGTAAGGAAAGGATCCAGTTTCAATCTTCTGCATATGCCTGGCCAGTTATCCCAGCACCATTAATTGAATCTATTTCAGGGATGTCAGTGACTTGTAGATTCATTCTCTTTACATAATCCCATATTTCTCAAAGGTTTTGTTTGTTTCTTTTTATTATTTTCTCAATTCTTTTGTGACTGTCTTATTTCAGAGAGCCAGTCTTCAAGCTCTGAGATTCTTTCCTCAGTTTAGTCTATTCTGCTGTTAATAGTTGTGATTGCATTGTGAAATTATTGTAGAGTGTTTTTCAGCTCTATCAGGTTAGTTATGTTCTTTTCTATACTGGCTATTTTGTCTGTAAGCTCTTCTATCATTTTATTGTGATTCTTAGCTTCCTTAGATTGGATTTCAACATTCTTCTGAATCTCAATGATCTTTACTCCTATTCATATTCTGAATTCTATTTCTGTCATTTTAGCCATCTCAGTCAGTCCAGTTAAGAACCCTTGCTAGAGAGCTAACATGGTCATCTGGAGGAAAGAAGGCACTCTGGCTTTTTGAATTGTCAGAGTTATTGGGCTGATTATTTCACATCCTTTTGGGCTGGTGTTCCTTCAGTCTTTGAATTTGCTGTCCTTGGGGTGAGGTTTTTTTTTTTCTTTTTAAATTCTAGTTGATGAACTTCAGGATCTGATTGTGTTATAAGGTGGCTTTGCTCAACAGGTTTCATTACTGGAAGATTTTAGGGGGCCAAGCTTCAGCTCAGGATTCCTGAATTGTATGGACAGCATGCTCTAACTCTGGGGGACTGGTATAGGGCACCAGCTTTGTTCTCAGGCTCCTCTAGGTTAGAAACCTGATGTATTGGAGAGGCTGAATTGCTCCCAGACTGCTGGTCACAACACTCCAGTGGATGGTGTGAGCCAAAGCACTTTGTAGGGCAGCGGCAATGGGATCTGTCTTTATTTACTGGTGCAAGCAGCAGTGGCTAGTGGCAGCGTGGCAGGGTGTGCACTTGTCGGCTATGGCAGTATGCTAACAGGTGCCAGGGTGCTGACTTTCATGCAGGTGTTCACAGCAACAACAGTGGCAGTATGGCTTGAGATGGGGCCCTCACTGGCAACTATGCATGTGGTTGCACCAGTGGTGGTGTTAACACAGGGGTGGGCCCCTGGTAGATGAAGAACTGTGTGCAACCTTTGTGCACATTCATGCTGGCATGTTGCTGCTCAGGTCAGGGGAGGGTACATTGTTTTCCATGCCTATTTTTGGGCCAGTGGCAGTGTCAACATAGTGGTGGGGCACTGGGTTGGCCAAGGCTGGCAGGCTCCTTGCTTGGCAATGCCCCAACAACAGTGATGATGTGGTGAGGGGAGCAGGGGCATGGTTCACTCATGCCAGCAGCAGTGGCATGGCAGGGTACCTGCATACATGCACACTGGCAGGGCAAGGAA
Source organism: Homo sapiens (assembly GCF_000001405.40). NCBI lineage: Eukaryota > Metazoa > Chordata > Mammalia > Primates > Hominidae > Homo > Homo sapiens. The sequence continues at coordinate 30,695,400 of NC_000018.10, forward strand.
GGGAAGGTCTGCCTGTGCCCACATCTGTGCAGGCAAAGCAATGTAGGAGGTGTCCACGGGTGACTCCCTGCAGAGAAAACTGGCACAGAGGAGACTACAGTAGAGGGAGGATGCAGGCAGGCTGGTGCATGTCTTCTAGGGCTGCTCTGCTGGAGGACTCTTCCAGTCAGATGTAGTCCACCAGGGCAGGATCTATGATGCAAGCCCCCAGGAGGTACCTGGGGGCTGCACTGCAAAGAAGCACATCCAGGCTGAGGCCTGGGGAGAGGCCAGCAGACTGAGAGGTCCTCAGTTTGGGCTGGCCCCGTCTCAAAGGCAAGACTGCCCTGCAGAGTTCAAATCTGACAGTTCTCCTAGGCCTAAAGTCTCCTATGGGAGCAAGTCAAGCCTAGGAAGACGGGCATCCCTGGCCATGCTCCACTACAGATGCTCCTGCACCAAACCCTTTGGGCTTCACACTGGCTGGAGTTCTGCTCCTGTCACTTCTCTGAGAAGCTTTCCCTGTCAACTCTAGTGTCTGTAGGAGTTGTTGGGTCTCCTTCTGCCAAGATTCTAGAGGCCTGGGACAAGAGGGAGTTGCTTCTTGCTTGTTCAACTCACCCCCTCCACAGGAGTCACTGGGGGCCAATAACCAGTCCTAGTATGCAGTAGCCCCATGCAGTGTTCCCAGCTTCCTCCCCTTTCAGCCCAGTATCAATGTCTTCCCTCCATCTGCTCTCAGTGCCTTCCCTCTGAAGATCTGCTAGACGTGCACCACTTTTCCCCATGCCCTGGTCCTTCAGTGGGAGATGTTCCTCCTGGCTGCATCTAATCAACCATCTTAGAGGAGGTTCCAAAATACATATTTCACAGATCTGTCTGAAATGAAACTGGTTTCTAGACAAACGTTTCCTATGTCAGAGAGAAGTCTCATTGTGTGGAAGGGTGGCATGAACAGGTGTCAGAAGTCTGAAGGCTGGAGGGCGAGCAGCGGTGCTGTGGGTTTGGCGGCAGCTGTGTGACTGTGGCGGGAGGTGGGAGCTGGCCTGGCAAGTGGGTGGGCACATGCACTGGGCAAGAAGCTGAGACATAGGGGCCACCTGTGCAGAGTCACAATCTCTAGCACCAGCAGCAGAGGCAGCACTGCACCTCACTTTTCAATAATTTTTTTAAAAGTTGTATGTAATACTCATCAATTCTAAAAGTTTAATTAAATGGTAATTAACTACATATAAGCTGGAAATTCAGATATTACAAATATAGCTATACGTACATATTTTCACTCTTGCTTATTTCAGCAGATCATGAGATGAAGAAGGACATATGAATAACACAACTCCTAATAGGTGTTTGGAGCTGAGGTGAAAAGAGCCGCCATGACATTAGACTGGAAAAAGTAGAACCAAGTCCAACACAAGTAAACTATGGCTTCTGTATACGGAAGTGTTATGCCCAGTTTCAGGTAACATTTATAAGACAAAGAAAAAATTTTAATGGAATACATTAAGTGGAGAATTACCAAGTGCAAAGCAAGTTCAAAATCTTATCATTTCAGAAAGAATGAAAATATTAATCTGGAAAATGAGATGTAAAATTGTGCTCAAATATTTGAAAAATGTTGATACCAAATAAAAGATTAGATATATTCTATCTAAGACAATGAGGCAAAACCAGGATACTGGATAAAAATTACAGGATGACACAGTTCAGCTCATCCATTTTTGAGTACATTCTAATATAAGTCGGAGGGTCTGCTGATGAAGGTAATGGGATAATTTAAGGATGACATGAATTGCTATGTTGGATTATTCTTCAGAGGAACTCTCTCATATGGGTAGAAGGATGAGATGATATTATACAGGTAAAATTATTTAACACAGTACTTTATACATAGTAATGGCTCAATAAATATTTTCCAGTAGTGCTATTAATAGTAGCAGCAGTAATAGCAGCAGCAGTAAAAATAAATTATGTTTAACCCAGAACATCTATAATTTATACATTGACAAAAGGGATTGAATTTATTTTAACATTGTGGCACTATCTGAACATTGTAAACACACTTGGTTTTTTCATTTACTGCCATGTCAAGTTTTAAAGAAATGTTCTTGATTTTTTTCTGCCCTGATACATCTGCTTAGAATTTGCCATTTTTATGGCCCTGGGATATATACAATGAACATCTGAGTACTTAGTTTTATGAAGCTATATAATGTCATAAATCATGAAATTAGTGAAAAGACTTTATCATTTATCCAAACATAATAGAAAACAAGTATAGTTCTTGTTTAAGAATTCACATTCTTAAGATACGATTTCAGAAAGTCTTAAAAGTTTTGGGTTTCAGAAGTTTCTTTCCCAGGCCTGAAAGAATAAATTTTTGACAGGACACATCAATATGTCAGCATCTCTTGGGCTAAGAAATAGGGAATAAAGCTTGGAAATGCTCCCCAGTTGATTCTGAAACATATCCATTCCCTTTACTAACTGGTGAAAACAATTGATTCAAATACTAATAAATTCAGAAAAACAAATCCACTCCCAGTAGAAAGCCGGAATCAAGAACTGAATTTATTATCCACTGAATTATCTGCATTTATGATTTGGGTCAATTAAACCTGTAGCTTTTAGAATCTGTATTGTTAGAAACTTTGGCTTTTATGTTTTTTCTTTGACTGATTACCTGCAGCATGCCCAGCACTGGCACTGCATTTCAAATCTACAGCAAAATCAGTCTTACATCAGATTCTTTTCTTTAGTAGGAGACAGCGGACATTGCCCCATTTTAAGGATGAATATACAGAGTCTCAGAGTGACTGATTCTCCCAAAGTCATACACTTAATACACAGGAGGCCTGATATTCAAGCTTGGATCTCTTTGATTTCAAAGCTCACTTCACAGCACCTACCTGTTTAGTGTACCTAGAATTCAAAAGAGACAGGTCTTGGAGTATACATTTTTAATAAGTTCACGGAACACATAAAAGAGAACATTTCAGAACCAAAATCACCGGCAACAATGTTACTGCACTGAATTCTTCCAAAAGGATTAATTTGTTTCTTAAGATATTCCTTCATAGTAGATTTTTCCTGAGAAGGCTATTCCTTTTATTTTTGAATTTCTAACAGAGGCTCTTCACAGCTTTGGAAAATGAATTCCATGTCGGGTCACCCAAAAAAATCAGCAAAGTGCAAATAATTATGAACAAAATTCAATATTGTCACAGGTTTATTCACAGAAAGTGTAATAATCTCAATCCAGGGAAAGGTAGTAATTAACAGATAAGAGGTTCATTAAATGAGTATGTAGTGTCGTGACATTGGAAATGGGCATTGATCACTGTTAGCTCTATAGGTTTTCCCCTTGCCTGAAAATTCTGACACCACATTTGTCACTTGCTCTATTTTTAGAATTTTAATGAGCAGATCACCAAGCTTTACCTCATTAACTTAGGTTCTGAGAAAACATTATTTACAGAGAAAATAGTAGGTTAAAATAGTCACTACTCCCAATTTTGTTAGGAAATAATACATGCAGACCAAACTAATATATTTACTTATTATATATTAGTAAATCATATATAATATACTATATTTACTTATATATACATGTAAAGTAATATATTTACTTATTATATATTAGTAAATTAGTAGTGGGCAAGTTTGACCTTGCTTAACAGGTAAGTTTTGCCCACATTTATTTTCCTAGAATTAATCTATCTTTAAAATATATGTATTTCCAAGGACAAATAAAATATTTATCTAACTTTACAGCTCCCATGGCTTACAAAAGTACATAATTTAAAGTAATATTTATTTTTTCTACTTTCAAATAATTATTAATAATTAGTCTAACTTTGTTTAGCTATAGTAATAAAAATGACATAATTACATAAATATTTATGTATACTTTGAAGCATAAAATCATTAAGTTAGGGTTTTAAAACTTAATTATGGCATATTAAAAATGTGTGTCCCTTCCATAAGTCCTACAAAAATGATGGTAATAAATTAAAAAGAATGGTATAGACCCAGAGAGACAAAGAGAGAAAAGAAGTTAATAAGACGTGAGATGTCTTCAACATTTTGAAAGTTGAATAGCAGACGGATGGAAATGGCAACCGACTGAGCAGAGCAGAGAATGCTGGAAGAGGGGGGTGACTAGAGGAAATCCGTCTGATTGCCTGCCTGGAACCACAGAAGGCCTAAAGGACTGCAAGCATGAGGAAATCTTTGAAGAGTGGGACAAAAAACCCAAGATATGTGATGTGATTGCACAGCATTATAAGAGCAGTTATATCCAAGATTCTCTTCTTGAGGCCCTTTAATTGCAAAAGTATCCCTTTCCCATCAAGCAAACATTTTATTCTATGGACTTACTGAGAGAAAATATGGAGCCTTTGACACAAACCAGAGCTGAGAGTGATGGTGAGGGGGTTTGGGGACAGAGGGAAATATATCAATACAAAGAAATCAAGTGGAAGTATAGGTACTAATTCCTGAGATCCTCTACCCCTCTTATCTTGCTCATTCCAAAGCACTACCTGCCAGATTTATCATGTCTATCCACATAGTTAAAGGAGTTTTCGCTGGACAAAATAACAAACCCAAGAGAATGCCACATAGACACTGACAGATGTGAAATAGTCAATAAATCAGCCTTGTCCTGGCCCTACCACTTTTAGGAAAGCCTCAACTCACCAAAATTTACTTCTATATTCAGACTTGTTGACCTACTTTTTACTATGTGGATCTAAACATAAACGAACACTCAAGGATCATCAAAGAGTTAAGGAGTGTCTCCAACAGGATCAAGGATTATCAAAGAGTTAAGGAGTGTCTCCAACAAAAAACAAAGAGTCTTATAAAAACAAAAAGAAAAAGAAACAAAGGGAATCAGCAGAGTAAAGATAATGGAATGAAGAGGAGAGAGAACATTTAAAAACTTGAATATCTTCAGAGAGCTAAAAGAAGATTTACACCCATTAAGAGCAAAGTGTTTTTAAAAGAAATATTCAGAGAACAAGAAAAAGCTCTTAGAAATTAAATACAATATAGCATAAGTATTTTTAAATCCAATGGAGAGGTGGAAATATGTTAAAAATTCCTTCAGAAAATAAAATAAAAAGATGGAAAACTGAAAAAAAATCCAGAAAGTCTAATATTTTAAAACTAGGAGTTCCAGAGGGAGATAACAGAGGCAGGACAATAATTAAAGTAATAATGAAAAAAATACTGGATTTAAAAATGATCATTTTCAAGATAGTAACAACCATTTAATTGCTTTATACAATAAGTAAAATATACTTCATAACAAAACATATATCATGAAATTTCGGAATTTTGAGATAAAAATAAGAGCTAAAAAGCTTTCAGAAAGGTAAAAACATAAAGACTAGAAATCAGAATTTATTCACATTTCCTTAATAATGACCTTAGAAGTTAAAAGGAAATTACTTTCAAAATTCTTAGGAATGATATTTAACATGTAAGTGCTTGCTTGATCAAACTGTTTTAAGTATAAGAGAGAAAAAATAAGCCAGATTTGATAAGTTTCATGAAATTGTCAATGTAAAAATGTTTTCTTAAGATGCTACTGGAGGATATGCTCTACCAAAATGAAGGAGGAAAGCAAAGTATATGTGACCCAGAGAAAAGGGTCTCCAAAGTACATAAAAGATAGGCAAAGGGAATTCCCAAGATGGCAAAAGAACATCCTAGGATAACAGAGATAATAGCTGTACAACAGGTTTAAAAGACCACTAGTCAAGATGCAAGCAAAGCTGAAGCCTCTAGAAGTAATATCTCTGTATTAATTAAATATTGTTGAGTAAATTCCACTCCAAAATTTAATTTCTTAAAAAACTTTATTTCGCACATATTTACAGACCAGCTGAGCAGTTCCATGTATGTGGACCAGTGGACCAGGCTAAGCCGATCTTGGCTAGACTTGTTCATGCATGCAGCCAGCTGGCAGGTTGGCTGGGGGCTGATTATTCTGTAATGGTCTTGCATTATAGACCTGAGCTGAGCTCAGGTCTTCTTTATATTTCTTTCACATCTTAATGGCAGACTAACCCAGGCCAGTTCTCATGAGGGTAAGTAGATTTGTACAGGCACTTATTTAAGCTGTTTCTTGCACCAAGTTTGCTACTTTTCTCGTGGCCAGTTTACCCACATGGTCAAGCCCATGGATAGTATGGGAGATCACTATCAAAGGGTGTGGATACAAGGAAATGTGGAAAATTGGGTCAATTAATGCGATTTCTCTGCCATAATCACTAACAAAAAATATGGGAGAAAAGACTTCTTTTGAACTGATATTTTCAGAGAAGTGTGGCAATTCCATTTGAAAGCTTAGCGATAAATTAGTAATAGAAATTTTTAAAAAACTCAGGCACATAAACATATATAACAATTATTAACTCTAAGGAAAAATAGAACATTGTAGGAAAATATATATAATCTTTGCATTTTATGTGTCTCAACTGTGAACAATATTTACAAACTCAGAACAATGAAATAACACTGATCAAAACTAATCTATACAACCATATTAAGAGCATGGAGGAAAGAAAGTGTGTGTGGAGCAAGTGGTCTAAGGGAAAGAAAAAGCCATCAGTTCAAGTAACAGGAAGTTCACAATAATGTCAAGACTTGAAAATAATGAAGAACGAATACAAGCATGTAATTTAAAATCACAAAAAGCCTCTGGAGAATGGATAGATGTGAATAGGAGATTACTGAGTTTGTTATAAGCCTTGCAGTGCCATTGGTGTTTTTGAACTACGTGTATATATATTTTTTTGTTAAAAATAAAACAAAAAGAAATAAAATAATAATATATTTGTCTATAAAACACACTTTACAAATGTATGTATAGCTAAATGAGCTTAAACTTCCTCACCCTCATTTCCCTTGTAAAGAAGGGGTTAATCAATTTCTATCATGTCTTTTATTTAAGAAATTCCAAGATTCACAATTCCAATAGATTTTGCCACGTATTTATTATTTAATATCTTGTGTCTTTCCTATTACTCTTAAAACAATAATTTAATGTCTCTTTATTTAATGTCCTTTTCTTTTATCCATTTTTAAATATGTTCTGCCTATACTAATTTAACCCAAAATTCTGCTAGAGAGATAGTCACTGCTTATTTAATAGTAAGACTTTTGTCCTTGTTCCCTGACTGCCTGAATCAAAATTACTCCATTTATCTCTGGAACTCAAAACGAGTTTCAGGAAGACTAGAAAATGATATAAGTACCTCAGGCAGGAAGGTAATTTAGAGCTCCTTTAAACTGATGCTCTTTTAAGTATTGGTTCAACAACTATGCAGTAAAATATGGCCAGCCAGAAATATTTTATTTGCTTTTTAAAGGTCTATTTGAAGACATCTTCTACGCCAAGAAGAAAAGAGCTACTTTACATCTCAACAGTGACGAAAGGAGTTGCATACGAATATACGAACTGGTATCGTTTCTGATTTATTTCGAAGCTATTTCATGCTCCTTATAAATTCATGCTGCAAGCAACTCCCTAGCTAGCCCACCTGATATAAAGCTCTGGTGTCAAATATCACTACACACTAACACAACTACAGCATGCAGTAAACATCAATGTGGTTCCTTCCTTTTTGCTCTGGCCCTATTTTTCCATGTCCACAGTCTGCAAAGCTTTTTGTATATTTTATCACTATCCTTGCTTTCCCTAGGGCGATGGTATATAACATATTAATATGATCACACACTATTTCCCCTCCCAATGAGCCAAAGAGAAACCTGGCATTTCCAGCTTAATCAGTAATTCCTCCTCACTCATCATCGTCACTCTTAAGAAAGATTTGTTCTGTGTCTAAACGTCATGGAAATTTTTTTCAGGCAGCTTCAGTAAGCAGATAAAAAGGATGGTAAGGGGTGGAAGGAGGAGAGGAAAAGCAAGAGTCGAGCAGATCTTCCAAGAGTAGATTAAATCAGTCTGCATTAAAAGAGCACAAAGTAGGTGTCTAAGGGCGAGCAGAGAATTGGGGCACAAGAGAAGAGGGTTAGAAAGACAGTTTTGTGAGGCTGTTTGGTGACCAAGATGGTCTGCAACACCTGGGCATGTTGAAAAATGGGAAAGGAAAAAAAAGGAGGGCTTGTGAATTGCATTTTCTTTCATTGCTTCCAGGAGATGTTAGAGGAGAGTGGAGTTTCTATTTAATTATTTTTAACATCTCTGAACTGTGCTTCTTTAAATGCTTTCTGCTTCAGAATTGAGTACCAAGGATCACACTTAATAGAGTCATGATGGGAACAGCCCTGTCCTTGCCAGGCTTTGCTTCCTGATGCCCCCAAAGTAACTACCCATAGAGAGGAGGAGCAGATGGGAAAAGGGCCAACTTCTCAGCCCTTGCCATACTTTGTCACACCAAGCTGCTTTGCTTATATCTAAGGTCTCACAATCTCTATCCTAAACTCTTCTACTTTTGATCAGTACCCCACAAAGAGAGGCATCAAGCACACCAAGTCTAACCAAGAACAGATGGAACGCCAACCTTAACCACCCTCCAAAAATTATCTAGCCCCTCACCAGTCACCCAATATAAAAAATAAAATCTTATGAGGCAAAGAAAAACATATGTGGTTGCTATAAGAGCTGTCACTCCTAGAAGCATTTGAAAAAAATGATCCCTGATATATTAATAGTGTCTATCCTTGAGGAATGTGATAAAAGAAGATTGGGATATTCAAGTGGGCACACTTTTGCCCAAAAAATATCAGAGCTGAGATTAGATAGCAAAGAAACAGGAGGAAATCCATATGATGATAAAAATATAGACTATAGATTTAGGGAGAAAAACAGATTTGAATTCTTTTCTGGTCACTTACTGGCTGTTTGATCTAGAGCAAATTACATAGCTGTTCTGAGTCTCAGTTTCCCAATTTGTAACAGAAACAGTTACATATGCAGAATTATAGAAATTGCTGAGAGATAAAGTAATCAACAGAAAAAGACAGGAAAAAAATGACATAGCTTTTCATGTATTTAATGAGTATTTACAAAGTAGATATCACATGCAAGACTACTGAGGTTAAAAGGATATGTTAAATATAACCCTGATCCTGAAGGAACCAACAATCTATCAGAAGACATAATACAAATATTCATATTCTCAAATACATGGAGAACTGTCACTAGTGTCATCAAAAAGAAGAGCACAAAGAATTGTATGGTGCTACAGAAGCTCAGTGAAAGAACAGATGGCACAGAGAGATGGAAAGAAGTTTGCACTTCTGAAGAAAAAAAGACAAGGAAATAGGATTTAAAGCACCTCATAGATATTAACATTGAGAAAAACAAACATCTCTTCTTTTAAGACTAGTAAGATTAAGGAAAAATTAAGAATAATTTTTTTAATTTTGGGATGCAGAGAAATAAATTATAGATATTTGTCAATTGATAAAGAATTCAGACTCTTTTAAATAGTCAGAGGTAAGTCATTATTAAAGCATAAGAAAAGATAAATGGAAAAGTGAGTGTACTAGAAAAAAATCAAAATAATTTGGTGAAGTAATAGATTTATTTACTGGCCTGGCCTGCTGTCTAGCCTGCCTCCCCTCTAGCCAATTAAAGCCTAAGTAGCTTTCAGTGACAAATTTGTCTTGTCTCCTTAAATAAACTTCTGTTCCTGCCTTTTCTCTCTTTTCTGTGACTTCTCTTCTTGTGTTTTTGCCTTGTATAAAATCTATGCTGACAACATAAAATGTTATTGTATACATGTATGACATTTTCTTCTAAATATTTCAAAGGTATACCTTGTCCATAAAATACTGTAAGTTCCTCAAGGCTAGAAACCCATGTTATGCATAGCTTTCACCATACCTTTTATGATTTCAAAATAATGTGTAATATAATAACTGGAAATTTGGAAAATGCAGAAAAGTATAAAATAAACAATTAAAACTATCCATAAATACTCTACCTAGAAATAGTGTTAACAGCTTGTCCAATGTTTCAATGCATATAAAAATCTCAGGGCAATGATTAACTTATAGAAAAATTAAAGAAACTGAATAAGATGAAATCAAGACTAGATTCTTAAAGGCACCCTGGGAGATATAACATTTTCTGCCACATTATGATTTAATCTAATAGCATGGAAGCAATACATGCTATGAAAAAACCTCACTGGTAAATATTTATTGAGTTTTTACCTGATTTCAAAAAACTGAACCGGGCAATATGAGGATACAAAAAAAAAAAATCTGTCTCTGTCCTTAGAGAATCATCACTGAGAAACAGATGAAGAATTAAGCATCATCAAAATATTTAAATAATAATTTAACACAACAACCAATGAGAGAGACATGAGATTACATAGATTAATTACCAAATGAAGTCTGCAGGCAATAATTGCTATTTGAGTTCACATACACTAATGTGATTTATGGCAAGATGCATTTGTATAGCAACTCTCTAATTGCTCTTAAACTTCTAAGAGAAGTCTGAGTATAAATTACAAGTGCAGATTTACTTTCAAATGTGCACTAACAAACTCAAGCTTTTCTATTGTGGTTGCTTTCTCCTATTTGTTTCCACTATTAGTTATTTTAAAGGAGATCTTGACTAGTGTAAATAAAAATTCGAACAAAATAATTCAAATTTAAAGCTGTTGGAACTTTAAATTTTTCTGAGCCTTGAAAGGGATATGGCTATACAGCCTGAATCATGCAGCACGCAGCTACAGCTTCTGCCTTTAACCACATGATCCCAGAGATAAGACCCGCTCAGATCACTAACCCTCCTCATGAAGTAATAATCTTCTTGGAAATGTAGTAATCTTAACTTCTCCACTTTGGACTGCTGACCCCATTTGGAGATGGTGTTTCCAGGCGTCCATCATCAAGCTGTGCTCAAATTAACTCTATACCTAATCATATTTTCTGAATCTTATTATTTAAAGTTGACATTAGGAAAACACATGTGTATACAGTATATAAAATATACTAATATATATAACATAATACTATATGTGTAGTTACTAACCAATAAGAGAAATCTTTTGGTCAGTGGAGCAAAATCCTAAATCGCTTAAATTCACAACCCTTTCTAACCACTTCCAATGGTTTTAAACATCTTCCGCAACAAAACTCTACGTGCAGAGAACCAATTCGGGCAAAAGTATTCTGTATCATTGTGTAGTTTCTCCCACACACAACACCTTGGGTCATGTGGGAGTCTTTTCCTAAGCTAGCAGGAAGCTTAAGTGACCTTCCTTTCTTATGAGAAAGACCACTGTCTCTTACCAAGATAATATGGAGGGAAAAATCTGAATGTTGGGAAAGCATTCCGAAGATTAGAAATCCTGAAAGAGACTGTGTTTCTTTCTAAGTACTCCTGTAATCCTTGCCTGGTAGAACTCCCTAGGCTTAACAAGCAGAGAGCCGCTCACAAGCACAAGCAGCCCCTGTGCCATTTGACCACAAGGTTTAAGGAAGAGATGAATGAAGAGCCTCAAGGAACTATTGGAACTAAGTGCCAGAGTCCCAAGAGAGAGTTTTTCCTTGAATTTCACAGAGAGCTAAAATCACTTTTTTGAACATGTGACAGTGCTGAAGATTCACACTGAGCTAGCAAAGAATTCCTGCAGCTTTAAAACCCTGAGAGGGACGATGCCACGGAAGGCTCAGGTGCATTCTTGGACTCAATGCCTGAGAGGGACGATGCCACGGAAGGCTCAGGTGCATTCTTGGACTCAATGTGTTCACATAAACACTCCTAATCATGTGGATGGAATAGTAGTGAGTAAGGAATTGGGAAGTAGGCAAAGATGAATATTTTAGTCTCTCTTAGAAACCAATAACGTGTGCTGGCAGGAAACATTGTAAAAACATTACCCCATGACTCTCAGAATTCTGTCAGTTCTTTTGAGCACCCGAGATCCCAAAGGAAACAGTTGTGGACAGTTAATAAATTGATTTCTATTGTCTCAGAAAAAAAAGAGGCTGAGAAGATACGGTGAGTTGGCTTCCTCAATACCCTTCATCTTCTAACTTGCTTTCAAGTAATGTGATGCCTAGAAAGATAAAATTACATTTCCAAGAGTCTCCTCAGCCTAGTTCATATATGTAATCTAGCGTCACATCTATCAGGTGTAACCATGAACAGTGTGAGATGGAAAGAGCAGATCTTTTGGGAACCACAGTGGCAGAAGTGGTTCTTCCACAATGGGTTTTAGGCCTCCGGGCAGCAGAAATCCTGGTGCTTAAGCCAGGGCAGCCCTGTCATGTGGTTGAGCATTTTTCCTTGCTAAGTTATCTTTGAGTTGATTATCCTTATATAAGTAACATCCAGAATGAGCTTTGCTGACTAGAATTAAGAATGCTGATCAATTTGGAAAACGTTTATGATTAAGAGAAGTTTATCTGGCCATCCTAAAAACAAAGATTTTAACCAAAAGGCATAGATTTAAAAAAATGTATTCTACAACTGTAATACATTCTACCATCCAAGAGCATTTGATGAGAAACTAGTGTGTGTCAGGTCATGTGCTGGGTACTGAGATTACAAAGATGAATAAGATGAATAAGATGCAGTCCTTATTTTAAGAGACCCACTGGTGAAGGAAGCAAATACTCTGTAAAAAAAAAAGCAATAATAAAGAAAAATGCTAAAGGCATGATTATCACACAGGAAAAGTAAACAATTTAGAGAAAGGCAATGGTCTCAAGTGGACTGCCTTCAGGGGAGGAAGTATACCTGAAGCTTGGAGTAAGTTATGAGGGATATTTTCAGCAGATTAGAGAATTCAGAGGAAGCATGGATCAAGCAAGAGGAGATATATGTTCAAGTGCTAAGTGATGTTTTCAGTAGAGAAGGCTATAGGATGAAGGAAAGAGGTAAGACAAATAGGACTCAGATGATGGAGATCATTGCAGGTCATGCTAGGCAGCTTAGATTACACCTATGGGTACTATATCAGAAACAATTATGGAGTTTCAAAATGGTGCTGAAATTTAGGTATAAATTTTAGGTAGGTCAATTAACAGCACTGTGAGGAAGGTAGGGATAGCTGTGTGAGTCTGGTGGTATAGCCTATATGTGAAACAACATAGCTTTGAAGTAAAACAGAAAATGCAAGACGTGTTTGAAAAATATTTCAGAGATAAGTGATTCATGACTTCCCATGACTCTCCCATGCCTTTCAAGTTTCTCCCTTGATTGCATGGGTAGAAGATAAGCAACAGAGCACATCACACCCAGACACTAGAGACTAAATAAGAGGAATGTTGTCCAGTTATCCTTCCATAGAGTTTAAGGATGTGGCAGCCCCACTGGCAGAAGTTTCCATAGATACAGTATAAAGTTCCAGGAAGAGTGCCTAATAGATTGATGGAATGGTATAATGTAGAGTGTATGGAGGCATTTTAAATTCCATAAGCCTTTTTTTTTGTTTTTGAGATGGAGTCTTGCTCCATCACCTAGGCTGGAGTGCAGTGGTGAGATCTTGGCTCACTGCAACCCCCACCACCCGAGTTCAAGAGATTCTCCTGCCTCAGCCTGCTGAGTAGCTGGGATTACAGGCGTGCACCACCATGCCCAGCTAATTTTTGTATTTTTAGTAGAGATGGGGTTTCACCATGTTATTCAGGATGGTCTCGAACTCCTGACTTTGTGATCCGCCCACCTCGGCCTCCCAAAGTGCTTGGATTACAGGCATGAGCCACTGCACCTGGTCAGCTTTTGTTTTTTAACATTCTTGAAACTTTGTTCATTAGTAACTTATTAACTGATACATGCTGTTAATTATACAATTGGGCATGCACAAAAAAAATTAAAAAATCCTTCCCCTTCTCATGGGAGACAAGCAGACATAGTAGAAAATGATTAATAAATACTCCATGGCAACTTCAGAGTAAATATTTGCTTCAAAATTAATTACCCACGTTATTAATATGAGTATGAGGTGAGTTTCACACCTCATTGGTAGATGGAAGTTGCTGTTATATTGCATTGTTAGAGAATTGTGAAATTATCCCTCTAATATATCAGTTTCATGCTTCCTACATACTGCCCAAATTTAAAAAGATTGCCTCTCACAAAATTCATGCTTAAGCAACTTTAATGTAATTTAGTGATTCTGTCAAGTGAATTCAACAATGAAAATATTAGGATAATCCCAATTAATATGACAAACTGGCAAGAGAAGCAGCTAGTTGAACAATATTTTCACCTCTGGATGTTGTCTTCAATTAAACTTTCTATCAAATGAAAGAATTGATTAGTCTTTTCAAGCAAGAAGCCTTGCTTCCTACAAGTAAACAGAATCATTTCCAATAAAGCTTTCAGGGCTTTTAAGAGGTTGTCATCTCTGGCTGGGGAAACAGTTTATGGCATCCCAGCAACTGCTTTCATTACATGCACGTATTTGGCAATCAGTGGCATGCTGCAAGTTCAGGAGTGTAATCTGGAAAGGTCATAGTTGGACTGCTGAAAAAGACACTGAAAGGTCAGCTAGTTAGTGTTGAATTTCATGATGTGTATTTCTATGCTTTGATATGTAGTTGTGTATACACAACCTAATTAGTGTTGATGCTAGCTTTATAATGAAAACTATCCATTTTCCTACTTTATATCTGATTTTCTCATTTGCGACATCTTTGATTAAAAAGATCACACCACATCATCTTGTTGATAGCAGCAAGGATGCTGCTCATTATTAGATTATTAAGGCAATGTACTGCATGATAAAATGAATTTGGCCAGGAAAAAAATCACATTTAAAATGATTATGTTGAAGTGGTTTTAATGGAGATAATCATACATTAATTTAAAAAATACATGTGAGCTTGGGGTAAACTTGAACTGAGAGATCTTGGATATTCAATATGTAAAAAGACATAAAACCTAAGAAAGACAAATTTGGTAGTTTTCATTCAACACTAGATCTAAAGATGATTCATTCATTCCTTGACTATTCATGTACCTTAGTCATCGATCACTTTTCGGCAATTAACAAAAAATGCTTACTGGTAATCATTGAGCTGCCTTTGACTACTTGTGTTAACTTTCTGATATTTTTTTCAGTGTACAGTGCTTGAAGCATTCATTTTTCTGTTTGCATAGGATCTAACCAAAATGTAAGAAGACTTACTTTTATATTTTTTGATGAGCATCTTTATAGCTTATAATGAACCTCCATTAAAGAACATGACACTTCTAAAATTTCTTTTCCTGGGATGCTTACGTATCATTTCTAACAAATACACTTTTATGGAGTCTACTACCAGAGATATCGAGGCAATCAGAGGACTTTATGAATATATTGGCTGCTATTATTAGAGAGGGGCCTCACTTACAACTACCATGCACATATATGCAGATGTGTAAGCAATAGAAGATAAGGAATATGAGCATGCATTTTAAAGTAAACTATATTAGATACTTAAAATCTTATATAAACTTAATGTTAAGATATAAAAACAGACGGTGTTTTTACTTGGGAAACTCATAGCAGCTATCATTGAAGGTAATGCCCAGGATAAGTTCACATGCTTTCCATAGAGTTATAATTTACAGTATGAAGGGTACTCACAGATATAATTCTTATGGAAGTCTGAAACTGTCTATCACAAAAAATGAAAGTTATTCTTTGAGGTAACTATTAAATATAGGCATTAGCTGCAAATATAGCTGTGCTTTGATTTTATTCTTGCTTTGATTTTATTTGATGACTTTGCCAGTGTTGTGTGTTCCTTGAAATATGTTTTATCAAAGGACTACTGCTAGGTCTCCGCTTTGCACATCCTTGCATCTAGAACAAATGCACCTCTTAGTTCTTTTATCCATAAAACATCTTCTTGCCTTTCTTTTCTTTTTATTTTAAAATCAACATACATCATTAAAGAAAGTTGGCAAGCAGATAAATGTGAGAGAAAAATCACCATAGTCATACCACCTAAATACAGCTATCATCAAAATTTTGCTGTGTTCCTATTGTTGTTGTTGTTTTCCAAAACATGTTCTGGTTTTTAGAGTGTCATGACACTGGATACATAATTGTTATGTCTTCAAGTTTTTCCTATTATCCCACAGACATTTTCATGGATTAATTTTTCTATTTATAACTCCCATTACATTTTAGAAAAGCTTTAGGTTTTCAGAAGAGTTTTGAAGATAATATAGACAATTCCCATACACCCAAGACACTATTTCCCCAGTTACGAACATCTTACATTAGTATATTTCACATGTCACAATTAATGAAATAATATTGATACATCACTATTAACTAAAGCTGATACTTTATATAGATTCCCTAAGTTTTCCCTTATGTCTTTTTTCTGTTTCAGGATACCATCCAGGATACCACTTTACATTTGTTGTCAGGTCTTCCTAGGCTTCTCTTGGAAGCTTCTCAGAATTTCTTTTTTTTTTTTTTTTTTTTGATGACTTTGACAGTGCTGAAGGCTACATTCAGGCATATAGGATGCCCCTCTATTGAAATTTGTCTGATGTTTTTCTCATAATTAGATGTGTTATGGGAGAAAGACCTCAAAGGTAAAGTGCCACAGTCATTACATCATATTAAAGCTATCAACATGACATATTACAGTTGATGTTGACCTTGATCTCCTGGATGTGGTAGTGATTGACAGTTTTTCCACTGTAAAGTTAGTCCTTTATCCCTATTTTGATGTGGTACCTTTTTGGAAGGAGGTCACCGTGAGCGGCCATGCTAAGGAGTAGAGAGCTCTACTCTTGAGAACTTCCTTGAGAATAGAGTATCTACATAACTTAATTGAAATACTTTTCATGGGAGAGGTGCCTATCTTCTCCATTTATTATGTAGTCAATAACATATAATACTTATGCATATGTACATATCAGAATGGACTCATAATATATGTTTCATACTTTGGTTTATAATACAATACTAATTCACTTATTTTGTTGCTCAGCTCGTTCTAGGTGGGACTTTTGAGAGCTCTTTCAGTTTACTCTCGTGCCCTTAAGAAATACACCTATCAGTGTGGTGGGTTTTTTTTAACACCTTCTTTCTTGTCAGCACAATAATGAATCACCTTTCCATTTGATTCTCTGTATCATCAATTATCTAATGTAATACTTATTTCCTGAGACTGGAACAGCTGGAGTCATAATAACTGTTAACAAAATATGAGCTCTCACACACATCGTCGCCCTGCCTCAGAATCACTGATGGGCTGGATTCAGTTCCTCTTTTATGCTTCAAGCAGATGGGAGAGGTTTTCCTCAAGTGATTGTGAACAGCTGTAAGTGACTGTATTTTCCACCTCACAGTTTCAATCATTTGTTTATTCTGAGGACAGCTCTTTTATTCACTCCTAGTGAACAGGGCCGTTCACATCATTATTCTTGAAGCCATGAATTCTAGGAGAACTTGGGCCAGTTAATCCTTTCCCTAATTCCTCATTTGCCAAATGAGAAAAAAAAATCCTTGACTGGAAGAACTATCAATAAAGTGTAATATCACATGCATCATATTTATATATTATATATAATATAACATATATTTATATAATACACATAAATGAAAATATAAAATGTCTTCTTTATACACACACAAATGCGCAGGTGTGCAATCAATATTTATAGACATTTCATAAATGTAAATTTCCCTATTTTCCCCCTCAGATTTAGTGCATCTATGAGATGATATTACAGCTTCACTGCATGGCTTCTTTACCAGGTTCTTCTCATCCAACAAGCAAGCTCATGTTCTAGAAGCCTGAGGCAGAGAAAAACTGAATATCACTTAGTGATAACTATCTTCTGAGCCCAATCACTCTCTTTGAACAAATTTGAATTGGCTCCGTTTAAATTGAGTTCCTGATCTAGGAGAACAAAGAAAGTTATTATTCTTTCTCCCTTACAGTTTCTGGCACCCAACATAGGACAGCTGAGACACTGCAGTCACACATGTACCTGCAGATGAGGTCTTGGGACAACAGACAAAAAGCTGGGAACGAGGTAAAAATATTTTACTAATATCAGCTCTCCTGGATCTGTGCCTGGAGTGCCCAGTTGAGAGTGAAAGGTAAATATTCCTTCATGTCCCTTCCTTTCCAAATTTAGTTTAGCAGGAGAAAATCATTTGTTTGGATTGTGACTCTTGAGTCCTTGTTCTGAGTCATTTGTTAGATATTGCTTTTCCCTTGTTAATCTGTCTTCTGTTATAAGGGTGCCAGCCATGAACCTTCTTTTCTCCCCTGCTGCTTTGTGGGGGACATTCCTGGATAGGAAGGACAGTCTTGATGTTTTTGTGATTATACTTTTCAGAGGGTTCCTTCGTCTTCCTCATGAATACATTTCATGATGCATGTGTCCTCTCTGTATGACCACACAGGTCTGAATCCATATATTTAGCCTTTGATTATCTTCCTTTTTCATATCTGTAATGCCATGCACATGCTATTCTTGAAATATTATTTGACCCTTTTCTTTGCTATGAACATGTTCCTATCGATGTGGATCAAGGTGAGAAGATGTTTACAAATACTAGAGAAGCCACCAGTTCCCAGCTGAAGTTGCATTGCCTGGAGGACCTGAGATGAGGAGAAAAATGACTGAGCAAGGTGGAGCAAAGGAGAAGAAAGACATTTGAATGTACTGGATTAATATATTTGGCTTTATATTATACAGAGTTATATAGAATCATGAAATGTTTTATGTCCTATGTTTTGGATTGAGATATACCTCACATAATGACTGGTAAATCAATGATAGTGCTTCATCAAATTTCCCCTGTGCAAACAGGAGCGAAGAGAAGCTATAGTGAGCTCCAAAAAGAATGCTCCAAGGAAGATATCCAGGGACTTATTATACTTCACTTTAGAGCTGTGATAGCAGCTTGCCTGAATTGAGATATTTACCTTTTCAATTCAGTCCTGGTGGCATAGCAATGTTTGCTGCTCCATATTCTGGAAATAATGTTGATTGGGCTAATGTGTAATATTTGCTATGGCAACTTCGGCCATCTCCTTGCTATATGTATACATGGATTATTTGGGACTAAACACACAAACCCGGTGAGGCATTTTTAAAGGCTAAATTAAATTTAACTTGTTTTTAAAACAAAAGGTGACATAATTGTTAACCAGTTACTATCAAATTTTCTTTTTGTTTTCCCCACGCATTTTTCTTTGAGGATGAAGTTGTAGGGAGTGGTCCTGGTTTAAATTTGGGTCCTTTAGCCTCCAGTCTATCTTGCTAAAAAACTCATTCCAGCAGGCTTCTTCACATTCCCATTGTCTCACATCTAGAACTAGACATTGCTTAGACGTAAACATGCAAGTATAGTCATGCATTGCTTAACAACAGGGATATGTTCCTAGAAGTGAATCGTTAGGTGATTTTGTCATTATGAAAATATCGTAGAGTGTCTCTATACAAGGCTATATCATATACTCTACTACGCATCTAGGTTGTATGGTATAGCCTCCTGTTTCTAGGCCACAAACATGTACTGCATATTATTGTACTGAATACTGCAGGTAATTGTAACACAATGGTAAGTATTGATGTAGCTAAACATATCTAAACATAGAAAAAATAGTAAAAATATAATATAAAATATGGTATGCCTGTATAAGGCACTTATCACGAATGAAGTTTGCAGGAATGGAAATTGCTCTGGGTGAGTCAGTGAGTCCCAAGTGAATGTGGAGGCCTGGGATATTACGGTACACTACTGATGACTTTATAAACACTGTACACTTAGGCTTTACTAAATTTATTTTTTAAAATATTATTATCTTTTCAAGAATAAATTAAGCTTAGCTTATTGTCACTTTTTTACCTTATAGGCTTATTAATTTATTTAATTTTTTGACTCTTGTAATAACTTAGCTTAAAATAACACACAACGTACAGCTGTACAAAAATATTTTCTTGATATTCTTATTCTATAAGCTTTTTTCAAATTTTAAAATTTTTTATTTTCTTTTACCTTTCTAATTTTATTTGTTAAAAATTCAGATGCAAACAGGCATTAGCCTAGGCCTGCACAGGGTCAGGATCATCAATGTCACTGTCTTCTCCCTCCATATCTTGTCTCACTGGAAGGTCTTCAGTGACAATAAATAACATGCATGGAGCTGTCATCTCCTATATTAGCAATGCTTCCTTCTGGAATATCTCCTGAAGGACCTGCCTGAGATACACACACACACACACACACACACACACACACACACACACACAGACACATGGAAGGAGCACACCCTAACAATAAAAAGTATAGTATAGTAAATACATAATCCTGTAGCATAGTCATTTATTATTATCAAGTATTATGTACTGTATATAATTGTATATGCTAGGCGTTTATACAACTGGCAGTGCAGTAGAATTGTTTACACCAGCTCTCCACAAACGTGTGAGTAATGCATTGATCTAGGACATTATGATGGCTACAAGGTCATTAAGCAATAGAAAAGTTTCAGCTCCATTATAGTTACATGGGACCGCTGTTGTATGTGTGGTCCATCATTGACCAAAATGTTGTCATGTGGCACACGATGGTACATAGCCTGATCTAACTCCTTCAGGGTCTCCATATTGAACTAAGACATCTCTGATATGTGCCACAACTTGTCTTATCAAATTTCGGGGAAGAAGTATAGTCTCCTATTGCACTCATTTGTGGGGTACCCATGGCCATTTCAGGTTTCAGAGCAGTCCCCACACACTTGGGCCTCCAGGCCCCACAAACCTACCTACTACTATTATGTCTGAGTCACTCAGGGCTTTGATAACCAAGGTTCAGCAAAAGACTTATTTAAGGGACAGGTTTAAGGTATGTCTTAACCCAAAGTAGGAGGTGGGAGTAGAAAGAGGGGCAAGAGAGGCTTTATTTACATTTATTGGGTACTTATGTTTCAGGGTCTGGGCCAAGTTCTGTATCTAGGACATTTCAGCAGACTGACAGTACAGAAGCAAGGACTGGGAACATTGTCTAACAGATTCACAGTGCAGCTTTCAGAAGCCATCCCCAGATTCATCAAAACAGATGGGTACCCCACAAATGAGTGCAATAGGAGATTATACTTTTTCCCTGAAATTTGGTAAGACCAGTTCTGGCACATATCAGAGATGTCTTAGTTCAATATGGAGATCCTGAAGGAGTTAGATCAGGCTATGTAACATCGTGTGCCACATGACAACATTTTGGTCAATGATGGACCACATATACTACAGCGGTCCCATATAACTATAATGGAGCTCCTTCAGAAATTGCCTTTGGCTGAAAAGAGTTGCCTCACATCTCTCTCATTCCTTCGTTAATGCCTGTATCTCGTGACTGATGGATAGAGGTTCATAAACGGCACCTTGCCAACCTCTGCAAGGGCCATCCGAGACCCAGTGTTCTGGAGCTGAAGCCTTTGTTGTGACTGCATTGCAGCTCAACTTCTCTCCCTGACTAATTCTGTTTCTCTCATCCCTCCACGTTTGTTGAACACTCCCCAGTAAATTTCCTGCATGCTAATTCTTTTTTTCTGTCTGCTTCCTAGAGTAACTCTAACTACAACAGTTGGGTTCTAGTGTCATCTACTTTTATTGCTTAACACATTGGGCCTCATGTTTCTGATTGGAAAATTAAGGAAACTGAATTAGTCTGTCAAGCTCGTTTCCAGGTCCATGATTATAACTGAAAAGAGGGAGTAAGAGTTGGGAGAGACATTGGCAGCCTTAAATCATAACAAGTAGCCTCCACTTCCAGAATCAAATCCTTAGTCCTGCATAGATCAAAAATCCCTACAGTAATCCTTCACTGTCATTGAACAGTGTCATTTATTATATATTTTATTCTTTACTAGGCTTTTTGTTTTTCAACATGTAGTTATGTATGCCATGTGTGAGATCATTTTATTCCTTTCAAATAAATCATGTAACTTCAGTGTTTGTCAAGGAACCCAAAGTAGTGAAATGTGAAATGTGAATTGAGAAAAGTTCAGCTGACCAAGTTCCATTAATTTTCAGGAAAGACAAGTCAAGTTCAGTCAAAAGAAGAAGAATGAAAAATATCTCAAAGTGATTTTTTTAATGGGGGAAATTAAGCCTTAGGAGTGTGTTTATCTTAGTCCTTTTGAATATATTTTATAGCCTATAAATAAGATATAGGAGTCTATAAAACAAAGCCCACAAAATCAGTACCTTGAAAATGTAAAACATTTGACAATTTGATATATTTTGACTATATTTAACATTATAGAAAATGAAATCAGTATATTCTGTTTCCATGATATCAAAACTTTCTGAAAAAAAATAAGTCAGTCCTTTATGTTAACTTGCACATTTCATTAAATATCTAGATGTTTGACATCATTTAAGAAATCATTGAGTTTATAATATATATTAATGCAAATATTTAGCATCACATAAATAAGTCAATTCTGGGAACAAGGTCAAAAGTAATGAAAGCATAAAATTCTCCCAGCTAAATTTTTTAAAGTATTGTCACTGGACTTTTTAATCTTTCTCCTTTCTCATTTCAGGGCCCCACACATCTCAATAAATAAAGCAAAAAAGTGTACTTATTTGTCCCAAGCAGATAATATTTTTTTAGAATTGAGCATTTCTGTTATACTTACATACATTGATTTCAATGTTGAAACCAGCCAGTTATTTTGAGCTATTTCCTGAGCTATGTGATATTTGTGTTATTTTTTCCTAGACACCTCTCAGAGTCTCACACTGATTCCTCTGCTTTTTCTCTTATCTTTCCACAATCTGTTTTCCGAACACTAGTTAATGAGGCTTTACAACATAGATATGGTTATGCCACTCCTCTGCTTAAAATCCTCTAAGGGATTCTCATCATATGTACAATCAAATATTTTTATCATAGTCTAGAAGCTCCACATGGCAGTCTCCTGTCTCCAGCCTCTTCTTCTTTTCCTTTTCCTCCTCCTCCTTCTTCTCCTCCTCTTCTTCTTCCTTTCTCTGTACAGTACCATAAACCTTCTTTCAGTTCCTTTAACACACCAAGGTCTCAGGCCCTTTGTACTAACTGTTTTATCAAGTTAAACATCATTTTTATTCTCACTTAATTAGGGAGATGAATTATAAACCATTGACCTTAACATTTCCTTAGATTTACATGCCCCAGATTTTACATGGCCGCATTTCTTTTGTAATTCTGTCTTGGCTTTAATTTCACATCTCAGAAAGGCCCTCCCTGACCATGGAATCTGTAGTGGCATTCTTCTTCCCCAGCATTTATCATCTGTATCTGTTTATTTTCTTCTTCGGCACCATCTGAAATTATCTTATTTAGTAATTTGTTTGTTTAATGTTTGGTTTCCCTCACTAAGTAAGAACTCATGAAGTCAGGAAACTTGATTATATTCTTTTCTTGTTTATTTATTTTTGTTTTTTATGAGACTAGGTCTTATTCTGTCACCAAGGGTGGAGTGCAATGGCACAATCACAGCTCATTGTAGCCTCAACCTCCCAGACTCAAGTGATCATCCTACTTCAGCCTCCTGAGTAGCTGGAATGACAGGCATGCACCAGCATACCTGGCTAATTTTAGAAGTTTTTTTGTAGAGATGGGGTTTCACTATGTTTCCCAGGCTGACCTCAAACTCCTGGGGTCAAGTGATCCTCCCATCTGGGCCTCCCAAAGTGTTGGATTGCAGGCATGAGCCACCACACCTGGCTTTTGCTATATTCTTAACATGGGTTCTGTGGTGGGCAAGTTTATGTAAACCTGCCCACAAAAGCCCAAGGAAGCAGCAAGGCTGAGACAGAGGCTGAGAAACCTAGTTTGTTAGAAAGAAACATTTAATAAGGACTTAGAACAGAAGCCATGTCTGTATCTCAGGCAGCAGTTAAATAAGATGGTGGTTCCCCACACTATTACACCCCAGACCAAGAGCTTATATACCACAGGGGAAGGGTGATTCAGAAGGGATGTGTAAGACAACTGAAGTACAATAATATCAAGATTGTTTGACCTAAGGACAGGATTTATGGGAAATCTTAAGAGGCCTTCCCAGAACTGAGGTTAATCAGAAGTCAACATAGTGGATTATCATCCAACATGGAGTTGCCTTGGCCTTCCCAAAATGTAAAATAATTCCTAGAACATACCAGGCACTATGATCTATGTTTTGGTAGGTTTTTATGTTTAATCAAAAAGAAAAGGCTTTGCCTCACAAACTCTGAACAATAGATAATCATTACAGCAGATAAAAGGAATATATCAATTAAATCATTGTAAATTATCTTTTAATCAATTCCCCAATAAAATATGCTATTCTTAACAGTCCTCCATGACATGTTTTCTCTAGTTCCTCATGATACACTGAGTTTATTTACTCCGTTGATGGCCAATATTTAGTTAGCCCTACATAAAGAATAACTAAGGAATTGAGGATGTTTCATTAATTTTATTATGCAAGTATACAAGGTAATTGTAGAAGGTATAGAAAAACCTGATAAATAAATATGAGAGTAACCTGTGATTCTGTCACTTAACTTTAGTTAAATTTGTGTATTGTTTTCAGCTTTTTGGCTTGTTTGTATTGGATATTCACAGGATTGAAATCTGACCTATGCTCAGAAAGTTAATTTTGATGCTTTGGATAGAATTCATGAGATTAGAAAAAACTAGAAATAAGTGATAGTAAGAGGTGTTGTAATATCAAAAGAAAAATTTAATAAGGATGTAAATTATGATTGAGATGGTGGGAATACAAATGTTACATTTGAAAGATTATTCACAAACTCTAAAGCAGATTTCAGGAACAAAAAAAGAAAAACAATCAAAATTAATACAGAAATTCATGAATTCATAAATCCATGTATGTACTAAACAGCCCTTTATAATAAGTTTTCAGTGAATTAGATACTCATTTAGGTGTTGTGGTTAGGAGAACACATTAGAAAATAAAAATACTTTCAAAAGCATTTCCATTGTGCCCTTAAAAGAGATAGAGGTATAAAAGAAAGATGTGGAATTCAATTATGAAAAATATGGTTGGTATTGGAGGAGAGAAGAGGATAATGCAGGAATTTTAATAAGTAAAAGACTTTCATTAAAAAGAGCAGATGGGATACTTTAAAGACAAGGTTATGATACTGGATAAGAGAATTCCACAGAGTCATAGAGACTCAGTGCCACTTACATACTCCCAAAAATAGGTGTCATGGTCATTTGGTCCATTTTGTGCTGCCATAACTAAATACCTGAAACTGGGTAATTTATACAGAACAGCAATTTATTCCTTTACCATTCTGGAGGCTTGGAAGCCCAAGATCAAAGTGCTGGGAGGTTTGGTGTGTGGTGAAGGCTGCTCTCTGCTTCCAAGATGGTGCCTTGATGCTGCATCCTCCAGCAGGAAGGAACACTACATCCTCACGTGACAGAATGCAGAAGGGCAAAAAAGAGTCAAATTCCCTCTGCTAAGCCCTTTTATGATAATATTAATGTATTCATGAGGGTAAAACCTCATGAATAGATTCATGGGGAATGAATCTATGGGGAGAAAGAAAATAAGACACCAATAAAAAGACTTAACCTCCCAACACTGTTGCATTGATTATTAAGTTTTCTACACATGAATTTTTTGTGGGGGAACACATTCAGTTCATAGCATCAGCACTGGTGTATGACATTTGTGTAGGGGACACAGTAAGTCCCAATGCCTAGAAAACTGCTCAGTGACCGTGCTAAGTCAGTGGAGTACACTGTTCTGAGAGCCATTTCTGAGTCCTTTTGGATCAGAAGGTTCAACTGCAAGTTACTAAATGTGCACAGCAAAGGCAGTCACCTCTGTGACCAAAATCTGGCTTCTCCCTCTCCCCCAGCATTTTAGCACAAGATCAACTGGTGATTACAGTGTGACCCAGAGAAGGTAGAAGGCAAAACTGATGGTATCGATTTTGCTTCAGGATGAAAATATAACATTTCTTAGATTCCAGTGTATAGCTGGAAAAAAATGCCTCTTACCCAAAGAAATAGAATAAAATATATTTTTCATAACCCTCAGGAAACCTTACATTATTAAGAGAATACAAAAGAAGGAAAATAATAAGAACTAGAATAGAGTAGAATATTGAGGGAATATAAAACAAAGATATTCTGTTAAAGAGGTGATCAATAGCATCAAAAGAATGGGAAGATCATCAGTATAAAATATTATAAAAGGTTAAAAGATGAAAACTCAAAGTTCCTTGAATGTGTTCTTTTAAACCATGGGAATCTTTAAAAGAAGATTATATTATGTTCCATTTCATCCTAAAGCAAAATCAGTTCCATCAGTCTCCCTTCTACCTCCTCTGGGTCACAGTATAATCTGGGATAAGTGCATTCTGGGGTAAGAAAAAAAAACGTGGGGCTAATATTTTTAAAGAATTTGGGCATTAATGAGAACCTTGTCTCATTTTATGAAGAATGCAGATAAAATTGCCAGATAAATTTCAGTGCAAATTACAAAATAATTTTTTTATTCAAAAGTATTTCAAACATCATCTCTAGTAAAAGTTAGAATATAAAAATAAAGAGAGAATTTCCATTTTAATGGAAATATTTCCATATTCTTTCCTATAGTTGGAAAATTTGGGGCCATTATTTCTTTAAATAAGCTTTCCTACCCTTTATCTTTCTCTGTCCATAACTTCTCTTTCTAAAGTAGCCATACATGTATATAATTCTTCTCATTGATACCCTGTACATCCTTTAGACTTTCATCGCTGTTTTTAATTTTTTTTCTTTTTGCTCTCCTGACTAGATAATTTCACACATGAACTTATTCAAGTTCAATGATTGTTTCTTCTGCTGTTTAACCCCTCTAGTGAGTTTTTAGGTTTGTTGCTATATTTTTAACTTCAAAAATTATATTGGTTCTTTTTGATATTTTCTATGTATTTGTTGAAATCCTCATTTTATTTTATTTTATTTTTGAGATAATTAAGCATTCTTTGCTGCAAAGGTTTTTAAATTTTTTGACAGATAATTTATATACCTACATTTCGTTAGGCCCTGTTTCTGGAGATTTATTTTGGCCCTCTGATTGGATGAATTTCCCCATTTTTTCTTTTTTGTATCTCGTAACTTTGTGTTGTCATCTGCATATTTGAAAAAACAACCACCTTTCCCAATCGTTCTGAACTGGCTTCATACAAGAAAATACCTTCACCAATCAGCCTGACTACAGATTCTGAGAACCTCTCAAACCTTTCCCTGCATGTGCATCTTCTCAACCCGTATATGTGCATTTCTAATTAGAGGAATTTGTGGCTCTTTTTCTCAGGAGATAATAATCTCTTGTTTCTTTTGATGTCTATCTCGTGTACCATAAGTCATCTGAAGCTGCAACCACCCAACTTTGTTTTGATTTCAGTGATCCCAAGGCAACTAGAGTATGTCAAATCTCATCCATACTCCCAAAGAGGCAAGACAGAAATTTAGTCTCTCAGACAGCCCCTTGAAAAGCAGGATATTGGATACACATTCTATTCTTTCTTGTCCTGGTAGAGAGACTGCCAACCTGCATTGGTGTCTCTCTGATGTACTATCTGTCTTCTGGAACAGCAGCACATAACCCAGCTATTTTGTTCTCAGTGGCCTCCAAGCAGGTATAGTATGGCAGGTCCTGTCAGGCCTCAAAGAGAAGACAGAAGCCAGGTTTTTGGACATCACTGGAAAAGTCAGAGAATTGGACATAGAGTCCAGTCTTCTTTTCCCTCCTCAGAGAGAAGCCAAGAGCTGGGAGTTTCCTCCTGATCACGTGGCACCATCCTCGGAGAGGAACTATGGTGAGAGAATGACACAGATTTTCATAGTAACTTCGATACAGCAGTTTTCTGGTGTACGGACACATTTTAACTGGTTTCTAGATATTTCACCGTAGAAACTGGTTTATGTATTGTCATTGAATTAGTGTCTCCATGGGAAGAAGGAAGGTCTAGGGCTACCCATTCCGCTATCTTGCTGATGTCACCCCTCTAAATCATTAGTTTTTAAAGATATTATCCAAGATTTGTTGTCAGAAATTTAGATTTTCTTTGAAATATGTAAATCATCTTCTTCACTGAAACTGTTAATTACTCAAGATTCATCTTCTGTTAATCACATAAAGACTTACAGCAGCTCTTGAAAGTTTTAAGCAAAATAGACGAATTACCTCTAATAGGAGATAGCAGAGATCTGATGCAATTAGCAGGGCCCAATTCCGACTAGT
This sequence comes from Homo sapiens, assembly GCF_000001405.40. NCBI lineage: Eukaryota > Metazoa > Chordata > Mammalia > Primates > Hominidae > Homo > Homo sapiens. Next base: position 30,723,594 of record NC_000018.10, read on the forward strand.
ACCTGTGTTAAAATTGTTTCTAGTGTATGGTGTTAATTATATGGCTAGTTGTGAATTGCTGCCCTAAACACTGAATCAAAGTGCATTTTTGTTGCATTTTATAAACGAGTTATTGTCATTGTGTGCAATACAAATTACTCTCAGGGTGTACACAAAGTCTGAATAGTAAATTGCCCCAAAACAGGCTTATCTTTAACTTGTGATTTTGCAGATTTTGCCTCTCTCATAGCGATTAATATCATACCACCATGTAAGATTTAAGTCATTCAGGAAGGTAGCCACCATACTTCAGAAGTCAGAAGAAAAAAAGGACATTCTATGCTATGAAAATAACATCCTCTGACAAACTGATTAATGAATATTTTTGTTACAGCAAATAAAGATGCAGAAAATAAGTACCAGAAGTTAATCTTAAAAATACACACAAACATTCACACACACCATACTTTCTGAAAGAAAAGACAATTACAAAAGACATTTTAGCAATAAACTAAAAATAAAAAGTAGTAGTTTACAAAGTAGATCTGTTTGAATTAATGAAAACCCCAGGAGATTAAAGGGACACATTCCATCAGTAAAACGGTCAACGAATGAAGTAGAAATAAGTAAAACATGAGCTTGGGGTCTTGGATACAGACCCATTTGGGTAAAAAAGTTAGTTTTGGATGGAGACTCCTTAGTTTCAATAAAGGAACACATCACCAAATGAAGAGCCTTAAAAGAATCTGGGAAAATTAGTAGCTGTGAGCTTAAAAATAAGCTCCAGGAAGCCAACACTTCATCTAGATCACATAATTAAAGCAAACCTTATCAAGAAAACAAAGCTTTGTGTAGTTGTTTTAGTTTGTTTTTGTTTTGTTTTAGTTTTATACTTTACAATTTTTGCTTTGACTTGAAAACTAATTTTTGTTTTTCTACACATTTTAATAAATACTGTCAGAAAAAAATAATAGTTCATTTGGGACCTTTCTTAAATTTAAGCTGGGAGCCTTTCTACCCTCATTAACAACACTTCTGATTCAATATAGCACTTGTACCTGCATTTAATACTTTAATATAGTTGTATTTAATGCACTATGAACTGTGAGCTAATACTTTGGTGCTGAGGATACAAAAACAAAACAAAACCTTGTCTCTCTTGTCTAAGAGAGTGACATTCCAGGTGAATAGAAACAACATTTAAATACATAAGTGCACTAAAATGTTATACAATACACAAAGAAGAAAAAGACAATGGCCAATCAACCCATTGAGAAGGCAAGTACACTTTAGAGATGAAATCTCCAATAAGATGTAATTTTACATACTGGAATGTCTGATATCAAGAAAACAGAGGGTGGTCAAGTATTTTTCTGGCCACGGAAGCATTGCAAACTAAGGCAAATAGATGGTAATGCAGCCTAAAATATAGGGACTATAGAAATGTAACATTTTTTAAAATTTTAATCTATTTATTCATGTATTTTGATAGAGAGGTGGAAATTCAGGGAGAAGAGCGAAAGAATGAAAGCCAGAGAGGTACACAGGGACTTGATTATCTTAGGTCTTCTGTCTTTAATAATGGGTTGAGCCTTTGTTTAATAAACAATGGAGGATTTCTGAAGAGCTTAGAACTGTTTTCTCTCTTTGTTGAAAAAAATGGGGCAGTAAAAAAATGTACATCACAAAAAAGACTAAGTGAGAAAAATTATACGAAAGAACCTATTTGTTCTTTGTGATCTGACTTGGTATTATTTCATATTTGGCCAGAAAGATTGAGTTGGTCTTGTAAATAAATGAAATGGAGTAGAAAACAGCTTTGCAACATGACAGAAGACATTTCCTAATATTAACATATATAATTATCCTTTTTTTGAATACAAATCTTTAAACTTTAGCTTTTCCTAATTACTCAAAAAGCTAGGTTGGACTGAATCACCACTCATTTGCTTAAAAAATTTTTACTTTAGAATGTGCAGAAGTTCTAAATTACTAAAATTAAATTTTCAATACTTTCTTGGCTATTTGAAAATCTCATAACAGTATTGTACATTTATAAGATATTGTCTACTACCTATGGAAACTCCAAATTTGATAATGGAAGGTATTGTCTAATTCCTATGGAAACTCAAAATTTGATAATGGAATAGTTCAGTACGTTTCTAACACTTTAAGTGCTAATTCCTGTACAAGTCATTGAGTGAGTGATATAGTGATTACTTTGTAGGAGTATGGGCATTATGGTTTTCAACAAAAATTTACTCAAATAATATTTTCCTGATACTCTGAGAGTGGTATGAAATGCATATTGTCTTAGAGCTAGAGGCCTGACTCTAATAAAACTGAAAAAATTAACTTTTATCATTTTTACTACCAATAAAACTGCACAACTGTTGTCAATCTACTGGTATTTGTCAATAGACTGTGCAGTAAATGATTTTTAGTGAGATCTACAAAATGAGGATATCAGCATGAACTAGAATGACCACCCTCTACTCCCATTTATTCATTCTACTTAGTCTTGACAATTTGAGACACTCAAGTCAGCAGCCGGCAACATTTCGAGTAATTTCCAAGTTCACAGATTAATCAGGTGCTATTTAGAATCTCATTGTTCTGAATCTATAAGGGATAAGGGTGTAGTAGCTTTAAATATTTGTATAAAAAGGGCACAAAAATAATTTCTTGTAAAACTCATGTTATTACTCTATAAGGAAAGGTTTTCCATAGTTCATTGGTCTTCTGTCACTCATTATCAAAATGTTTTCTTAGGTCAGTGTGATATGGCTCAGTATTAGAGTGCATTGTTCCTACAGCAGATGTCTGTAATCCACGGGATGATAAACTGTGAGAAATTAACTTTTATTCAAGGATATGTGCTTACTGTTAATTTGCCAAGAGTTGAGATTAAATACATACTACAGCTGTCATTCAAATGGATTAAATAAAATGGCATTTGTGATTTACAAGCGAAGGAAAGAAGAGACTGCTAAATAGTTATACATTCATGCTTTGTTCTAAGACATTTCTAAATAAAATTTTGTCCTCAGACTTGCAAAAAAAGCTTATGGACTCCATGTGCATATAAAAGCAGAAAATTGGTTCTTAGTTAGTGATACTGTGTTCCTAAAATGGCTTTCCATGTAAAAGTCATGCATCTTGTATTTTAAAATTCATCTGGGCCTTAATTACTCTAAACTTAGTGCATTTTTCATCAAATAACAAAGAAGTTATATTTCTCAATGTAAGTGCATTGGCTTTTCTTGCACTTCCTGTTACCATGTGAATAGGGAAAAAATAACATTCCCCAGTTATCCAAATCAGAAAATTCTTCTTGGGGTTCAACTATAAATACTGTTGCTGTCTATATGAGGCGATAGTAGCACCAAACCTTACTTTCCTCATCTGAAAAATGAAGAATGAGCTGTCTCATGAGGGCCAGCTCCTGCACAGCATACACTCACTAAATACTCATGTAATTATTCTCAAAGAATTAAATGGTCTTTTTTATAAGTATGTTTGCCCTATATCTTTATATTTTACCATAATTGAATTCCCTAACCAATAAAAATATGTAATAGTTGCATATGCTAATTATGGAAATGAAAACATTTGTTCTATTTTCTGCTTAGTGTATTAAAATGTTTAATTTTAACAAATTTTTATTAAATTTGGAAGTACAGTACATAATCGAATGATAAACATATAGAAAAGTTGAAATGTAACCAGATCTTTTACATGTACCCTAGCCTAATATTTCAGTAATAGCATTAGTTTTTTCAAAAAATTATATATGTATTCACAATATATATTGTGTTTGTTTATTCATTTCAAATTCCACATTAGGCTTCTAGTCTGAGCCACCATTATTGCCTACCTGCATGATTGTAATGGTCTTCTAATTCATCTCTCTTCATTCACTCTAGAGTTCCTCCAATATATTGTCTACTCAAAAGCTAGAAAAGTACTTTTAAAACACAAAACATTTGTGCCACTCACTTTGCATAAAACCTCCTGTGCCTGACCATTGCACTCACCTTAAAATCCAAAGACCTCAATTCCAATGTCAGGCCCTCCAGGCTGTCCAGCCTCGTCTCTTGCTATGTATATTCCTTTCCATTCCCTATTCTCCTGCACTGGCCTTCTTCTAGTTTCTTGAACTGACTGCGCTCTTGGCATTAAGAACTGATTGCAGACATATGTCTACCTAATTATTTGTTTAATGAGTTTCTGTCTCTCCCACCAATCTAATAGCCCTAGGGGAGGAGTGTAGCATATATTTGTCCACTGTTGTGCCCTCAGTACCTTGCACAGTGTCTGGCAAAAATAAATAATGTGCAGTAAATATTTGTTCAAGAAATGAATGAATACTGGTTTAGCACCTACTAAGTGTCAGGCAGAGAGCTAGGCACTTAAGATATAAATAAATACAAAAGAGTGCCTTTCTTCAGTGAGCTCCAGTCTAGTGGAGAGGGTAAGAGCTGAGTAAACAATTAAAGCATTTAGCAGTCTTCTACCAGAGCAAAGCATGGGATGCTATGAGAGCAGAATGAGGTCAGGAAACTTTCTCAAGAGAGATGATTTCTGAGATGCATTTTGAGGGCTGTTAGAAGTTAGGCCAAGAAGAGTAGGGAAAGAGTCATGCCAATGGAAAGCAAATGAAAGGTGGTTTGGAAAGTTGGACCTGGAGAATAAAGTGAAATATATATCAATATCAATTTGGATCCCCTCAAAAATAAGAAAACACCATCTCATGAGAGCCTTATAATTTCCATTTTATATTTATTATTTATAATTATTGTCAGAAAAGTTAAAGATTTATCCAAAATCCACAACTAAGCAATATGTCCAGGATAAGAAGATCTCTCTATCTGTCTGTCTATCTATAGCTTGCTTCAAAGCCCATTTCTTCTTTTATAGGAAGCTAGATATTCCTTTAAAAAAAAACTTTTATTCTAAGTTCAGTGGTACAAGTGCAAGTTTGTTACATAAGAAAGCATGGTTATGAGGGTTTGTTTTACAGATTATTTTATCACCCAGGTATTAAGTCTAGCACCCATTAGTTATTTTTCCTGATCATTTCCCTCTTTCCACCCTTCACCCTCCAAAAGGCCCCAATGTGTATTGTCCCACTCTATGTGTCCATGAGTTATCATTATTTGGCACCCACTTGTAAGTGAGAACATGCAGTATTTGGTTTTCTGTTCCTATGTTAGTTTGCTAAGGGTAATGGCCTACAGCTCCATTCATGTCCCTGCAAAGGCCATAATCTTGTTCTTTTTTATACTGCGTAGTATTTCGTGGTGAATATGTACCACGTTTTCTTTATCCAGTCTATTGAGGGGCATTTAGGTGAATTCCATGTCTTTGCTATTGTGAATAGGGCTGCAAAGAACATACACATGCATGTGACTTTATAATAGAATAATTTATATTTCTCTGAGCATATACCCAGTAATGGGATTGCTGGGTCAAATATGTCTGTCTCATTCTGGCATGAGATGGTATCACATTGTGGTTTTGATTTGCATTTCTCTAATAATCAGTGATGTTGAGCTTTTCTTCATGTTTATTGGTCACATGTATGTCTTCTTTTGAGAAGTATCTGTTCATGTCCTTTGCCCACTTTTTAATGGGATTCTTTGTTTCTTGTTAATTAGTTTAAGTTCCTTGTAGACTCTGGGTATTAGACCTTTGTCAGATGATAAATTGCAAAAATTTTCTCCCTTTCTCTAGGTTGTCTGTTCACTCTGATGATAGTTTCTTTTGCTGTGCAGTAGCTCTTTAGTTTAATTAGATCTCATTTGTCAATTTTTGCTTTTGTTGCAATTGATTTTGGCATTTTTATCATGAAATCGTTGCCCATGCCTGTGTCCTGAATGGTATTGCCTAGATTTCCTTCTAGAATTTTTATAGTTTGGGGTTTTACACTTAAGTCTTTAATCCATCTTGAGTTAATTTTTGTATTAGTTGTAAGAAATAGGTCCAGTTTCCATTTTCTGCATATGGCTAGTCAGTTCTCCTGGCACCATTTATTAAATAGGGAATCCTTTCCCCGTTGCTTATTTTTGTCAGGTTTGTCAAAGGACAGATGCTTCTAGGTGTGTAGTTTTATTTCTGGCTTTTCTATTCTGCCACCTTGGTCTATGTGTCTGTTTTGTACCAGTACCATGCTGTTTTTTGTTACTATAGCCCTGTAGTATAGTTTGCGTTAGGTAGTGTTGTGCTTCCAGTTTTGTTCTTTTTGCCCATAACCGCCTTGATTATTCAAGCTCTTTTTTGATTCCAAATGAATTTTAAACATTTTATCTTGTTCTGTGAAGAATGTCAATGGTAGTTTAATGCAAATAGCATTAAATCTAAAAATTGCTTTGGGCAGTATGGCCATCTTAACGGTATTGAGTCTTCCTGTGCATTTGTTTGTGTCATCTCTGATTTCTCTGAGTAGTGTTTTATAGTTCTCCTTCCAGAGATCTTTCACTTCCTTAGTTTGCTGTATTCCGAGGTATTTTATTCTTCTGCGGCAATTGTGAATGGGAATTTGTTCCTGATTTGACTCTTGAGCAAGTTAGCTTTTCAATTAAGATATTAATGTTATTAGTATAGTTATATAAACCTTTACTACCACTCATTGCAATTCGCCTCTTTATCAAATTAGCTCCTAAGAATGCTTTCAAGTAGGAATATAAATTCATTTGTGACATGTAACCTAAATACATCTTTGCCTTACAAGACCATATAACTTGATCCACAACTTTTATCAGAAAATATTCTGAGTTTTTATTGACTCTTATTTATTATCGCTTTTATATACCATGAATCATAAACAATTTGTGTCTTTGAATATCTTTCCAAGTCTTCTTTCATAATTGAATTAGCTAAAAAGCCTTTAAATCCTCTATAACAATGTTGTATCATTTCAACCTAAATTGCTATATTAGTCAGAGTTCACCAGAGAAGCAGAGCCAAGATAATATATAATATTAATTTTATTATATATAATATATTTTAAATGTATTAAAATCAATTTATTTTGTGTGTGTGTGTGTGTGTGTGTGTGTGTGTGTGTGTGTAGAAATACAGATATCCAAAGATGGCCGACTAGAAGCAGTGGTGATCGAAGGCTCCCATTGAAAAGAACCATAATAGCATGTGAATTCTGCACCAGCAATCAAGGTACCCAGGTTCTCTCATCAGAACTGTGTAGGTGGCTGTCATGATCCACGGAGAGGAATGAAGAGCAGTGTGGTACGGTGGTGCACTTGAGAGCCACACAGGGCAGGAGAGACCCACCCCCAGCCAAGACAGGTGGTGAGTGAGTGTGCTACCCAGTTGGGGAAACACTGCTTTTTCCGCAGAACTGTGCAACCCACAGGTTGGAAGATCTTACTCATGAACCCATGCAACCGGGGCCTAGGGTCCCAACCCCAGAGCTGCATAGATTCTCAACAGCCTCTCAGCTGGAATCTGCTTAAGCCTGCCGAGTTCCCAGGGGGAGGGGTAACAAGCACCACAGCTGCAGCTGCTTGTCTAAGCCACTTGAGCTCCTTGGAGGAGGGACAGCAGCCAGCACTGGGGCTAATAACTGCTTAACACGCTAAGCTTCCTAGGTGGTGGAAGGGAGGCAGCCATCTCTATAGCTTCACGCTGCACTTTTCCCCTGCTGGAGCCAGGGAGGCTGGTTGGTTTGGTCCCAAAAGGTGTTCCCCACAGCCCAACACACCAGCTGTGGCTGACTGTGTCCAGAGCACCTCTTTACACCTGACTTTGACCTATCCTTCCTCACTGGGTGGGCCTCCCAGCAGGAACTTCAACCACTCCAGCCAGAGGCTCAGGGACAGAACCCTGATCTCCCTGGGCCTGAGCCCCTAAGGGGAGGGATGGCCACAGTCTCTGTGGACCAGCAGACTTAGCCTTTCCTTCTGGTAGTTCTGATGAATCCAGGTGGCCCAAATGAGTGGGTTTTCCCCCAGCAAAGCACAGAACCTCCACCAAGGGACAGACAAAGTGCTCTGTTAAATGGGTCCTGTTCCCCATGACACTCAACTGGGTGAGGCCTTCCAACAGGGGTTGTGAGACACCCTATACAGGAGCAATCCTATTGGTATCAGATTGGTGCCCCTCAAGGTCAGAGATCCCAGAAGAAGCAAGCACCCATCTTTACTGCTCCCCAGCCTCCTTGAGTGACATCTCTAGGTGTGGGAGTGAACCAGATGAATAGGGGCTGAAGTGAACCCCCAGCAAACAGCAGCAGCCCTACGGAAGAGGGAAGTGACCATTGAAAGAAAAACAAACAAATGAAAAGCAACAACAACAACATCAACGACAAAAAAGTTCCCACAAAAACCCCATCCAAGGATCAGCAGCCTCAAAGATCGAAACTAGACAAACTCAAAGATGAGAACCAACCAAAAAATACTGAAAACTCAAAAGGCCAGAGAGCCTCTTCTCCTCCAAATGATCGCAACACCCCTCCAGAAAGGCAGCAGAACTGGACAGAGGATAAGACGGATGAATTGACAGAAGTAGGCTTCAAAAGATGGGTAATAGAAAATTCTGCTGAGCTAAAGGAGCATGTTCTAACCCAGTGCAAAGAAGCTAAGAACCTTCATAAAAGTTTAAAGGAGACGCTAACTCGAATAACCAATTTAGAGAGGAACGTAAATGACCTGATGGAGCTGAAAAAAAACACTGCACAAGAACTTTGTGAAGCATACACAAGTATCAATAGCTGAATCAACCAAGCAGAAGAAAGTATATCAGAGTTTGAAGACCACCCTGCTGAAATAAGGCATGCAAACAAGATTAGAGAAAAAAGAATGAAAAGGAATGAACAAAGCCTCCAAGAAATATGGGACTAGGTAAAAAGACTTAACCTATGATTGATTGGAGTACATGAAGGAGACAGGAAGAATGGAAACAAGCTGGAAAACATACTTCAAGATATTATCCAGGAAAACTTCTCCAATGTAACAAGACAAGCCAACATGCAAGTTCAGGAAATACAGAGAACACCACTAAGATACTCCGCGAGAAGATCAACCACAAGACACATAATCATCAGATTCTCTAAGGCTGAAATGAAAGAAAAAATATTAAGGACACCCAGAAAAGCCAGATGACCTACATAGTGAAGCCTATCAGAGTAACAAGAGGACCTCTCAGCAGAAACCCTGTAAGCCAGAAGAGATTGGGAACCAATACTCGACATCTTAAAAAAAGAAATTTCAACCCAGAATTGTATATCTAGCCAACCTAAGCTTCAAAAGTAAGGGAGAAATAAGATTCTTTCCAGACAAGCAAATGCTGAGTGATTTTGTTACCACCAGGCCTGCCTTGCAAGAGCTCCTGAAGGAAGCACTAAATATGGAAAGGAAAAACTGGTACCAATCACTGCAAAAACACACCAAAATATAAAGACCAATGACAATATAAAGACACTGCATCAAAAAGTGTGCAAAATAACCAGATAGCATCATGATGACAGGATCAAATTCACACCTAACAATACTAACCTTAAATGAAAATCGCCTAAATGCCTCCAATTAAAAGACACAGACTGGCTATTTGGATAGAGTCAAGACCCATCAGTGTGCTGTATTCAGGAGACACATCTCACATGAAAAGACACACATGGCTCAAAATAAAGGGATGGAGGGAAATTTACTAAGCAAATGGAAAGCCAAAAAAAGCAGGAGTTGCAAGCCTAGTCTCTGACAAAACAGACTAAAACCAACAAATATCAAAAAAGACAAAGAAAGGCATTGTATAATGGTAAAGGGATCAATTCAGCAAGAAAAGTTAACTGTCCTAAACATATATGCACCCAATACAGGAGCACCCAGATTCATAAAACAAGTTCTTAGAGACATACAAAGAGACTTAGACTCCCACACAATAATAGTGGGAGAGTTTAACACCCCATTGTCAGTATTAGACAGATCAACAAGATAGAAAATTAACAATGATATTCAGGGCCTGAACTCAGCTCTGAATCAAGTGGACCTAACAGACATCTACAGAACTTTCCACCCCAAAACAACAGAATATACATTCTTCTCAGTGCCACATGGCACTTATTCTAAAATCAACTACATAATTTTAAGTAAATTACTCCTCAGCAAATGCAAAAGAACTGAAATCATAACAAAAAGTCTCTCAGGCCACAGTGCAATCAAATTAGAATTCAGGATTAAAAAATTCACTCAAACCCACACAATTACATGGAACTTGAACAACCTGCTCCTGAAGGATTCCTGGGTAAATAATGAAATCAAGGTATTTCAATCAAGAAGTTCTTTGAAACTAATGAGAACAAAGACACAACATACCAGAATCTCTGGGACACAGCTAAAGCACTGTTAAGAGGGAATTTTATAGCACTAAAAATTTTATAGCACTTTCTGATGCCCACATCAGAAAGCTAGAAAGAGCTCAAATTGACACCCTAACATCACAATTAAAAGAGCTAGGGAAGCAAGAGTAAACTAATCTGAAAGACAGCAGAAGACAAGAAATAACTAAGATCAGAGCAGAATTAAAGGAGATAGAGACATGAAAAACCTTCCAAAAAAATCAGTGAATCGAGGACCTGTTTTTTTGAAAAAATTAACAAAATAGATAAACCACTAGCTAGACCAATAAAGAAGAAAAGAGAGAAGAATCACATAGACACAATAAAAAATGATAAAGGGGATATCACCACTGACCACAAGAAATACAAACTACCATCAGAGAATAAACAACTCCATGCAAATAAACTAGAAAGTCTAGAAGAAATGGATAAATTCCTGGACACATACACTCTCCCAAGACTAAACCAGGAAGAAGTCAAATCCCTGAATAGACCTGTAACAATCTCTGAATTTGAGGCAGTAATTAATAGCCTAGCAACCAAAAAAATCCAGAACCAGATGGATTCACAGCCAAATTCTACAAGAGGTACAAAGAGGAGCTGGTACCATTCCTTTTGATACTATTCCAACAATTGAAAAGGAAGGACTACTCCATAACTTATTTTATGAACCCAGTGTCATCCTAATACTAAAACCTGGCAGAGACACAACAAAAAGAGAAAATTTCAGGCCAATATCTCCGATGACCATTGATGAGAAAATCCTCAATAAAATACTGACAAACCAAATCCAGCAGCACATCAAAAAACTTATCCACCACAATCAACTCAGCTTCATCTCTGGGATGCAAGGATGGTTCAACATAAGCAAATAAATGAACATAGTCTATCATATAAACAGAACCAAAGACAAAAACCACATGATTAACTAATAGATGCAGAAAAAGCCTTTGATGAAATTCAGCATCCCTTCATGTTAACAACTCTCAATAAACTAGATATTGATAGAATATATCTCAAAATAATAAGAGCTATTTATGACAAACAGCCAATATCATATTGAATGGTCAAAAGCTGGAAGCATTCCTTTTGAAAACTGGTACAAGACAAGACAAGAATGCCCTCTCTCACCACTCCTATTCAACATACTACTGGAAATTCTGGCCAGGGCAATCAGGCAAGAGAAAGAAATAAAGGTATTCAAATAGGAAGAGATGAAGTCAAATTGTCTCTGTTTACAGTTATGATTCTATATTTAATTTAGAAAAACCCATTATCTCAGCCCAAAAACTCCTTAAGCTGAAAGGCATCTTCAGCAAAGTCTCAGGATACAAAATCAATCTGCAAAAATCACAAGCATTTCTTTACACCAACAATAGACAAGCAGAGAGCCAAATCATGAATGAACTCTCATTCGCAATTGCTACAAAGAGAATAAAATGCCTAGGAATGCAGTTAACAAGGAATGTGAAGGACCTCTTCAAGGAGAACTATAAACTACTGCTCAAGGATATAAGGGGACACAACCAAATGGAAAAACATTTCATCCTCATGGATAGGAAGAATCAATATTGTGAAAATGGCCATACTGCCCAAAGTAATTTATAGATTCAATGCTATTCCCATTAAACTACCACTGACATTCTTCACAGAATTAAACACTTTAAATTTCACATGGAATCAAAGAAGACCCCATATAGCCAAGATAATCCTAAGCAAAAAGAACAAAGCTGAAGGCATCATGCTGCCTGACTTCAAACTATACTACAAGGCTACAGTAACCAAAACAGCATGGTACTGGTACCAAAACAGGCATATAGACCAATGGAATAGAATGGAGACCTCAGAAATAACACCACGCATCTAAAACCATCTGATCTTTGACAAACCTGACAAAAACAAGCCATGGTGAAAGGATCTCCTATTCAATAAATGGTGCTGGGAAAATGCCTAGCCATATGCAGAAAACAGAAACTGTACCCCTTCCTTACACCTTATGCAAAAATTAACTCAAGATGTATTAAAGACTTAAATGTACAACCCCAAGCCATAAAAACTCTAGAAGAAAACCTAGGCAATATCATTCGAGACATAGGCACGGGCAAAGACTTCATGACGAAAACACCAAAAGCAATTAGAGCAGAAGCCAAAATTGACAAATGGGATCTAATTAAACTAAAGAGCTTCTGCATAGCAAAGACACTATCATCAGAGTGAGCAGGCAGCCTACAGAATGGAAGAAAATTTTTGCAATCTACCCATGCGACAAAGGTCTAATATCCAGAATTTACAAGTATCATAAACAAATTTACAAGAAAAAATCAAACAACCCATCAAAAAGTGGGCAAAGGATGTCAACAAACACTTCTCAAAAGAAGACATTTGTGCAGCTAAGAAATATATGAAAAAAAGCTCAACATCACTGGTCATCAGAGAAATGCAAATCAAAACCGCAATGAGATACCATCTCATGCCAGTCAGAATGGTGATTATTAAAAAGTTAAACAGTAGATACCGGTGAGGCTGTGGAGAAATAGGAGTGCTTTTACACTGTTGATGGGAATGTAAATTAGTTCAACCATTGTGGAAGATGGTATGGCAATTCCACAAGGATATAGAACCTGAAATACCATTTGACCCAGCAATCCCATTACTGGGTATATACCCAAAGGAATAGAAATCATTCTAATATAAAGACACATGCACATGTAGGTTTATTGCAGTACTATTTAGAATAGCAAAGACATGGAATCAATCCAAATGCCTTTGATGATAGACTGGGTAAAGCACATGTGGTACATATACACCATGGAATACTATGCAACCATTAAAAAGGAATGAGATCATATATTTTGCAAGGGCATGGATGAAGCTGAAAGCCACCATCCTCAGCAAACAGAACATCATCCTCAGCAAACAGGAACAGAAAACCAAACACTGCATGTTCTCACTCATAAGTGGGAGTTGATCAATGAGAACACATGGACATAGGAAGGGAACAACACACACCAGGGCCTGTTTGGGGTGGTGGGCGAGGGGAGGGAACTAAGAGGATGGGTCAATAGGTGCAGCAAACCACCATGGCACACGCATACCTATGTAACAAACCTGCACATTCTGTACATGTATCCTGGAACTTAAAGTAAAATTAAAAAAAAATAGATATCCTATTGATTTTGTTTCTCTGGAGAATGATATATATATGTATGTATGTGTAAAATTGGTCATATATATACACACATATAAGACATTTATTATAAGATATGTGCTCAAGAGATTACATAGGCTGAGAAGTCCCACAGTCTGCTATCTGCAACCTAGAGATCCAGGAATGCCATGGTGTAGTTTAAAGGCCTGAGGGCTTGAAGACTGATGATGTGGATTTCAGCCTGAATCTGCAGGCCTGAGAGCCAGGGGCACCAAGTGCAGGATGTCTCATCTCCCACAAGAGACAGATGGAAAATTAACTCAACCTTCCTCAGCCTTTTTGTTCTACTCAGGCCCTCAAGGGATTAGATGATGTCCATCCACATTGGCTATCTGCTTTACTCAGTCCACCAATTCAGATGCTAATCTCTTTCAGGACCAACCTCACAGACACACCCAGAAATAAAGCTTAATTTTATATCAGGGCATCCCATGGCCCAGTCAAGTTGACTCATGAAATTAAACATCACAATAGCCCACAGATATAGATAGTATTGATGCAGTTATTGTGGAAACAGATGATTTTAAAACTTAAAAGATAAGTAAGTATAACCTCTCTTACTTTAAGGGTCTTCACTATCACATTTCACACAAATGGAGTACTCTATCCTTGAATGCAGCTGAGTGACAAAAGCAAAACAAAGCTAATTCTTCTAACCTTAATGATATTAAATAATCTGTCTGAAAATGACTCCTGAGTTCAGAAATTGATTCTACTCACTAAATCATTTAGGATCCTGCCTCATCCAAAAACCTGGAAAATTGACTTTGGTAGGTTCCTTGAAACTTGGTGTTTCCAATTTTAATTAATATCAGAATAAGCTAACTCAACATTAACACGTGAAAATAATTCATATGAATTACACACATGCACATACACACATAGGCACATACACAAACAGCCACAGAAAAATGCACAATATTCCCCCACCAACTCTTAAATATACAGATATAACTTTATGGAATTTATTTTGTTTTGTTTCTTAGGTGTGATTAAATATAGTGGTGAACGTTAAAACTACACACTTAGAAGTACAAATCCTTTGTCTTTGAGCAAGCTTAAATAAATTCCATCATTGTTTCATATCAATTAGATTTTGCATGTAAATACTCTTGCAGTATAACATATGGTCAATTCAAAATACTTCCTAAATATGCTATTAAATGGGATCATAATTTGGAATGATTTGAAAATCAAAATAACTAATGCACAGAAAATCTCAAAGAGAATAGTTATTTCTCAAAGGGTCATTACTGCAGAGATCATTTGAATTAGAAAAAAATAAACTACCTGATCAAATTAGTGAACACAACATTCTGTCAATTATCTGAATGCTCTGTAAAGGGGAATTGTCCTTAATTGATGATCGTTATTTGCTGTCTTCAGCCTATTATTGCTCATTTTCTTCCTAAAAACTCTGAAGTTGCATAAAAAAGAATATAAACTAGTTTTTATATCAGTCACCCCCAATCTGACTTAATGCAATTTAGAATTTATGAAGAACAGAATAAAATTAATATAAAGTTAGAACATTCATTAATATTTTCTGAAATTTTTGTCAAACAATGTAAAGTATCTTATTAACACTGTATTTAGCATTAAACATCCAATTTGACCTTAATGTGGTTGGACTAATCATGTTTTGACTACTCATTACCTTTGGAAAAGGGAAAGTCAAAATTTTATAATTTGATTGAAGACCTCTGGAAAAAATTTTAATATGATACCATGATAAAATGCACTTGAAATCATGGAAAAAAATCGCACATACTTTTACATTGATATGAAGCCTTAAGACCACCATTGGCCTTCTAACTTTTCACGGGTAAAGACTTCAGTAACATATTTAATGTATGATAGAAAGGAATAACTAACATTGTGTATTTGTTACAAGGGAGACTTAATTGTCCAAACTGAGACACTTTTGAGAATAAAGGGGACTTTAACAATATCATACCAGGACAACTGATGTAAAAGAGATTTATCCCAGGTCAGGAAAAATTTAGAACAAGAAATAGCAATTTAATTTCATCTTTGATTTCATATATATGTAGCAGTATACTATATGGTCACTTAGAAATACTTCCTAAATATGCTATTGAATGGAGTCATAATTTAGGGTGATTTGAAAATCAAAGTAAACTAATGCACAGAAGATCTAAAATATATTTTATGTACAAACATATATAATATGTATATGTATAATTAATATATATGTATATATAATATATATGTATATATGTTTATATAAACACACAAACATGTATGTTTTAGGTATGTATTGTGTATATATTCTATAAAATACAAATGCAAAGAAGAAACTTAAAATACACATAGTATAGAATTTTTTTGTAGTTCTTTTATCTTTTACCTAAATTATGTTCCATTGTCCTAGACTTGTAGTTTCATAAGTTTATATGCTAACGGATTAAGCACCCATCAGAATTAAGTTACTGTCTAATGGTGGGAATGTGGTAGCTAGAGATAGCCATAACCTCTTTTCGTCATTGGGCTGCCTTTTAGAACATATGACTCCTGGGAATAATGTCAATTTAATTATACCCTAAGTGACTGAAGTTAATAAATGTCTAACACTTCAATTTAGTACCTTTAAGTAATAGGTTAGGTCTGTATGACAAAAAGGAACAACATAATTTAACTTAGTCTATCAATCAATGCCTCCATTTTTGTTGTTATTTTTATTCAAAATTTTAGTTTGTCTGCATTAACTGGCACAAGGAATACATCGATAATTTTTGGATACCATTTTAGACATGGGGCAGAAACCTAACTTATCAGCAAATATTTGTTGTATATTGCTTAGCTTTTGACATTTTAGCATCCTCATCTGTTTATACCAAAATAAGAAGTTGGGTATTTTGGATATGAACGTTCCTCTTAGTAAGATGCCTTGGGAGCATTATTGTAGTGGCCCCGAAGACACAATATGCTTCTCAAACATTCTAGTTAGTCAGATACCCAAATAATAAAGTATATTAAATTGCAGAGCCATAGAATCCTAGATCTTATGAGAATTTAAGAAGTCATTTATTTTCATCCTGGCTAACACAGTGAAACCCCATCCCTACTAAAAATACAAAAAATTAGCCAGGCGTGCTGGCGGGCGCCTGTAGTCCCAGCTATTTCAGAGGCTGAGAAGGAGAATGGCGTGAACCCAGGAGACAGAGCTTTCAGTGAGCCAAGATCACGCCACTGCACTGTAGCCTGGGCAACAGAGTAAGACTCTGTCTCAAAAAAAAAAAAAAAAAAAAAAAAGAAGTCGTCTATTTAAACTTCCCACCAGATGAAGCAAATGAAAGCAATGGCTTGTTCTTAGAGTGATTAACTTGCTCGTTAGTTCTATTATCACCCCACATAGCTCATCTCATTTTTTAATGTATTAATCCATCCTCTTTAACCATGTTCTTGTGTCTTCCTTTAACAATGTAGTTTTAATGACTAAATTTTTAATTGATTTATCTATAAATATTTTGGGGTAATAAAAATAAATCAAAATATTAAGATTAGGATTAAAATCATTATTTCAACGCCAAAGAATTGCTTGTAATTTTTTGTTAGTAGTTGATTTCTGAGTCTAGTACTGTCAAATGTTGGAAACATAGAAGTAAAGATTCTCCAATTCTGACACTCACAGATGATTCATTCTCTGCTCAGGGAAAACGTACAGTTAGCACTTACACCATTGTGGGTATGTTTCTGTTTTACCTCTTACCTCAAGGTTAACTTACCTTAGCTTTTAGATTATTGTAGATTGAATCACATTGAACTAAAGGTAATTTTTTGCTGAAAATTTCATATTGTCTTATATTAAATCATGAAATACTATTTATGAGGCGATTGTGAATTAATAACATAAATATAATAACTTTTCTCATTATTATTATTTGTAGTCAGTTATAACAGTCACAATAATGTATGTAACAAATACCAACTTCTACAACTGGAAATTATTTTTAATAATTTAGAGAAATAAACCACCATTATCTTTGATCAAAGTAGTACCATTTTTCAAAATGGAGAAAAACTACAACCCATAATCATAAAAAATATTTTACTGCTAAGCTTATGTAGAATATGATATTCACCAAATAGTTTAATTCAATAATGTCATTTTGCTGGTCAAAAGCAAGGACATTCATTAAATTAGTACACACAAACACAGACACACACACTTACAGTTGAATAGAAAGAAATGTATCAATGAACTTCCTTTAAAAGAGATGGCCACCTGATCACTTAAACAATCTCCTTGGGGACTTGACAAGCCTCTCCGTAGAAAATTAATCTGGACTTTGAAAACAGAAGACAAGGGCATTTGTGTGAACACCCCATAACTTATCTACAATGCTTAGATATTGATTTGTTTACTATCAAGCCGGTGATCAGCAATATGTTTTAAAAAATAAATAAGTAAAATTTTGGACAAAAATTGTATAGCACTTAAATCATTAAATAATTAATTACATAGAAAATTTTCCAAAGTAAGATTGTACAGATACAAAACACTGTATGGGAAGTCTGTGTTTAGCCCAAAACCACATTAATAAAACCCTTTTAACATACTGTGAACTGCAGCAATAAAAAGGACCAGATCACAGACTGTGTCAAAGCACTAAATATTTTATTTCTCTTTCCTTTGAATAACATCTTTCTGGTGTCATAGGTGAAACTTCCCATGATTTATCACTCTAAATCTGAGGAGTGAAAAAAATCAAAAGACAGAGGAAGATACAGAGGGAAGAGAAAATCAGGAGAGGTAAAGAAAGGACGCAATATTAAATATGCTTTCTTTTTCTTAACTTTCCTCTTTTTCTCCTAAACATGAGATTTGCAGCTGAATAATAATTCCTTAATAGAAAAATAAAATGTAAAAGTTTTTGTTTTGTTCTGCTTCATTTATCAGAAACATTAGAAAGAGGAAGAGAAAGAGAGAGACAGAAACAGAGAGAAACAGACGAAGATAATCAGTTGAACAAAACTCAAAGAAGGAATTAGTTTGTAGAGAGAAACAGACGAAGATAATCAGTTGAACAAAACTCAAAGAAGGAATTAGTTTGTAGAGAGAAACAGACGAAGATAATCAGTTGAACAAAACTCAAAGAAGGAATTAGTTTGTCATTGTATAGATCTTCTTACAATCAACACTATTTGATTTTTTTTTATGGTACACCAAAGGTTAAATCAACTGAAAAAAAGAAAGGTTATACATGCAGTGAATTCTCAGAGCTATTTGCAAGGCAGTTAACATTTTTTGGTAACATGATTTTATTATAGGTTAAGAGCTAATTATTTTCCTCTGTACTTTGTTAAAACTAAAAGATGGACTTGTCACATATCTCCTATTTAATCTTTTAGCATCTGTTTTTCATCTGTAAAATGAGTTATTACACTTGATCTTAGCCACAAGGCCAAGAAGTGATATAAAATGAGTTATTAATCTCTTCCCAAGCTGTTTGAAAGTGTAAAATGAGATGGCAAAAGAAAAATTATTTCAGATTTAAAACTCTTAATGATGCATCCATGCTTTAAAAGAAAAAAATGTAAACTTCAAACAGAAAAATTCTATACAACTATTGGTGATGTATTGAAATTGAGCCAAATATATATTTATCTGAAATGTATGTGATATATATAGTTTTTGTTTTTATTAAAATGCCCAAACACCAAAATAACTACATGTATACCTAAGTGACTAATGGATTAACAGAATTTTACTGGAGTATCTAAAAATTGTGTTTTCTAACATGGGATTTTTAGAAATTATGACTTGGCAGAATTCAATACACATATCTTAATATCACAACATGTCATAAAAACATAATTTAAATAATATTAGCAAGGCTAATTATGTTTATTTAAGTGACTGACATACAGATATGTAATAACCCAAGGTTTAAAATAAAAATAATCAGTAAAAGGGGACTAATTGGAAAATAAAGACATTTATAAATAGTTTTTACTAAGCAAATGTTAAGGATGTCTTAGTCCACTTTGTATTGCTAAAACAAAACACCTGAAAATGGGTAATTTATAAAGAAAAGAGGTTTATTTGCTTATGATTCTGGAGACTGATAAGTCCAAGATTTGGCAGCTGTATCTGGTGAGGGCCTCAGGCTGCTTCTTCTCATGGAGGAAAGTGGAAGGGAGGTGAGTCTGTGCAAAGAGATCATATGAGAGAGAAGAAGCAAAAGAGCAAATCCAAGGAAGCAAGACTCTTTCTAACAACCCACTCCCTGGGAAATTAATCCATTCTTGCAAAAGTGAAAACTCACACTTACCTCAGCAGGAGGGCATTAATCTACTCATATGGGGTCTAGCCCCATGACTAAAACACGTCTCTTTAGGCCCTACATCCCTACACTGCCACGTTAGGGATCAAATTTCAACATGAGTTTTGATAGACATAAACAAACAATATCCAAACCATGAATCTAATTCTTCAACTTTGGAGAAAGAGGATTCAATTAATTTTCCCCAACACTCCCTCATGCCTACTCTATGCACAAATTAGGGGAGACTGTCCTTAAAGAAAGAATTTTTAACTGCAAACAGAAACTGATGCCAAGCCCCACAAGATAGTATACTTGGAAGCTACTGAAGAGCAGACAAAATAATCAGAGATGATTATCATTCATAGTGGCTATCAGTATCTTCTCTGTTGAATTTTCTGTCAGGAATTGTTGCTGCAACTTTTGAATCAGCATTATAAGTTTTTATGTTATTTTTGTATAAGAAATAGTTGTATTATTTTATCTACATCTACCAGACATCTCAACCTGCCTGTACCATACATTACTGAAACTCAACATATTCATAACTATATTTATTTTTCCCTCAAACTATCTCAACCTTCTGTTTTTTTTCTATTCTTGTTCTATTCTTCTTGTCTACTCTAGTTCAAATATAGTAACCATAAAATTATTTTGAACTGCTCCCCATCCTCCACAGTATATTATTACATTGAATTGATTCCTTTCCTGAATTTTCTCTCACATTTCTCCTCTCCTCTCCTTCCAAATAACTAGAATTTTATTTAAGATCCATTTATCTCCTGCCAACTTTTCAAATAACTTTATCATGTCTCCCTATCCAACCTCTTCCTACTCCAATCTACTCTTCATAGTTGCCAAATCCCTCTAGAGAAGAGCAAATTTTGTTACTTCTCTGCTTAGAAATCATTTTTAGCCGGGGGGGGGGCGGTCTATATAAATATAAACTATAAACCCTTCAATGAGACCGGGCACGGTGGCTCACGCCTGTAATCCCAGCACTCTGAGAGGCAAAGGCGGGAGGATCACGAGGTCAGGAGATGGAGACCATCCTGGCTAACATGGCGAAACCCCGTCTCTACTAACAATACAAAAAATTAGCTGGGCATGGTGGCAGGCACCTGTAGTCCCAGCTACTGAGGAGACTGAGGCAGGAGAATGGCGTGAACCAGGGAGGTGGAGCTTGCACTGAGCTGAGATCATGCCACTGCACTCCAGCCTGGGTGACAGTGTGAGACTCCATCTCAAAAAAAGATAAAATAAAATAAAATAAAATAAAATAAAAACAAAACCCTTCACTGAGGCATAAGTAGAATATTCCTAACTCAACTCCTACACACTTGTTGGGACTCACCCCTTTTTCTTCCATTCCACACCCCAGGCTTAGAAGGTTAGTTACCTTAGACTGTCCACCTTTCAATTTCTTATATATCTCCAACTACCGACCAACACTTCCTTCAGGTCTTTGAGCCAGTGTGACATGCCACTGAATATTTACTCCACACATAATAACTCAGAGGTAGCAGTGTTCAAAAGAATAAATGAATGCATGAATTCTAAGCCTTTTTTTTTTTTTTGAGACAGATCCTCACTTCCCTCACCCAAGCTGGAGTGCAATGGCGTTATCATGGCTCACTGCCGCCTTGACCTCCCTGGCTCAAGTGATCTTCCCAACTCAACCTCCCAAGTTGCTAGGACTACAGGCATACACTACCACACCTGGATAATATTTTGTATTTTTAGTAGAGTCTGGGTTTCACCACATTGCTCAGGCTGGTCTCAAACTTCTGGACTCGAGGGATCTGCCTGTCTCAGCCTCCCAAGGTGCTGGGATTACAGGTGTGAGCCGCCACACACAGCCAAATTCTAAGCTTTTGGGACCTCTGAGTGATAAAGCACATTACAGGAGCAGAAATGTGCCAACATTATTTTAGTAAGAAAGGTGACTTTAATGCCTACAAAATATATAAATTCATGCTGATTTCAATGACATCTAAGTAGTATGACCACCATACACTCCTAGGATGTAACTTTTTATCTCTTCCTTTCTTTAAACTAGGTTCAAACCTAGCATAAAGAAAAATTATTTCTCAGCTCCTCATATTCAGTAAAGCCCTGTAAAATAATCATAGCATTAAGTACATAGGTAATAATAGTGCCTTACATTTATATAATGCTTTATAATTTATGGATTTCTTTTAAAAATGATCTCATTTGATCTTCAGAACTGCCTTTTATTCTGTAGAAGACAAGCATAGGTATACGATCCTTCATCTGTTATTTCAAAAGCCAAAAACTCTGAAGACCAAAAGTTTTATGATTTATTGTAAAGTGTGTTGCCAGAACTCTTTTAAAGGCAAAACTATTATGAGCTTTTGTGAGGCAGTTTACGGCTCTTACTTTTCCCACTTAGTGTAGATATTCATGAATCACTGCAAATATATTACTGTGTTTCTTTGTGGAGTGCTGCCCCAGATCCTACGTGGTATTAAACAATATATGATGTATGCACTCATTATTTTTCTAAATTTGAATTTAGACATGACTGGATCCATAGGTTTTAAATAATGCATTGTGGGACACTTTGATATGGTTAATTTAATGATGAAAAAACTAGCTTCTAATAGTTAACTCATCCACAGTCATACTTCAAGGTAATTCTCATTTCAGGTCTAGTGTTTTGATGACTTTGTTTGAACATATATTTGCTACACAAAGATGTTTATTTGGTACAATAAATAGTAAAAATGTTGTATCACAGTAGCTACCTTTAAATATACTATTTGTCTGGCATGAGTTGGGGCAAAATATGATTTTTCATTCTTGTGTAAATTGTCACATGAACAAGTTACAAGTATTCTGAGAAATAAGAAATATAGATGTTTCTCAATCTATAAAGTATTTGAATGACAGACCTTCAAAAATCTAAGTGGCTATTTACTCAGAGTGAAAGTCAACTTCTTATTCAACATAGTGCTTCTGCCAATAAATATTTAACTACAAGTAGACACTCACTGATGTTTCCAAAATAAACATGCCTACTGGAAAGGAATATGTTTTTCTGATCCAGATAGACTATTTCTTCTACCCTCCACAACCTTATAATTCTCTTTAAAGATATGAAAGTTCACATATCAAAATAAGTTAAACAGCCTTTTAGGGAGCTACTCACTATTCTAAGTGCTTTTTGTATAGCAGGATTTAACGTTCACAATAATCTTATGAGTTAATTACTACTATTATTCCCTTTTTGTAAAAGAGGAAATGGAAGCACGAAGAGGTTAATTGACTTCCTCATGGTCACACAGTAAGTGACCAAGCTGGAATTTTAACCCATGCAGTCTGGCTCCACAATGTGTATGCGTGTCCTCTGTACCATAACATAGAACATCCAGAGTATTAACGAAGCAAAGCAGGACCTCTAAGTATTCATACTTAGCAGATAATCAATCAAGAACCCAAACACATGAGAGCAAAGAGAAAGAATGGAACAAGAAACAAATTTATCGCATATTGTCAGATAATACATTTAAGCTAATGCAGCATTAAGGTTAACTTAAGGCAATTTCACCTGATTTTAACTTTTAAAGTCTATAACTGCCAATGAAGGGTTTGATTGAGGTATGATTTCTTTTTTTATTGTATGTGAGATCACATGGCTTCAGAATTGCATTATTAATGATAAAAGAGACCCCAAAATATATTAAACTGGTCTTCAGTTTCATCTTTAGTGAGGTATTAATAATATATATCATCATCCTTTTAAAAAGGATAAAATAGAAGCAATTTTACTCTCTATCATTGGTGCACTTTACATAAGACATAAGCATTCCTTATATAAATCATTTTTGTGTCATTACTGTATCCCAGGTATTCCTAGGCATCAAAACTCCATAATAAAAAACACTATCCCTGTCTTTAAATCATTCATAGGGTAATAAAAGGAACATAGAAGTAAATCATAAATTACAACCTAGTGCAATTGCTAGGAGAGAAGTAACCACAGGTATTATGAGAACAGAAATGGTTTAGGCTACCCTGACATAAAGGAGGAAATCATTGCATTAAGTCTTAAATGATCTTTCAAGTTATCATGGAATAAACTGGAAGAAATGAGCCTCTCAACATAATAAAGATATGTTCAAAGCCTTTAAGTAAAAGAAGGTGTCGAGCGCTGAGGAAATTGCAAACAACTTGGGGTATCTGGAGTTTGACATGTGCCTAGACTGCTTG
Organism: Homo sapiens; assembly: GCF_000001405.40. Taxonomy (NCBI): domain Eukaryota; kingdom Metazoa; phylum Chordata; class Mammalia; order Primates; family Hominidae; genus Homo; species Homo sapiens. The sequence goes on from NC_000018.10 coordinate 30,747,658, forward strand.
AGAGTAGATGAGTGTGTCAAAATGGGTAGGGCCCAGATAACCTGAGATCTGGATTGTTTGACTAAGCAATTTGGCTTTTATTCTGCAGAAGATCATGAGGTATTCCAACATTTCACTTTTTCAAATTTTTTTTTGACATAATTTTAGATTTAAAGAAAACCTAAAAAAATAGTACAGGGACTTTTTATATTCCGTCATTCATCTTCTCATAGTTAACATTTTTTTAATGTATACAGTTATTGAAACCAGGAAATTAACATTGGTGTTAAATAAATAATCTATGGAATAATAAAATAATCTATGGAACTTAAATAAGCTATGGAACTTAACTCAACTTTCATTCATTTCCATACTAATGTCATTTTCCATATCTAGGAACCGATCCAGTATTCCACATTTCATTTAGTGCTCATGTTTCTTTAGTTTCCTTCAATGCCTCAGTCTTTCTTCATCATGCATGAACTTTGACACTCTTTGAAGAATACTAGTTATTTTTTAGATTGTCTTTCAATTTAGAATTTTTTAATGGCTTTTCATAATTAAATTAATGCTGTACCTTTCTCAATGGATACATCAGGTGGTACGCAATTGCAATACATCTTATCTGTATACACTAGAGTTGTCATATGGCAAATTTCTTCTTTATTTTCCCTTTGTAATTAATAATTATTTGTGGGGTGATACTTTGGATCTATGTAAAAATCCTACTTCATACTATGCATTAAGTCACCACTTTTATGATGATTTTGATTACGATTTTTGCCTGCAAAAAATTATTACCATGATGGTTACTTCATGATGATTTCTAGTTCCATGATTTCTTCTACACTTATTAATTGGAATTCTATAACAAAGAGCTGTTCATTTGCCCCTCATTATTTCTTCAATTATTTGTTTCTATGAGTGTATTAATTCATTCTCATGCTTCTATAAGGACATACCAGAGACTGGGTAATTTATAAAGGAAAAATGTTTAATTGACTCACAGTTCTGCCGGGCTAGGCAGGGCTCAGAAAAACTGACAATCGCGGAGAAAGAGGAAGCAAACACGTCCTTTTTCACAAGGAGGAAGGAGAGAGAAGAATGAGAGCCGAGCAAAAGGGGAAGCACCTTATAAAACCATCAGATCTAGTGAGAACTTACTCATTATCATAATAATAGCATGAGGGAAACTGCCCCCATGATTCAATTACCTCCTGCCAGGTCCCTCCCACCACACATGATGATTATGGGAACTATAATTCAAGATTTGACTTAGTTGGGGACACAGCCAAACCATATCAATGAATATAGAGTCATAGATGTATGGTTTATTCTGTGGGTTTTATTCCATTACTATCATTATTTATTTTGTTTTTGTAAATGGCTCCAGACTTGAACATCAAGAGCATCTTCAGGTTCACTCTGGTGTCTCTTTGACATGGCCCATTTTTCCTTTTTTGAGCACTTCTGTACTTTCTGTCATCACAAGCTATTCTATGATTACATTACATATGCTCTGGCCAACCCTTAGAATCAGCCGTTTCCTGAAAAATCTTTAGAGCCTTTTATTGGTGAATGCTGTTTGGAAGCTGATATGGTTTGGCTCTGTGTTCCCACCCAAATCTCATCTTGAATTGTAATCCTCAGGTATTGAGGGAGGGACCTGAAATAATTGGATTATGGAGGCAGTTTCCCTCTTGCTGTTCTCATGATAGTGAGTGAGTCTCACAATATTTGATGGTTTTAAAAGTGGCAGTTTTTCTTGTGCTCCCATTCATTCCCTTTCCTGCTGCTTTGTGAAGAAGGTTCCTACTTCCACCATGATTGTAAGCTTCCTGAGGCCTCCTCAGCCTTGCAGAACTGTGAGTCAATTAAGCCTCCATTGTTTATAAGGTATTCAGTCTTGGGTAGTATCTTTATAGCAGTGTGAGAATGCACTAACACAGAAGCCAAAACCTGAAGAAGTTTAATTTATTGAAGAGCATCTCTGACAGAATTGTGGAGTATTGATTTGTTATGCAGTGGAAATAAAATTAAGGCAAATTAGAAAATCATAATTCATTTGTGACTCTGAGTGTTTAAGAAATAGAAATAGAAGGGCAAGATTTTATTAAATATATCAAAACAAATCAAATGACACTATTAAAAAAATCTTTTTCTTAGCAAGGAAGATTATTTTACCCTCCTGTCATGCTACACTAATGACCATGCTATGTCTGCTTGCTAACGGCAAGCTTTTCAATCCAACGTAATATGGAATATAAAATAAATCTTGATCATTTTATGCTGATTTATTTTCATAACCAGAAAATCACAAAAAGGAAAAACTATAAATATGTACATTTCTGTTCATTTTCTAACAACATGGCAGGGAAACCTTTCCACCGAAGACAGTTGGTCATGCTAGATAATATACACAAAAATTTCTTTTGATATGCAAAGTTAAGCCCTGTAAGTGCCATCAAAATTCTTGGGGCCACAAATCAAGAGAGAAATGTGTATCGGGATAATTTCTTGGCTGACAATGGTAACAAATTTGTATTTGTGTATACTGTTTGGTGCTGTGTGTAGAAGTTACAATGGGTGAAAGGAACTGGTAGATAAATCCTTCCTATTATCTCCTCCAAGGTGGATATTTCAAAAACACATTTATTATGGTAACAATTAATCCCCCATAATTACAGGCAACTAAATAATGCATCTTTATGTCTCTACAGAAAATAAAAATAAAAAATTAGCTAGGCGTAGTGGTGCATACTTGTGGTCTCAGCTACTCAGGAGGCTGAGCCTAGGAGATCGAGGCTGCAGTGAATCCTGATCACATCACTGCACTCCAGCCTGGGCAACATAGCAACAGCCTATCTCAAAAAAAAAGGCAAACAAAATAAAAAATAAAAGTAATAATGCATCTTTGTATTGGCTCTTTCTCTACTTCTGTGTTTCATTCATTCTATCCTTAGCTTTCTTTTCTGAATTGCACTCTCTAATAAAGTACTTACACTTAACCATTTTCTTGGGTTCTATTTTTTTGAAATCCAGGCTAAGATAAGGTACCAATAATTAATTTTAGAAATAGAAAATATGCAACTACAAAAGAAGACAATTTAAAAAATTAATAAGATTACATATTTTGATAAATTTTAAAACCAATAGATTAAAAGCACAATTTTATTTTAAATCATAACTTATTAAATCTGATTTTAAAAATAAATGCCTTAACATATATCTATAGCCATATAATTAGAAATTAAAGAAAATTACACACACATGCATACACACACACACACACACACATGAACTGACATACACAGATAGTTATGGAGGTGAGACCTGCAAAATCACAGAATACTCAAGAACGAGATCATTGCAATATTATACAACTTATTTACAGATCAGATAAAATGAGGATGCTGAGTTACACTTCCAAACAAGATGAACAAAAAAGCACCATATTTACCCTTTTTTCCTTGAATAACTAAGAAAACTGACAAAATAAATCAAACAAGTTTTTCAAGACACTGGACATCAGACAAAGATAGAAAGTGATTCCTGACAGACAGAAAACAATGTGGACCCGATGATTGTCCTAGCTTAGTAAACTGAGAATATTTGCAGGCCATGGTGCATGCAAGGGGAACTCAACAGAAGATCTGAGAAGCTGAGAATCAGTGGTGACCAGAGAGGCTAAAACTGGTAGGGTACAGTGCCAGTGACAAGAGGGCTCTAGAGATATGTAGAAGGACATCCTCACTTACTGAGTACTGATCAGCCTACATATATGAGAAAACTACCTAAGGGCAAGGAAAGACCACCCAAAATGATTAAAGGAAATAGTGTTGATGCATGCATGCAGTGGAGACTAGTGTCTATTCCCAGTAGCTAGACTGGGATATGACTATTCATATTCATATGGATATGAATATGTAATATGAATATTACACCAATCTATTTTAATTTATGATAGCATGTCTCCTTTGAGTTTGTGGGCATTAATGTATACTGCTTGAAATATTGCAAATGGATTTTCTATTGTCATTGTGGAAAAACTTACAAAAACATAAATTCAAAAGGGCAAAAGACCTAATACCACCTACTGCCAGTTCACTATTATAAATGTATTCTCAACAGTGGGAACAACATTTTAAGGCCATAAAAGTCAAGAAAATTACTAAAAATTTAAAATAGAAATCATAAGCTTCTACAGGATAATACAAATATTCATTCTTTGGGCCCCTAGAGTCAGTTAAACATTTTAATTGAATACTTCTACCACCAGAAATCTTAGCAAATATACTTAATAAAAGATGCATAGATTTCTATTTGCTATTAAACTTAAAAAAGATATGGTAGGTAGGGCTTCAAGATGACTGACTAGAGGTGTCTGATGCTCATTTCCTCTACAAAGAAATACCAAAGCAGCTAGTGGATAAGCACATAATGAATACAGCAGCTACGAGAGGACACTGGAATTCTTCAGGAAAGTGACATGAAAACTCTGAGGTGTGGAAGAAAAGGAAAGCGAAGCAGCCAGCCCAGCAGAGATCAACTTGAAGCCAGAAGAAACTGCCCATTGTGAGGGAAAAAGTGAAAAAGAGACCCCCAGTAGTCCGCATTTCTACCATGGACTCCTGCAATCCTAACTATGGAACAGCCCTTCAGCCCTTGTTGGCCCTGAGACTAGTATAAGTACCTCACTGACTGGAGTCCATAGGATGGCATTATTTTAGATAGGGAGTTCTTGCTGGCTCCCACATACCAAATGGGTTCCAAGCAGCTGCAACACAGTGTCATTTTGAGAGTTTAGTGCACATCAAACTACATTCTCTCTGGGGTGCAATAGTCCCTGCATCTCCACATCCCTGGAGTCCTGCTGATATTCTCCCACATCTATGCAGAAGGCTGCCCCATAATATTATCAGCTGAATCCAGTGGTGTAGCCAGGTTCCCAGCACTCTATCTCACACAGTTCCCTATGTCCCAGAGAACAGGTAGTATAGCATATCAGAGAGGCTTCCCTTAGTATAAAAGGAAAGCTGCCTGCCCAAGGACATTGCCACTGACAGCATGCCACCTCCAGTGGCAGGTCCTCTGCATTCTCGCAGGGGCCTTCAGAAGGCTTGTGGACCAGCCAAACTGCTATCCCAGGGCCTGAAGACAACTCTGCCTCTCCTGCCATCCCTGCTAGCATCTGCCTGTACCATCAGAGGCCCTGAGGATAGATGTACCTGGCCCACCACTGCTGGCACTAGCACCAGATCATGTCATCCAGTGGACTGGGGATTGATCTGCACCTACTGCTGTCATCACAAGTGACCAACCACGATCACTACCTGGGGGCCCAAGGACTTGCCCACACAATCTGCTGCTGCCACCACTGGCACCCAGGCATGTCACCTGGAAGCCCAAAGACTGGCTCACCTTGACCTGTCACAACTGGTGCCTACATATTCTACCTGGGACCACAGGACCAACAACCTTGGCTCACCACCATCACCACTGGTGCCCAAGGAATATCCCCAGCAAAGCTTCACCTCAGCCTCCACAAACAGCAGCAGCTTAAGCCACTCAGGAACTCACAGACACCACTAACATTAATTAGAACCAAATACATTGTATGGGAACTACACTACTGTACCCACCCAAAATCAAAGCCAAAGCACTTTAGCCAGTCAACAATACAGATACATATAAAGAAAAAGTCTTTCCTTATAAAACCCAATCCATAAAATCAGAAGTGCCTGTTACACCAGATGCACAGATATCAACATAAGGACACAATAAGCATTAAAAAATAAGGAAATATGACATCTCTAAAGGAACACAATAATTCTCCTATAATCAATACCCCCCAAAAGAAAATCTATGAGATGAATGAAAAAGAATTCTAAATGATATTACAGAAACTGAGTGAGATACAAGAGAACACATATGACAATACAGATACCAAGAAAACAATTAATAATCTGAAAAATAAATTCAACTGAGACAGATATCACAAATAAAGAACAAAACCAAAATCCTGGAAATGAAAAATTCAAGGAATTAAATAAAACATGCAATTGAGAGTTTCAGCAAAGACTAAATCTGGCAGAATAAGGAATGTATGAACTTTAAGACAGGTCTTTTGAAATAACCCAGTCAGACAAAAAACAAAAAACAAAAAACACAAGAGGAAGAAGAAAGTATTAAAAAGAATGAAGAAAGCCTGTGTGACATATGGGACACCATAAAGTGAACAAATATTCTAATTTTGAAAGTTCCAAAAGAAGAAGAGATCAGCAGAACCATAGAAGACATATTCAACAAAATAATAGCTGAAAGTTCCCTAATATTTCATTATATAGACATCCAGGTTAAAAAAAATAAAAGCTCACAGATTTTCAAATAGATTCAACCCCAAAATGTCTTCTACACAGCACATTATAGTCAAACTCTCAAAGTCACAGACAAAGAGAGATTTCTAAATACAGCAAGAGAAAAGCATCAAGTCACACCAAGGGAATCCGCAGCAGATTAACAGTGGATTTTACAACAGAAATTTTATAGGCTAGGAGGAAATCGAATGATATATTCAAAGTGATGAAAGAACAAATCTCCAGTCAAGAATACTGTTTCCACCAAAGCTATCCTTTAAAAATGATGAAGAAATAAAGTATTTTCAAGACAAGGAAAGGCTGAGGGAATTCATCACTACTAGACTGATCCTATAAGAAATACTAAAGAGGGTCCTATATATGAAAGTAAAAGGAAAATATCTGCTATCAAGAAAACACATGAAAATATAAAACCCACTGCTAGAGCAGATATGCAAATGAAAAAGAGAAAAGAATCAAAAGTTATCACTATAAAAACCTCTTTATTATTGTAAAGGTTAGCAATAAAAAAGGAATAAAGGAACAAAGGATATACAAAACTATCAGAAAACAATTAACAAAATAACAGGAGTAAGTCTTCACCTAACAATAGCAACCTTGAATATAATTGGTTTAAATTACCCAATTAAAATATATCCACTGGCTGAATGGATTAAAAGAAGAAAAAGGTCCAACTATATGCTACCTACAAGAAATTTGCCTCACCTGTAAAGACATATTTACAACAGACAGGAAGGCATGAAAAAAGATACTACAGATGAGCAGAAACCAAAGGCATGCAGGAGTAGCTATATTTATAAAAGAAAAATATACTTAAATAAAAAAATTAAAAGTGACAAGAAGGTTACTATGTAATAATAAAGAAATCAATTCAAAAAGGGGATATAACAGTTGTGAATATATGTGCACCCCAAACTGGAGCACCCAGATATATAAAACAAATATTAGAACTAAAGAGAGATATAAGATTCAATATAATAACAAAGACTTCAACACCCAATTTCAGCACTGGACAGATCACCAAGAGAGAAAATCAACAAAGACTAATCAGACTTGATCTTCACTGTAAAGCAAATGGACCTCACAGACATTTACAGAGCATTTTACCCAACAGCTACAGAATATGCTTTCTTCTCATTAGTGCATAAAACATTCTCTAGGATAGACATATGTTAGGCCACAAAACTAGTTTCAACAAGTGTTTGAAAATTGAAGTTATATCAAGTATCTTCTAGGACCACAATAAAATAAAACTGAAAATCAGTAACAAAAGGACACTTGGAAATTCTAAAAATACATAGAAATTAAGCAGCATGCTCCTGAACAATCGAGTTCACAAAGAAATTAAAAAAAGAAATTTGAAGGATATTGGAAACAAACGAAAATCGAAATGCAATATATGAAAACTTATTGGATACAGCAAAAGTAGTGCTAAGAGAGAAGTTTCTAGCAATAAATGCCTACCTTTGAAAAGTAGAAAAATTTCCAACAATTTAACAATGCACCTCAATGAACTAGAAAAGCAAGAGCAAACCAAAACTCAAATTAGGGCAGAAAAAGAAATAATAAAGAGGAGAGCATAACTAAACAAAATAGAGACGAAAAAATCAATAGAAACAATCAATAAAACAATGTTGGTTGTTTGAAAAGTTGAACAACTGATAAACTACCTTGACTAAAAAAACAAAAAAGAAGTCTCAAATAATAAAATGAGAAACAAAAAAAGGACACATTACAATGGATACTACGGAAATACAAAATATTATTAGAGACTTTTATGAACAACTTAATGCCAACAAATTGAAAAACCCAGAGGAAATGGATAAATTTCTGGACAGAACCTATCAAGATTGAACAAAAAAGGAATTGAAAACAAGAACAAACTAATTATGAGTACTGAGATTGAGTCAATAATAAAATATCACCCACAAAAGAAAAGTCCAAGACTCGTCAGCTTTACTGCTGAAATCTTCCAAACATTAAAACAAATCTAATACCAACTGGTCTCAAATTATTCCAAAAAAATTAAAGAGGAAGGAATAATTTCTAACTTATGCTATGAGGCCAGCATTACCTTAATAACAAAACCCACCAGACAAGGATACAACACAAAAAGAACACTACAGGCTAATATCCCTAATGAACATAGATGCAAAAATTTTCAACATAGTACTAGCAAACTGAATCCAACAACATATCAAAAAGACAATACATCATGCTCAAGTAGACTTTTATCCAAGAATGAAAAGATGATTCAACATACACAAATCAATAAATGTGATACAGTACATCAACACAATGAAGGACAAAAACCATGATACTCTCAGTACACGCAGAAAAAGCATTTGATAAGAGTCAACATTGCTTCATGATAAAAATTCTCTATATTTTAGGCATGGAAAAAACAAACCTCAACATAATAAAGACCACATATGACAAACTCATAACAAACATCATATTGAATGTGGAAAATCTGAACATCTTTTCTCTAAGAACTGGAACAAGACAAGAATGATCACTGTTATCACTCTGATTCAACAAAGCACTGGAAATTCTAGCTAGACCAATCAGACAAAAGAAACAAATAAAAGGCATACAAATTAGAAAAGAGAAAGTAAAGTTATCCCTCTTTGTACATAACATAATCTTACATATAGAAAAATCTCAGGACTCCACCAAAGAAAATGTTAGAACTGACAAATTCAGTAAAGTTACAGAATAAAAAATTAACTTATATCTGTAGCATTTCTATACACCAATAACTAGTTGAAAAGAAATCAAGAAAGCAATCCCACCTAGAATAGCTACAAAAAGAAGCCTAAGAATAAATTTAACTAAAGAGATGAAGCACCTCTACAGCAAAGTCTACAAATCACTGATGAAAGAAATTGAAAAGGACACAATTAGAAATACATCTATGCTCATGAATAAAAATAATTAATATCAACTTAAAATTATCATGCTACCCAAAGCAGTTACGAAATTCAAGGCAATCTGTATCAAAATACCAATGACTTTCTTCACATCAATAGAAAAGCAATTCTAAAATTCATAATGGAACTACAAAAGAACCTGAATAGTCAAAGCAATACTGAGGAAAAATAGCAAAACTGATTGCATCACACTACCAGGCTTCAAAATATACTAAAAAACTATGGTAACCAAACACTATGGTATTGATATAAAAAAAGTAGAAAAGTGGAACAGAATATAGAACTCAGAAATCAACGAACATATTCATAGCTACTTGATTTTCCACAAAGGCACCAAGAATGTACAATAAACTCACCAGGAATGCACCAAGAGGGGAAAGAACATCCTCATCAATAAATTAAATTGCATGGGAAAACAGGATATCCATATGCAAAAGAGGAAACTAGATCCTTATCTCTCACCATATATAAAAATTAATTCAAAGTTGATTAAGAGCTTAAATGTAAGCCCTAAACTATAAAACTAGTAGAAGGAGACAAGGGAAATGCTTCAGGACATTTGTCTAGGCAAAAATCTTTGGCTAAGGCTTTAATAGTACAAGCAACAAAACAAAAAATACACAAATGGAACTATATTAAACTAAAAATCTTCACAGCAAAAGAAACAATCTATAGAGTGAAGACACAACGTGTAAAATGGGAGGCAATATTTGGAAATGATTCATCTAACAATGAACTAATATCCAGAATACACAAGTAACTCATGCAAATTAACAACAACAACACAAAAAACAAATAATCTCATTGAAAAGTGGTCAAAGATCTGAATAGACTTTTTCAAAAGAAAACATACAAATGGCCAACAGATATATTAAAAATGGTTAGCATTACTAATCAGGAAAATTAAGCAAATTTGATATTGTGAATCAAAGTATCCACAATGAGATATGATCTCAACCAAGTTAGAATGGCTGTTAACACAAAGAGAAGAAAAATAGCTAATGCTGTTGAGAATGTAGAGAAAAAGGAACTCATATACTGTTGGTGAGAATATAAATTAGTACAGCCATTTTGACAAACAGTATGGAGATTTCTCAACCAATTAAAAATAGAACTTCCATGTGATCCAGCAATTCTATTATTGCAAAGTATATCAAAAAGATACCTGTACCCCTATATTTATTGCAGTACTAGTCACAATACAAAAATATGGAATAAATATGTATCTATCAATGTATGGATAAGATAAAGAAAATGCGATGTGTGTGTGTATATATATACACACACATATATGTATATATATAAAATATGTATATGCACACATAATATATAATATATACATATATAATATCTATATATAATATGCACACAAATCTGTATATATTATATATACATGTTATATATAATATATACATATAATATATACATTATATAATATATACAATATGTATATTATATATAATGTATATATTATATATAATATATAATATATAATATATATAATATATAATATATAATATATAATATATATAATATATAATATATAATATATAATATATATAATATATAATATATAATATATATAATATATAATATATAATATATAATATATATAATATATAATATATAGTATATATAATATATAATATATATAATATATAATATATAATATATATAATATATAATATATAGTATATATAATATATAATATATAATATATAATATATATAATGTATATAATATATAATATATAATATATATAATGTATATAATATATATTATATAATATATAATGTATATAATATATAATATATATAATATATAATATATAATATATAATATATAATATAATATATATAATGTATATAATATATATTATATAATATATAATGTATATAATATATATTATATAATATATAATATATATTATATAATATATAATGTATATATTATATATTATATATACCGTATAATGTAATATATAATATATACATTATATACACACATATACATATTATATATAATGTTTACATTATATACATATATAATGTATATATTATATATAAAATGTATATATAATGTCTGTGTGTATATATACACAATGGGATACTATTCAGTTATTCAAGAGAATAAAAAAGTGAATGAATTCCTGTCATTTGCAGCAACATGGATGGAACTGAATTATATTCACTTATGTTAAGTGAAATAATCCATTCACTGAAAGACAAATATCACATGTTCTCACTTATGTGGGAACTAAATAAATTTATCTCATGGATGTAGAGTGTAATGATGGTTACAAGGGACCAGTAAGCGTGCGGTCAGGGGATGAAGGAGGTTGCTTAATGGGTGTAGACCTATAGATAAATAGTACAAATAAGTTCTGGTATTCAATAGCACAGTTGGGTCTCTATAGTTAACAATAATAGATTATATATTTCAAAATAGCTAGAAGAGAAGATTTGAAATATTTTCAATATGATGAAATGACAAATGTTTGAGGTGATGAATATCCTAATTACCCTGTTTTGATCATTAAACATTGTATGTATCAAAATATCACATGCATTCCATAAATATGTTTATTATTATGTATGAAATTTTTTAAACTACGTTGAATACTTTACATTCATTAGAATTATAAGCAAGCAAACAAATACAACTGGCAAAGTCAAATGGTGAGCATGTAGAAGTTTCCATCAGTGCTAGAGGAAGTAGAAACTCATAAAAACCCCTTTAAAACACACACGCACACACACATATATGTATGTGCACCCATACACATATATTACACACATACATATGTATATATATGTGTGTGCCTAGCCTTTGACACAGCATTCTCTCTTTGAAGCATTTTCCCAAGAGAAATAAAATCATCTATCAGTTATAAGATGTATAAAAAAATTTACAACAGCTTTAGTCACAATAGCCCCAAACTGAAAATAATGCAAGAGTACATTAACAGATAAATGCAAAAACAAATTGTTGCATATCCTTACAATTAAAACATGACCAATTTTATGCAAAGTCAACATTGGCAGACGTACTCCATCATGAAAGTACAACCCACCTCTCTTTACTGCCACCCAATTCATTAGACCATTATCTGCCTTTGTGCCCTGACAAGGTTTCCTTCAACTGGTGGTCAGGATACAACTCAAGCATGATCTATTTGAAATTTAGATTTAATTTTATATTGACATCCATAAGTGAGTCTTGACTAAATAAACTTTTTGTAAAAATGTTAAGTTGAACATATTATTTATTAAAGATGATGAGCCGTTGTTATTGTTGTTTATGCCATATGTGAGGTTGGCAGGCCAGGCCACTTAAACCTCATTTTCATAGAAGAAAAGTTGGGTCTCCACATATAATTGCTGTAGTAAAGTTGTAAAGTTTGTTTTAATTACAATGTATTTTTCTAAATGTTATTTCTTGTTTGCAAAGAGTCACATTCTCTGATGAATGCTGTGTTAAATTAGGCAGCACTTGTGGAATCTGGTTGCTGTGTAAAATTCTAAACACCACTTGTTTTATTGGAAAGAAATTACATTCATCAGTGAATGAGTCATTAAAGATATGTATATCCACCTCAGCTGTGTTATCTTGAAGTCTTAGGCTGAAAGCTAAAAGCAAAAAACAAACCCCTTTAATATTTCAAAAGTGGACATAACTTTTTGTGTAATCAAAATCTTTCTGGATTTATTATACCTGCTAGATCAATTCTCATTAGCAATTTTTAAAATAAAATTAATTCCTTCTATTATTTTTTCCTTTATTAAATTCACAGATTATGGGAAAAATGGCTTGATTTTTTTAAGTTCTTTATTTCATTATGTTATTTTCTTTTGCTTTACACCATATGGGTCCTATTGAGATTTAGAAATCTGTTGCAGCTTCCAATATGTTTTCTACCTGAAGCTAAAGCAAGGAAGTCTTTAAAATTATGTCGGCATAAAATGTTGATAAAATACTATAAAAATGAAAGTTTCAACCCATAAAAAATAAGTTTTGAGTTATATAACAATGTTCAACATGAGATATATAAAAATCTAAGGTATGAAAATATAAATATTGCTTTTCTAAGTTATTAAACAGCTTTGAAGTAACTGATTTTCATCATACTACAGTTAATCTTTTTTAAAAAGAAAAGTGAGAAAGAAATAAGACCCAAAAGCTCACTTCAAAACATAGTGAGGCCAGGTGTGGTAGTTCACACTTGTAATCCCAACCCTTTGGAAAGCTGAGGAAGAAGGATGGCTTGAGATCAGGAGTTCAAGACCAATTTGGGCAATATAGTGAGACCGTCATCTCTACCAAAACAAAAAAAACATCAAAAACAACAGTGAAATATTATGAGAATGTCCCTTGCCTGTGCAACATTTTACTACTTACAAGCTACCTTTAGGTACCCAGCTTCTTGCTATACATTATATTGTACACTGTGCTGTACAACACAGTTCTGAAAGGGTGGGAATCTAACAAATGTACTCAGAGACATTTGTTACATTCTCCACAGGCTCTGTCCACATATAAGAATTATCAAAAATGGCTTACAAAGGCCAAATTACTATAATAAATTATACACAGGCAGCTCTTAACATGCAAATGAGATTCATCCCCAAACATGTGTTTCACACCATCTTAGCTGCACATCTCCCCACCACCCTACTCACTTCAAGCCTTCTCCTAGCCATCACCTGTGCCCTGGGCCATTGTCTCTTCCCGTGGACCACTTCCACAAGATATACCATCTATGTGTCTTTCCTTTATATTCTCCACATTACAAAAGTTGCAAGGAAGTTATACGGTCCAACATTTTTGCCGTGGAAGATTTATAATTGTTCTTTCCTTCTTTTCTTCCTCTCTTTACATCCCTTTCAATATGAGACTGCTAGATGAAATTTTTCTCCTTCTCAAAATGTCCTTGTTTTATGCTGCCTTAAACTGCTATCACTGGCCATGTCTTATTCATCTCATTTTTCCTGGGAAAGATTATTTTTCCTGGCATAAAAATATTATTTATTTATTTCTGCTTGCCTCTCTGATTGAATGATGGCAAGTCAAGAAGATGGGTGGTGAACCGGTGCTCTCCACTTCATTCTTTTGCAATACTAAATTTCTATTTCTCCATTTGCCTTAATTGGGTGGACATTACTTTAAATTTTCTCATAAGGAATTGGTAAAATATACATGGTCTTAGGTTACATTTTTCACAGATCCATTTCTTCTTTGGAATTTTTATATTACTGTTTTTATATCTTCCCTCTTATTTTGTGATACCCAATTAGAGATATAAGAGATCAGGCTACCTATTCTAAGTTATCCTCCTGAAATTTTATTACAATTTACATCTGTGGAATTAGCCCATCAAGGTAAAGATGTCATCTATTTAATATCTTGACTGGATAGTGATATTCTAAAGGAAAAAAAAATAATGAACTTTGTTCCATTGCAATTTATTCTATCTATACACTTTACCAGCTATATATATAGATTAAAACAGCATTTCTGGATTTGTCTAGGAATTTAAGCCTGTTAATGATACAATGTTCAATTGTCCTCAGAGTACAAATTGACACAATGGAAATTGTCCTTCCTAGTAGGAGATTTTTAACCAATCAGTAGTTGTCTTATAAACTTTCCATTTTAAAGAAAATAGAAGATCTGAACTTTTTTGCCATAAGAGAATACCTTGCCCTCATTCTCTAAGTATGATTCTACTGACACTAAGAAGCTTATGACAATGTAATGTCTGGGTTTTATCCTTTTATTATGTGTCTTGGTTTTCTTTCTATGTACTACCTATTGCCCATAATTTTCTTAGGAACAGCTCCTACAAAACTGTTGCTATGCTGAATAACTCTGTTACGACCTGAAAATAATATCTGTGAATTACTTATCCCTGAACAGTAAAATCTCGCTTTGCCACATTCTTTTCAAAAAAAGAATAAAAGCACAAAGATTTTATGAAGTCACTAGACTATTAGGATACATTTAAAATTTTGTATGATCTGGCTTGTTTTATGACACCTATTTTAATTCTTCATTAAAGGGGATCAAAACTGAACTTTGACCATATTAAAGGAAGGACTCGGAAAAGATTGAGATGATTTGCCTTAGAGCTTTAGCAGAATACTGAGAACCTCAGAAATGTAATTTAATTATGCATGGTAAGAAAATGCCAGAATTCACAGGCGACTCCCAGGTCAAGGAAGCAGTGAGTTAGCCCTGGCTGAAAATTTATGTAGTCATATTCTTTCCTTAGACTTTCCTTTCAAGTTTTAT
Source organism: Homo sapiens (assembly GCF_000001405.40). Lineage (NCBI taxonomy): Eukaryota > Metazoa > Chordata > Mammalia > Primates > Hominidae > Homo > Homo sapiens. Next base: position 30,763,238 of record NC_000018.10, read on the forward strand.
AAGTTTGAGTACTATTCATATTCAATACATATAAACTACTATTCATATTTAGAGAAGAAGCACTTAAATGTACCTGATAGGAAACTATCTGTTTTATCTTAGTGGAAAAATCTCCTAGAGGAAGGGACCACTGTGTGAGAAGATGGAACAGTGGAGAGCACATTTTGATAGACACATTCAGACACTGTCTCTCCTGGCCCTGGGATTGTCACTGAGAAAACTGTAAGGGAATTTTATCTGTTCCAAGAGAAGGACAGATGGCCTCAGGAAGTTCAAAAGGGATGAAGGGTAGAGGGCTTGTGAGGCATATTAGAATTGTATATTTCATGTGACCTAAATTCTTCTCCTTTGTTTCTCTCAAAATTCTTTAGTAAAATCTACATTATTCACTGGTACTTTGCAAAATCAGCTTTCTGTAATTTGATAAAAATATTGTCTCAATGTTGGCACAGAGTAAAAATAGAGGCTGCCTCCAGAACAGCCAAGCATAACTGGGTTAAATGTAGCACAAAATGCAGAGATTGATAAAAAGCAGCAAAAATAAATCTTGAGTCTCAAACTCTGTTTGCTTGGATTTGTAGAAAAGCTGAGAGCTGGAAAAATCTCTTAGCCAGAACAAGGACATTAGGAGCTTCTCTTTTACCACTGCAGCTGACACAATACTGGGGGATCACCAAAATGCTATAGACACTGCTGAGAAGTATTTACTTACAACCAGAAACATCAGGGTAATGATGACCAACACAGCCTTAAGGATCCCCTCAGCTTGATGACACATTAAATAGGTTTCTTCCTGATTGTAAGTCCGTGACCTTCCTTTTCTTAGAGCATTTACCATTTACTTTAGAAAACTTGTAGTTGTAAATTCTTTCTGCCGCTTTGAAAGGAATGTAAATCTCCCAGCCTACCAGTTTTACAGCCCAGGAAATGTCTTTCTCAAGGACTTGGAAACAATCTCTTTGAAATGTAAATACTGAAGGGGACTGTGGGAGGGTAGGAGACTAACTTGAATGGGCACCAATTAGCAAACACAGAGGACCTAATCACAGAGAAACACAGTCTCACACTCAGGAATAACATAGTGTGCTCCACAACTCCCATTCGTCAATAACCCACTAAATGTCCCCTAGTGCTTGTCCACCACAGCACTTAAAAACCCTTCACCTTTTGTGTCCATGGAGTTAAGTATCCAGACTGGGTCTTTGTTCCTTCTCTAGTTGCTGGTAGTAATATCAAAATGAAATAATTCTGTTTACTCATCTCTGGAACTTTTTTTTTTAACAATGTTTAATTAGTTCTACAAGGATAAAAGAAGCATATTTAAGTGTGCCTTCAAAAAAAATAATAAAATAAATAAGAAAAAAACGAATTTAGAAAATAACCAACTATGAGCAGCCAAGCTTTATTGTTTTTAAATATTTATTATAATGTAATCTATAGTTTATACCTTTCCTATAAGTTATTATTTAAGAATTGTTCAGTTATTTTAAGAGCTCTAATTTTGCAGAAAGAAGGTGGATTCATTTTGGACTAACAAACTTCAGAAAGTTTAGTTATTATCTTAATGTACACCACTTAGCAACACATCTGAATTGTAAATCTGTGCTTAAAAAATAATATTTAAGAAAATATGTCCAGGTACATTTGCATAGCTGAAGTCTCAGAATTCATTATTTTCAATAGCAGCTCTAAAGATTAAATTTAATAATGCAGGTAAAGTGTTTAGCACAATCCTTGGTACCTAAAACATGCTGAAATCTTAGGCAAGTCTTTGGTCTCCTATGAGCCTCAGTTGTTCAACTATCTAAAGGAGATAGTAACAATACCTATTTTATAAGATAATTGTAAGGAATAAAGTAGATGATCTGTTTAAAGTACTTAGCAGATTACTAGGCACATACTAAAGTTTAGTGTGTACTTTCCTTAGGATTTTTATTAATGTGAATTTAGGATTAATATGAATTTAGAACCAAGTTCATCACATCCACTTAGAGATTGCTTCTCCAATCATCCCTCAGGTAAGAAGTAATCAGTTGCTGAATTTGCTCTCCTAACCCTATATGTCGGTGCCATCAATACTTTCAGAAATCCAAAGAGTGAGACTCATTGTGATGAGCAATGAGCATTTCAACGGGTGTTGGAAACTCCATATTGTGCGATATGTTTTATGTGATTGCTCAAGAGCTTTCAGGAATCTAATCAGCTTTCAGAAGCCTAAATTCCATATTGTGCAATATGTGTTATGTGTTAGCTTAAGAGTTTTTAGGAGCCTAGACCTAGGTCAATCCACCCAACTACTTTCTTCGAGACCCTTCCAACATCAGCCTTCCTCCAGTGCCCAGGCTCTTAGATATTCATGCAAATGGCCAAACACAAATCATTAGAATTTCTTCAGACAATTTCCTCTTAAAAGACAGGGATATTCAGTCATTTATTAGAGAGTTTTCCAGTTTCCTGAGGCCTCTGCCTCATATTAAGAGGAATAACTTCACTTTTCTCAATCATTGGCTTAATATCTTTGACAAAAGATCACCAGCTCCATGGAAATTTTTCTCTCAGTATTTCTGTGATACTCTGATTCTTCACATATGCTTAGCAATGCATCTGTTTGATCCAGCACCATGTTTTTCAGGCAGGGGTGGCACTACAGGGTCTACCAGTGTGCCATCAAATACTTCTGTGGTCCCTACAACTTACGGTTTTCTGAGAGCAGCATGTGATAAAGTGGGAGAATGAGTTATAGATTTGTTTTCAGCTTTATTAATGGAGACTCATGGTAGTGTTGACTCTGCCCCCATAATAATGGTCTTGGGCCAAACAATTCAATATCAAAAATGATGTACTTGTAAAGTGTAGTCTTCTCATTAAATTATATGCAATGATGATGGCTACTTCTTTCTTCCAATTGAATAAATTTCCCTTAGAGATAACTCATTCCTGACGTAGCTGGAACACTGGCAACAAACCAAGTGTTAAAAGAAAACTTCAGCCAAAATAAATTTAAAGGAGTTTAATTGAGCAATGAATGATTCATGAACTGGGCAGCCCCCAGAATCACAGCAGATTCAGAGAGACTCCAGTGATGCCTCCTGGTCAGAACAAATTTATGGACACAAAAAAGGAAGTGACATACAGAAATTGGAGGTAAGGTACAGAAACAGATGAATTGATTACAGGTTGGCATTTACCTCATTTCAACTCAGTTTGAACACTCAGCAGTGTATGAGTGGTTGAAGTATGGCTGCTGGAATTGGCCAAGACTCAGCCACTGTTACAGGTGCATACTCCTAAGTTAGGGTTGTCTACCCACTAAGTTAGGTTGCAGGTCATCTACAAGGACTCAAATATAGAAGTATGGAGTCCTTCTCAGGACATGTTTAGTTTGCTTTAACGCAAGCTTTTATTCTTTATTTTACTAGACATGCCCAGGCTCATCTGATTCTTACTTGGTCTCAAGATGGAACCCCTGATATTAAAATCACAGTTATGGAATTTTTACTAGCTACATTTAAATGTAAAACATTGGTAACTTTGTTTTCGAACTTTCATTACATTTCTTTATGTTTTATTTTACATTATGCTAACATAATTGATTTAACTATTTTACCCCTGATTCTTCCCTTGGGGTAAGCTGTGTGCATGTGTAGTGGCCTACCAGCACTTGGGAGGTGAGTATGCATGTTGTGTTTATTGGAGTTCTATGCAGGCTCACTTGAGGCGTTCTTCCCTTACCAGTCAAATATCCATAGACGTTCATATAGAAGGTCATATACCAGTTAAACTCCACCATTTTGCCTCTTAATGAGTATGCTTGAGGACACTTGCCCAACTCCTGAGATCTTAGGAGGCTGCTGATTGCCAGTTTTAGGTGTTTTTATCAATTGGGAGACTGCTTTTCCCTGGCACTGGCTGTGACCAATTATAATTTTAGAGAGGCAGTTTAATAACCACCTGACCATCACCTGATGGTTGCCTGACATTCCTAGTGGTGGGGGGGACTCTCCCACCCTGCTCATGTCTGACTAGCTACCTACTGTAACACACCTGGCATCTCCAGGGCAAGTGTTCTAATTTATTTGGTATATCTAAGCATGTGGCATAATTGTCAAGAGGATACATTCTGTAGAAAGTGGAAAGCCTGCCTTTTCCCTATCAGAAAAGTAATGTTAGCATCCTCCAATATGTTTTTAGAAAAGAAATTGATGCTATACACAATGTTTTCCATTTTCACAGAGAAAAAGTGTTTTAAGAAATAATATTTCATCCTAAATAGAATCTATCACTTTGTTTCTCAGCCAGGCAAAATCAAATTTCTATACTATTGTTCCAACTTTTAAAGAAACTCTAAAAAATGATATCTTTTAGCAATTCTAAATCAAATACATTTTACCGTCAAAGAGCTATCATGCTTTCAACTTATTTTTCATGCCAGATGTCTTTATAGGCCCATTTCCAATTTTAACTAAATCTCAGACACATCAATGGATATCAATTAATCTGGTTCCACTCACAAAGGTTAGTATCCATGCAGTATAAAATTTAAAAATTCAACAAATGAAACTGAAGTATAAATACTTAGAATGAATAAAAAAGACTATGGAAATTAAAGAAAGTAATCCTGCAATATTACCTTAAATCCTAAATCAGCAAAGCATGAAATGTTAAGTCCTGGAAAGGCTTTGAAAATGTACTTACCCCAACAACAGTTCTTGAGCTCCATTCAGATCTACTTTTACTTTATAGTTTATACCGTGCTCATCACACAATTTCATTTAACCTTCACAGTAACCCATGGAGGTAGATACTATAATTATGCAGCAAGTTGGTGCATGGCAAAGCTGGTATATAAATACAACCTCCAGTTTCATAGTCCGAATACCTTCCATTGTGTGATATAGTTTTGGAATTTATCCTGACTTAATTTTGTTCTAATGACCAAATTTCAACTGTCAGAAATTATTATGTGGTTATACACCATCTGTTATAATAAATATGCACAAATTTAGGCACAGAGAAAAGGTTAACTCAGCCTGGGAAACACTTGCCAGAGCTTGACTGCTGAAATTGAAACCGTCCCCTAGAAAAGTATAAAATTGATTAAGGGGAGAAAAAAATCTACCTAGGCTTACAGCACAATGTAAACCAAAATAAAATTGTAAGCCCGCTAACTGACTGATAGACCTTCTCTCTTGGCCAGGGGAGTTCCAAAGTTAACCTGAAAAACTAATTCAGGCAATGATGGGAAGTGGGGATCAGACATGCCTCATTATAGCTTCCTCCCTTTGGAATTTGGCACAACTGACCCAGCATTAACAGTAAAACAGAGATCTTAAAACTGACAAGGAAGTCTCTTGGTAGTAATAAAATACCAGATTCCAACCTGAGTCTAGTATAGCATCACACGACAGATAGTAGGCCCTGAAAGAAATCGAAGTATTTTACCTTAAAATATATTTCTTTGACATATTTTGAAGTGGCCCTGAAAAGCTGTCTCTTGTGAGAAAAATCTACATTCTGTAGAGAATCCCCTTCCCTTTCCAGGTCTTTTCCCTGCTCCAGTAGAGTATTAACTAAGAGTCTGGCACCTTTTTAGATCTGAGAAGAGTTTTGAAACCTGCTACCTGGAGGCTTCATTTGCATCATAAAAAGCTTGGTCTCTGCCAGGCCCAGTGGCTCATGCCTGTAATCCCAGCACTTTGGGAGGCCAAGGCGGGCGGATCACGAGGTCAGAAGATCGAGACCATCCTGGCTAACGCAGTGAAATCCCATCTCTACTAAAAATACAAAAAATTAGCCAGGCATGGTGGCAGGCACCTGTAGTCCCAGCTACTCGGGAGGCTGAGGCAGGAGAATGGTGTGAACCCAGGAGGCAGAGGTTGCAGTGAGCTGAGATCATGCCACTGCACTCTAGCCCGGGCGAGAGTGCGAGACTCCATCTCAAAAAAAAAAAAAAATCTTGGTCTCCACAACCTCTTATATTAACACAGATAATCCTTTCTATTGATTCCTGATCTTTAGATAATAACTTTGCTCTTTCAACCAATTGCCAATCCGAAAATCTTTTAACCCGCCTATGACCTGGAAGCCCCTGCTTCTAGTTGTCCCAACTTTCAGACCCAACCACTGTGTACCTCATGTGTATTAATTGTTATTTTATGTCTTTCTAAAATGTATAAAACAAAGCTGTAGCCTAAACACCTTGAGCACGTGTTGTCAGGGCCTTCTGGGGCTGTGTCAGGAGTCATGGTCTTCATGTCAGAGGTATTTTCACCAGAGCAACTCCATCTTCAATAGAAGCTGGGTAAAATAAGGCTGAAACTTACTGGGCTGCATTCCCAGAGAGGTAAGGCATTCTAGGTCACAGGATGAAATAGGAGATCAGCACAAGATACAGGTCATAAAGACCTTGCTGATGAAACAGGCTGCAGTAAGAAGCTGGCTAAAACCCACCAAAACCAAGATGGCCACAAGAGTGACCTCTGATCATCCTCGCTGCTACACTCCCACCTGTGCTATGACAGATTACAAATGCCATGGCAATGCCAGGAAGTTACCCTTGATGGTCTGAAAGGGGCAGGTATGAATAATTCATCCCTTCTTTAGCATATCATCAAGAAATAACCATAAAAATGGGTAACCAGTAGACCTTGGGGCTTCTCTGTCTATGGAGTAGCCATTCTTTTATTCTTTTACTTTCTTAATAAACTTGCTTTTGCTTGGCACTATGGACTTGCCCTGAATTCTCCCTTGCTTGAGATCCAAGAACCCTCTCTTGGGATCTGGATCAGGACTCTTTTCATGTAACATATTTCTGATGACCACAGAAGCGACTGTAGTGCAGAAACCCTGGACCCAAAGGCTAACTGGGTAAGTGGTGGGGTACCTGGGAAAAGAATGGGATTGAATTAGAGGCCCAATTTAGAAGGGTTAGAGTCCCTTCTAAGATTTAAGGGGTTAGAGGCCTCTCTCAGTAAAGTCCCCTTTGACTAAGAATGGGTTTGGCACTATGGGATGTTAACGGCTATTCTCTTTGGATTAATCTCTCTTGCACCCTTTGCTGATGGCTGTGGGTGACAGGATTAGGCATGTACAGGATCATGACACATGGAGTGCTTCTTTCTCCCCAAAAGGGGAAACGTGAGAGCTGATGAGACTGCTGGAAAAGATATTTTTGCTACTGAGAAGCAGCTGCCTGAACTTTTCAGTGTTACTGCAATGGGTGGGTCTTTCTCTGGCCTTCTTGAGCACCTCACCTTCCCCATCATTCCACAGGCAATGCTTTCCTCTCTCTCTTTTTCTGTGCAAACTGGTTGAATGAATATTAAAAATCACTGTTTATCTTCTGTAAAGGTTTAATTAATTGGAAAAAGGATTCATGAGGCTAATCTGGAGCTGTAGTAGTGAATTTGGTGTGCTTTGTGTGTCTTTCTGTGCTCTATAATGGAGAGAGGTAGCTTAGGATAGGACATGGGCTTAGGACCTGCTGTTCAAGATGGCCAGCAAACTGGTTGGTCATGTCCTTGGGAGCTTGACTTGGAATCATGTGGCCATGCTTTTTCTTTTCACAATGGTGGCCCAGGTTTAGGGTTCAATTCCTGGCTTTAAAAATGAGTCGTTTATCTTCTGTCTGTCTGTGTATTTATATGTGTTGTGTTTGTAATATTTATATATGAATGAGCTTTAATTGGATCAATAAAAATAAATGCTTAAATTGAATATTTTGTCAGAAAAATAAAAAGTGGAATGCCTTTTATTTAGTTCATGTGACATTAGTAATTTTTTGGAAACCCAAACAACTTTAAAGATTATTGGTAAAATAAAAATGTAAACATTGGCTCTAAATTATGCAGGTCAAATATTAGGTTTGCCAAATGCTTTAAGGTCATAAACTGCTTCTTTGACTTTTAGAAATTGTTCAGTTTATTTTGGAGCATTAGATTCTAGGTAAGGCCTGGGACACATGAAGGTAGATGCTGAAAACAGTTAGACCTTATCTGCATTTCTCTCTGGGTCGTAGGCTTCACATCTAGCAGATAATTAAAATCCCAGACTTACCAAAGTTTTCACCAAAAGTAAAAGTTGCTAAGAGTTAACAGTGTAACATGTGTTTGAAACTACTAATAAAACAGTTCTACACACAAGGCATGTAAAGAAAGTAAAATGTGTTTTTGGTAAAAGATTATAAGAAGGCATGAGAATGTGAATTTTTCTTGACTAGATTAAAGGGTTAAAGGATCGTTTTAACTTAAGTTAAAGCTGATGGTTTAAGCAAATTATGGAAGATTTGTGAAAATTAATCTTGTAAAGAAATTCTGTGTGTGAACATATTGGCTAAAGTTAAAGGGGTATAATTCAGTTTTTCCATAAATTAAACATTGGAGTAAAAGCACAGTAGGTTTTTCTTTGAGCAAAAATCTGCTTATGATCTGCTCTTTGACAAAATTTATAAAGGCTTATAAAAGGTTTATGAGAATCTTATCTTATGGTCAAATATTAAAATTGGGTAGATATGTCTATAAGGTTTTATTAAGAATTGGGTTTGACATCAATAATGCACTAATACAGAGTGACATTTGGCTTATTTGGTATTAAAGTCAGACAGGAAGCACTGTCAAATATGAAATGGTGTTTGGTTTTCTTTGGGCTATATTTGTATAAATGTGTTATTGGTATGTGTTCCAAAATTATGGAAAACTTCTATAATTCTGATATGGCTTAGTGTTTTTTATTAATAATTATAATTGTTTACATCAAATTTTATATGCCACAGAAGTAACCAAATTTATTTATCAGTTGTGTTTTTGACTGTGGCTGTTATAACACGTTTTGTCATCCACTGACAATTGTTTTTTTGCTTCGGTTCTCTTTAGAAGTTGGTTTATAATCAACTATAGAACTCTAGCAGGTGTTCTTAAGTGTAGGTTTCTGATAACTTTGGAGGCTGTGACGTTAGAATAGAGGAAAAAACTTTCACAGAGAGCTGAATTGTTCATAAATATCAAGCAGAACAGGGGTTAACGGCATAAACTAAAGAAGTCTGAAGTAATCTTTTTAACTTTGCTTAAAACGTTGCTGATTCTTTGTTTCGTTTTTCAGAGTCAAGGAAACTTTTGAGCTATTTAAAGCTTTTAGCAATTGAGTAAAGTATACTCCTGTGAACAAAATTTGGAGCATATTTGTTTCTCTCTACCTGATTTATCCAGAATTTGGAAACTATTTGTGAGCATTCTTAACTTATAGCAATATAGTTGTTTGCATAACTATATTGCAATATAGTTAAGTGCAGTAAGAATCTGTTTTCTTTTGCAACAGGACACAATTAGAGAAATTGGTTACTTTTACCAAGGCTTTAATTGGAATGGCATGCTTTCCTTTAATGAATCAAATTTGATTGTAAAGCCAATACAAGCCCCTTGGAGAGCTGGCCTCATACCTTGCCTACACAGTCCCTGTACAGTGTTTCTGACCATGGTAAGTATAGAATGTCACTTTCTAACAGGTCCAGGAGCCCCAAGTTATCTTGGGACTACAAAAGAAGAGGAATTTACCCAACTCTTAGTTATTTGAGGGTACAAATCCATGGCTGGGCTCAGCTTTAAAAAAGTCTCGTCTGAGATTCCTTCTATGGAACAAAGTTCCATTAAAGCCAATTTAAAATCCTATGTAAAAAATAATTATTCTTGCTGCACTTTATACAAATAATCAGGCCAAGTATAATAAAGCAAATCAGTTTTATCATGATTTCTCTTTAGTAAAAATGGGAAACTGGAGAGAGAAATATTATGTTTCAAGAACTATGGCACACTTGTTATTAGATTCTTGTCTCATCAGTTGTTTTTAAGTTTGTTTCTGCAATTTAGGCTAACCCTGCTTATTCCTGTGAACCAACAAGTGATCTCTGACTGCTTCTCAGAGAAAACAAGAGAGTTGGGCAATGTAAAAATCTAGATCAGTATTCTAATTCTGATCATGTTTTGGAATTGGCTAGCAACCCCGTATCAGCTTGGTTCCAGCAGTTGCCCAATTCATGAAAAGCCTTCTTATTTAGTTTACTTGGGATAATTTTACTTATTTTGCTTTACTCTTGTGGAATATATTGCCATTGTACTTTTTGTGTAGGAATGAGAATAAGCTTACTCAATGTTTTCTTAAATTGAACACTTATTAATCTTCCAGATTTCACCTTTTGTCAAAACTCAAGAGTCATGAATGACCCTTGCCATACCAACACTTTCTGACTAGCTCCTATCCACCCAGAGTATGAGAGACCCTAATAATTAGACAGGAATATCATCACTCCTATTCAGCCTGAAGAAGTTACAGAAGATAGATCTTCATCCCTCAACACCCCTTAGGATTAAGGGTTCTCTTGTAAAAGGGAGTGGGAAACGTCAGAGGCATTTGTGCAAGAGCCACTCCATCTTGAATAGCCGCTGGATAAAATAAGGCTGAAACCTACTGGGCTGCATTGCCAGAAGGTTAAGCATTCTAAGACACAGGATGAGATAGGAGGTCAGCACAAGATATGGGTCTTATGTACCTTGATAATAAAACAGGTTGCAGTAAAGAAGCTGGCTAAAACCCACCAAAACCAAGATGGCCACAAGAGTGACCTCTGATCATCCTCACTGCTACACTCCCACCAGTGCCATGACAGTTTACAAATGCCATGGCAATGTCAGGAAGTTATCCTAGATGGCCTAAAAGGGGGAGGCATGAATAATTCATCCCTTGTTTAGCATATAATCAAGAAATAACTATAAAAATGGGTAACCAGAAGCCCTTAGAGCTTCTCTGTCTATGGAGTAGCCATTTTTTTATTCCTTTACTTTCTTAAAAAACCTGCTTTTGCTTTGCACTGTGGACTTGCCTTGAATTCTTTCTTGCATGAACTCCAAGAACACTCTCTTGGGTTTGGATTCGGACCTTTTTCCTGTAACACTCATATTTAGCTCAGAATAAATCTCTTAAAATACTTTACAGAGTTTGACTCTTTTTGTTGACAACAATCAGCAGCAATTATTAAGCCAGTTTACCTTTCGACCTGTTTTCTTATAGCTGGTGGCTGCTTACTATTCTAGCATAATGCAGCCCTTGTTGCTAGACTCTGTTCATTTTCTCTTCTATAGATAAAATATAAGACCTTGTGAGATGATAAGTTTTCCACTGGGTTGCTCCTTTGAGTTCTACATACTAAGGAAACTACCCACACCAGCTGGTCTGAGGGGCCAGCAGAAAACTGACTCATGGAAGAATGCAGTTTCCATATCCTGAGATTTCATCCCCCTTAACTGACCAATCAACCACCCCAAAATTTTCAGCACCTTGCCCTCCATGATCCCCTCAAAAACCCTTACTGAGAACCCCTTGAGGAAATGAATTTGAGACTTGAGAATTCCTCCTGTTTCCTCATTAGGCACTTTGCAATTATGAAAACCTTTCTCTGCTGTAAACTCCAGCCGTCAGTGGATTAGTCTGTTGCCACCCAGCAGGCCTAGGAACCTGGAAGTCCTATTACAAAATAATACCAAAGCTCATTGAAGAATAAGTAAAACATGATCAAAGGTAGAAGACATCTAATGAAATTTGGGACTGATAATGTGGCCCAATTCTATATACCTCCTGTTGTTTCATCCTAGCTTGTTTGCTTATGGTACATTGAGAATTGCTTAGAAAAAAAATAGAGAAGTACTTTTGAAAGAAAATTCTTTCAAAATGTAAGTATAACCTCATTCCCCTGGTCTCACTCCCTTCCTGCTATAACTGAGATATCAACCTGCTGCCTCATTCTTTTCCATCCTTGACACCTGGCATTGCAGGGCTCTCAATGGAGACAGCTGATGTCGCCCTGCTCCTCCTGAGCCTCCTCCATCGTGAAAATATAAACTGTAGCCTGTCAGACAGAAGTTCAGGTGCCATTATGTGATTGTGTGTATGTGTTTGTGTGTTTGTGTGTCTGTGCAAATAGAGAAAGAGAGAGGGAAAGAAAGAGAAGTCTTCTCTTGCTAGAAAATAAAATCTATATTTTATTTAATTTTTTTTTGTGGCGGAGAATTCTAAGATTTTCTTTCTCTAACTCAGTAATGTCTAACCTGTTACAGTCTACAATAGATTTGAGCTTTTATAATTTATTTTTCACAATGGTAACAGGAATGCAGTCCCTAAGTCTTATATATGGCATATTGCTATGAGTTGGGAATTTAAAAAGGTGAAATTCACAGTATTTATGATAAAGAAGGTTCTGATATTCATACTTCTTTCCTACTGGGCTACCATTAAGATCCAAAGAAATATGGACTACGTTTACATAGGGAAAATAAAAATTAAAAACAAGAGACTTCATTTTCTCTATTAAAAATAAGGGGAGAGATGTTCTTCCTCCTAACTTAGAGCATTCACTTTAGAAAACATATCATTGTAATTTCTTACTTGGTCCCTTTAAAATATATATAATTTTTTTAATGAAATGAGCCTTTTGCCTGCTTAAGCACCCAGGAATGTCTTTCTCAAAGACTTGGCAACCATCTCATTGAAATGTAAACAAGATAGATGGCATCCCTGTCTCCCAGAGTCTGTGTGTTCCTTGGGGTGGTATTGGTAAGAGCTTAACTTTTTTCAGCACCTTGCTTCAAGTTGCAAAACCACCTGCTGACATAAAGATATGAGAAGTTTGGTTTCCCTTTGTGTAAAATCAGTTAACTAACACAAATAGTCACCCTAATTACCAGGTGAATTTAAGATAAACTGTGTATAATAAATGGTGCTGTCAAATCCTGTTACTTGAGATAAAGTTATTGTTTATCTTGAGAACACCTATATAATGGGTGGTAATGTAATGCATTTTGAGAATATACATGCAATGTAGTGCAAAAGTGTGTTTTTTTCTGTCTTTGCAATCTCAGACAATTTTCTGTGATGCATATCACATTCTGATTTAATACTTTTTCAATAATAAAACTGTTTTCTTTCTTGACTTGTAAACCTTGTGCAGAGGATTTCTGGGTTGAGAGAAGATTTTGTATTCAATTTTGTTTCCCCAACATTTACCACAATGCTGATTAAGATGAATAAAAAATATACCATCTTTATTATAATGAGTACAAGCTAGAGAGTATCTTTTCTAAATTTTAGGTTTTTTTCCTGAATTATTTTATGGCTTCTGGCAAGTCAATGAGGTTATCTACCTAGTAAAAAATGTATAAATCAGATCTTCCAGTTAAGTTTAGTCTCATGAACATTTAAACATTAATAGTAATGAACACGTGTCAGCCTAAGCCTTTCTCTTTACTGTTATTATTCTCCTATTTAAACTTACATTCTTTAAGGTATATTGATTGGGGCAATAAAATAGGAAGAAAAAGTTAAATAGCAACCAATTCAACTATGCTTTATCTAAATTAATAGGCTTTGCTTTCACACTGATACTCTTTTATTTCTTTAAAACAGAGACAGATTTTGTTCTCAAAGACTTAAGGAAACATGCTTGTAATTCCACTAATTAATTATGAACAATTGGTTGACAGGGGCATTTTTTCCAAGAACAATATAAAAATGACCAGGTGCCATTATGTACGTGTGTGTGTGTATGTGTGTGTGTGTGTGTGTGTGCGTGTGTGTGTGTATTGGGAGGGGAGAGAGAGAGAGAGAACATATCAAAAAGTCTAGTTTATGTTGATATTTTTTATTTGAATAATAATAGAAAAGCATTAGAAGAAAACAAACAGTAAATATGAATAGTTTTGAAACAACTGGATTGCAGTCCACTGCAGGAAAATGCTCTTTAGCCATTGTTACATTTAAATTATAAAGTTATTCTAGGACCTAATGAAATTTTCCTAAGCAAATGCAAGCCTGTTTAAAGAATAATGATGATAACAGAAATAGTAATAATAATAGCCAATATTTGCTGAATGTTTACCAAACACCAAGCATGGTATTAAGTTATTTTCATACTGTGACAACCTTATGAGTAGGAACTGTGATGGCCATTTTACAGAGAATAAAACTGGGACAGAGCCGAGTTAAAATAACTTGCTACTAAAATCACTGAGCAGGTAAATGCAAAGCAAGGATTTGAATCCACATACTATAGGGCTAGGGTCTCAGCTCTCAACCTGTTGCTGTTCTGCCTTTCTTGGGGCTTCTCTTAATGAACTCTTCCAGCACTTATCTTTTATTTAATAATAGAAGTGTGTACACATACTGAAGGTGATTTTATTCTGTAATCCAAACAACCATTCCTATAAATAGTCTAAGCCTAGTAATACTTTAAATACTATCTTACATATACTGCCTTATTGAACCCACTCAACATTTTAAGGTATACATTTATACATACATCTCCTTAACCCATTAAGAAAATACTGTTAAAAAGGGCAGGTTGTTCACCTACAATTGCAGAACTAGGACTTGAAAATAAGTGTTCCTCATATCTTTGTATTAGATGGGCTATTTACTTTGCTTTAGGAAATCCAGTATTTCTGGAAATATATGACTAACTTAGCAGACTGTACCAAGACAGTGGCATTCATGATGAATCTTTATTTCTAGGATATCAACATTAATATTTTCTGGTCAAAAGATCTGTTGTATTAATTCTTCTTAAAGTGGGTATTCGGGATATTAATACAGAGTTAAATCCATGATGTGAAGTCAAAGGGTAATCAGGAAGGCAGGAAGGCAGTGGATAGTGGCTATAAGCATGGGCTTTGGGGTTAACTAGACCCACAATTAAATCCTAGCTCTGCATTTATTAGCTCTCTGGCATTAAGCAAATTACTTATCCTCCCCATTCTGTGAGATGGGTCAAATGATAACCATTTCATAGGTATGCTATAAATGCCAATGTGGTCAAACAGCAGCTACTAAATGCTTTATAAAAATTATTTCAGTATAAGTGAATAACATAAGGCAAAGTTTCCCAGAATGGGGTACAGGTACTTAGACTAGATTTTATGTGATTTAAGTATCTATTTTTTTTCATAAATATATATTTATTTGATTTTACATTATAATAACTGTAACCAGTACCTCAAAACTATAATTATGGGCATTTTTCTTTACTTTGCAAGTTCCTTACCTTGAGGCTAAGACAACATAGAAAGTTGGTTTTACGCTAATTAAAAAATGTAGTTTTTCACTTTGGGAGGCTGAGGCACGCAGATCACAAGGTCAGGAGATTGAGACCATCCTGGTTAACATGGTGAAACCCCGTCTCTACTAAAAATATAAAAAAATTAGCCAGGCGTGATGGCGGGCGCCTGTAGTCCCAGCTACTCGGGAGGCTGAGGCAGGAGAATGGCGTGAACCCGGGAGGCGGAGCTTGCAGTGAGCTGAGATGGCGCCGCTGCAGTCCAGCCTGAATGACAGAGCAAGACTCCACCTAAAATATATATGTGAAACTTGTGATATATAATTACTTGTGAAAACACAAGTGACTATACATAATGTTTCAATGGGACTGAAAGATTTATAAATTGGTAAATGTATGGTCAATAAATTTTATATCAGACTTAGACGTTCTTTAATGTCCAAATTAACTTCCTTAGGAAGAACAAAAGGAATGTGAAAGATGAAGAAAGTAACTTTGTAATTATTGCACAGAAATCATAATTTGTAAATTTATGCTAAACTTCCTACATTTTAAATTACTAAACAGAAAATCTAGTTAATTATGTCATGTAAGTGAGATATTTTCATTCTATATTTAAAAACTCACTAGAATTCATAGAATAAACTGGTGTGATGCACCATGTGGAGGTCTTTTATGGAGCACAAAATGTCTAATAATTTTTACAATTATTTATTATTTATTCATTCATTCATCCATCCATTCTTTCAATCAATAGTTTGAAGTGATTGTTATGAGCCAGACAATGATCTAGTGCTAGAAATATAATGAAAGACCAAACAAACATAGAACCCTGCCCACATTATAGTATGGGAGACATAAAACAACTGAATATCTACTTTGTTACAAAATATTATTTGGTTTTTAAACTATTTATAGATTTTGTGTTTATATTTGTTCTATTCTTTATTCATTGGATTGGTTATTATGTTTACAAATTTTCTGATAAGTATTCTGATTAAAATAATGTATTTTTGATCAATAAGTTCAAACTGAAAGATTTGAATATGTGGGCACAGACTTATCCTAATATGCATGTAAAAGATAAGTTCTTTTTTTTATTATTATACTTTAAGTTCTAGGGTACATGTGCACAACGTGCAGGTTTATTACATATGTATACATGTGCTATGTTGATGTGCTGCACCCATTAACTCATCATTCACATTAGGTATATCTCCTAATGCTGTCCTTCCCCTCTCCCCCGACCCCATGACGGGCCCCAGTGTGTGATGCTCCCCTTCCTGTGTCCAAGTGTTCTCATTGTTCAATTCCCACCTATGAGTGAGAACATGCGGTGTTTGGTTTTGTGTCCTTGTGATAGTTTGCTGAGAATGAGGGTTTCCAGCTTCATCCATGTCCCTGCAAAGGACATGAACTCATCCTTTTTTATGGCTGCATAGTATTCCATGGTGTATATGTGCCACATTTTCTTAATCCAGTCTATCATTGATGGATATTTGGGCTGGTTCCAAGTCTTTGCTATTGTGAATAGTGCCACAATAAACATACGTGTGCATGTGTCTTTATAGCAGCATGATTTATAATCCTTTGGGTATATACCCAGTAATGGGATGGCTGGGTCAAATGGTATTTCTAGTTCTAGATCCTTGAGGAATCGCCACACTGTCTTCCACAATGGTTAAACTAGTTTACAGTCCCACCAACAGTGTAAAAGTGTTCCTATTTCTCCACATCCTCTCCAGCACCTGTTGTTTCCTAACTTTTTAATGATCACCATTCTAACTGGTGTGAGATGGTATCTCATTGTGGTTTTGATTTGCATTTCTCTGATGGCCGGTGATGATGAGCATTTTTTCGTGTGTCTGTTGGCTGCATAAATGTCTTCGTTTGCGAAGTGTCTGTTCATATCCTTCGCCCACTTTTTGATGGGGTTGTTTGTTTACATTATCTTTCTGACATCATTTAAAATATTAAACGCTTTAATATATGGCACCTTTAAAATTGAGTCAGAGCCTTTTAGTGAAAGAATCTGTTTTCCTAAAATAGAAATAACTTTAATATTTAATAGCTTCAGGTTTATACACTCCATTTTTTTTCAAAATGTAGAATTTTGAGGGTTTTTTACTTATCAAAGTAACTTCAGAAGTTTTGTTTAAGATGGTAGAGTGAAGTAGAAGTTTTGTTTAAGGTGGTAGAAAATTGACTTAAATGACACTTTTCCTAAGGAAAAAAAAAGATAATTAAGTCCACAACACAATTATGCATAGGTGGAGATTTCATTTCAGGGAAGGCCTTTTTTTAACAAAAATAAAAGCAAATCTTAGTCTTTCAAGATTGCTGACATAAACACATAGTTATAGAATACACACAACACTTTAGATGTTAAAATCTAGATAGGTGATAACAAGAAGAGGTTCTGCCATCTAGAAGGATTCATGGAGAAAGTAAGACCTTATGTGGATGAAGAAAGAGCAGGGGAAAGCATCATAAATATCAGAGGGCATAGCAATGCCGACAAAATGTGAAAACACAAGTAACTATGGTCAGAGCATAGTTTCTGCAGAAAAGTGACAGTTACTGATATTTTAAGAGCTGAGTTGGAATTCTGCATAAAATGCTTGGAAATCTAATGTAGTTCACAAGAAGGGAAAGTCCCAAATTTTTATTTTCTAGCTATTCAATAAAGTGAGGAGATAAGCATTTGCTATGGTTCATCAAAGTGACACTTCTATAATAATATATGATTAAAACAAATTTTTTTCTACCCCTCAGTACTCTAGGGCTCTGTGGTAAGTGTGCACTTTGCCTGTTTGTGAAACTGACATTTCATAATGTAACTGCCTGAGTAGGCTAAGTCAAATTCTAGGTTTTGTATTAAACTCATGATAGATAGACTATTTTGAGCTTAGCCACAGGCTGAGGACATGGGTATTCTGGGCATACATATATCAACTCTGCTAGGGAATTTGGATGGAGCCAGCATGGTTTTTGAACTACACTAAACAACCCTGAATCCACAGCTTTTTAATTGTCTACTCTAGCTTTCAGAAGGTAAGTATTACATAATTAATACTTTGGATTAAAAAAGTTGTTGGAAATTGATATGATTTGGCTGTGTCCCCACCAAAATCTCATCTTGAATTGTAACTCTCACAATTCACACCTGTCATGGGAACAACATGGTGGGAGGTGATTGAATTATGGGGGTGGGCCTTCCTACACTGTTCTCATGATAGTGAATGGGTCTCATGAGATCCGATGGCTTTAAAAACAAGAGTTTGCCTGCATGAGCTCTCTTCTCTTGTTTGCTGCCATGTGAGACATGACTTTCATCTATCACCATGATTGTGAGGCCTCCTCAGCCACATAGAACTGTAAACTCATTAAACCTTTCTTTTGTAAATTGCCCAGTCTTGGGTATGTCTTTATCAGCAGTGCGAAAGGGACTAATACAGTAAAGTGGTACCAGGAGTGGGGTGCCAGCGGAAAAATACCTGAAACTATGGAACTGACTTTGGAACTGGATAAGGGTGGAACACTTTGGAGGGCTCAGAAGAAGAAAAGAAAATGTCAGAAAGCTTAGAACTCCCTAGAGACTGGTTGAATGGCTTTGACCAAAATGCTGATAATAATATGGACAATGAAATCCAAGCTGAAGTAGCCTCAGGTAGAGATGAAGAACTTGTTGGGAACTGGAGAAAATGTGACTATTGTTATGTTTTAGCAAAGAGAGTGGCAGCATTTTGCCCCTGCCCTAGAGATCTGTGGAACATTGAACTTGAGAGAGATAATTTAGCATATCTGGCAGAAGAAATTTCTAAGCAGCAAAGAATTCAAGAGATGATTTAAGTTTTGTTAAAGGCATTCAGTTTATAAGGGAAGCAGAGCATAAAAGTTTGGAAAATTTGCAGCCTGACAATGCAATAGAAAAGAAAATTCCATTTTCTGAGGAGAAATTGAAGCCTGCTGCAGAAATTTGAATAAGTAACGAGGAGCCAAATGTTAATCTTTAAGACAATGTTGAAAATGTCTCCAGGGCATGTCAGAGTTCTTCATGGCAGCCCCTCCTATCACAGCCCTTTTCCTTTTTAAGAGGCCTAAAAAACTAAATGGTTTTGTGAGCTGGGCCCAGGGTCCCTGTGCTGTGTGTAGTCTAGGAACTTAGTGCCCTGAGTCCTAGCCACTGCAGCTGTGACTAAAAGGGACCAAGGTACAGCTTGGCCATGGCTTCAGAAGGTACAAGCCCAAGCCCTGGTAGCTTCCATGTGGTATTGAGCCTGTGGGTGCACAGAAGTCAAGAATTATGGTTTGGAAACCTCTGCCTAGCTTTCAGAAGATAGAAGGAAATGCTTGGGTGGCCAGGAAAAAGTTTGCTGCAGGAACAGGGACCTCATGGAGAACCTCTGCTAGGGCAGTTCAGAAAGGAAATGTGGGTTGGTGCTCCCACATAGAGTCACTACTGAGGCACTGCCTAGTGGAGCTGTGAGAAGAAGGCCACCATCCTCCAGACCCTGGAATGGTAGATCCACCTGCAGCTTGCACTGTGCACCTGGAAAAGCCGCAGACACTCAATGCCAGCCCTTGAGAGCAGTCACAAGGTGTGCCATACCCTGCAAAGCCACAGGGGCGGAGCTGCCCAAGACCATGGGAACCCATCTCTTGCATCAATGTGACCTAGATGTGAGACATAGAGTTAAAGGAGATCATTTTAGAGCTTTAGAATTTGATTACCGCCCCCCTCCCCCAGATTTCAGATTTGCATGGAGCCTGTAGCCCCTTCATTTTGGCCAATGTCTCCCATTTGGAATGACTATATTTACCCAATGTCTGTACCTCCATTGTGTCTAGGAAGTAACTAACTTGCTTTTGATTTTCCAGGTTCATAGCTGGAAGGGACTTGCCTAGTTTCAGATGAGACTTGACTGTGGACTTTTGAGTTAATGCTGAAATGAATTAAGACTTTAGGGAACTGCTGGGAAGGCATGATTTGTTTTGAAATGTGAGGATATGAGATTTGGGAGGGGCCAGGAGTAGAATGATATGGTTTGGCTGTGTCCCCACCCAAATCTCATCTTGAATTGTAACTCCCACACTTCTACATGTCGTGGGAGGAACTCAGTGGGAGGTCAGTGAATTATGGGGGTGGATCTTTCCTGCACTGTTCTCATGATACTGAATGAGTCTCACAAGATCTGATGGCTTTAAAAACAAGAATTTACCTGCACAAGATCTCTTCTTTTGTTTGCCTCCATGTGAGACATAACTTTCTCCTTCCACCAGGATTATGAGGCCTCCCCAGCCACGTGGAACTGTACATCCATTAAACCCCTTTCTTTTGTAAATTGCCCAGTCTTGGGTGTGTCTTTATCAGCAGCATGAAAACAGACTAACACAGTAAATAGAGGTAAAATGAGTAAAAATGCTAGAGAGATTAGAGAAGAAAAACAATTGTCCTAAAACAGAAACAGGAATGTTAAGGATTTGAGGAGGTTTCAAAGCATATGTGCGAAGGCAGATAATGGAGACAAAATTCAATGTTTTGTCTTCAATATAACCTTAATGAAGTAAAGGATAAATGAATCTTATTAAATTGGAAAAATCCTCAGATGGAAAGATTTTGCTTGCCAGAACCATAATTCCTCACTGCTCTGATACCCTAAACTGAAGTAAAGAAGTATCTCTGATCTTTATCTCTCCAACAAAATAAAACCAGAAGAAATCTCTCAAAGGTAATGACTCCATCTCAATATAAAGGACATGAAAATGGTGCATTCGCAATTTCACTATTGTTTGTTCATCCACATAGGACATTAGAGTAGCTCCTGCAGAAAGCCTCCAGAGCCTCACTCCATGCCATTCCTGGGAGAAGAATGTGGGCTGTGTGTCACATAAAGGTTTTCTTGACAGACTGTTATCCTGGGGGAATCCAATACCCCAAATGTAAGGCCTTGGATTCAACCACCTGGTCTCATTTTCAAGCCTTCCAAGTTAGTAACTGTGAAAAATTCAAAGCCTTAGCTATTGAACTGTACAGGCTAAACTTTCTAAAATTTAAAAAAGAAATAAAGAGAGAAAATAATTAATTATTTTAACAAATATTTATTGAGCTTTATTAGCATAGAAATAGTGCTCACCTGAAAACCTCATATGTATTTCATTTTGTAAGATTTCTACTTTGCTCAATTTTTAATATTTGCTATTGTAGTATTTCTTATTACATGCCAGAAATTTCCATTTAGGATAAAATGAAATTTTATGATTTTGTCTTGTGTCCAGAATCAATTTGGAAAGCAGGAAATAATAAATCCATAGAGGCAAAGATTCCATGGGGCGAAAGATTGAAGGTGCATTCTTTCCATTAAGTGGTAGACAGAAGTTCTGCTTTCAAGTTGAATGGATTTCCTTAGAGGTCAGTACAAGACCTCCCAGGAAATCTCACAGAGTGAGACAGAACTGAGCATCCCTTCAGTTACTTTGCTGTATGTCTCTGAGGTATTTAGAGAAATATCATATCTGATGGCTATGAAACTAGAGGCTCAGGAACAGCAATGCTACCCTAGAGCATCAAGACTGCAGGAGAGATTTTGAAGAAGCTTCTTCCCCATCTGTCTTCCAGCACATGAGAGAAATGAAGGAGCATGTTTTTAGTTTAATACTTAGAGAGCAGAGAGGATTACTGCAAGTTTAGATCATTGCTATAGGCTTACCATTCTTGAATTTGTATCACTTTTGTGCTATCAAACTCAGTTAATATTTAAAAATAAAACCTTCAATTTTATTTTTTTATTTTTTATTTTTCTTTCCAGTTATCTCACAAAAGTTATGTTGGGTCAATCCACATCTACATGGTCTTGTTTTATACTTGTTGGTTTGAATCAGGAGCTAAAATAACTTCATACATGGTGATTGACTGTTCTTTCTTTAAAGTATGTTTCATCACTAGAGTTCTCATCCATTTTTTTGTCCTTCAACACTTGTGGAAGAAACTAGTTCTTTTATCCTTTGGTGTTCCTACTTTGGGTTTTGCTAATCATGTCCTTATAGGATGATGCTTAATATTTTTCTCTGTCTTTGGTGTTTTTTTTGTAAATTGGAAGTTGGATCAATAGGCTTCATCAGATTTGGTTTGATTTTCTAAAAAGAAAATTATACATGTGGGGTGTTCTTCCATCAAGAAGCACACAATGTTTGATTGTCTTTTATTTTGTGATTTTAGCAAACCTTGTGTTTCATGCCTATATTTGTTATTTTAAGAGGGGTTGCAAGATGTTAATATTCTGTTCTGTTGTTTATTCATCTGTTCAGTGGGATATGGTTACAAAGAGAAGCTTCCCCTTAACTTTGTCATTGTTAAGCTCCCCCTTAATTTTGTCATTGTTTGGCAATATTTTAAGATATATATGGAAGCTGAAGGCTCTAAATTGTCAAAGACTTATAGAGCTCCCTAAGTAGTTTCATCAATACTCACTCATTTTCACGGGCTTGGAGATAGCTCCTAGAGACTTGGCTGTCTAGAAGAAAAAAGTCTACTCCTCATTTTCACTGGAGCTGGTTGTGCCCATGTGACTATGTTCTGCCACTGAGATATAAGTGGAAAGTGTGAGACTGCTTCCATGAGGCCCTCTTAGAAGGCAGCTCTGCTGGCTTCTGACCCCTTCTTCTTTGCCTTTTCCTAATCCTTGAAATGCGTAGGATGCAGAAGAGATGGCTGGACTCTTAGCCGTATTAGACTAGGAAGTCAGGGTCCACATCCTAGAAATGGCAGACATGAGAGCCATAAAATCCATGGGTCCCAAAAATTCTGCATGCTATATTAATCCTGAGCTGCCCACCTGCAGATTGCTTTTACATGAGAGGGAAACAGATTTGTATTTTGTTTAAGATACTATATTGGGGGTCCTAGAGATGCTACTTTTGAAATAAACCTTAAACATTTATTTAGATTCAGGGGGTACATGCGCAGGCTTTTTACCTGGGTATGTTGTGTGATGCTGAGATTTGGGGTATAATTGATCCTGTCACCCAGGTAGTGAACATAGTACTCAGTAGTTTTTCAACACTTTCCCCACTCCCTTCCTGCCCCCCAGCAGTCCCCAGAGTCTACCGTTGCTATATTTATGTCCATGACTACTCAATGTTTAGCTCCCACTTATAAGTGAGAACATGCATATTTGGTTTTCTGTTCCTGCATTAATTCATTTAGAATAAGGCCTCCCACTGCATCTATGTTGCTGCAAAGGACATGACTTCATTCCTTTTTATGCCTGTGTAGTATTCCATGGCGTACATGTTCAACATTTTCTTTATCCAATCCACTGTTGATGGGTACCTAGGTTGATTCCACATCTTTACTATTGGGAATAGGGCTGTGATGAACATACAAGTGCATGTTTCTTTTTGATAGTGAAATTTTTTGGGGGGTATATACTCAGTAATGAAATTGCTGGGTCAAATGGTAGTTTAAGTTCTTTGAGAAATCTCCAGACTGCTTTCCACAGGAGCCAAACTAATTTACATTCCCACCAACAGTGTATAAGCATTCCCTCTTCTCCACAGCCTCAACAGCATCTGTTGTTTTTTGACTTTTAGTAATAGCCATTATGACTGGTGTGAGATGATATCTCCTTGTGGTTTTGATTTGCATTTCTCTGATGATTCCTGATGTTAAGCTTCTCTTCATGTTTATTGGCGACTTGGATGTCTTCTTTTGAGAAGTGTCTGTACATGTCTTTGGCCTACTTTTTAATGTGGCTATTTGGTTTCTGCTTGTTGAATTGTCCAAGTTTCTTATATATTCTGTATAGTAGACCTTTGCTGGATGCATAGCTTGCAAATATATTCTCTTATTCTGTAGGTTGTCTAGTTACTCTGTTAAAATCTTCAATTTTAATGAAGGTATGAGATTAGTCAAGAATTTATGGTGAAGAAAGAGCAATTTATTATTTACTTCAGTTCCATCTCAGACAGAAATAAGTTTAAATTATGTTTGTTTTAATAATTTTTAAAACCTTCTGACTACATTGTAAATATAGGAAAAATATGATGAAAACAACTGGTTATATAATTAATGATGTTATGAATGGAACAAAATTATTAGAATATTTCCAAAATGGTAGAAACATCTTAAATAAGAAGGTATCTTTTACAATCCTATTTGTCTTTCTAAATAAGCCACAGCAGGAGTTTAATGTATGAAATAAACATCTTATTTGATCTGCATCTGTGACAGAGGATGTAGCTGGAGACAATGTACATCACAATGCAAAGCATTGTTGGGGCTCAATAAGGGGCTTTCTCTTTTCTTAGAAGTCAAGCTACACATAATTCCAGGGCACTTTGAAACATGATGGGGCAAAAATAACCTTGATTCTTAATTATTGACATGCAAATCTATGCAAAAACATACTAATAATGTTTGTAAGAGTTGAATCAAATTTGGCAAAACAATCAGGGAGTATACTTTTTTATTTCTATTGCAGAACTATGATATTTTTCCTTTTTCTTCTACAACATTTTTTTTTCTGGGAATACTTGGATGGCAAGGTGTTTTAAGAAATCCAAAATTGTGGATTACCCATCTGGTTGGCTCATGACCCAATTCCTGATCCATGGAGCTCAAATAAGTTAAATTGATCTCATCCTCAATCACTATCAGAAAGGCAGTAGAAGCTCAATAAATATTTGTTGAATAAGAGTAAGTATAGACCCTGAAAATAGGCAGACTCGGAGCATCTACATGTCAAAATGGACACAGCAGACTCTTCTACTTTTCAAAGCACCTCAGATTCTATGTCAACAAAATGACAATTTTCAGAGTGCTCTGCTAAATGGCAATTCTCCTATTTTGGGATGAGAAGCATCTATAATAAGCAATGGAAACAGAAACTACATTTTGTACATGACAGAAAATATTTGATTTGGGGAAAGAGTTGAGAGATGACAGCGTGCTGGCAGTCCTCAGAGCCCTCGCTTGCTCTCCCCACCTCCTCTGCCTGGGCTCCCACTTTGGCGGCACTTGAGGAGCCCTTCAGCCCACCACTGCACTGTGGGAGCCCCTTTCTGGGCTGGCCAAGGCTGGAGCCCACTCCCTCAGCTTGCAGGGAGGTGTGGAGGGAGAGGCGCCAGCGGGAACCAGGGCTGCGTGCGGTGCTTGCGGGCCAGCTGGAGTTCCGGTTGGGCATGGGCTTGGTGGGCCCCGCACTCGGAGCAGTCGGCCAGACCTGCTGGCCCCGGGTAATGAGGGACTTAGCACCCGGGCCAGCAGCTGTGGAGGGTGTATTGGGTCCCCCAGCAGTGCCAGCCCACCGGCGCTGCGCTCGATTTCTCACCGAGCCTTAGCTGCCTTCTGGTGGGGCAGGGCTCCGGACCTGCAGCCCACCATGCCTGAGCCTCCCACCCACTCTGTGTGTTCCTGTGCAGCCCCAGCCTCTCCGATGAGCGCTGCCCCTTGCTCCATGGCACCCAGTCCCATCGACCACCCAAGGGCTGAGGAGTGCGGGCACACAGCACTGGGACTGGCAGGCAGCTCCACCTGCAGCCCTGGTGTGGGATTCACTGGGTGAAGCCAGCTGGGCTCTTGAGTCTGGTGGGGACGTGGAGAGTCTTTATGTCTAGCTCAGGGATTGTAAATACACCAATCAGCACCCTGTGTTTAGCTCAAGGTTTGTGAGTGCACCAATCAACACTCTGTATCTAGCTGCTCTGGTGGGGCCTTGGAGAACCTTTATGTCTAGCTCAGGGATTGTAAATACACCAATCGGCACTCTGTATCTAGCTCAAGGTTTGTAAACACACCAATCAGCACCCTGTGTTTAGCTCAAGGTTTGTGAGTGCACCAATCAACACTCTGTATCTAGCTGCTCTGGTGGGGCCTTGGAGAACCTGTGTGTCCAAACTCTGTATCTAACTAATCTGATGGGGACGTGGAGAACCTTTGTATCTAGCACAGGGATTGTAAACGCACCAATCAGCGCCCTGAAAAAACAGGCCACTCAGCTCTACCAATCAGCAGGATGTGGGTGGGGCCAGATAAGAGAATAAAAGCAGGCTGCCAGAGCCAGCATTGGCAACCTGCTCGGGTCCCCTTCCACACTGTGGAAGCTTTGTTCTTTCGCTCTTTGCAATAAATCTTGCTACTACTCACTCGTTGGGTCCACGCTGCTTTTATGAGCTGTAACACTCACCACAAAGGTCTGCAGCTTCATTCCTGAGCCAGTGAGACCACGAACCCACCAGAAGGAAGAAACTCCGAATACATCTGAACATCAGAAGGGACACACTCCAGACGCGCCAGCTTAAGAGCTGTAACACTTACCGTGAGGGTCCGCGGCTTCATTCCTGAAGTCAGTGAGACCAAGAACCCACCAATTCCAGACACAGAGTGATAACACATGTTCCTTTTTTATTACCTATAGTTAAAAATAACATGGTTTTTGTTTTTAAATAATTAGTTTCATTTATCCATCCATCCATCTATTAATCCATCTACTTATTCAACCAACATATTAGGCCTTGACCAGGTGTTAGGTACTATGTTTGGCACTGGCAATAGAAAGGTAATTGTGATACATTCCTTCCCTCAAGAATTGTATTCCCACTAGGGTAGATACTATCTAAACAAATGATTGAAATAAAGCATTGTACATGCTATCAAAAGTGTGCTGTAAGAGTGGTACCACATAAAGATAGTGATCAAGGTTTCAGAGGGGACAGAAGAAATTTGAGCTGGATATTGAAGGATAAACATGAACTTGGCAGGCTAACAGCAAGGATAGAGTATTCCATGCAGTGAAAAACAGCATATTCAAAAGCACGGGATGTGTATCCAAATGACACATTCAAAAAACCCTAAGTGTATCATGTTGACTGGAACAAGAAAAAAACTGCATTAGTGAAGTTGGAGAGATAGGAAGAACATGCATTTTATCAGAAAGTAGTGGAGAGTGACTTAGAAATATAATGCAAGAAAAGGACAAGTTCCTTTCTGACTTTGGAAAGATGATCCTGTAAGCATAACAGCAAGGAATAAATTGTGACTAGTGTACCATGTTGGAGATTATTGAAATAGTCAGTAAAAATATGAGACTCTATAGAAATATAGAAATAGAGATGTGAAAGAAGAGGTTGGTCCGCAGGTTTCTGGCTGGTTTCTTTCACTGAAGTAGGGGGGCCAAAGAAACGGAAGAGATTTTGGAAGAATAAGGTAGTTTGGGACATGTGTGGACTTTGGAAAAGTACATGAATTTCTTATTTGTGGAACATTAGTATGAATGGGTCCAGTAGTATGTTATATATGGTTTTGTGGATAAACTAAATACAAATAATGGGCAGGAATATAAGTCATGGCTAAAAGTGAACTTTCCAGACTGGCACCTTAGGGACTGCTTTTCTACCCAAATGTCCTTGATAAGTGCCCTGTGAAAGGCGTATCCAAGTCCTGTTGCATCTAATACTCTCTCCAAGCTCTCTCCACCTTCCAAACCTACATTTCTAATCTGTTGGTTTTCTGATGCAAACCATTTGTTTTCATCTATTTCTTGTTTTCCTGCCCTTGCTTGACTCTCAGCCTCCTACACCATCAGAAAAGTGGGAAATATTACTAAGATGGAGATGAAAAAAAAATGGGTAATACCTCTGGTTAGTGGCAAACTAAAAGCTCAGCATTATCAGAATATCCAGAAATATGAAAGATGATGTCATGAAACTCTTTCTTTTGGGTACAGTTACCCAAGAGGTCACAGTCTCTTGTGCAAAGTGTCCAGTCTTTTCACTTAGCTTTACCATATCCTGTATAGGCCATAAGTCTTAAGAACCAAGACTGAATGAAGGCTCCTGGAAACTGTACCAACTAGACAGCTAATGTTGAACTGTCCATTGATTACCCAGACCATGTGTTTAGAGGAAACTAAGGATAGAATTGAATGTAATATCTAAGTATAATATAATATACAACTAGATGGAGCCTTGAGAAAGAAAAATGTGAGAGGTGGGAAGAAAATCAGAAAACAGAGTGTCATAAAAGTCACGTTGCCTATTAAAATATCTTCCCCATGGGCATGCAAAACCTAAACAAGGCAAAAACTCATGAGCATTTGAGTACATTTGATAATTAGGCTGAATATTATACACCTTAGAGTTATACAGATTATAAAACAGATTTCTTAATTGTAGTGACTCTGAAAAACAGGAGTGCTTTATCTTAGTCTTCATATTCTCAGCAACTTAGATGAACAGGTCTCACTTCCTGTGGGATTAATGATTCCAAGGGGAATAAAATCA
This sequence comes from Homo sapiens, assembly GCF_000001405.40. Classification (NCBI taxonomy): domain Eukaryota; kingdom Metazoa; phylum Chordata; class Mammalia; order Primates; family Hominidae; genus Homo; species Homo sapiens. Next base: position 30,791,610 of record NC_000018.10, read on the forward strand.
ATAAAATATTTTGAATATATCTAGACTGAATTTTTCACATAGATGCCATGTGAAAAATCTGGAAGAGGCACACAAAATATCACAAAGAGTAAAAATTTAGAAGACTGATGTCACAATAATTCTCTTCATAGTACTCATGGTTATCTTATTCACATAAAATTAATCAGGGCACTTTTCAGCATGGTCAGAATCAAGGGATAGAGAGGATGAACCAAGCAATCCAGTTCTCAGTCAAAACCCAGTTCTCCTGTGGAAACTGGAGAGCCAAACTTGTCAAAGTCTGAAGAAGACAAAGTGTATGGGAATCAAGTTATCATTGGAACCTGTAGAGTTTGGCTAAAGTTTGTGTCACTTAAAAACTTAAAATTTTAAAAATATATAAAAAGCAAAAAGATAATTTCTATATACATGTATTTTATTTTTGCATAAAATTATTTCAGTGCTTAGCGGTTTAAAAAAATGGTTTTTGACTCACAATTTCTATCGGTCAGGAATCTAGCCGTGGCTTGTCTGGGTCCTGTGGCTCTGGGCCTCTCACAAGGCTGGTACTATAGTTTCATTTTAAGGCGTGACTTGGGATAAATCCACAAAAGGGATTTTGGCAGGATTCAGCGTCTCACAGACTTTTTCCTGGAGGTCTCCTCTATCTTGCGCCTTCCCATGTGGGTCTCTTCATATTGGAGCTTACAATATGACAGCTGGCTTTCTTCAGAGAAACCACGGAAAAGGACAAGAGAGTATAAATAGGAACAAGTCACTATCTTCTTAAATTTAATCTTGGAAGTGGTGTCCTATAATTTTTGCCATATTCTATTTATAAGAAGTAAGTCAGTAAGTCCAACCAATATACAAGAGGAAAGTTATCACAGAAAAGCATGATGGCCAGTAGACAGGGATCCTCCGGAGCCATTTTAGAGTCATCCTACCAACTATGAAAAGTAAAATTTGGTTTTACTGAATTTTAGAAGTAAAACCATTCCTGCTTTTTCAGAGGGGTTTTCGATTTTTAAAAATGAATTTATACAAATTCTTTAAAGATTATTGATACTACTTCTACCACTTGGTTCCTGGACTTAGGTGGTCTACCACTGTTTATTTATTAATATTTACTGTAAATACTTTCTCCTGAAGGATAGAATTATTTCCTCATGGGGTATTACCTCAAACTAGTGCCTCAGTAGCACATTTAAAAGACCATTCATGGCCAGGCATGGTGTGGCTCACACCTGTAATCCCAGCACTTTGGGAGGCCAAGGTGGGCAGATCACATGAGGTCAGGAGTTCGAGACCAACCTGACCAACATGGTGAAACCCCGTCTCTACTAAAGAATACAAAAATTAGCTATGCATGGTGGCGGGTGCCTGTAATCTCAGCTACTCGGCAGGCTGAGGCTGGAGAATCGCTTGAATCCAGGAGGCAGAGGTTGCAGTGAGCTGAGATGGTGCCACTGCACTCCAGCCTGGGTGACAAGAGTGAAACTCCATCTCAAAAAAAAAAAAGACCATTCGACTGTTTTTATCAAGCTGGCAGTTTCTGGATGCTGTCATATGTGATACACCAATAGATCCCATAGTCTTCTGTCCATTGTTATACCTTCTCTGCTGTGAAGTAGTTCTTTTAGTTTAATGTGATATTGTGCAGAACTCGGTGTCAGTGGTTCAAATTCTCTGTAGATCATCAAAAGTGTTGCTGGCTGAGGCTCTGTGGGCAGCAAAGGAAAATGTGTCCTTGGAATATGTGTCAATTTCAATCAAGAGGAATTGCTTCCAGAATGGAAGGGATTCAAGAGTCGGTTGCCATCACATTGGCCTCCTCAGTGTATGCTGCCATGTCCAGGGTTCACTACTGATGTCTGTTGCTGGCAGGTGCGATATTCAACAGTGGTGAGTGGGAGTCTTCGTGCAGGGAGCCCATACTGTTGTGTCTATGTATAGCTACCATCCCTGTCACCAAGGCTACCACATTCATTTGTTTAATTTGCCAGTAATGACTGGCCAATAACGGAGTTGGCTGATATCAGTTGGATGTGTAATTCTATCTGATGTGTTGTTAAGTGCTTCTTTAAAGATGGATCTATTTTGGGACATATAAATGAGACACACAAAAATCTTCATACTATATGCCCACTCCCATGTGACCATCCACATGCCTCTTTCACAGGCCTCCTTGTCCTAATCTTCCAAACTTTATCCTCCAGGTCCATGACCAATCTGCCCAGACATTCACTATTGCCCATGAGTTTGTCTACATTTTAGCCCTGGCTGGTAGTGGTCTAGCTAGTTGTCCCAACATCCCTGAGGGTTCTATGTGAGAGATTACAGTAAACTACATTTACAAAAGTGACAAAGTGGTGAGTCTTATTATGTATTCTATTCCCATCGACTCTATTTATGAACTCCACAAATCTTTTGGTGTTTTAAGTGCTATTGGCCCATCAAAATTCTAAGGGACCAAGCTTCCTTGTGCCTATTTTTCCTAGCTTTATTTTTCTGAGAAGATGTAGTACTGGCCACCTAAATTCTTTCAAACATCTTAACAAAGCACAGGAAACCTACTCCTTGATTTTGTCTATGTCTCTAAGCTACATTTTAAAGACCCTGATTTTATCTTGCCCCAAGGCTGTATTTTAATTTAATGCTATTTTACTGTCTGGCAAGATTAGAGAGCTGACGGATTTTAAAAGGAGTTTTGCAAACAGCACATTTTAGGATCTCTCAATTTTTTTTTCCATTCTCTTTATTACTGCAACTGGATAGTTCTTTTCTGATCTCTCCCTTCTAGCACCTAATTCAATCCAACTAAATGGAATTAGATCACTCTTTCTGTACTCTGCCTGGAATCCACCTTGCCTAAGTTTACAAATTAATTAAACTTTATGTCAATCTTCCAGATGATCACACCTGACAGCTTTTACGAATATCTTATGACTACAATTTTGCAGTCTACCATTTTCTAAGCTTCTTAAATCAGCTTCCTTATTACTCACCATCCAGCCCTAAAATTAATGACACATATTTTAGTTTTTTTATTTCTCAGCACTCCACTTCAAGCACCAATATTTGTAGCAGACAACTTTTGTTGTATAACAACCACAAAAATCAATGGCATACCAAAACAATAATTAATCTCTCAAGCATCTTAGTTATTGTCGGGAGTACCTTGTCTTTTGTCAGTTGGATTCACTCAGGTGTCAGTGGATCTATGGAGTTTTTTGGGGCTCACCCGTGTAGCTCTACTTTAAACAAAGGTCTGTGGATTGGCCAAGTAGCTCTGCTAAATGAGTCTCACAATGTCCTTGGACCCGCAAGCTAGCCAAGGCATGGTATTTTTATGGCAACAGCAAAGGTACAAGACAATGTGTCTAACCAAATGAGCATACTTCAGTCCCTACATGTTGAAAAAGCCTTTGCTTTTAACATCCCATTGGCCAATCCCATTGCACAAAGCAAGTAATCCCATTGTTCAAGCTCAAAATCTAAGGACAGGGATGTACATGCATTGTTTTGTGGGGGAAATTGTAAAATTACATGGAAGAAGGTGTTAATTGAGGAAAAAGTAAAATCTGCTTCACTATAAAAGCACTTCAGTGAAAAGGACAATGAATTTGGTGCATTTTATATTCAAAAATTCCCACAAGCATGCAGCATCTGTCCAAGAGGCAACTGAGGTCAAAGTTTCATCGATGTTAGAGTTAGGAAAATAGATTTGGGCAGCACTGGTATATAACTATGTACTGATTTTGCAGTGCAAACATTTATGACAAGGGCAAAAGGAATAACATCTTTGATTAAATACAAAAGCATGGAAGTAGATAGCAGAAAATTCATCAGAGGAGGCTAAGTATAATATCGAGCACAAGTGGCTTGTGTTGTAGAAGCAGAAAAAAAAATCTAGAGGAGGAAAGAAGTAATAAAATATGCAGAAAGGTCAATAAAGCCAAAAGCTGGAAAAGCATCATTGTTTTTGGTAATTAAGGGGTCTTATTCCCATGTTATGGACATATGAAGCAATTGCATAATTTGTACATGCTTTAATGATATCCAAATACAGATCATGTATCATATCTGACTCAAGGGCTGCCTGCCTTCAGACCAATTTAATAAACATAAAACCTTGGCCATCATGTTCCTGGGGGCAAGTTAAATATTAAAATTCTTTGATATCTGCATCTAAGAAATTCTTACAACTAGATTCATATGAAAGGAGAGTAATCCAAATTACATAAGCTGAAAGAAAAATTAGTCTGGAAATGCCTCTTCAGTCTATCTCATCTACAATATAGGTAATAAAAATATAATGATAATAAAGCACATTAGGAAAAACAAATTCCCCAAGTCTCTCCTACCAGCTTTGACTCTGTGTTCTAGGGAAACTTATCTAAATGAGAAAAGGAAAATGCAATACACCAGAAATTTAAAAAATCATAAGAAATTTGAGTAAATGTATTTAGCTATTTGCTTCCCACCGAAGAATGCCCAATGATATAAGTTCAAATTTCATATGTAAAAGAGACATGGTGTTAGATTCTGTCCCATTAGGAATAATTTGCTTTCTACTCAAATCCAGTATTTTCAGATAGATTAAGTACTGAAGAGAATGCTGTACATGGAATTTGCCTAGCTTTTAGCAAAGCTTTGTCTCCTTTTTTTTAAATAGACATGGCAACAAACATGAAGTGACTTTGGCCACAAAGGTTGATTTTTATGTGTACAGTTGTTATGGGTTGAATTATGTGCCCTGAAGAAAGATACGTTGAAGTTCTACTTTCCAGTATTTCAAAATGTAACCTTATTTGGTTCTCAGTACATTTTCTGTTACTTATAACGAAATATCTGAAACTGGGTAGTTTACAAATAAAAAGAATTTATTTCTTACAGTTATGAAGGCTGAGAAGTTCAAGGCTAAGGGGCTGGACCTGGTGAGAGCCTTCTTCCTGGTGGGGACTCTCTCCTAAGCCCTAAGGTGCTGTAGAGCATTACATGGTGAAGGGGCTGGGCATGCTAGCTCAGGTCTTTCTTACAAAGCCACCAGTCCCACTCCCATGATAACCAATTAATCCATTAATTCATGAATGGATTAATCAACTCATGAAGGCAGAGCCCTCATGACCCAATCACCTCTTAACGACCCCACCCCTCCACACTGCCACAGTGAATATTAACTTTCAGTATGAGTTTTGGAGGGGACAAATATTTAAATCAGCACATTTGGAGGTAGGTTTGTTGCAAATGTAATTGGTTAAGATAAGGTGGAATAGGATGAACTCCTAAACCACTATGACTAGTGTCCTTATAAGAAGATGGCCATATGAAGATGGAGACACAGGGAGAAGGCCATGTGAAGATAGTTTTGGAGTGACACGTCTACCACCAAGGAACATCATGGTTTACTACCAAACCACCGGAATCCAGAAGGAGGCAAAGAAGGATTTCCCTACATGTTTCAGAGGGATCATAACCCTGCAAACATCTTGATTTCAGACTCATACTCTCCATAAATGAGAAGAAATTTAATTTCTCTTATTTTAAGCCACCTAGTTTGTGTTACAGTCACCCTGGGAAACTAATACAGCAGCAGGTCACAACCTGACTGAAGATAAACAATTTAAACATAATCTACATTATATATAAAGAATTTGTTTATAAACTTAAAGATGCCCATTTCACAAAATGATAAGTAGCTGGACATACATTTAAAAATTGAATTATCAAAGTCATTGATGAATATTAAAAGAGTGAAGATGTGGATTAGCAATTGGTTGATATATATTACCAACAAAACACTCTCAATTAATTAGATGGCAATTTTTAACAAGAAAATGTGGTATGTGGTAATGAAGATCAAGGGCTTTGAAGATAGTCATGTCTTAAAGATCCAGCTCCACCATTTACTAGCTGTTTGACCTCAAGCAGTTTATTTGATTCTCTTAAATCCAGTTTTCTCATCTGTAAAATGAAGTCTAATGCTATCTTTCCTATAGAGTTCACATGAAGACCAAAGCATCTGTTTTTTAAAGCATAATGCCAGAGCATAGTAAGAATTGATGTTGTTATGATTCTTACTTGGTAACGTGATACATGTTTGTATCATTTTAGAAATTTTCATGCCCCAGTATTACAAATCAGCCTATTGTCCTCTCACTTTTTTTCTGGTCCTACCAGTTTCATACTATTCTCTCTTCCACCTAGGCTTCAAAGATGAAGTGTATCCTCTGGCTTGGGACTTGGCAAAGAAGTATGTGATATTGTGGTAAAATGTATGATCTGCAGTCAGACAGACCTAGTCTCCCTCAATCGCTAGCTGAAAGACTTGGGCAATTTATTTAACCTCTCAAAGCATCTTCTATTTTTCTGTAGAATAAAATTAAAATCATATCCACCTTATTGAGACTATTAATTGCAAAACATAGAACAAAAGTATCTTGCATGTAGGACAGGCTCAGAAGTTGGTAGGCAGGCCTCCCCAAACCCCCAATCAATTCAGTCACCAGGTTCACTTTATTGTCATTCCTGATGGCTGCTAGTTTGTCAAGGCCTTGCCTCGTGATCGCTCGATTGACTTCCTAAACTGGTTCCCTTGACTTTGATCTTTCCACTGTGAATGGAGTGAACTTTACAGTATTATTGTGCTTTATAAAAGAACACATAATCACCATTTAAAATATTATTTACTTTAAACCCTTCATTCTCACTTGCAAAAGCCTTTGCAGTCTGGTTTCATCTCATTTTGATGAGCATTGTAATGCCTTGCCCAGATCTCCATCAAAGGACTTGTTGCCCCAGCTGCAAGAAGTGCTGATAGCAGACATCTTTCAATTGCCAGAGTCTTTAGAGATAGCCTCACATGTAGAGCCAATTTTCCCAAGGTTATGCCCCTTCCCAGCGTGTTCCATATTCAATGACTCATCACTACAGGCACAAAAATTGTGACCAACTTGACCTGTAACTCTAAAAAGGCATTCCAGCTCCTGAGCTCTCCAGAGTGGGCTGAGGCCACGATCGGGGTTGCATTCTCCACTTCTTCTGCCTACACCTGCTTTGTCTTCTCCCTTTCACAGGTGCTGATCCCAAGGGCTGCCCCTAGTGAGCACCTTATGGACTCATGAGAACCTAATGGAGTTCTCAGTGAGAACCTAATGGAGTTCTCAATAAACTCCATCTCAGTTTGCTTCCGGGAAAACTTAATCTGCAACACCCTCCTATGCCAACTTTGTTTCATGTAAGTCACCACCTTAAATGACGTGCCTTTCTTCTCTCTTTAGCAAGCTAAGCACACTTATCCAATCATTTATTTATGTATTCATTCATTTGCTTTTAAACATGCATAAAACATGCCTTCTTCCCTACAAGCTTCTTTTTCTATGGACTAGGAGAGAAAAACAAACATGTAAAAGAAATGTGAATAATACAAGGTAGTTTCTCCTCTAGATGTCGGTATGAAGGCCAAATGAAGACAAATGAGGAACTAAAAATTACTACCGCAGTGCTGTTTTACAAGTAACTCTGCAGACTCTCTTCTCTTCTCATGGAAATACTATTTGTGTGTTAATAACAAACTCAAGATTCACCTCTTCTAGGGAGCTTCTCCTGGCATGTCTTCTCACTTTACTTATATAGATTTTTACAGCCAATTATAGAGATCTTTGTAGTTAGAATAACATTACTTTTCATTCTAAATATGTGCCTGTAAGAGACAAAGTATAAAATACAGAGTTTCACCGAATTTATTGAAATGATAATATGCCAAAGTTAACCATTTTCCCAAATTCCTTAGTTAGCAGGCTGCACAACTTTCTAGAATGTATAGAAATGGCAATAAGAGATTTTAAGAAAAACAAGATTTCCTTAGGACAAGGTTTGTTATTTGCCAAAGACAAAATAATGTTGACTTCTACATCTCTGCAGAAGTGTTCTCTGTCTCTTTCCAAATCTGCAGGGAAAAACAGGGTATTAAAACAGTTGAAAAAATAACAAAAGTTAATTTTTACTTTACCTGTAAAATTTTTATTGACTGCTTCGTTACCAAATTTTCCACCTATGTCAAAGTGAGATGATATCTTCTTAACCAGAATTGGTGAATAAATAAAAAGTCCAACAATTATGTAAAATAAACAACTTATGAATAAGTTAACAGAAATGACCTGCAGTTTCTTTCCCATTGGAAGTCTCATTTTTTGCATATGTATACTGTGAACATGACACATTATAAGGTTTTGCCTCTGAATTTTTTGGATTAAAGGAGTAAAAATTAGAAGTTGCTAAAATAAGAGCAGACAGGTAACTAACAAGCCACATCTCATGATTCTTTGGAATTGCTACCATATCTCAGCAAAAGCACAACATATACAGAAGTTCCACTTTGGACCTTTTCCCAAAGGTAATTTGTATTTTCAGAAATTATATATTGAAAGTTATTCTCTACTATTATATTTATAGAAGATTTCAGTGGTAATTCTGCCAATAGCCATGTCTAAATCACCATTCCTGTATGAGGTTGCTCTAAAATTAATACTATACTCAATAACTGTTCCTGTGTTTTCTGGCAGCATCTCAACCATCTGAAGAGAAGATATTTAAGAAAACTATAGATATTCTGTTTCTGATGAGCACACTAATCAATTACCCTTCTCAAGACACTTAAATGTAACCTTAAATAAGTATAAATTCTTGTCTTTTTTATTACAGGTGCAGGTAACACTAATAGCTTTGAAATATAAAATTACAGTGAGGTGACAGCTCCACCACTATTAGATCACCACAAATTGTAAGAAAGGGCAGTCCTCTGCCATGCATGTTTCCACTACAATGAGATTCTTAGTGATTGCCCAAGATGTTTAACAAGACATTGATATTGTAACTCTTAGTTTGAGCCTTGCTGGATTCTGGAATGAATGGAGAAGGAAGGCCTGAAGCAGCACAGCAGGATTTGGAATAAAGCAATGATAGGAGTGATAAACTTAAATGTAATTCTAACATTTAAATTCAAATGTGATCTTATACTAATCTCTTTAGCAGCTTACTGCTTGCAGTTAAATTAACCTAGAAATTAGTAATTAAAGGCAACCACAGAAAGGTACATTTCTGTAGAACCTGAACAACTTGGCAGTGATCCAATTCATTGAAGTCTCCTTTTTTATACACTTTGCATCTGTCTTTTTCAGTGCAGTTGTATACACAGAGAAAAAAACAGTATTGTTAAGAGCATCTTCTGATGGCAGGATTGTAAATTGGGTGAAAATATTTAATTTGCTGGTGCTTAATTCCTGGGAACTTGAAAGCAGGCTGATGGATGGAGATAGGAAAAACATAAGAAGATAAAGGAAATGTTATTTCTAAAGAGGCTTTGGTTATCTCCTGTGTTTTTTTAAGGTCTAGAGTCTGGGACACTATGTCTCATTCTTTGGGTGACCTTTCTTTTTCCTTTAGTGACAAAATAAGCAAAATCTGCAGGACATGCTCTACAGAATTGGAATAAAGAATGTGAGAAATAGGAGCTGAAACCTATAAATAATCCCCAAACTATAAATATCTCCCCAAGATTTGTCATCTTAAAAAATGAATACGAAGTTTATTTAAGTTTATAAATCTTTGATACTTGGCACCTCTTTATAGTGAAAAATTGTACAAAACACTAAGTGTAGCCTGAGTTCTTCCTGTGATTCCTGTAATAAAATATAAGGTTCTTTGAGTTAGGATACTATATATGATATAGTTTTGCCTATTTAGAATATATAGGTAGTTATTTATATGTATTTGTCTGTGAAGAGAGGTCAAAAGAGAGGAGAGGCTGGTGCAGTGGCTCATGCCTGTAATCCCAGCTCTTTGGGAGGCTGAGGCAGGTGGGATCACTTGAGGTCAGGAGTTTGAGACCAGCCTGGCCAACATGGTGAAACCCCACTACTACTGAAAACACAAAAAATTAGCCAGGCATGGTGGCATGCACCTGTCATCCCAACTACTCAGGAGGCTAAGGCAGGAGAATCCCTTGAACCCAGGAGGCAGAGGCTGCAGTGAGCCGAGATGGTGCCACTGCACTCAAGTCTGGGCAGCCCAGAGCAAGACTCCGAATTAAACAACAACAAGAAAAAGTTTAAATCCCAGCCCTGCCAGTTAAATTTCTTTAACTGTCAAAAGCTTGTTTTCTTAGCTGGAAAATATAGATAATGGTTCACCTCTCATTGGATTCTTATCAATCAGATAATGTGTATAGAGTGTTTAATGTAGTGTAAAATATAAAATAATCATTCAACATCTAGCTAGTGATTACTATTGCTGTTGTTGCTTTTTGTGTTACTCCAATTTGCTTTACTATAGAGGAATACCTTAGGCTAGGTAATTTATAAAGAAAAGAGGTGTAATTGGCTCATGGTACTGCAGGCTGTGCACAAATCATAGTGCCAGCATCTGCTTCTGGTGAGGGCCTCAGGAAACTTCCAATTATGGTGGAAGGTGAGGGGGAGTCAGAGTGTCACAGGGCAAGAGAGGGAGCTAGAAAGAGATGGAGCAAGAGAGATAATGAAGAGATCCCAGGCTCTTTTTAAATAACCAGTTCTCATATGAATTCCAGAGTGAGAACTCCCATTACCATGAAAAGGACACCAAGCCATTCATGAGGGATCCATCCGCAGGACCCAAACACCTCCTACTAGGCGAAATTTCAACATTGGAGGTCACATTTCAACATGAGATGTGGAGAGAACAAACATCCAAACTATATCAGTTTATATTTCATCATCCAGTACATATTATTTTCTAATTATTGCACATTTATTTACTAATTTAGCATGTATGTGCCAGATGCATTCAAAGTATGTTACAAAGTTAAACACATTTAATACAATAGCTCTATATTGCTGATACTATAAGCCATTTTTGTTGTATAACATCACAAACAAATAATAAAAATATATATTGCAAATAGGGAAAATCATTTTAGTATATCAGCAGATTATTGCAAGAAATCTTCCAAGGTGAATGGAAAATGTTAAAATTTAAAAAGGGGGGAGAAAGACAGGTGAAGGTGGGATAAAAATGTACAGGAGATCATTAGGAAGTCACTTTAAAATAGAATCATTAAAATGAATGAGAAATAATGAACTTCATTAGCAATCCAATAAATTCAAATCAAATTAAATGAGATTTTTTTTCAAAAATTAGGTTGGCAAATAAAATACTGATAACAAAAATAACAAAGGATAATAAAAATGATAATACATCAGTGCCAGAGCTAACATTTTGTAGGGCAATTTGGCAATAAGTACCACAATTTTTAATGTGCAGATACATTGACCTACAAATGTCACTTCTGAAAATTTAACTGAAGGAAATAATTAGATATATTGTAAGTGATAAATGTGCAAGGAAATACACAGCTGAATTGTTTATAGTAGCACAAGACAGCATTAGCCTAATGCTCATGAACGGTATTTAGTTACATACTGTAGATCAATACAATTTTAAAAATATTCAGAAGAAAAAAATAATACATGTAGCTTTCTTCTAAATGTGTTAAAATTATATTATGTGAAAAAAAAGAAACCCAAAAACCTGTACTCTATGATTGCATCTTTGTTTTAAAAGGTAGAAAGGAAGGAAAGAAGGAGGGAAAGGACAGAGGCAAGGAAGGAAGGAGAGGAGTGAGGGAGAGAAAGAGGAAAAAGAGAAACTGGAAAGATACTAAACAAATCTATTAAAATGGTTATTCTTGGATTATAGATATTTATAACTTTCTTCTTTAAAGCCTCTAATAAAGACATTTATATTTTAGAAAATTATTGTCAATAATTTCTGGGGAACAAAAAAAGTTAACAGTGGCCCTGCCAAAACATCCCTGACTTCAAAATAACTGCAACAAAATATAGCACAAAAATGGGCCGGGCGCGGACGCTCACACCTGTAATCCCAGCACTTTCGGAGACCGAGGTGGGTGGATCATTTGAGGCCAGGAGTTTGAAACCAGCCTGCCCCACAGGATAAAACCCCGTCTGTACTAAAAATACAAAAATTAGCTGGACATTGTGGCGGGCTCCTATGATCCCAGCTACTCCGGAGTCTGAAGCAAGAGAATTGCTTAAACCCAGGAGGCAGAGGTTGCACTGAGCCAAGATCGCACCACTGCACTCCAGTCTGGGTGACAGGGTGAGACTTCTCCGTATTAAAAAAAAAAAGATATATATATATATATATATATATATATATATATATATATATATATAGCGAGAGAGAGAGAGAGAGGGAGAGGGAGAGAGAGAGAGAGAGAGAGAGAAATTATATATAGAGATAATCTGTCTCTCTCTATGTATATGTGTATATAATAAAGAGTGCACAAAAATGACTAAAGAACAATGAATATATCAAAATGATGACTCCATTTGTTCCTGCAGCAAATTCAGTTTTTTATGTTCCTTAAAAATTGTTTATGTGTTACAAATACTAGTGGAGTTTGTTTTCTGTTATTATATCTTATAATGTTTTTTGGCTTTATAGCCTTCTTAAAGTGATACTCAACACTCAAAACATAGAAAATATTTATGTTTTATTCTAGCATGCCTATTGTTTATTTTATACATGTACCTTTATATAGAATTCTGCTGCAAGTAGCAATACATTTTGAATATAGCTTTTTAAGATCAGTTGTTACATCGTCCATACTATCACTGCCGATTTAAAATGCCACATTTATGATAAATTATGATATAAACATATCATATTATTATATGAACAAGAATTCAAAAAAAGGGAAATAATTAAAATAAATAAAATAAATTTTAAAATTAGTCATCAGATTTATTCAGGGAAAGGAAATACACTGTAAAGCAGCAGTAATGCCCAATCTAAAGTGTCAAAATGACAAGATAAAGCATTTTGTAAAATCCTATGCTCATGAGACTGCGATGGAATGGATATTGTCAGCCATTGTTGGTGGTATATATTTGTTTTCAAAAAGCGACCTAGAAGTATAGATACAAATTTTTTACAGCAAATTAACACACAAGCAAGTCCACTTCTAGGAAATTTCCAACAGCTGTAAAACTGGAAGTTTCACAGATATAAATATCTGAAAGTTCATTTAAATATTAAAAATAATGTTAATATAAAGAAGTAGGATCATCTAATAAATTATTATACATCTGTATAATGGAGAATTACGTAGGCAGTAAAAGAATGTGGTAAATTGGCATGAGGTGGTACAAAAAGTTGATTGTCATAAGTGATCAGTTAACATAAAATAAAATAAAGGTCAAATCACAGAACGGTTTGTTAAGAATGATTCTATTGCATTAAGTAAGTTATGTATGACTACAGGCATTCCTCATTGTATTGTGCAGCACTTTATTGTGCTTTGCAGACATTATGTATTTTGCAAATTGAGGCTTTGTGACAACCCTGGAACAAGCGTTGATCGGCATCATTTTTCCAACAGCATGTGCTCACTCCATGTCTCTGTATTCCATTTTGGTAATCCTTGCAACATCTCAAACATTTTTATTGTTATAATATCTGTTATGGTGAGTTGTGATCAGTGATCTTTGATGTTACTATTGTAATTGTTTTATTGTAATGGTTTTTTATGAACCAAACCCATTTAAGATGGCAAACTTAATGAATAAATGTTGTGTGTATTCTCACTGCTCCAGTGACCAGCCTTTCCCTATCTCTTTTCTTCTCTTGAGACTTCCCTTTTCACTGAAATAAAGTAATATTGAAATTAGGCCAAATTAATAACACTACAGTGGCCCCTAAGTATTTAAGTGAAAGTAAGAGTCACATGTCTCTTACTTTAAATCAAAAGTTAGAAATGATTAAGCTTAATGAGAAAGGCATGTTGAAAGCTGAGATAGGCTGAAAACTAGGCCTGTTACACTAAGCAGTCAAGTTGTTAATGAAAAGGAAAAGTTCTTAAAGGAAATTAAAAGTGTTACTCCAATGAGCACTTGAATTATCTGAAAGGGAAACAGCTTTACTGCTGTCATGGAGAAAGTTTGAGCAGTCTGCATAGATCAAACCAGACACAACATTCCCTTAAGCCGAAGCCTAATCCAGAGCAAGACCCCAACTCTTCAATTCCATCATGGTTGAAAGAGGAGAAGAAGCTGCAGAAGAGAAGTGTGAAGTTGTTAATAGCAGGGGCTGGTTCATGAGGTTTAAGGAAATAAGCCATCTCCAGAACACATAAAAGTGCAAGGTGAAGAAGCAGGTGCTGATGGAGAAGCTTCAGCAAGTTATCCAGAAGATCCAGCTAAGATCATTGATGATAGTGGTTACACTAACCAACAGATTTTCGGTGTACACAGAACAACCTTCTATTGGAAGAAGATGCCATCTAGGACTTTTATAGCAAGAGAGGAAATGTCAATGCCTAGCTTCAAAGCTGCAAAGAACAGGCTGAATCTCTTGTCAGGTACCAATGCAGTTGATGACTTTAACTTGAAGCCAATGCTCATTTGCCATTCCAAAATCCCTGGGGCCCTTAAGAATTATGCTACATCTATTCTGTCTATGCTCTATAAATGCAACAACAAAGCCTGGATGACAGCACATCTGTTTACAGCAAGGTATACTGAATATTTTAAGCCTACTCTTGAGAACTTCCACTCAGAACAAAAGATTCTTTTCAAACTATTAGTGCTCATTGACAATGCACTTAGCCACCCAAGAGCTCTGATGGAGATGTACAAAGAGATGAAGGTTGTTTTCATGCTGCTAACACAATATCTACTCTGCAACCCATGGATCAAGGAGTCATTTTGACTCTCAAGTCTTATTATTTAAGAAATATATTTTGTAGGGCTATAGCTGCCATAGATAGAGATTACTCTGATGGATTGGGACAACATACACTGAAAATCTTCTAGAAAGAATTCACCATTCTAGATGCCATTAAGAACACTCATGATCCATGGGAGAAAATAAAAATATCACTATTAATAGGGGCTTGAAAGAAATTTATTCCAACCTTCATATGCAACTGAGAGTTCAAGACTTCAGTGGAAGAAGGAAATGCAGATATGGCAGAAGCAGCAAGAGAATTAGAATTAGAAGTGGAGCCTGAAGATGTGATTGAATTGCTGCAATGTCGTGATAAAACATTAAGGGATGAGCAGTTTCTTCTTACAGATGAACAAAGTGGTTTCTTGAGATTGAACTCCTGTGAAGATGCTAAGAACATTGTTAAAATGACAAAAAGGACTTAGAATACTGCATAAACTTAGTTAACAGTAGTGGCATGGTTTGAGATGATACATTGCAATTTTGAAGGAAGTTCTACTGTGAGTAAAATGCTATCAAGCAGCTTTGCATGCTATAGAGAAATCTTTTATTAAGGGAGAGTCAACAATGCAGCAAACTTCATTTTGTCTTATTTTAAGACATTTCCATGACCACTCCAATCTTCAGTAACCTTCATTCTGATGAGTCAGCAGCCATCAACATTGAGACAATTCCCTCCACCAGCAAAAAGATTATGATTCACTGAAGGGTCAGATGCTCATTAGCATTTTTTAGCAACAAAGTATTTTTAAATTAAGGCACATATGTTGTGTTTTAGATATAATGCACACTTAATAGACTACAGTATAGTGGAAACATAACTTTTGTATACACTAGGAAGCCAAAAATTTTACGTGACTTGCTTATTGGGACATTTGCTTTATTGCAGTGGTCTGGAACCAAACCTGTAATATCTGTGAGGTATGCCTTATACCTGTTCTAGTATATAAAACTGGCTAACTCTGGGAAGGAAAGAGGTGATCAGAAAGACTGACCTTTTAACCTTTTTTATGCAGTATGTCCTCTGTGTCTTTCTATGTGTGCTACTGGTTTGTCATATACTGAAGAAATATTTCATAATAGAACGTTAAGATAGAATATTCAATTATATAATGCCAAGCAATAAGGTAAAAATACAGATCTTCCATGATATGGTCAAATTCCTATTTCTATACTTATTAACATATAAAAGGTATAATCAAATGGCTTTTAAAACTCAAAAGAGAAGTAAGACAATCTAATACATTGATGTTATTATAACTTTAGATATTGATATTCCTAATGCTAAAATGGCACTAAAGTTAAAGATAAGACTATTTTGTGTCATAGTATAGAGTAATTGTTAGTACTTAAGTAATAATAATAGTAGTTATAATATCTAACATTTGTTAAAGTTGCCAAAGGACTGTAATGTGCATTATTATCTCATTGAGCCTCGTAACCGTCCTGTAAATTATGGATGAATATAATACAACTTTAATGGAAATTATCCCCAATTCCCATACTCCAAAAACGAGAACATTAGACACAAATATAATGTTGCATTTAAAAACACATTGTAAATATGAACTGAAACACAGATTTAGAAAATATATTTATCTTAAACTTTACCTCATTGACAGTTTAGAAGGATAAAGTGTACCATATTAACATATCCTATGTACAAGAGCAAATTGTTTATCTATATATAAAACCCTTTCTTGGAATTATTACTATGTACAAATTAAGTCTAATTTGCTCAATGTGTAGTGAATTTATACTAACTAGGGTTAAAAAAAAAATCCCTTCTTTGCTGCAGCGGTGGGTAAAGCTGCCACAAGCCATACTTGTCATCTGCAATGCCACACACGTAGGACTCATAAGACACAATAATAACACAAATTTATTTTTTTCTTTCATTGTCCCTGTAAACCCCTTCAGTGGAGCTTAATGTTTGTTTTTCCTTCCTGGGTGAAATCCCAATCAGAGCCTGTAACTTTTCCTGCCATTATCTGATTTAACTAAGGTCTCCAGCCACATTAGTCTCTCCAATGGATCCAAGATATCCATTCCAGTAACTTTTATGTTCAGACAAAGTAATCATCAAAACTCAAAACCTCATTACAATTTGATGTTCTCTTCTTCATCTTCTTTGTCTTACCAAAGGCAGAAAGACTTCGGAGAAAAAGGGGTGAGAGGCTACCTGGCACCTCTCCTTATCCTTCTCCTCCTTCCTTCTCCTCCACGCTTGGAGCAGGGAGAAGAAGCAAAGGGTGGGCAGAGTCTCACTTTTGTGCTCCTTGTGAGAAGATGGTGAACCGTCCACAGGTTATATCTCCCTCTTCCCAGGAAAAAAACCTTCAGACTAGTCTTTCCTGCCCTCCCAACATACTTCCTATCACTTCAAAGGACCATTGGAAGGGCTCATTTTTGTCAACTTTTATTTTAGGTTCAGGGGATACATGTGCAGGTTTGTTACATGGGTATATTGCGTGATGCTGAGGTTTGGGATACAAGTGATCTTGTCACCCAGGTACTGAGCATAATACCCAAAAGTTAGTTTTGCAATTCTCATCCCCTCCTCCCCTCCTCCCTCTATTACTCCCCAGGATCTATTGTTCCCATCTTTATGTCCCTGTGTATCCAATGTTTAGCTCCCACTTATAAATGAGAACGTGTACTATTTGGTTTTCTGTTCATGCATTAATTCACTTAGGATAACGGCCTCTAGCTGTATCTGTGTTTCTCCAAACAACATGGCCTTGTTCGTTTTTATGGCTGCATAGTATTTCATGATGTATATGTACCATATTTTCTTTATCCAGTCCACCCTTGATGGGCACCTAGACTGATTCCGTGTCTTTGCTATTATGAATAGTGCTGCAATGAACATATAAATGTATGTGTCTTTTGGTAGAATGACTTATTTTCCTTTGGGTACATACCCAGTAATGAGATCAGTTAGTCAAATGGTAGCTCTATTTCAGGTTTTGAGAAATCTCCAAACTGCTTTCTATAGTGACTGAACTAATTTACTTTCCTACCAACAGTGTATAAGCGACGCTTTTCTCTAAAACCTTGCCAGCATCTGTTGTTTTTAGACTTTTTAAACTGTCAATTTCAACACTAAGCAGGATAGGCAGAAGGTGAGTGTGGTTGAAGGTGGAAAGTGTGTGAACAAGGAAGGCAGTTCCCTAAATGCAGAAACCAGATGAGACTAATTTGAGAAAATCATTTTCACACACCACTACACCTAAGCCAGCATCTCTGCTTGAACTCTGAAAGCTTTCTTAAAAATTTAGTATCTAATTTCATTTTAATTGTACTGCTTCTCAGGTACCCATTATATTACTTTTATCTTGGTTATCATTACATTTATATGCATATACATTTAGGTATACCTTATGCATATCACATATATGTATTAAAGATATGTGGCATCTTTAAATGAGCTTTTTAAAGGTAATTTTAGTGTTAATGTTACAATTTTTTGAGTAAAAGTAAGTTGACATTGTCACTTTACATTTAAATGTTTGTAAAATTTGTTGTTTCAAATAAAAGAAATTCAACCTTTATAAATGCTGATAAAACTAAATAGGGATGCATAAGGTAACACTTACGTCCTGCATCCCTGGAAACCACCTAACTCTATGTTATCTAATCAGTAAATTCACTATCCACTTGCTACAATCAAAATCTGTTTTTGAATTTCAGACATATCTTTTCCAGTTCCTTGAAGGGAAGAATGGAAATGAGGAGCTTATCATTCACCTTACACCTTAGGGGAAAAAAATGTACATTTCTATTACAACTTGGGCATCACAGAGCAAGAACAAACATCTGAATTTAGGGTTTCCACATTCTAGTAGACAAGATTTTCCAGCTGACATTTGTCTGGCAACCAGTAGGAAATGATTCCCTTATTATTCTCTGTTTATCTCTGTTGGCAAATGGTGTGGCAATATAAGCATCCTAGGTAGTTTATCTGTCACAGAAGCCAAATGGTTTTAAGACCCAGGGTTCGTGATTTGGTTATGAATGAGAGGTAAGGAATTATTTAATCACAGTTTGGAAAACTCATCATGTGCTTATCTATCTTTGCACTCATAAAGAAGATTACTTGACAAATTCCTGCATTCTACAAAATATGTACTGTGTCTACTTCATTCAAGCTCAATTTTAGGTACTCAGGATAAAAATATAAGGGGAATATTGGTGCCTGCCTTCAGGACTTTATAGAATGGAGATAGGCATGCTAACCAAATGCTATGTATTGTTGCTCTAATAAAGTTACATTCCAGATGTAGAAAGAACTTAAAGCAGGTTGCTGACAGTTACCTGGGAGAATCCAAGATGTATTTAAGGAGCAGAGGAGCCTGGAGCTAAGACTGACAGGATGAATAGGCACTTGGGTGACAGTCAGCAGCAGGCATGACAGATGAAGGGAATATTAGGTGTGAAAACATGAAGAAGTCTGACAGGTTCTGGCAACACTAAGTAATTCAGAAAGAGAAAATGGGATGTAGAATCAGGTAAGGTATAACATTTATGTAAGTTTCTTACTAAGAAGAATCTAGTGTATTATGCAAAAAAACTTAAGGTTTTTATTCTGTGATTAAAATAATTAAATTTTCATCTTGTAACTGACCACATATATGTGTTGAATTACACTGAAAAGGACATTGAGGTTGGATTAGAGAAAAGTAAGCATAAAGGAAGAAAGATAACTAAAAAGAGTCATAGCAGAATCCAAGAGAAGAATGAGGAAAGAGGATTAGGGCAGGTCAGTGAGGATGGAAAGGAGGGGACCAAGAAGGAGATGCTTGAGGCAGTGAGAACATGTTGAGTTAATGATGATAGATGGTCACCAAGAGGAGAAATCTAAAATGATGCTCTTGTGTTTCTAGACTGGACTGATGAGAGAATGATGTTAACAAGATAAGGATATAAATGGGGAGTTTGTTTTGTTTGGTTTCATTTGGGGTAAGAGTTTGAGAAAAAGAAAGTTCTCTTCAGGTTACATTGAATTCAAAGTTCGTGGATTTCCATGTTGTGGAATAACAATATGTTAAAATCTATATTTTTCTGTTTTGCACGGTTAGAGGATTTTCATGAAATCACTATAAATGATCCAATACAATTGATATCTCATTTTTAACATTTAAGTCACTGATATCAGAATAATTAAGCCAAAAAGCTCTGTTGGGATTGCACAGTTTAAAGAAAATATAAAGTAGTAGTTCTCTAGGCCTTGAACAAAACTATTTGTTAAGGCCAGGTCATCTTTGTTAGTATCATTCGCAAAGGAATTCCCTCACAAATGTTTTTGAATGTGGCTTGTGTGATGCACCCATTCACACTTTCCAGTGGAGTGGAGAGCAGGAAGAGTGAGAAGATTCAGTGATAATAAGGGTGTTACCACCATCAGCTGAATTACAGCAGGGTCAACAGGAAGCTGACACAGCCCCTGGAGTGTAGTAAGATAAATAACATTGCACTTACCAAAATGCATCTGGAGCAGAATATTGGATATGGGTGGAAAGAAGATGTTGATAAATCATGCAGGGTCAAGGTAGAGGTTAATGAGAATCTTACAGGCTATTATCGTATAACATATGGTTGCTAAATCATCTTCCAACAAAGGTGGGTCTTGCACATTCAAGACCTTTCTGGAAAGGGGCATTTAATTTCTGAGTTGGAGCTAACTTGTTTGTTATAACATAAGAAAGAGCTGACTCTTCCTCCATGGTCCTCTTTCTCTGCCGTAGTCTCATTCTCAGTCTCAGTCTCCTCCAAAAACTGTCAAAAGTTTTTCCTGCTTGGAAAGATGCCAACTTACTTGGCCTGCTTGACACTCAATCATTAGTATTCCCAGAGTGCACAGGCATTTAGTCCAGTGAGTCCAAAACTATAAACTTAAAATGCAGTTATTTTTTAAAAGGGCTTGATAGACTGAAAGTTTTTGTTTTTCTTCGCATATTTTTTTCACTTCTACCATGTGCCATTATCTATGGTGTGCTTGCATGTGATAGAAATACCTCTTTTAGGGTCAGTATGTTTTATATTGGTGTGTTTACCTCCAATATCCCAACTTGAACAGGTTTATTATTATGAAAAAGAGGCAATATGCTAGAGATATTAGTACATAAATCATTGTCAGGAAACCAATCCTGTGTTTCAAAGCAGCAAAAAGCTTTTAAAGTATTGATATAGGTGTAGCCTAAAAAGAGGGCAGAATTTTTTCTTTTGTCTTAACTGGATATTTTGTAAGATGTGGCCTCTTTTTAAGGATGAAGAGATTCAATTGATTAAATATTTCTATAAATAGATTCATGCAACAGAAACTGATTAAAGAAAAGCTGTCAAAAGTGAAGTTTTTTTTCTCTAAATATCTGTCATTTCACACATCATTTTAAAATTTCAGACTTGGAAATGTAAATTGTTCTTTTAGAACTAGGCAGTTAACCAAAACAACAACTAAAGCATATTTCAAAAATAGCACACACAGAACAATCATTCTAACTTATGTTAAGAATTTAGAAGAGGAGTAAAGATCTATTGTTTAGGTTGGTCGAATTTGAATATATACATTATGCTGAGACATTTAAATGGTGTACGTTTTTAAACATTATTCAAAAAGTCTTCATTAAGATGTTTATATTCAGCCTATTTTATTGTCCCTTGGATTATGCAGCAAGTTTGCTGGGTGACACACCAAAAATCATCCAAACGACAATGCTGAGCAAAACTTTTTAGGTCATAATTGTTCACCTCATTGTTAAGACATTTCTACATATTCTTCCTAAGTAGGACAAGCTCAGAAGAACAGAATTGAGTGAACAAAAGAAAAAGTCATTTTAAATGGCTAGTTAAGTTAATTTCAATTGTTAAAAATCACTAAAATTTGAGACTTGGTCTGAGACTTGGTTCTGCTATTGGTTGTTTGTGTCGACTTCAAACAAGTTTTAAACCCTTCTCAGTTTTTCGCAAATATAAACAAATGGAAAACAAAACTATTTCTAAGCACCCTCCATATTCTATGTTCAACAGCTCTGTGATAAAAATCAATTTAAATAATGAATTATCGTTCTGTTTATTTCCAAATGTCATACATTTTGAGACAACTCCTCAAATTTTCTTAGTATAGGAATATAAATAAAATTAACTTTCCCTCGGAAGACAAAAATTCTCTTTCCTTTAATGAACAGTCAGTCTACATGATGAAGGCAATAAAACAACAATCAAATTAACCTTATCTGATTAGACACTGTGGTAATTTCTGTGGAAAGCAAGCGGAGGAAGGAAACCTGCATCAAAGAAGGCAGCGGAAAAAGTAGAAAGAAACAGAAATATTCATTAAAAATATTTCTTGTCCAGAAGAAACAATGCAACAGAATGGTTAACAGATTATGAAAACAGACAAGGGTTTGAATTATGGTACCAAAGAGTCCATCCCTTAAACCTCAGTATCCTAATCTATACAATGCAGATAAAAACAGAAACCAACACTGAAATTACTTTAAGGATTAAATGAAGGAATGCATTAAAGGGCTTGGCACAGTGCCTAGCAAGTGCTCAGTATCTGGAATGGGTCTCAAGCATACATTTTAGTCTTGCTAGAAACCTCAGGGATACTTGAGAAATCACCTTTCAGTTTACTAGTCTTACAGAACATGCTGAACATGAACAATGGTAATTTTATAATATTCCCTTGCTAGTGGTGACCAGAGAGATATTTAGAAGCATCTCCAGAGATACCCTAAAGCAAGATGATCACCAGAGGATAGAAGAAAGCAATTTTTTCCATCAGATTCCTCACCCTCATGGGTGATAACATCAAGTAATATAAGTCCCCAAGGAGAATTGTGCAAGAAATATGAAAGTTGTACCTTCATCTGGAATCATGGCACGGCCATATTTGGAAATGCAGGATGTATATACTTTGCCATTAAAATTATTTTATTCTTTAACTTTTCATCACTTGTATTTTCTTTCCATTTTTCCAGCCAGAAGAAAAACCATCAGATTTTGTGTTTCCTCTTAGTACCCTTCATTTGCTTTGGTCAAAGTTCACCGCCCAACCCCAATGTTCTCTAGAAAGTCTCATGAGGTATCTTAAGTAGTGAATCTGAAAATGGTTAGGTCAATCTGGGAAAGAGTACAGAGGGCAAATCAGAGGTGGCCTTAACAAAATATCACTTTCAGGAAGCAGGATTTTCCTGTATTTACTTTCCTTTAGGCTCAACTTCTCAGATTCCTCTCATTTCCTCTTCAATGATATGTTTCCTGCAACCCACAAAACACAATTTGTTTATACTCACTCATTTACAAGTGCATGCTCCACTATCTTATTGGCTGGAGACAAGTAACAATCCCTGCTGAATCATGTTACTTTAAATAACTATCCTAAATCTGTGTTTAACAGTAGCCTGTCGTTTTGTTGTTCACAGTGTCTGTTTTTTAAATAAAGGTAATGCCTGTCTTTTTAGTCAAATATCATCTTTTGCAGGAAATTCAAATGCCCTGAAATATAATTATTTTTGTTATTAACTTAATAGCAAAAGCAACACAATATCCAAAAAAACCTTTAATTTAAATATAATGAACTTTTCAACATTAACCTAATTTTGAGGTACTGAAATTTTAAATATTTTGTTGTTATTTAATTAAGCTTTTCTTAGTGCTAGCAGAGTAAGAATGACAGGCAACTGTCTAAACCTCTAAATGTAACACCTTTGAAAACAACTCTAAGTTGTGCTCACTTTGCTATTGTTTTTAAAAGCAGCACTAGAGTAAATATACTTAATATGTGTTTGTTGAATGATTCTTGCCTAAATCCATACCAAAACCACATAAATCATGGAATGGAAAGTAGATTTGTCTATACTGTTTTGTTTGAAGTGATTTTCTGTAACGATTTAATTTAAATGCTAATTGTTGATTTTCCTCTTCATTTTTCCTCTAGTCTTATTTCCTTGCTCTCCTCCATTGCTGTTTTATCTTTTGGTGAGTGGCAGGAGCTCTTGTTACAAAATTAAAACTTTTTGGACCATTGTATCAGTAGTAAGTATAAGAATAGTATAAAGCTAATTAAATTATTGTGAAATTAAATGAAATAATCAGTGTTGTGGGAAGTCAGGGACCCCAAACGGAGGGACCGGCTAAAGCCATGGCAGAAGAACGTGGATTGTGAAGATTTCATGGACATTTATTAGTTCCCCAAATTAATACTTTTATAATTTCTTATGCCTGTCTTTACTGCAATCTCTGAACATATATTGTGAAGATTTCATGGACACTTATCACTTCCCCAATCAATACCCTTGTGATTTCCTATGCCTGTCTTTACTTTAATCTCTTAATCCTGTCATCTCGTAAGCTGAGGAGGATGTATGTCGCCTCAGGACCCTGTGATGATTGTGTTAACTGCATAAATTGTAGAGCATGTGTGTGTGAACAATATGAAATCTGGGCACCTTGAAAAAAGGACAGGATAACAGCAATGTTCAGGGAACAAGAGAGATAACCTTTAACTCTGACCGCCGGTGAGCTGGGTGGAACAGAGCCATATTTCTCTTCTTTCAAAAGCAAATGGGAGAAATATCGCTGAATTCTTTTTCTCAGCAAGGAACATCCCTGAGAAAGAGAATGCGTCCCTGAGGGTAGGCCTCTAAAATGGCCGCTTCGGGGGGCGGCCGTCTTTTATGGTTGAGCTGTAGGGATGAAATAAGCCCCAGTCTCCCATAGTGCTCCCAGGCTTATTAGGATGAGGAAATTCCTGCCTAATAAATTTTTGGTCAGACCAGTTGTCTGCTCTCAAACCCTGTCTCCTGATAAGATGTTATCAATGACAATGTGTGCCTGAAACTTCATTAGCAATTTTAAATTCGCCCCGGTCCTGTGGTCCTGTGATCTTGCCCTGCCTCCATTTGCCTTGTGATATTCTATTCCCTTGTGAAGCACGTGATCTCTGTGACCCACACCCTATTTGTACATTCCCTCCCCTTTTGAAAATCACTAATAAAAACTTGCTGGTTTTGCAGCTCAGGGGGCTTCATGGAACCTGCCGACATGTGATGTTTCCCCCAGAAACCCAGCTTTAAAATTTCTGTTTTTTGTACTCTGTCCCTTTATTTCTCAGACCAGCCGACACTTAGGGAAAATAGAAAAGAACCTACGTTAAATATCAGGGGAAAATTTCACTTGATATCTGGCTGAATTTCCCCCAATAAATCAGCTCTGACTAATCACAACAGCAACAAAGATTCATGACAACACATGTAGGTGTATTGGGATGCTGCTGTTTAGAAAGGCACCTCACTTATAAACCTGAGCAATGAACAAACAGATACTCTCCCAAATTTGTTTCTATCTTTTCAAAGTTACAGAAGATGCAAAAAAATCAACTATGTATGCCATGAAAATATTTAACATTAGCGTATTGAAGTGGAAGAATCCAGGAGACCACAAAGCTAACACTTCCTAATCCAGAGAGTCCACAAAGAAACATTTGAACACTGTGATAAATTTGTAAAGAAATAGTAACCCTATGCAGTTGTCACACATTAAGAGGGAGGAAGCAACTCTCCCACTGTTCATTGTCTGTCATTTCTGTTACGTGTTCACGGTGGTTTTGCCTTGTGAATTTGTAGTGGCAGCATTCTCCCGATCTGATGTTGGGGAAGAGAAGACGAGAATATGTAGTTAATGAGTCATTAAGAACCAGAGAAATTAAGTAGAATAAGAGATCTCAGAGAGATGTCAGAATCATTAAACCCAGTGTGCCTGTTGACTTCTATCTGCCTTGAGATGTAGCATAGCAAGGAGCAATAGACTTCAAAACAGGAACTAAGAAGGCTGACTCTGGCCATTGAAAGAGGCTTTTTTAATATGGACAATGATGATTGATAAGGAGCAATGTTACTCATATTCAAGGTTGTTTCTAGCCAGATACTAGAGTAGAGGAAAATGCTGAATGTCACTGAACTTTGTGACCAACCTCAGCAATCAAAACAACAGCATGAAGGTAAAGCTATAGAAATTCAGATGTACAAAGATCTCCAATGTGGAAGAGGAATGAAGAAGTAGCTCCAGTATAGTGTTAGGCTACTAGTAGCTCAAAAAATATTTTTGAAGATGTAGAAAAAAACTTTCTTTGTCTACAGGGTTAGCAACAAGAGGGTGACATATCAGTTTAGCATAATTCAATAAGAGAGGGGAATACTAGAAGATCTTCAACCCCTGCTAGTTTAAGGAGGCATTCTCAGATCCAGCAGCAGTATCTGCCAAAATTTTTGTTGACTTTTCAAGCCCAAAACCAAGCCACAACATAGATAAACCTTGAAAACACTATACTCACTGGAAGTGGCTGGTCATAAAAGACCACATATTTCATTCCATTAATAAAAAATATCAGGACTAGGTAAATCTAGTGATTGCCTCAGTCTGTGGGTTAGGGGAAAATGGGGAGTGACTGCTAATGGGTATGGGGTTTTGTTTGGAATTATGAAAATATTCTGAAATTAGGTAGTGATGATGACTGTACAACTCTGTGAATATACAAAAAATAAATTGTATACTTTAAATGGGTGAATTATATGATATGGAAATTTCATCTCAATGAAACCGTTATAGAAAAGCAACAGGAAAAGAATATTACCCTCAATCTTAGAAGCAATCTGAGAATTACACTGATTGGAGTATTGACTGCTAGCGTAATCCCTGTTGTAGGAAAATGACATGCATAGATTGGAAAAGCCTAAATAGTGCAACTCGGCTTATAAGACTATATATGGGATCAGTTTCTAAAGTACCACGTGGATCTCCAAGTGTAATTCAGGAGTTTTTGAAAAGAGGTAGTAGAGACAAAGAATATTCTAGTGGCATATACAAGTGTCCATCAAATATAGCAATCACTTTTTTTTCTTTCATGGAAGAAGACAAGGATTATTTCACTTCTTGGTAAAGAGAAAGAATATCACATGCTTTTTTGAAGCCTCACAAAAACTTAGTCACATAATGTTTTGTACTTTCCATTTTTTGTTGAAGAAGCTGAGAAAATAAAGAGGCTGAATAATTTGAGCAATCCAGAGCCTATAGAGGACAGAATCTAGATTAGAATCCGGGACTTTCAGCACTAAACCCTGTGGTTTTTCTGTATATCATGCTGTCTGACTATGGCAGGATTCTGCTAATTTAACATACTTAGAGTTCTAGCTTTCTTCGAAGCCAACATCCCTCTGGAAATGACTGCACAATGGGGAGAAACATTCCACTTTGATGTTCTTATTTAGTTGATTTAGCAAAATGAACATAGCTTGAAAAACATGGCTTTAATTCTTTTTTTTCTCTGCCTGTGTTATACTAGAACCTATATTATACTTGCATAATGCAAGAGCACTACACTTCTGTTGTAAGATTTGGCGCAGTCACTCTGAAAATTGGCAGTACTGACTTAAGGCAAACAAAAGAATACTCTATGGCCAAACAGTTCTACTCCTGGTGAAAAAAACAACAGAAATGCATGCACATGTTCACCAGATAACATTTACAAGAATGTCCCTCATAGAACTACTGGTGATAGAAAAAAAAAAAAAGGCTTGGAAATGATCCATAGGAAATATATTTGTTATGCTCAATTAGTGAAATACTATACAGCAATCTCCCCAAAATCTGCATACACTGCAACATCAATAAATCTTTAAAAAAACACTATTGAGACAAAAGAAAAGGTATGAAGGGTCTCCAACAAGTTCATGGAAAATGTGTATTTTGAAAAAAAAATACGAATTTTGAAACTTTCGCAACAAAATAAACTTGTACTAACCTGTTACATAACATGTCTAAACTGGATCCAGTTTGAGGCACTAAGAAGAATAATAGACATCAGTCTGAAAAGAGAAGCATGAATTCTATTAAAGTTGAAACAAAAATAAACATCACATTAATGGTGAAGCTTGGGTTGAAGAATGGTGAAATCCTTTATGCCTTACAAAAAGTGTGTAAGGGCAATGCCCCCAAAGAAATTAGCAGTTTACAAAATGGATAACTTCTTTGAATATGGAGCAAGACGATGCAGAAGATAAAGCCTACAGTGGCACGCCAGTCACATCAATTCGTGAGGAAAAAAATAATTTTGCTTGTGCCCAGATTGAACAGGACTGACGATTAACAATGTAAACAATAACCAATGCCATAGACTTCTCTCTTGGCTCAGCGCGCACATTTCTAACTAAAAAATTAAGGTTGAGCAAAATTTTTATTCAATGGGTGCCAAAATCGTTGTGTTCAGATCAGCTGCAGGCAAAAGCGGAGATTTCAATGGAAATTTTAAAGATGCGGGATCAAGATCCTGAAGCTTTTCTTCAAAGACTTGTAGCAGGAGATGAAACATGGCTTTTCCCATAAGATTCTGAAGACAAAGCACAATCTAAGCAATGGCTGCCAAGAGGTGGGAGTGGCCCAGTTAAAGCAGTAGCAGACCCACGAGGAGCAAAGGTGACGGCAGCAGTGTTTTGCGATGCTCGGGCATTTTACTTTGGTCTGAAGACCAAAGAATGATCACATCTGCTTATTATGAGAGAGTTTTGAGAAAGTTAGCCAAAGCTGCAGCAGGGACATGTCCAGGAAAACTTCACCAGAGAGTCCTTGTCCACCTCTACAATGCTCCTCCTCATTTCTCTCAGCAACAAAGGCAATTTTGTGAATTTCAATGGGAAATCATTAGGCATCCACCTTACCGTCCTGATTTGGCTTCTTCTGACTGCTTTTTGTTTTCTAATCTGAAAAAAAATATTTTAAGGGCACTCGTTTTTCTTAAGAATGTTAAAAAGACTTCATTAAGATGATTAAATTCCCAAGATCTTTAGGTTTTTTTTGTTGTTTGTTTGTTTTTTCTCGAGGTGCAGTCTTGCTCTGTCACCCAGGCTAGAGTGCAGTGCTGCAGTCTCGGTTCACTGCAACCTCCGCCTGCCAGGTTCAAGCAATTCTCCTGCCTCAGCCTCCTGAGTAGCTGGGATTACAGGCATGCGCAACCATGCCCGGCTAATTTTTGCATTTTTAGTAGAGACGGGGTTTCACCATGTTGGCCAGACTAGTCTCGAACTCCTGACCTTGTAATCCGCCCACCTCGGCCTCCCAAAGTGCTGGGATTACTGGCGTGAGCCACCGCGCTGGGCCGATTTTCAGTTTTTTAGTGATGGACTAAATGGCTGGTACCATTACTTCCAAAATTGTCTTGAACTTGATGAAACTTATCTGGGGGTATAAAGTTATATTTTTTATTTTTCTTTTAATTCCATATTTCCACAAACTTCTAAAGTTCCCTTGTATAATTCTGTACTCACAGTATGATACAATATGATTTCATTTATAAAGTTCAAAACCAGAAAAACTAATATTGTAGAAAAACTAATCTAATTACCAATCTAATATCCTAAAAACTAATCTAATATCAGGATATTGGTTACCCTCGGGTGCATAGGGAGTATAGTACTTGAAAGTAAAAATGAGAGTGACTTCTCAGATACCAGCAATGCTGTTTCTTATATGGGTGCTGGTCTCATGAATATGTTTGCTCAATAAAAAATTGAACAAGCTATACACTTACCATTTTTTGTCTTTTTATGTATATATAAATATACATATTCAAATATACATATTATATGAGTTCCTTCAGGAGAGTCATCCTGAATTCCTAGCTTTCTGCCAACAATTTCATATATAAAATATGCATGTGAGAGAGCTTCTCTCTTACACAGTGAAGCAGGTGCTGGGAGAAATCCTGTACTATAATAATTTATGTGTTTGTTTATTTCAACCTAGCATCTATGCACAATAAGACAACATGGCATTGTACACAAATGACACATTGCCCCAGGATATATACCTAAGGATACCTGACATCATCTGAGAGGTCATTTGGCACTACCAAGATACAATATAGTAAAAGAAACAAATGTGTGCTTGTGATAATATTCCAGAAAGTATTCACGAGCAGGTGGCACTGAGGAGGTAACATTTCACAACAGCCAACAGTGTGGAGCACTTGGGCCACAGCTTTCTTGGCAAGAAGAAACAGTAAATGCCAAGCCCCTGGGGTGAGAAGGAACATGGAATTTATGAAAAATAGAACAAGGCCTGTTTGTTAGCTACAGTGGTGGCACAGAGAAATGACAGAGATGGTCAGACAGGCAGGCAGTAGTCGGGTAATTCAGGTCAATGCAGGTCAGAAAAATGAATTTTAGTGCAACTCTGAGGTCATTGGAAGGTTAGAGAAGGTCAGTGACATGATCTAATGGATATTTTTAAAAGTTTACTCTGTCTGCTATATGGAAAACAGATTGTAGGGAAGTAAAGTAGAAGCAGAAAACCTCGTACAAAGCTACTGCTGTAGGGCCAAGGAGAGGGGAGGCCAGCTTAGAGTTGACAGGATGCACTGAAGGTATGTAGAGGGGTGACGCACATGGAAGAATCAAATGTTTGAGGGCTTGAGCAAATCAAAGGATGGTAGTGCCACTTACAGAGAAAATTTTGGAAGGTCAAGATCAATTGAAAGGATGCGTATGTAGCATTTAGCACTAAGTGTGGAAATGTTTAGTTAATGTCAGGTTTTGTTATTGTTATCACTATTGTATTGTCTGTATTGATAGACTTTAAAACTGTTAAAATAATATATGATCTGTACACTTGACAATGGTAACTGTAGAAAGCCCCTTGCAAGGTTCCTCAACATCAGCATTTGTACTTGAAGGGAATTCTGAAAGGAGCTTCCATTTTAGGGCTGATACTGCTAAAAATTTAGAAACGTAAATGATTTCTCTCAAGGCCAACTTTATTCCAAAGCCAGAGTGTCCTGAAACCCACTCTTATGAATATGAAATCTTTTTAAAACTGCTCTATAGTGAAGTTGAAATATTATTTATAACCAAAATTGGCAGTAGTCATTTGCACCATCTCAGATAAATAGTACAGCTCATATAAGATGGAAATAGCTCTCTATTTCACAAATGCTAAAGCTTCTTCCATTTCTTCTGTGCTGCTAAATGGTTGAAGCTGAAGTGCATAATCTATCTGTAGTTAAGCAGAGTACATTGGTGAGCCGTTTTTTAATGACAGGTAGAATCAGAAAGAGTAAAGAACTAAACTTCTTTGTATGTCAGAGCAAATTGAATTGAGTTTTCAAGAAGCTTCAAATTTTTATAAAGGCTTATGAATGTGAGATCGCAGACAGAATCTCAGGATCATGAGACAGAAAAGGGGTTGAGTGGATCAGCCATGTAAATATCACTTACCACCACCATCATCAGAAACCAATTCTGTAGCGAAGACCACAGACACAAATGCTTTGCATGAAACTTGTTTTAATTTGTGTTTTTGTAGAAAAGAATATAATGCAAAAATTGATTTTGTTAACAGGGAGCAGAGGGAGCTAAGTAAATGAGGAGGTAGCAGATTACTTAGAGGATAAGTAATAAAATGTGATTTGAAATACACATGCACACGTATAATTAATTAAAATTCAGCAGTAACTGTATTAATTATTTACTATTTATATCTACAAAAGATTATATTTTTCAGGAAGGATAATTTTATCATTAGCATTATTTAGAATTGCTAACAAATGGTGATAATTAAAAATATCAATTTTGAGTTAGTTTTATTATTGTTTTTAAGTGATGTAATGACAATGCCTGCACTGGGAGTGGACCATATGCACCTTCTAACCATGGGTATGCCACTGTGAGAAAAAAATTTGTAGACAAATGGGTTAGTAAAAATATTATACACACACACACACATACATACATATATATCACGGAGCAGGTGACCTCAGCAAACATCTGTGTCACACATTGAGAATGTATTAGATGTAAAATACTGAAATGTATCATAAGATCAATAATTCCTAAGAGCTGAAAAAACACAAGCCAGCAAATATAAACATTTTCTTTATAAAGGTAAATTTTACCATTTGTACAGAATAATTTGACTTTCAAAATGCAAAGTAATACTGCATACAATATTCAGAAGTAAAAGGCTTAACTTCTATACCCAATATCAGACTTCATATTAAGATAGTCATTTCCCATGATGTTTATATGAAATAAGTGTAATAAAATTTTTCATTGTGCATTATGGAAATTCATGTGAAAATAGACAGAAGACACCTTACAGATACAAAAACTCAAGTTCTCATAAAGCTGTAAATCTCATTTTTTAATAAAGAATAATGATGTATCTAAGTACAAACTTCTTAAACTTCAAACTGTTCTCTTACATTTATTTTCTAATCACGTAAAAGACATACACAAAAATGTCATGAGTTAAAATGCAGAATTTGCTTAAGTTTTAGCTTTAATGTCATTTGTCTCTGTAAAGTGACTCTTTTCTTTATGTGAGCAAAAATTTCAGTCAATTTATTACACATGCAGAAAACCTTCAGAAAGTTTCTCTTCTCATGTGGACAAGTTTCCCCATAAGGGCTTTCAATAGTTATTCTGCACAGTTCTTTACATTCTGTTCATAATTTGAGGGAGGTGAAAAACAGAACCTAGAAATCTGAATTTATACAATTGAGAAAAAAATAATTGAGAGTGGTTGAGACATCTTTATGCCATTGTACAGGTGAGAAATATTTGATTTAAACCCCAGTGTGGCCCATGACAAATAAGTGTCAAACTGGATTCATATTGTGAATTTCTTATGTTTCTCTGATGTAAAAGAAATCATTTAGTTTCTAAATGATTTGGTGTAGCCCTTTTAGATTTTAGACATTCTAAACCACTCTGTTGGATTTGGTTTCCTACTAGCCTGCTTACAGTGAATACAGTTCACTTCACCAGCATGTACCCAGTGAAAGAGTAGGAACCTTGCCTCCCTTCAGCTTCCAGTTCCAGCTAACCAGTAGATGTATCCTCCAATTCATTACATGAATCCTAATGAATTGGCTTTGTTCTATGATCTTGGTAATATTAACCTGTCATCCAATGTTAAAGTTTCTTCAATAATTGTGTATGCTTGAACATATTATTTCAAGTTATTGGGTCTCAAAGTACTCTTTGGTAAATGGGGGAGGTCAGGAAGTAGACATATTCATGTGCTATTCTATGTGTGAGCAATGAAATAAATCATTGCCATATTTGATAAATCAGTCATTCGGAAGGGACAAGAAAGCAATATATTGATTATTCATATACTAATTCATTTATTCATTAGAATATGATTCAAAGCTCCATGCAAACAGGAGACTAGTTTTTCTTCCTTTCCATCTCCAATACAAGAAACAGTGCCTGGCAAGTATGCTTATATCTGAAAGACACAAAGATACATTAAAAAAATACAATAAAATAAGGCAACATCTTACCTTTAAGAATGTCACTACTTCATAAGCACTCTAGCTGCATTACAGTGAAAGAAGCTTTGGGGAAAAAAAAAAATCTCAGAAAGTCAGAGTTTCTCCTTCCATTTTGAAACCTACTTAATATATGATCTTTGGCATCATTTAGCCTCTAGGGGTCTAAGTTTATTCATCTGAAAATTGAATAATGTGAATTACATGAGAATAATATATTCACTTAAGCCATGTATAACAGAAAGCTTAAGTAAGTAATCAAGGCTTAAATAAGATGAGTATTTTTCCCTTCAAGTAATGAGAATTCTATGGTTAGCAATTTAAGGCAGGCCTAACAGTTCCATGATACCATCAGGGGCCCAGGTTCTTCCTGTTTCTCTGCTCAACTATCCTTAGCATGTTCTTCTTACTGTATGGTTGCAGGTAACAGTTGGAGCTCCAGTATCCAAACCATACTCCAGGAAGAAAGATGGGAAGAAGAAAATGTAAAAGGATTATTCTGGTTGAGTTGGCTTCCTTGTAACGAGTTAGGCACATTGTATACTTTCTCTTAGATCTCAATGGGTAGAACTATATCACATGTTTACAAGGGACGCTGGGAAATGTATTTTTTTCAAGGTGGTCACTTTTATATATTCAACAAAATCAGAGCTCTGTTTGTAAAGAGATATGGAGAAATAAACATTGAGTAAGAAACTAGATGTTTTAGTCACAAGTGCAATCCACTTATATAATTAAAAATTTGTTGCATGGGCATTTAACATTAAGTATTTTACAGTGGTTGAGATGGACAGAAATGGGAATTCATCAAGGAATACATTCCTGCTCCGAATGCCTTGATAAAAAGATAATAAAATAATACTTATAAACTTTGTTCCATCAGCATGGCCTATATTAGAAGCCTAATAAAAAACTTGGTGCAGAAATCATACGGCTAGCCTGTATTCCAGAGATGGAAATGATGACTTTACCTTGTAATTGGTGGAGCAGGGCAGAAATCACTACAGCCAACTTTGAAAACAATTTTGTGCATTTCTTAAGGCCATTGGTGCTATTGTAATAGGCTAAGCAGTAAAATAACTGCCTGATATGCTTATCTTCCTTACCACAGTTAAAATTCTTTAAAGTAGAGGCTCACTGCAAGATAGCACCCTGATATTTTACTAATTTTAAACTTTTCACATACATTTTTTCAGGGGTAGTTGCCCCATGAAAAGCACTAAATGTTCTATCATTTGCTACATTGCTATAATGTACCATGTGACCCAATTCTGTATATTTCAAATGGGGCATCTTGTTTATAACAGGTAATTTTTTCTAAGTTACCTCCTGTTTAAAATTAGGATAATACTGTCTACCTTATTAATAACAAAGTTTCTGTATTAGATGAAATAACAGATGTTAAAGGTCTTCACAAGCTGCAAATTATTATACAAATAAGAGTTGTTGCTATTGTTATACTTTGCTTTGTCTCATTTTGGACCTGCTCTATCAACATTACTCTTTCTCGGAAGAAAATTCTTTGCTAAAACTTTGTGGCACTTCATAACAATATACCATCTTTTTACGGCATGGCAAGTCTTTGTAACTCAAATAAAAGTAAAAAAGATTAAATAAAGAAATAACTTTATTTCCTCCTGAAAATTCTCCCCTAATGTGCCTTTTTACTTATTACCCTCACATCTCACTGCACTAACCAATCTGAATTTCAAAGTATATTTGACATTATTTATTCATTTCTATAATTTATGTTCTTTGTTTTTTATACATAGCCTTACTCAAATAATTTATTTACAGGAAATTCAGTTATTAGTTGTAATGAAGGGAAACAGTACATTGATAATCTAAAAGTGTGTTAAGGGCAGTTTATATTTGGTTTTTGAATGAAATTTTTCAGAGGATTTGCTTTCCTAATTATATTTTTTTCTTGCTAGACTTAAGCTTTATTTGCATTCCTTGGACAGAGGAGGAGGAGATACTTAGGAGCATTCTGAGTACAGAGAGAAGATTGTCTGGATATAAACAAAACTCTATCATGGAGAAGTCACACAATTAAAAAATACACTGATCATCAAGAGTTGATTGCATAATACACTTGCTTTTGTTCATTCCATTTCTCTTTAATATTATAAAGTCTTTCCATAGAGGGACTAGTTGCATACAAATTCTGTAAATACTAAATTGAAATGTACTATACAGAGCCCTTAGGGTGAATATCATCAATAACTCTTAGTGGCAAGAATATAGTTACCAAATTCTGATGCTGACTCAAAAGCTAACAAAATGATGTGATTTTATTGTGCCTTTTATCCTGTCTTTCCGATACAAATGTGTGTCTGTATGTGTCTCTGCAGAAAGGGAGAGAGGAAGAGAAGATGGAGGAAATAGCAGTAAAGGAATGAATGGAAATTGAAAGAAAATCATGTGCCGACTGATTTTATTTTATGCCAAAATTCACAGTAGCATAAACAAAGGTTTCATGGGAGAAAAACAATAAGATAAATATATAAACATATTTCATAAACATTAAGTGATTTTGGAGTTTACCTCAATAAATATAATTGGACACTTATTGCTTTTATTTAATTTAAAGCAGGATATACACTAGCTGTCTCTTAGCCAGGCTCATTTATAAACTATTAATGATTTAATTTGCATTTTCATCAAGAAAGGAAAAAAATAGTTATTGCACAGGTCTCTTTTTCTCCAGACACTGAGTCATTATTTAATTAAGTACTATTTATAGTTTTACATACCCCATTTGCATTTTTATCTAGGCCCTGCATTTGAGAAAACATATATTTAATTTATATCTCATATATTTTTTAATCTAGTTATATGCAGATAATTAGCTTTTTTTGTCTGTTTGTTTTAGAGACGGAGTCTCACTCTTTCTCCCAGGCCGGACTGCAGTGGCGCTATCTCGGTTCACTGCAAGCTCCGCCTCCCGGGTTCATGCCATTCTCCTGCCGCAGCCTCCCGAGTAGCTGGGACTACAGGCGCCCACCACCGCGCCCGGCTAATTTTTTGTATTTTTAGTGGAGACAGGGTTTCACCATGTTAGCCAGGATGGTCTCGATCTCCTGACCTCGTGATCCGCCCGCCTCGGCCTCCCAAAGTGCTGGGATTACAGGAGTGAGCCACTGCACCTGGCCATCATTAGCTTTTTTATACTGCTATGTTTTCTGTAAATTCTTTAACTCACAGATAATGGCTTTACTTCCTTTTCTTTGAAAATAATGTGGTTAATAAGTTAGAGACCAAGAGAAAAACAAAATGTTCTGTACAGCATTGTAGTCACTTAGTTCACAGATTCCACATTTTAAAGTAATTGCGATTTTACTATATACCGTGTGTTGTTTCCATTTTTTTTTTTTACATGGGCTTGATTTTCCCACTGCATGTCTCCTTTTAAGAGCTATGTAAGTAGTTTACCATGTTTTGAAAAACTCCACAAACTCCTCATTAAAGCTTCAGCTAACATAAAAGAACATTATTAAAATGGAAGAAATTGATATAATATTTAAACTCAGGAGAATGTGATCATTATCTACAATTATATGAACAATTGTTTTCAGAAAACATAGGCAGAAACAGAAGTATAAAATTTCAACAATGAAAATTGATTTTGAGTATTTATTAGGGAAACCGTATGAAAGTCTTTAAACTCTGTGATACCATTCTGAGCTAGGTAAAGTAACTCCTTTGTGTAGAGTAGTTTATTCATTTCTTTAAAGAACATGAAAGCAAGGTGCCAGGGGAAAAAATCTATGTCTATCTGTTTATATATCTATATAATCTATGTAGAATATCTATAGTGCATATACTTTTTAAAAAGTTGGAAAACTTACCAACACTTCACCAGACTGGTCATGTCTCCCCAACATATACTTTTTATTCCATTTCTGTCCTCAACTAATGGTAGGAGAAATCTCCAAGCTCACCTTCCCCCAAACAAACAAAAACAAAAAGCGAAAGAAACAAAAACCCGAGCAGGCTCAGGGAACCAGGAATTAGAGCTTCATTATTGTTGGAGCATCGGCCCCCTGGACCTGGAGACAAGGCTGAGAAGCTGGGAGGTAGACAGCCAAATACAAAGCTACAAAGAGTCACAGCAGACAAGCTGGAGGTCTGGCCTGAGTCTGGAAGCCCATAGTCATATAATCATAGGAGGTGTAGTAAGGTGATGCAGTGATCCTGAGACACTTCCTCTGAGTCAGAATCTTTGAAGGGTGCTGTTGCCAGAATTAGAAACAAACAACGTCTGGAGGAAACTTTGCACAGGATACCTGCAGGATTAAGATCATAAAGATTACTAAACAAACTATAACCTTATCCTCTGTGATGATAAACAGCAGAAAAAAGTTGCAAAGATTTTGAAACAAGGGCTGGAGATTTTGGAAATGTCTGATACAGAGTGTAGGGTAGCTAGAGAGAAAGGGTAGGTCACCTACCAAGGGATCCCTATCAAACTAACAGTGGACCTCTCAGCTGAAACCCTACAAACCAGAAGAGATTGTGGACCTATATTCAACATTCTTGATAAAAATCTTCAACCAAGAATTTCATGCTATCCAGCTAAACTAAGCTTCATAAGTGAAAGAGAAATAAGATCCTTTTCAGATAAGCAAATGTTAAGGGACTTCATTACCACCAGACCTGTCTCACAGGAGAACTTGAAAGGAGCATTAAATATAGAAAGACCACTACCAGCTAATACAAAAACATTGAAACACACAGAGCAGTATCACTGTAAAGTAACCACACCCACAAGCCAACATAATAACCAGCTAATAGCATAATGACAGGATCAAATCTACACATTTAAATACTAACCTTGAGTGTAAATGGACTAAATTCCCCACTTGAAAGGCACACAGAGTACAAGCTGGATAAAAAAGGAAGACCCAATGGCATGCTGTCTTTAAGAGACCGATCTCCCATGTAATGACATCCATAGGCTCAAAATAAAGGGATGGAGACAAATCTACCAAGCAAATGGAAAACAGAAAAAAGCAGGGGTAGCAGTCTTAATTTCGGACAAAACAGATTTCAAACCATCAAAGACCAAAAAAAGACAAGGAAGGGCATTACGCAGTGGTACAAGGTTCAGTTCAACAAGAAGAGCTAACTATCCTAAATATATATGCACCTAACAGAGGAGCATTCAGATTCATAAATCAAGTTCTTAGCAACCTACAAAGAGACATCACAGACTCCCACACAATAATAGTAGGAGACTTCAACACTTTACTGACAGTATTTGGCAGATGGCTGAGGCAGAAAATCAACAAACATATTCAGGGCCTAAACTCAGCATTGGACCAAGCGGATCTGACAGACTTGTTTAGAAATCTTCACCCCAAAACAATAGAATATACATTCTTCTCATTGCCACATGGTACATCATCTAAAATTGACCAATAATTGAACATAAAACAACCTCAACAAATGTAAAAGTACTGAAATCATACCAAACACACTCTCGGAACACAGCACAATAAAAATAGAAGTAAACACAATGAAAATCTCTCAAAACCATACCATTATATAGAAATTAAACAACATGCTCCTGAATGAATTTTAGGTAAATAATGAAAAAAAAAAAGCAGAAATCAAGGTTTTTTGAAAATAATGAGAAGGATACAATATATCAGAATCTCTTAAACACAGCTAAGGCAGTGTTAAGAGGGAAATTCAGCCAGGTGGGTTGGGGGCAGTGGTTCACACCTGTAATCCCAGCACTTTGGAAGGCCAAGGTGGGCGGATCACAAGGTTAGGAGATCGAGACCATCCTGGCTAACACGGTGAAAACTTATCTCTACTAAAAATACAAAAAATTAGCCAGGCATGGTGGCACATGCCTGTAGTCCCAGCTACTTGGGAGGCTGAGGCAGGAGAGTTGCTTGAACCCAGGAGGGTGGAGCTTGCAGTGAACTGAGATCACACCACTGCTCTCCAGCCTGGGCGACAGAGTCTCAAAGAAAAAAAAAGCGGGGGGGTGGGTGGGGGTGGGGGGGTGGGTGATGGGGGGAAAATTCATAGCACTAAATGCCCACATCAGAAAGTTAGAGATTTAAAATTAACAACCTAACTTCACAACTGAAAGAATTAGAGAAGCAAGAACAAATCAACCCCAAGCTAGCAGAAGACAGGAAATAACAAAAATCAGAGCTAAACTGAAGGAAATCAAGACATGCAAAACCATTCAAAAGAACAATGAATCCATGAGTTGGTTATTGAAAACATTAATGAAATAGGCCACCAGCTAGACTAATTAAGAAGAAAAGAGAGAAGATCCAAATAAACACAATTAAAAATGATGAAGGGAATGTTACTACTGACTGCACAGAAATAAAAACAGCCATCAGAAACTAGTATGGGCACCTCTACGCACACAAAATAGAAAACCTAGAAGGATGGATAAATTCCTGGACACATACACCTTCCCAAAACTCAGCCAGGAAGAAACTGATTCCCTGAACATACCAGTAACAAGTTCAAAAAAAAGCCCCAGGACCTGATGGATTCGTAGCTGAATTCTACCAGATGTACAAAGAAGAGATGGTACCATTCCTACAGAAACTATTCCAAAAAGTTGAGGAGGAGGGACTTCCCCCCAACTCATTGTATGAGGCCAGCATCACCCTGATATCAAAACCTGGCAGAGACACAACAAAAAAAGAAAACTTTGGGCCAATATTCTTGATGAACACTGATGCCAAAATCATCAACAAAATACTTGCAAACCAAATCCAGCTGCACATCAAAAAGCTAATCCAGCATGATCAAGTAGACTTCATTCTGAGATGCAAGATCAGATCAACATATAAAAATCAATAATTGTGATTTATCACATAAAAAGAAGTAAAGACAAAACCCACATGATTTATTTCAATAGATGCAGAAAAGGCTTTTGATAAAATTCTAGGTCCCTTCATGTTAAAAAAAAAAAAAACTCTCAATAAATTAGGAATTGAAGAAACATACCTTACAATAATAAGAGCCGTCTATGACAAACCCACAGCTAACATTATACTAAATGGGCAAAAGTTGTAAGTATTCCCCTTGAAAACCAGCACAAGACAAAGATGCTCTCTCTCACCACCTCTATTCAACATATTATTGGAAGTCATAGCCAGAGCAATCAGTCAAGAGAAAGAAATAAAGGGCTTCCAAATAGGAAGAGAGGAAGTCAAACTATTCTGTTTGCAAAAAAAAAAAAATTACTCTATATCTAGAAAACCGCAGTCTTGGCCCATAACCTCCTCCAGCTGATAAACTTCAGCAAAGTTGCAGAATGCAAAAATCGATGTACAAAAATCACTATCATTCCTATACACGAACAACAACCAAACTGAGAGCCAAATCAGAAAGGCAGTCCCATTCACAATTGCCACAAAAAGATTAAAATACCTAGGAATACAACTAACCAGGGAGATGAAAGATCTCTACAATAAAAATTACAAAACACTACTCTACTCAACAAAATCAGAAGACACAAACAAATGGTAAAACATCCCATACTCATGGATAGGAAGACTCAATATCATTAAAATGGCTGTACTGCTCAAAGCAATTTACAGATTCAATGCTATTCCTATCAAAC
The DNA here is from genome assembly GCF_000001405.40 of Homo sapiens. Lineage (NCBI taxonomy): Eukaryota > Metazoa > Chordata > Mammalia > Primates > Hominidae > Homo > Homo sapiens. Next base: position 30,832,319 of record NC_000018.10, read on the forward strand.
TACCAACTTTTAAATTTTTAAATTCATATAGAGCCAAAAAAAGAGCCTGAATAGCCAAGGCAGTCCTAAGCAGAAAGAACACAACTTATATCTGGTTGGAATTCTTGGTAAAAAGACTAGGAAGAATGTTGAAGAGGCAATATTTAAAATACTAATGGCAGCACATTTTCCAAGTGTACAAACATAGATCTGCAAACCAAATGCATAACAATCAGGATAAATCATAAAAAGATAAGACAAATCATAACAAAACTGAAAAAAAATCAAAGACAAGGATCTTAAATAGAGGGAAAAAGAAAATTGATTGTCTACAATAGCATGACTGTTGGAGGAACCACAGAATGCTCAGCAGCCAGTATAGGAGCCAGAAGACATGAAATGTTATTGTTAAAGGATTGAGAAATAACTGTAAATAGGAATTTGTACTTAGAATGTAATATGGTACACTGTTATGATATCCTTTTTATGTATTTTCAGATTAATCACATATAAACACTATATTATGTAGGATTGCACACATATACTAATAAAACCATATGTATGTGTGATAATATGTATACATATATGCATGTATATGTATATGTACATGGAAGGGAATGGTTAACACACTATAGTCCAAATTATGATTATATAAAAAGAGAGGAAGTAGGAAAAGGGTATAGGAGAGGAGGACATTCACAAATGTAAGTTACAGGCAGTGTTGCATCTTTGTTATATCTATTAGGTCATGGGTTTACCCTGCATTGTACATAATAAAAAAGCAAAAGCAAGCAAACATGAACCAAGATGAAAGTGCATCATGAGCCCAGGACAGGTTGGAATAAAATGCCAAACAAGAAATAATCTCCACCCATTAAATAATTAAATAAAAGAAATAGCATGAGACAAAAATTGTCACTTGGACTTATCATTTAACTGCTAATCATAGTCTTTGAAAACTAACAAAAGAAAAATAGCTATTGAATTTATGGAGGTGCCATGTGAATAGTTCTTCTTATCAACATCAATTGCTTTTTTTCCCTCAGTATTGAAATGAAAAAAAGCAGCCACGGAATAATTTTCTAGGGCCTGAGACTCTGAATCTCTTTTCTATTACACATGGCAAAACACTTATCATCAGAATGTATAGTTACTAATCTGCTTCTAATGGCTCAGGAGAAATAGGGCACTGTTTCTGGTCCAGGATGTAAGGGGCTTAGAAGTTACCACTCTATTCGAATGATAACTAAAAAGCTGAACAAACTGAAAAATCAACAATTCTTGGATCCATAGGAGAAGCGAGGCCACAGGGCAAACCTTTGCCCTCAAAATTGGAGAGATCACAGGTGAATACGAAGAATGACAACTCACCGGAGCAGAAATCTCAGTGCCTAGGTAGGAAAACCTGAGCTGTAATTGACAAATTGCTGGACAAATTGTTCAGTGTGGACAGATCTGAGAGATTAAAAACTCCAGGGGAATCCAGTTTTTGGAGGCATAGGGAGAGGGGCACACTTTTGAGAGTTTTGCCTCCAGGAGCTATCTAGACTTGTAAATATCAGAAAAATCTCCTGCTCTGACAGCAGGGGCCAGGGGAGGAACCCTCTTGAAATCTATCAGCGAATTCTATTCTTAACAAGATCTGCCCTCAGGAGAAATTATTTAACCAGAGTGTATCCTACCTGGGTTTTACCAACTGACCTGTGGTAAAGAAAATATCCAACTGCAGTTCCCTCTAGCCTTCCATGAGAGAGGAGGGAAAAATCCAACTTCAGCCCACTCTAGCCATTCTGTCCCATCTAAGGAGATGGGAGGGAAAGACTGAGGAGCAAGTGTGAAATTCACAGTCCAGGGGCACAGGCCTATTAAAAATTTCAGACCTAATCCATAGAACTATAGAATTCTTCTTCTCTCCTCACATCTTACCAGAAAATTACTAAAGGCCTATTTATACTAGGCCTATTTATTACTTTTACCCAGTAAATCATGTCTGGCTATGAAGAAAAGTTAAAACATATACTAAAGTAAAATTTGAATAGACAGAACAAACATCAAAACAAGACTCAGACATTGCAGGGGTATTAGAATTATCAGATAGGATTTTAAAACAACAATGATTAATATGCTAACAGCTCTAATGGAGAACAATAATGAAAAGACAGTTCATCCTCATGGAAGACTCAGTATTGTCAAGATACTAATTCTTTTCAACATCATGGATTCAATGTTATCTCAATCAAAATCCCAGCAAGTTATTTTGTGAATATCGACACACTGGTTCTCAAGTTTATGTGGAGAGGCAAAAGAGCTGGAATAACCAGCACAAAATTGAAGGCGAAGAACAAAGATGGAGACTAACACTACCCAACTTCAAGACTTAACACAAAGTTACACTAATCAAGGTGGAGTTCTTGGTGAAAGGATAGACAAGAATAAATAAATAGATCAGTGGAGCAAAATAGAGATCTCAGAAAAAGGCCTACTTAAAATATAGTCAACTGGTCTTTGACAAAGGAGAAAAAGCAATACAATGGAAAAAGGTAATATTTTCATCAAATGGTATCAGAAAAACTGAACATCCACATGAAAAAAAAAATAAATCTACCTCTTCAGAATGTAGCCAACAAAGTTGAAAACTTGAATCCACGCAAAAACCTACACATGGATGTTTGTAGCAGCTTTATTCAAAATTGACAAAACTTGAAAGCAACTAAGATGTCCTTCAGTAGGTGAATGGTTAAACTGTCATATATCCAGACAATGGAATATTATTCAGTGCTAAAAAGAAATGATCTATCGAAAGAAAAGACATGAAGGAAACTTAAATGCACAATTTTAAGTGAAAAAAGCCAATCTGAAAAGTCTGTATACTCTATGATTCCAATTGCACGCCATTTTGGAAAAGGTAAAAATATGGAAACAGTAAAAAGTCAGTGGTTGCTAAGGTTTGAGGAGAGAGGGATGAATAGTTGGAGGATATAGGATTTTAAAGGCAATGAAACTACTCTGTAAGCCACTACATGGTAGATAAATGTAATTATACATTATCAAACTTATAGAAAGTACAGCACCAAGAGTTAATCCTAATGTAAGCTATGGACTTTGAGGGATAATGAAGTGTCAATGTGGGTTCACCAATTGTGAAAAATGTACCACTGTGGTGGGGGTAGAGAATGTTGATAATGGGGAAGGCTATGCATATGTGGTTGCAGAGTATATATGGAAACTCTGTACTTTCACTTAATTTTGCTATGAACCTAAAACTGTTCTAAAAAAAAAAAAAAAACCCAAAGTCTATTAAAAATAAAACAAAACAAAAAGAAGTAGGGTGGTCGAAATGCTGCAATAAGTGTAAGAGTGATAAGATAAGGAAAATAGCTTAATGGAAATATTAACTATAAAGTACCAGGAGATAAATAATTCAGGATGACACTGTTTATGAAAGTTCTTTTATTTTATTTTGCAAATTATCAAGTGACATTACTTCAGGAACAGGATGTATGTTGAACTATTGTCTCTATTAGTTCTACATCAGCTAATGTTGTTCCTATCATCAGTGTCCCTTTTGTGTCACATTGGCCTTCTGGAATAAATAACAGAGAAGAAAGACTGCTTTGTATTGCAGACTCTTGCCAGGATTTGTTGATTCTATGATGGCGGCTATAATATTATAAGAAGAATGCTATAGATTAACTCAGCCAATCTTCAAGGGTATATTTTCAACTAAAATTTACATTAGCTAAACATACATCCATTTCCAATTGGTTTTTTATTACAACAATCATGTCCTTGAGGAATTTTGTATACTCTGTGTTTATAGTTACTTTTTTATCTTTTTTTTTTTTTTACATTTTGGTAAGAACACAACATTATATACCCTTTTAACAGATTTTTAAGTGTCTATTACAGTAATGTTATCTATAGGTACAATGTCACCCATCAGATCTCCTGAACTAATTCATCTTGCATAATTGAAATTCTACACACTTTGATTAACAACTGCCCATTTCCCCTCCTCACAGTCCCAGGCAACCATCATTCTGTTGTTCACTTCTATGAGTTTTACTTTTCCAGATACATACATATATATGATAATTAGTTCTGTTGCTTTCTCTCTCTCCATTTTTTTTTTGTTTGTTTTTTGAGAGGGAATCTTGCTCTGTCACCCAGGCTGCAGTGCAGTGATGAGATCTGGGCTCACTACAACCTCCGCCTGCCAGATTCAAGTGATTCTCCTACCTCAGCCTCCCTGAGTAGCTGGGATTACAGGCCACCATGCCTGGCTAGTTTTTGTATTTTTAATAGAGACAGGGTTTCACCATGTTGGCTACGCTGGTCTCCAACTTCTGACCTCAAGTGATCCACCTGCTTCTACCTCCCAAAGTGCTGGGATTATAGGCATGAGCCAGAGTGTCCAGCCAATGCTCATATATAAGTAGAATCATGCAGTATTTATCCTTCTTGACTAGCTTCTTTATTTTTTAGCATAATAGCCTCTAGGTTTATTTGTGATGTTGCAGGTTGGAGGATTTCCTTCTTTTTTAAGGCTGAATGATATGTCATTGTATGTGTATACTACATTTTCTTTATTCACTTATCTATCTATGGGCATTTAGATTGTTTCATACATTAGCCATTGTGAATAATGCTGCAATGAACACAGAAGTGATGATTCAGAATCTCAATTTTAATTATCTTGGATAAACACTCTAAAGTGGAATTGCTGCATCAGATGGTACTATTTTTAATTTTTTGAGAACCTCCATACTGTTTTCCATAGGCTGTACCAATTTACATCCCTACCAACAGTATACATGTGGTTTCTTTTATCCACATTCTCTCCAAAACTTATTGTCTCATTGTTTTGGTAATAGCCATTTGACAGGTGGAAAGTGATATATCATTGTGATTTTGATTTGCATTTCCCTGATGATTAGTGATGTTGAGCATCTTTTCGTATACCTGTTGGCTAAGTGTCTATCTATTTTGGGGAAATATTTATTCAACTCTTTAGTTCATTTTGTAATCAGGTTAGTGGCAGTTTTTGCTATTGAGTTTTAGGAGCTTCTTATGTATTTTTTATATTAACCAACGATCAGATATGTAGATTGCAAATATTTTCTCCAATTCCATTGGTTGCTTTTTGGCTCTATTAATTATTTTCTTTTTATGCAAAAACTTTTAGTTTAATAAAGTCCTACTTATTTATTTTGTCTTTATTTCCTGTGCTTCGGTTGTCAGACCTGTGAAAAATTGCCAAGACCGATGTTTTGGAGCATTTTCTTTATGTTTTCTTCTATGAGTTTTACATTTTCAGGTCTTATGTTTCCATCTTTCATCCATTTAGAGTTGACTTTTTTGTACATGTAGCATCACGATATCATTTCTTTATATGTGAATATTCAGTTTTCCCAACACCTTTGTTAAAGAGGCTGTCCTTTCCCCATTTTATATTCTTGGCACCCCTATTAAAAATAATTTGAACATATATGTGTGAATTTATTTTTGAGCTCTCTATTCTCTTCTATTGGTCAATATATCTGTCTTTATGCCAGTCCTATACAGTTTTAATTACTGTCAGTTTGTGAAAACATTTTAAATCAAAAACTGTGATGCCTCCAGCTTTGTTCTTTTTCAAGATTGTTGTGACTATTAAGGTTTTTTGTGGTTCCATATGAATTTTAGAATTGTTTTTCCTATTTCTGTAAGAAATGCTATTACAATTTGTATAGGAATTGCATTGCAACTGTAGATCACTTTGGATACTATGGACATTTTAACAATATTGAGTCTATCAGTCCACGTGGAAAAAATACAGGATGTTTTTCCACTTGTTTGTTTCTTGTCTAATGTCTTTCGTCATTATTTTCTACTTTTCAGTGAGCAAATCTTTACCTTCTTTAGTTAAGTCTATGCCTAAGTATTTTATTCTTTTTCACATTATTGTAAATGGGATTTTTTTTCTAATTTCCTTTTCTAGTAGTTCACTATTATTGTATAGAAACACAACTGGTTTTTATAGTATATGTAGGTACTATTGTGTCCGGAATTGGTGGGTTCTTGGTCTCACTGACTTCAAGAATGAAGCCGCGGACCCTCACGGTGAGTGTTACAGCTCTTAAGGTGGTGCGTCTGGAGTCTGTCCCTTCTAATGTTCAGATGTGTTTGGAGTTTCTTCCTTCTGTTGGGTTCGTGGTCTCGCTGGCTCAGGAGTGAAGCTGCAGACCTTCGCGGTGAGTGTTACAGCTCTTAAGGCAGCGCGTCTGGAGTTGTTCGTTCCTCCTGGTGGCCTCGTGGTCTCGCTGGCCTCAGGAGTGAAGCTGCAGATCTTCCCGGTGAGTGTTACAGCACTAAAAGCAGCGTGGACCCAAAGAGTGAGCAGTAGCAAGATTTATTGCAAAGACCGAAAGAACAAAGCTTCCACATTGTGGAAGGGGACCCGAGCGGGTTGCCAATGCTGGCTGGGGCAGCCTGCTTTTATTCTCTTATCTGGCCCCACCCACATCCTGCTGATTGGTAGAGCCGACTGGCCTGTTTTGTCAGGGCGCTGACTGGTGCATTTACAATCCCTGAGCTAGATACAAAGGTTCTCCACGTCCCCATCAGATTAGTTAGATACAGAGTTTCCACACACAGGTTCTCCAAGGCCCCACCAGAGCAGCTAGATACAGAGTGTCAATTGGTGCACTCACAAACCTTGAGCTAGACACAGGGTGCTGATTGGTGTGTTTACAATCCCTGAGGTAGATATGAAGACTCTCCAGGTCCCCACCAGACTCAGGAGCCCAGCTGGCTTCACCTAGTGGATCCCTCACTGGGGCTGCAGGTGGAGCTGCCTGCCAGTCCTGCGCCCTGCACTCGCATTCCTCAGCCCTTGGGTGGTCGATGGGACTGGGCGCCTTGGAGCAGGGAGTGGTCCTCGTCGGGGAGGCTCCGGCTGCACAGGAGCCCATGGAGGGGGTGGGAGGCTCAGGCATGGCGGGCTGCAGGTCCCGAGCCCTGCCCCGCGGGAAGGCAGCTAAGACTTAGTGAGAAATGGAGCGCAGCACCGGTGGGCTGGCACTGCTGGGGAACCCAGTACACCCTCCGCAGCCACTGGCCCGGGTGCTAAGTCCCTCATTACCCAGGGCCAGCAGGGCTGGCCGGCTGCTCCGAGTGCGGGGCCGCCAAGCCCACGCCCACCCGGAACTCCAGCTGGCCCACAAGCTCTGCACGCAGCCCCGGTTCCCACTCGCGCCTCTCCCTCCACACCTCCCTGCAAGCTGAGTGGGTGGGCTTCAGCCTTGGCCAGCCCAGAAAGGGGCTCCCACAGTGCAGTGGTGGGCTGAAGGGCTCCTCAAGTGCCGCCAAAGTGGGAGCCCAGGCAGAGGAGCTGCCGAGAGCGAGCGAGGGCTCTGAGGACTGCCAGCACGCTGTCACCTCTCACTATATCCTGCGACTCTCCTGAATTCCCCCAAATTTCCTGAATGGTTTATTAGTCTTAGTATTTTATGAAGTCTTTAGTTTTCTGTACATAAAGTAATGTCATCTGCAATCAGGGACAATTTTACTTCTTCTTTGATTTGGATGCCTTTTTTTTTTTCCTTTCCTGATTGCTTTGGCTAGGACTTCCAGTACTATGTTGAATCAAATTGTAGAGTGGGTTGCTGCCTTTTTCCTAATTTAGTAGAAAGCTTTCACCATTGAGTATGATGTTAGCTATGGGCTTTTAATATATGGCCTTTACTATGTTAAGGTAATTTCCTTCTATTACTACTTTATTGAATATATTTATCATGAGAGGCTGCTGAATTTTATCAAGATTTTTTGCATCTAATAAGATGATCACGTGTATTTATTTCTTTTTGTGGTTAATGTGGTATATCACATTAATTGATTTTTACATGTTGAACCACTCTTGCATCTCAGGGATAAATCTCACTTGGTCATAGTGTATGATCCTTTTGAAATGCTGTTGAATTCAGTTTGCTAATATTTTGTTGAGAATGTTTTTATCTATGTTCTAGAGGGATCTTAGTCTGTATATATATATTTTATGGTATCTGTGTCTAGCTTTGGTGTCAGGATAATACTGGCTTCATAAAATGAGTTAGAAGTGTTTCCTCCTCTTCAATTTTTGGAAGAGTTTGAGAAGAATTGGGATTTTTTTTTTCTTTTTATATTTGGTAAAATATACCAGTAAAGCCATCTAGTCCTGGACTTTTCTTGGTTGGGAGTTTGTTGATTACTGATTCAATCTCCACGCTAGTGATAGCTATGATCTGACCTTCTGTTTCTTATTGACTCAGTCTTGGTAAGTTGTGTGTTTCTAGGAATTTATTCATTTCCCTAAGTTATTCATTTTGCTCATATATAATTGCTTATAGTGATCTCTTATGAGCCTTTATATTTCTATGACATAAGTTTGAATGTCTCCTGTTTTATTTCTTACTTCATTTGAGTCTTCACTCTTTTTTCCTTAGTTTAGCTAAAGGTTTGTCAATTTTATCTTTTCAAAAAGCAAACTCATTTCAATGATTTTTTTCTATTGTTTTCTATCATCTATTTCATTTATTTCTGCTCTAATCTTTATTATATTCGTCTTTCTGTTAATTTTTGGGCTCGGTTTTTTCTTCACTTTCTTATTCCTTGAGGTGTAAAGTTAGTTTGTTTATTTGAAATTTCTCATTTATTAATGTAAGCATTTAGCTCTATTAACTTCCCTCACAGAACTGCTTTTGCTGCATCTCATAAGTTTTAGTATATTTCATTTTTGTTTTTGCTTTTCTCAAGATATTTTGAAATTTCCCTTTTGATTTCTTTTATGACCCATTGGTAATTCAAAAATGTATTGTTATATTATCCTCTAGTTTTGAATTTTCCAGTTTTTCTTCTGATATGAATTTTTAGTTTTGTTCCATTGTAATTAGAAAAGATACTTGACATGATTTCAAACTTTTAAAATTTAAGACTTTTTTTGTCTCCTAACATGTGATCTGGAGAATGTACTGTGAACACTTGAATAATGTATATTCTGTTATTGAGTTTGCCCATATATGTCTTTTAGATCCATCTGGTCTATTGTTCTATTCTAGTCCACTGGTCTTTTTGTTCATTTTCTGTCTGGTTTATATTTCCATCATTAAAAGTGGACTATTGAAGTCTCCTACTATTATTATATTGTTTATTTTCCTCTTCAGCTTTGTCAATATTTGCTTTATATATTTAGTGCTCTAATATTAGTTTAGGTATATATATTTATAATTGTTATTTCTTCCTGGTTGATCCTTTTATCACTATATAATGTCCTTCTTTGTCTCTTATGACAGTTATTACTTAAAACCTATTTTGTCTAATATAAATATAGCCACCCCATCTCTTTTTGCCATTTGTTTGGGATATCTTTTTTTGAAATTTTTGTATTTACAGCCTATGTGTCCTTAAATATAAAGTAAGTCTCCTATAGGCAGCATTTAGTTGCATCTTGGCTGTTTTTGTTTTTTTTGTTGGTTTGTTTGTTTGTTTTTCAAGCCACTCATGTCTTTTGATTGGGGATTTAATTCATTTGAATTTAATGTAATTATTGATAGAGAAGGATTTACTATTGCCATTTTAACTGTTTTTGTATCATACTTCTTTTGTTCTTGTTCTGTTGAATCTCTTTGTGTCTCATATTTCGTATTAATACACCTTGATTTTTTTCTATTTTTCCTTTGCATAAACTTTCATTGGTATTTTCTTTGTGGGTAGTGGCTCTCATAAAATATCTTATGATTATAACAGTCTATTTATAGCTGATAACAGCTTCACTCTCATACAAAAAGCTCTACATTTTTATATTCTTCTCCCGCATTATATATTATTAATAACTCACAATTTACATCTATTTGTAATGTGTACCTGTTAACAGGATTTTAAATATTATTATTTAAAATAACTTCTTTTAATGTTTATACAGTAATTAAAGTGATATTCCCAACACTATTACAGTAATACAGTATTCTGTATTCTTCTATATGCTTATCTTTGCCAGCCAAGTTTCATATTTCTTTATGCTATTGTGTTGCTATGTAATATCTTTCCACTTTGACTAGGAAGAACTCCCATTAGAATTTCTTGTAAGGCAAGCCTAGTGGTGATGAATTTCTTCAGCTATTATTTGTTGGGAAAATCTTTATTTCTTCTTCATTTGCTGGGCAAATTATTTTTGGTTGGTGCTTCTTTTTCTCTCAACACTTTGCATGTATGTTCCCATACTCTTCTGGCTTGCAATGTTTCTGCTGAAAAATCTGCAGTTTATATTATGAGGTTTCCTTTTATGTAACAAGTTGCTTTTATCTTTCTATTTTTAAAATTTCTGACTTTTGAAAATTAGATTATACTGTGTCTCAATATGAATTTCTTTGGGCTTGTTTGGCATTCCATAGGCTTCTTGGAACTGAATGTTTGTTTACTTGCCAGATTTGAGAAGTTTTCAGCCATTATATCTTTAAATAAGCTTTCTTCTCCTTACTCTCTCTCTTCTCTTTCTCGGACTTTCATAATATGTATATTTGATATGTTTTGGCTCTGTGTCCCTACCCAAATCTCATCTCAAATTATAATCCCCATGTGTCGAGAAAGGGACCTGTAATCCCCACCTGTCCAGGGAGGGAGGTGATTGGATCATGGGGGTGGTTTTCCCCATACTGTTCTCATGATATGAATGAGTTATCGTGAGATCTGATAGTTCTATAAGTGTTTGACAGTTCCTCCCTCACACACTCTTCTCTCTTACCTGTTGTCATGTAAGACATGCCTGCTTCCCGTTCTGCCATGATTGTAAGTTTCCTGAAACCTCCCCAGCCATGCAGAACAGTGAATCAATTAAACCTCTTTCCTTTATAAATTACCCAGTCTCAGGTACTTCTTTATAGCAGTGTGAAAACAGACTAATACAATATTGGTCAGCTTGATGGTGTCTTATAAGTTCCTCAAGCTATCTTCAGCCCTTTCTGTTCTTTTCTTTTTGTTCCTGTGACTGGACAATTTCTAATAACCTGTCTTCAATTTCGCTGATATTTTCTTCTGCTTGATGTAGTCTGCTGTCAAACATCTCTAGTGAATTTTTTAGTTATTATACTATTCAACTCTATAATTTCTATTAGCACTTTAAAAAATATTTTCTTTAAATTGAAATGCTCACTTCCTTGATGTATTGCTCTTCTGACCTCAGTGAGCATCTTTTTGAAAATTACTTTTGTTTTTCCATCTAATAAATTACATATTTCCATTTCATTGGGGTTGGTTTTTATAGATTTATCTTGTTCCTTTATTTAAAATATATATCCCAATTTCTTCTTTTTCTTTGACTCTCTGTGTTGGTGTCTATGCATTAAATTAAGCAGCTACCTCTCCCAATCTTCAACAACTGGCCTTATGTAGAAATTTGTATAGACTTTTACCAGTTAGCCTGGCCAGTAATTCTGGGTGTCTCTCAAACTTTGTGTTCTTCTAGGCTACATCTTTGTTCTCACATCTTTGTTCTTAGCAGTTCCCAGAAGTCTAGAGTATACCATGCACTATCATTGCCTAAAGGCATGTGAGAAGAAAACCAGTTTCTCAAGTAACAGCTGGAAAAGTTGGGGCACTAGATGTGTGGACCAATTCCTTTTATCCTCATGGAGAGGCTGAAAGATGGAGTTTATCAACTACTCGTTCTACACTAAGCCAGAGAGACGTACAGAGAGCTGTAGCAAATGCCCACACACTCATAAAAAATGTATTATCTATTGAACCATTTCTTTGCTCTCTGTAGACCACAGGGAACCAGAAAATGTTGGCCCCTGTCAATAATCAGAAACAGAAGAGTTATTATCCAGTCCTTGAAGTTGCGGCCACAAAAATTAAGGGTTGGGGAGCTTACTGTGTAGTCCAACTCTTTCCAGGGAGAAGCTGAAAGCTTGGTTTTATCACCGGAGTGGGCCAGGGAAGGAGCTGTGGGAAGCACTACAGGTCCATTTTATTTATTTGTATTTATTTATTTATTATTATACTTTAAATTCTGGGATACATGTGCAGAACATACAGGTTTGTTACATAGGTATACACGTGCCATGGTGGTTTGCAGCACCCATCAACTTGTCATCTACATTAGGTATTTTTCCTAATGCTAGCCCTCCCCTGGCCCCCAGCCCCCAACAGGCTCTGGTGTGTGATGTTCCCCTCCCTGTGTCCATGAGTTCTCTTTGTTCGACTCCCATTTATGAGTGAGAACATGCAGTGTTTGGTTTCCTGTTCCTCTGTGAGTTTGCTGAGAATAACGGTTTCCAGCTTCTTCCATGTCCCTGCAAAGAACATGAAATCATCCTTTTTATGGCTGCATAGTATTCCATGGTGTATGTGTGACCCTTTTTCTTTATCCAGTCTATCACTGATGGGCATTTGGGTTGGTTCCAAGTCTTTGCTATTGTGAACAGTCCTGCAATAAACATACATGTGCATGGTTCTTTATGGTAGAATGATTTATAATCCTTTGGGGATATACCCAGTAATGAGATTGCTGGGTCAGATGTTATTTCTGCTTCTAGATCTTTGAGGAATTGCCACACTGCCTTCCACAATGGTTGAACTAATGTACACTCCCATCACTCTCCAACATCTGTTGTTTCCTGACTTCTTAATGATCGCCATTCTAACTGGCATGAGTTGGTATCTCATTGTGGTTTTGATTTGCATTTCTCTAATGACCGGTGATGGTGAACTTTTTTTCATGTTTGTTGGCCACATGAATGTCTTCTTTTGAGAAGTGTCTGTTCATATCCTTCAACCCATTTTTGATGGGGTTATTTGATGTTTTTCTTGTAAATTTGTTTAAGTTCCTTGTACATTCTGGATGTTAGCCCTTTGTCAGATGGATAGATAGCAAAAATTTTCTCCCATTCTGTAGGTTGCCTGTTCACTCTGATGATAGTTTATTTTGCTATGCAGAAGCTCTTTAGCTCAATTAGATCCCATTTGTCAATGTTGGCTTTTGTTGCCATTGCTTTTGGTGTTTTAGTCATGAAGTCTTTGCCTATGCCTATGTCCCGAATGGTATTGCCTAGGTTTTCTTCTAGGGTTTTTATGATTTTAGGATTTTAGGTCTTACATTTAAGCCTTTATTCCATCTTGAGTTAATTTTTGTATAAGGAGTAAGGAAGGGGTCCAGTTTCAGTTTTCTGCATATGGCTAGCCAGTTTTTCCAGCACCAATTATTAAATAGGGAATCCTTTCCCCCTTGCTTGATTTGTCAGGTTTGTCAAAGATCAGATGGTTGTAGATGTGTGGTGTTATTTCTGAGGCCTCTGTTCTGTTCCATTGGTCTATATATCTATCTGTTTTGGTACCAGTACCATGCTGTTATGGTTACTGTAGCATTGTAGTATAGCTTGAAGTCAGGTAGCATGATGCCTCCAGCTTTGTTCTTTTTGCTTAGGATTGTCTGGGCTATACGAGCTCTTTTTTGGTTCCATATGAAATGTAAAGTATTTTTTTCTAATTCTGTGAAGAATGTCAGTGGTTGTTTGATGGGGATAGCATTGAATCTGTAAGTTCTTTTGGACAGTATGGCCATTTTCACAATATTGATTCTTCCTATCCATGAACATGGGATTTTTTCCATTAGTTCGTGTCCTCTCTTATTTCCTTGAGCAGTGGTTTGTAGTTCTCTTTGAAGAGGTTCTTCACATCCCTTGTAAGTTGTATTCGTAGATATTTTATTCTCTTTATAGCAATTGTGAATGGATATTCACTCAAGATTTGGCTCTCTGTCTATTATTGGTATATAGGAATGCTTCTGATTTTTGCACATTGATTTTATATCCTGAGATATTGCCGAAGTTGCTTATCAGCTTAAGGAGATTTTGGGCTGAGACAATGGGGTTTTCTAAATATACAGTCATGTCATCTACAAACAGAGACTATTTGACTTCCTCTCTTCCTATTTGAACACCCTTTATTTCTTTCTCTTTCCTGATTGCCCTGGCCAGAACTTCCAATACTATGTTGAATAGGAGTGGTGAGAGAGGGCATCCTTGTCTTGTGCCAGTTTTCAAAGGGAATGTTTCCATCTTTTGCCCATTCAGTATGATATTGGCTGTGGGTTTGTCATAAATACCTATTATTATTTTGAGATACATTCCATCAATACCTAGTTTATTGAGAGTTTTTAGCATGAAGTGCTGTTGAGTTTTAGCAAAGGCCTTTTCTCCATCTATTGAAATAATCATGTGGTTTTTGTCATTGGATTGGTTTATGTGATGGATTATGCTTATTGATTTGCAGACACTAAACCAGCCTTGCACCCCAGGGATGAAGCTGATTTGATCGTGATGGATAACCTTTCTGATGTGCTGCTGGATTCGGTTTGCCAGTATTTTATTAAAGATTTTTGCATCGATATTCTTCAGGGATATTGGCCTGAAATTTTTTATTTTTGTTGTGTTTCTGCCAGGTTTTGGTATCAGGATGATGTTGGCCTCATAAAATGAGTTAGGGAGGAGTTCCTCTTTTTCTATTGTTTAAAATAGTTTCAGAAGAAATGGTACCAAATCCTCGTTGTACCTCTGGTAAAATTCGGCTGTGAATCCATCTGGTCCTTGGCTTTTTTGGGTTGGTAGGCTATTAATTACTGCCTCAATTTCAGAACTTGTTATTGGTTTATTCAAGGATTTGACTTCTTCCTGGTTTAGTTGTGAGAGGGTGTGTCCAGGAATTTATCCCTTTCTTCTAGATTTTCTAGTTTATTTGCATAGAGGTTTTTATGGTATTCTCTGATGGTAGTTTGTATTTCTGTGGGATCAGTGGAGATACCCCCTTTATCATTTTTATTGTGTCATTTTGATCATTCTCTCTTTTCTTCTTTATTAGTCTGGCTAGCAGTCTATCTATTTTGTTAGTGTTTTCAAAAAACTGCCTACTCGATTTACTGATTTTTTTGAAGGGTTGTCGTGTCTCTATCTCCTTCAGTTCTGCTCTGATCTTAGTTACTTCTTGTCTTCTGCTAGCTTTTGGATTTGTTTGCTCTTGTTTCTCTAGTACTTTTAATTGTGATATTAGGGTATCGATTTTAGATCTTTCCTGCTTTCTCCCTTAGGCATTTATTGCTCTAAATTTCCCCGTAAACACTGCTTTAGCTGTGTCCCAGAGATTCTGGTATGTTTTTGTCTTTGTTCTCATTGTTTTCAAAGAACTTATTTATTTCTGTCTGAATTTTGTTATTTACCTAGTAGTCATTCAGGAGCAGATTGTTCAGTTTCCATGTAGCTGTGTGGTTTTGAGTGAGTTTCTTAATCCTGTGTTCTAAGTTGATTGCACCATGGTCTGAGAGACTGTTTGTTATGATTTCCATTCTTTTGCTGAAGAGTGTTTTACTTCCAATTATGTGGTTTATTTTAGAATAAATGTGATGTGGTACTGAGAAGAATGTATATTCTATTTATTTGGGGTGGAGAGTTCTGTAGATGTCTATTAGGTCTGCCTGGTCCAGAGCTGAAATCAAGTCCTGAATATCCTTGTTAATTTTCTGTCTCATTGATCTAATATTGACAGTGGGATGTTAAAATCTCCCACTATCATTGTGTGGGAGTCTAAGTCTCTTTGTAGGTCTCTAAGAACTTACATTATGAATATGGGTGCTCCTGTATTGGGTGCATATATATAATTAGGATAGTTAGCTCTTCTTGTTGTATTGATCCCTTTACCACTATGTAATACCCGTCTTTGTCTTTTCTGATCTTTGTGGGTTTAAAGTCTGTTTTATCAGAGGCTAGGAGTATTGCAACCCCTGCTTTTTTTTTTTTTTTTTTTTTTTGCTTTCCATTTGCTTGGTAAATATTACTCCACCCCTTTATTTTGAGCCTATGTGTATCTTTGTGCATGAGATGGGTCTCCTGAATACAGCACACCGATGGGTCTTGACTCTTTATCCAAATTGCCAATTTGTGTCTTTTAATTGGGGCATTTAGCTCATTTACATTTAAGGTTAATATTGTTATGTGTGAATTTGATCCTGTCGTTATGATGCTAGCTGGTTATTTTGCCCGTTAGTTGACGCAGTTTCTTCATAATGTTGACGGTCTTTACAATTTGCCATGTTTTTGCAGTGGCTGGTACCAGTTGTTCCTTTCCATGTTTAGTGCTTCCTTCAGGAGCTCTTGTAAGGCAGGCCTGGTGGTGACAAAATCTCTCAGCATCTGCTTGTCTGTAAAGGATTTTATTTCTCCTTCACTTATGAAGCTTAGTTTGGCTGGATATGAAATTCTGGGTTGAAAATTCTTTTCTTTAAGAATGTTGAATATTGGCCCCCACTGTCTTCTGGCCTGTAGGGTTTCTGCAGAGAGATCCACTTTTAGTCTGATAGGCTTCCCTTTGTGGGTAACCTGACCTTTCTCTCTAGCTGCCCTTAACATTTTTTCCTTCATTTCAGCCTTGGCAAATCTGATGATTATGTGTCTTGGGGTTGCTCTTGAGAAGTATCTTTGTGGTGTTCTCTTTATTTTCTGAATTTGAAGGTTGGCCTGTATTTCTAGGGGGAAGTTCTCCTGGATAATATCCTGAAGAGTGTTTTCCAACTTGGTTCCATTCTCCCCGTCACTTCAGGTACACCAATCAGATGTAGGTTTCATCTTTTCACATAGTCCCGTATTTTGGGGGGGTTTGTTCATTCCTTTTCACTCTTTTTTTCTCTAATCTTGTCTTCATGCTTTATACCATTAAATTGATCTTCAATCTCTGATATCTTTTCTTCTGCTTCAGTGATTCAGCCATTGATACTTGTGTATGCTTCACGAAGTTCTCGTGCTATGTTTTTCAGCTTCATCAGGTCATTTATTTTCTTCTCTAAACTGGTTATTCTAGATAGCAATTCCTCTAACCTTTTTTCAAGGTTCTTAGCTTCCTTGCATTGGGTTAGAGCATGTTCGTTTAGTTTGGAGGAGTTTGTTATTACCCACCTTCTGACGCTTACTTCTGTCAGTTTGTCAAATTCATTCTCCATTCAGTTTTGTTCCCTTACTGGCGAAGAGTTGTGATCCTTTGCAGGAGAAGTGGCATTCTGGTTTTTGGAATTTTCATCCTTTTTGCACTGTTTTTTTCCTCATCTTGGTGGATTTATTTATCTTTGGTCTTTGATCTTGGTGACCTTTAGATGGGGTTTCTGAGTGGATGTCCTTTTTGTTGATGTTGATGCTATTCCTTTCTGTATGTTACTTTTCCTTCTAACAATCAGGCCTCTCTGCTGCAGGTCTGCTGGAGTTTGCTAGAGGTCCATTCAGACCCTGTTTGCCTGGGTATCACCAGTGGAGGCTGCAGAACAGCAAAGGTTGCTGCCTGTTCCTTCCTCTGGAAGCTTCATCCCAGAGAGGCACCCACCAGATGCCAGCCAGAGCTCTCCTGTATGAGGTGTCTGTTGACCCCTGCTGGGAAGTGTCTCCCAGTCAGGAGGCATGGGGGTCAGGGACCCACTTGAGGAGGCCGTCTGTCCCTTCCCAGAGCTCCAGTGCTGCACTGGGAGATCTGCTGCTCTCTTCAGAGCCAGCAGCCGGGAACTTTTAAGTCTGCTGAATCTGCACCTGCAGCTGCCCCTTCCCAAAGGTGCTTGGTACCAGGAAGATGGGAGTTTTATCTATAAGCCCCTGACTGGGGCTGCTACCTTCTTTTCAGAGATGCCCTGCCCAGAGATGAGGAATCTAGAGAGGCAGTCTGGCTTCAGTAGCTTTGCGGTGTTGTGGTCGGCTCCACCCAGTTTGAACTTTCCAGTGGTTTTGTTTACACTGTGAGGGGAAAATCGCCTACTCAAGCCTCAGTAATGGCGGACGCCCCTTCCCCCACCAAGCTCGAGAGTCCCAGGTTGACTTCAGACTGCTCTGCTGGCAGTAAGAATTTAAAGCCAGTGGATCTTAGCTTGCTGGGCTCTGTGGGGGTGGGATCCATTGAGATAGACCATTTGGCTCCCTGGCTTCAGCCCCCTTTCCAGGGGAGTGAATGGTTCTGTCTTGCTGGCATTCCAGGTGCCACTGGGGTATGAAAAATAAACTCTTGCAGCTAGCTTGGTGTCTGCCCAAATGGCTGCCCAGTTTTCTGCTTGAAACCCAGGGCCCTGGTGGCATAGGCACCTGAGGGAATCTCCTGGTCTGTGGGTTGCAGAGACCATGGGAAAAGTGTATTATCTGGGCTGGAGTGTACCATCCCTAAGAGTGCAGTCCCTCAGGGCTTCCCTTGGCTAGGGGAGGGAATTCCCCAATCCCTTGCATTTCCTGGGTGAGGCAATGCCCCATCCTGCTTCTGCTTGCCCTCTGTGGGCTGCACCCACTGTCCAACTAGTACCAGTGAGTTGAACCAGGTACCTCAGATGGAAATGCAGAAATCACCCACCTTCTGTGTTGTTATTTCTGGGAGCTGCAGACTGGAGCTGTTCCTATTCAGCCATCTTGCCAGCCACCCTTACATGTCCATTTTAAAGTGCCACTTTTTTTCTTTGTAGCTTCCAGGACACAATTGATTGTCAGCCTCATCAACTCCCAGAGACAAGTTAGTTAGAAGCCAGAACTTCGGGGAAAAGCCAGAAATGTAAGGATGCTAAATGTGAGGTACAAACTCTTTACTTCTCAGAGAGAAGCTGGGAACTGGAGATTCTCTCCCAGTTGTATAGAACTCTGCAAGGGGAGGGTTTATGGGGAGTATGTGTGTCAGCTTTACCTACTAGTTCTGATGTGGATAGTTTCTCGCTCAGCCAGGACGCAAGAGCCTCTCCACCAGTCTCTGAATTTCTCAAAAAGGGAAATGATCCATGTGTTGCTGTTGAATTGTTGCATCTAATGAGGGAAGGAAAGTGTGCATCCTTCTATTCTGCCATCTTGTTGACGTTACTCCTACTTTTTAATAAACATTATCTAGTCCTTTATTGAATTATTACATTTTCTATATGGCATATGCATTAAATTGATGTGTTTTTATGAGTTAAAAATATATATTAAATGTTTACATTAGCTTGTTATTTGTATTGGAAAAATCTTTGCAGAGATTTTTTTTTTTTTGAGACAGAGTATCAGTGTTGTTGCCCAGGATGGAGTACAATGGTGTGATCTTGGCTCACTGCAACCTCTGCCTCCCGGGTTCAAGTGATTCTCCTGCCTCAGCCTCCTGAGCTGGGATCACAGGCATGCACCACCATGCCAGCTAATTTTTTGTATTTTTAGTATAGACAGGGTTTCACCATGTTGGTCAGGCTGGTCTTGAACTCCTGACCTCAGGTGATCCACCAGCCTCAGCCTCCCAAAGTGCTGGGGTTACAGGCATGAGCCACTTCTATTTTAATAGAAGTAAATGTGTTCTTGGAAAACGAAGTTATAGAATCTTTCAGAAAGCAGTACTATTTTATACAAAAAGACTTCCAATACATCTAGTGCATGTATCATAATTTTTAATAATAGCTGCTCACACAATAAGAACAAGGTGATAGTTAATTTCAGCCCAGCTAAACACTTCAAAGAGAACACTATTTATAATATAGTTTCCAGAGTTTCTTTATGTTGTTAGTGTTTTCAGAGCAAGAACCAATCAATTTTTACACCATTACATGCATTTGCATAGCTCTATAGAAATATAATATTTATTCATATGAAATGTAAATAGGATATACAGGTATAAATAACTATAATACAAATGGCATAATTTTTAGTATAAGAGGCTAGCCTATATTCAAATCTACTTTTGTTCTGAATGGTTTCATGTATATATACAAAAATGTCAAATATCACTGAATAAATTATGATCACTGTATTTACCGGGATAAATTAAACGCATGGAGAGGACCTGAAAGATGATGCAGTATCTTTGTACATATGCAATATATAAGTGTTTACACATATAAACCTTTAAGAAAAATATTATAATGTCTGTAAGCACAGACATCTGAGATAGAAATGGATTTGAACCTTGGCTCAACTATTTCCCCCTTGGTGACTTTGGGCAAGTTCTTATCAGAAAATAGAGATGGCAGGTTTTTAACATGATGAGAAATGCATATAACAATTTGGCAGAATATCTGTTATTTAATCAGTGCTCAGTAAATGATCATTATGTCCACTTGCTTATTTTGAAGCTTAGTGTAGAAATAGAAAATAAATGCTAATCCAAGTGCTGATAACCTTAATAATCAGTGGGCTTAATCGAATTCAGGCTTTAGTCTGAGAAAATTTAATTAAATATAGTCATCCACTCATTTCCTTTCCCATATAACTCAATTTTGAAAGAAACTGATATTTTTGAGGAGATGGATTCTACTTTTCTTGAAAGCACTTGCTTTAGCCTCATAATGTGACTCAGAAAAGCAGAAATGATGCTAGGAAATATGAGTTGGGAAAGTGCAAATTTGGTGGGCCAAATGGAATTTCTGTGGGTGTAATGATTTTTAGAAACTGACAGCAAGCTGTCTAATACCATATTTCCATATTCATCCTCGAGTAGCATGAGCCACAAAATTCCTAGCAGCGAGCCTTCCTGGTTGGCTGGGTTATATCTTTGGGAAGCTTTATAGCTGAACTTTAAAATAAATCCACACAGTTTGGGGCTTTAAATTTCATTTTTGGAATATTAATCTAAGAGAACAACAGACATTTATTCTGTCCAAATGTGCTATTGGCCCTCTTAAAACCATGCTGCACAATTCTTCTGAGCATGATTGAGAACCTTATATTGCCTTCTTGTCATCATAAGTTCCATGAAAGGCAGTAACTCCTTAATGGATATTTGTTCACCTGTCTCATCTATTCCAATAAAAAGCTGAAATAAATACACACTTGAATTGCTCTAAGGATTTATTCACACAGAAATTATCTGCCAGGAAGTTAGTTATATCCATGAGACATTCATCTCTTCTCTGTGTGTAGTAGGCCACCAGATGGTAGCTCTCCACAGCTCTTGTGGGCTGTGAATTGGCACTAATTGAAACATCAAAACTCACTTCAAGTCTCCTATAGAAGAACTACATCCTCAGATCTCCAAACACTCTAAACCATGAATTTAGAGTGCACTGCATTATATGTTATTGTTTTTATTTTGGAAAAATCAATAATATATTCACAGAAAATGTTACACGTGGGCTAGAAAAAAAGAATCCTTTAAATTTTATAATTTGCATTTTAAATACTTCTATCCTGATTCTAAATGGCATCAAATAGCATATTTTTTCAAGATTATATAAAACATCGCTGGTGACAAATTTTCACTCTAAGAAGGATATTATTTTCAATTGATTTGATTTCATTAAAGATGTACATAGACTTTTTTAATGACAGGAAGCTAAATTACTATTTGATTAGCTCCTGTATCATATTCATGGCCATGAGCTAGATAGACAAAAGCATACTTACACTGATAATAGCACTCAAACAACTAGTGCCCACTTTTATTCTTTTTCCAGTAAATATTTTATTTTGGTCAACTTACTAATAATAGGCAAAATACTATAATAAAGCCATGATTCAATTAGCAAATATTTGTTGAAAATGTACATGTACTATCTATTGTGATAGTCTCACTGGAAAAACAAAAATGGCTGTAAAATAATTTCTGACAATTTGAAGCTTCTTTTCGGTGGCAAAAATCAGCATCAATGCAGACACAAAAAGAATTATTTCAGAAAAAATATGCTGTTATAATAGATTCACAAAAAAATAATTTTTCTTAGGAGGAATCAGGGAAAACACTGGAACATAATGAAAAATAAATACGGTTAGAACAGATGATGTTGAGGCAAAGGCATTTCAGACAGACAGAGCAAGGTGATCAAAGAATAACATAGGCGGGCGGATCACAACGTCAGGAGATTGAGACCATCCTGGCCAACACGGTGAAAACCCGCCTCTACTAAAAATATAAAAAATTAGCCGGGCGCGGTGGCGGGCTCCTGTAGTCCCAGCTACTCGGGAGGCTGAGGCAGGAGAATGGCGTGAGCCCGGGAGGCAGAAGTTGCAGTGAGCCGAGATGCGCCACTGCACTCCAGCCTGGGTGACAGTGCGAGACTCTGTCTCAAAAAATAAAAATAAAAATAAAAATAAATAAAAGTAGTCAGTGTGGGTATATCCCAGAAAAAAGGTTGAGTAAAATGAGAAACACTTCACACCTGAAAGTTAATTGGTGACTTTACACTGATACAGTTTTCATTGGCATGGAATATTAATATCGACACCTTAATATTATAAAGAAATACACAGAACAATCATTTTTATCTTAAAATGAATTATTCTTTCTCAAAGCAAGTTCATTTTTACATTGCACAGTGTTTTCTCAGTTTAAAAAGATGGAGTTGAAAGTCAGATTACAAAGGGACCAAGGACTGAATGCTGAATGGCAACCAAGTAGGTCAGCAGAGGATGTGTTGACAACACATGTGGAAAAACATCAGCAGGAAGAGATTAGATACTGTATAGCAAAAAAAAAAAAAAATACTGGTTAAGGGAACTCTGCTTTAGATTAATTGATTGGACTTCTCAAAAACTTGATTTAAGAAAAAGATTAATTTTAACAGGAAAAATCACAGCATGGAAATTTCTGGGAGGCTAATGAGAATACTACAGTGAAAGTAGTTAAGAATATAAATTTTCAAACCTATCAAATTGCATTAAATATATGTGTAGGTTTTGGGGGTTTTTTGTATGTCCATTGTACCTCAATAAAGCCATTAAAAAGAGAATATAAACTGTGAAGTCCAACAGATCTGTGTTAAAATCCAAACTTTGGCTGTATAATCCCTGAAGAACAATTTAAATTATCTACTTCTCTGTTTTCTCATCTATATATTCAGGTTAATAATACCTACTTTAAAGTATTGCTTGTGAGTTAATTAAATAATGCATATTATACCTGTAATCCCAGTGCCAAGGCAGGAAAAATCACTTAAGGCTAGGCATTTGATACCAGCCTGGGCAACATAGAGAGACCCTGATTCTACAAAAAAATAAATAAAAGTAGATTAGCCTGGCCTGGTGTTGTGCACCTATAGTCCTAGCTACTCCAGATGCCTAGGCGGGAGGATCGCTTCAGCCCAGGAGTTTGAAGCTGCAGTGAACTATGTTCATGCCATTGCACTCAAGCCCAGTTGACAGAGAGACACCCTGTCTTAATAAAAAAAATTTTTTTTAAGCATATTAAGTGCTTGGAATGGTGCTGGGACATATAAGCACTCAGAAAATTATAGTTATAAAAAATGATCATGGTTTACAAACTGGATAAGTGAAGAACTCATTAGTAAGAACAAATTATATGCTAAATATATCCGTAACTGGCTCCTCTCACACATCCAAAAGGATTGAAATGTTTTTTTGGTGAAGTGTGCTTTCAAAATTTAATTCTCACTATTTATTCAGTCTTTCCTTAGAAGGAACAGCCACGGCAGTAACTTACTCATACTGTATTTTGAGTGGTATTAGTTGTTTCAAATACGTTTTTAACAAATTAGTATGTAATGTATTTAGTGTCTACTGAGGTCCTAAAGGGAAATGAGTTGAACTACAAAACACATCACAAAGAGTCCAACAACTGATATCGAGGAATGTTTTTGGCTGGATTTCCTTGGAGCTTTCATGGGATCTGAATCTTTCTCTCACTTACCATCATTCTCCAGTAGCCTGCACACTACAGTGGTTGTCAACAGTTATTGCATCATATTGAAGATATAGCCATCTCATAGCAGTCCCGCCATTCTGACAATAGTTAGAATGTTATATTCAAAAGATGTGTGAAAATGGAGATGCTTTAGGAAGTGCCAATTTTAAAAAGTTGAGTGATTTGTGACAGCAAAGAATCAAAATGTTTGCATTCCACATCTTCAAACTGAAAAAAAAATCATGCCAATGAGCAGAAGTGAAAAGAACAACACATTAATTTGAACAAGTTTATTTAATAGAAATGTAGAATATTGTTAGACTTCAGAGAAAAAAATCAAAAGTGTACTCCATAACACATCGATCAATTTTACATCCTATACAAAACTTTTCCCTTCATTTTGACTTGCATATATGGCACAGTCAGAGTATTTCTCATAATAAAACTGGTACAGAAAATTAGTACTTCAGAAAAACCAAAGAACATTTCAAAGGCAGTGTGGGTAGAGGGCAAGAAAGTCTGATCGTCTTGTCTGTAATCCCAATACTACCCTTTCCATTGACTACTACGGTCTTTCAAATCATAACAAGAACTGGAAGATTATGGTAAATACCAATCTAAGGAAGAGTTGCCAGAGTGTTAAACGTGTTCAGAGAGAGCATGCATTTATAGAGAATCCAAGCAGAATTCATAAGTTGATATGAAATATTGGAACCGAACTTTAAAGAGTAAGTGTAATTTTTCAGTTACTTTATTTTTTTACTGTAAAATACATCTAATATATAAAAGTGTGTGTGTTTACACTGACATAGTGTATCTCTGTAATTTGAAGAGTAAGAATTAGCATTCATGAGCCCACCATCTTTCTTAGGAAATTAAACACTATCATTACCTTCAAATGCCTCTGTATTTCCTTTTTCAGTCCCATCTCCCTCAGAAGTAACCACTGCTCCTAAATTAGGGGCTAGATCATTCTCTTGCATTTCTTTGTACTTTTACCAAATATATATGTGTCACCAAGTGATATATAACCTTTGTTTTGTTTAGCTTTGTATCTGTAAGTAAATAAAATACAATAATACTATCAGTATTTTTCTAAGACTTGCTTTTTTTGCTCAATATTGAAGTTTGTGATTTAAGCATGTTGATTCATGTTACTGTAATTAATTTGTTTTCACTAGCATGTAACATGCCATTATATAAATATGCCTCAATATTTATTTATATACTCTTTAGCCAGTAGACTTTGTAGTTATTTTCTAGTGATTTTCTATTACAGTCAGTGTTATGATAAACATTTCTAGGCCATCTCTTGGTACACTCATACAAGAAGGTTTTCTTTTAAGGCAATGTATGAGAATTGGAATTACTCAGTCCAAGAATATATAAACCTTCAGTTTGAATAGATAATACCAATTTATTTTCCAAGTTGGTTGTACTAATTTACATACCTACAAGTAATAGACAACAGATCTTGTTAACCCAAACCCCTTACAAAATTTGGAATTTGTTTTAATTTTTACCACATGGATCTATCCTCTCAAACAGATTCACATATCTATCAAGCAAAAGAACTAAAATTTACATGATCATAAAATTCTAGTCCTGGCGAATGAACTTTTTTTGTTTATGACTATAACTTTTGTTTAGAAGGAACTTGTAATGACATGCACTCAAATGTACTCTGTAATTTTAACTAGCAACTAGAATTTTAAGTAGTCATTCCTCTGCTACTTTTTCTAATTAAGGAGAAAAAAATAGCAGATGATAGTAGAAGAACACAGAGAAGTCCAAAAATCATTTATATTTGCTCACACACATGTGCAATCTTACCATATCATAACAAATGCATATTTACACACCTCTTCTATGCCTGGCTTTTCTTACGCTTTACAGCTTGTATTCTGTCCCTGGGGAAGCTCAACACACTTTTAATTCCTCTGATAACTAGATGTGACACACTAATGGACTTAATAATTTGATAAGAACAATAAGATTGTGTGACAAATTAATAGTGTTTATAGACTTGCATATGAGAGACATGTCAGAGTATTAGATTGACTTTTCAATTCTATTTACTATCAGGGAGGAATAAATGGAATTGTCAAAATCACAGAGATTTTATAAATTTTATGTTTCTAGCAGCCCAATTTACTCTTGAGGAAATCAGATATAAGATGTTTATTGATTACAGTGAACCACTGAATATCTTAAGGAATTATGGGGTTTGCATATTAAGAAGTTAAGGAAATAGTTATTAATTTAAAATAGATTGAATTTATTTTCCATGGCGATGTCTGCTTTATAGGCTTTTGTTTTGATGTAATGTAAAGAGAGAACAACTATTTAAGCTTTTTAATCCTTTTTCTCTCTTTGTACAATGATTTTTTTAATGATGTTCAATATTCTTTAAGCACTTCAATGGAACAATTTGCATAAATGCCTGTATTACTCACATTACTTCAATGTGTCTTTCTTGGCTCTCATTGACAAAAATCTACAGACAGAATCTATATAAATCTATAATATCCTTTCATCATTAACACCATTTCCTCTAGATTAAGCTCCATGAAAATACTAATATACCTTAATATGGGTCCATGAAAAGGGCTAGTAGTGATGATCCTGAATATGTGACCAGTGCGTGTACCAAGCTGATTGAACCATTTTTTTTAACAATCGCTTTTTAGTTCGGTGTAAGGAAGGAAAGAGCCTGCTTTTTCACACAATGCCAAACCTTGAATAGTTCCAATTTCAGCCTAATCACACTTTCCTTAAAATTTCACTCTGTCTGAATAATGAAAAAGAGTGATATGAAAATTGTATGAAACTAGCATGCCCCAGGACAGGTAGAGTGGGATGTAATTACATATGCTTCAACAGCTGGAGCAATGTGCTGTAAGAAAGGCTTTTAAGGTGACAGAAGTTAATTGCACAGGTTTTTGGGCAGAAGAAAATGTATGTGAAGAAGCAAAGGGGAAGGACACAAACCCAGAGAGGGTTTCAGATTTAGAAATCTGAGAGAAAAAGGATATTTTTGAATTAGAAATGGACATAAAAAGATAAATGGTGAGCTACTTTTTCCTACAGAAGAAATAAAAAGGCAAATCTTGGCTGGGTGGAAAGCGCTGTATTTCTAGCTAGGCTCCCAAGCATAAAGCTTT
This sequence comes from Homo sapiens, assembly GCF_000001405.40. Taxonomy (NCBI): domain Eukaryota; kingdom Metazoa; phylum Chordata; class Mammalia; order Primates; family Hominidae; genus Homo; species Homo sapiens. Next base: position 30,859,066 of record NC_000018.10, read on the forward strand.
TTATGATGTACCTGCATATAAAATAGGACAGCCTCCCATAAACCAGGCTGTGATATTCCCCAGTGACAGTGGTCCACAAGGCAGCTCAGTAAAAAACTAGCACATTTTCCTGCAATATCTGTAATGACAGTGGCGTCTATCTTGGGCTACAGATGGTGGGGCCATAAAAACCATGATGCGTTCAGTCTTGTGTCCAGCTGAAAAACACAAAGCTTTTGAAAGAGACCCTTCGGGTGGCATTTCTCTAATGAAGCCTGAATCACTTTTTGCAAGCTGTGTGAGTTTATCACAAAGAAGAGAAAGGGACTGTGTATGATGGTAGGAGTCACAATGAAAATAAAAGTTTCAAGAGGAAAAATGCAGTAAGTTGTGTTATCAATTTCAGTCTTATCCATCTTCCCCAGAGAGCTACCTTTTTGTAGAGTTAGCTGGACATGAGCTACTCTGCTCACTCCCGCTGGGTGTACAATAAACACAATACCTTACATACATATTCCTCGATTTCTGAATGTTTTCAGGAAGAATGCATGCTAAATCACCTGAAAAAGAATCCTCCTGGATTTTGTATAATGGAGCTCTCCTCTACAAATGAGGAGAGGTATAGAAGTATTTTTAATATGCCTGATATTGTGAATTCCAACATTTGCTAAAGGATATTACCACTACTTCCTTAATTGATACTAATAAATTAATTGCATGGCACTAAAATACTAAAGACTGAGGCTTGCTCAGATAGTAAATGTTTATTTTAAATTTTAATGCATAATTCAAATATACAAATTTAATTGCTTATTCTTCTCTCATTCTTTGGACACTTCACTTGGATTAGCTAAATGTGTTTTGAAGACATGTCTTCAGTTTTCTGAAAATGTCAAAATCTTTTCTAAGCTAGAATGTAAACACAAATACTAAATCATTTACTAAATATCTGTCAGCAATTTACAATCCCATAACCTCATTTCGAGTTAAAATCTCTTAATGCTCTATCATTCTCCCCAGGGGAGATCAGCTTGAAATTCTCAAGGCAAATACAAATTTCTTCCCCAGATTTAACTTAATCCTGATTTCTCATTAGAAGGGTTATTTAGAGTAAAATGATGTAATCTTTCTCATTACAGACAGCTGTGTTTATCAGTCTCCAGACATATTAAAGGTATGGATATATTCATTTACAATTTTTAGAAAATCATAAATCAATTTCAGTCATTATGTTTTTCTATGTCTTTTGTATACCTTTGCATAATAAACTTCACCTAATTTTGGATTTGGGCAATTTCACCTTCATCTTACCAGTCTTTTGTTACTTTAAAGAAACAGGATGTTTAGGAAGAAAAGCATAATGTGGATTTTACATGTCCTTAAAGTGTTTTTAATGCATGAATCTACACATATATGTACAAAATGAAAAGTATCATACTGTGTTTATGCATAATACACTCAACCATTTGAGAGATTCACAGAAGTGCATGGTTAAAGGGAGTTAAATATCATCATGAAACTACCCCCAGTCTCCAGGCAAAATTGTCCTTTAGTCACACCAGTAGAAAATTTTGAAAAAGTTTTCAAGGCCTCCAAAGAAATTTACTCGTTGATCTATCTCCAAAGACTCTTCCTGATATGTATATTAAATCTAGAATATTGTAAAAGATATTTTCTGTATTTTTTTGTTACTGATAAGGAGTAATGAACTACACTTTTAGATTAGTAATCTTTCTTAGGCCAAATACCTTGCAAATTGGACCTGAGACCAGTTACATCCTCGTATCTATCAGTGTTGATTGCCAGCTCAGTTCCAGAACGTACATGAGCAGAGAACCAATTAGAAAACAAACTCACATCTCCTGTGCCTTCAGGGAAGCAGGGAATATTCTCTCTTCATCCCTACCCTGCTTTGACAGCAAGAGAGAGTTTATAGCAGATAGCTTCCCATCACATACAGACAAGAATAAGCTAAGTGTTGCTTTGTTATGTCGATCTTATTTTTAACCCCTATATCATATCTATGATTCTAGAATAAATTCTCTAATATTTCATCAGTTGCTAATATTTAAATATATGTAGAACTAGTTCAGAGTACAGAGATATAGAGAGATAGTTCTTACTTTTTATTTGATATTATTCAAGATTATTAAAAAACACACAAAGAATAACAACAAAAACTCTGTACCTTACTTTTTTATGGTAGGCAAAGTTGAATACATTTTTTTAAACAAGCAAAGTGGTTATTTACTAAACAACTCTTTCTTGAACACATATTGAGACATGGCCACATGACCATGATTGTTGGAAACATTTGGGGTTTACCAAGGAAAGAGAAAAAGACAATGCCATTGCTGTTCTCTAGAAACATACATTCTATGAAATGATACAAAATTAAGTACAGGAAGCTGTCATAATTATATGTACATACATCATACATACATGTGTATGTGGTGTGTGTATGTGTACACACACACCAAAGGATATGGCATTCAAAAGTGACCTAATATTTAGGCTAGACATTTATTTGGATAAGAGTCATGAATGGAATAGAGAAAACTTTTAACAAAGGAATAACAAAAATTAATTTGAAAACAAAAGGTAGAAAAGAATTGAGTTATCTAAATTACTTATCCAAACTCTCTTCTTACTCCAAGCTCCAAGGCCATTTTGTTAGTAATGAGTAGTTTAAAGTTTTAGATGGTATCTTCCACCAGAGATATATATGTTTGATAAAAGGAGAGACAAAATAAGAATGAAAAGGAAACTCCTCCTATACTGACACATTAACAACAAAAACTGTAGTAAGTCCAACCCACTCTTTGTCTCTTTGCACCAATTGTAAAAAAAATTAAAATTTTTAAATGACTTTAAAACAATTTTAAAAACAATGTCCATTTTTATTTGTGAATGATTGTAAATCAGCTTATTTTCCAACTACAGAAGGTTTTCCTTGATATATGATAAGCCATTTATTTATCCTACTAAAACCCAAAAATATTCAGCTGAATGTTTGCAAGACATTTAAATAACACATGAGTAAATATTGTGAATTCATTTCTAAATTTAGAAAATCTCTAGCAAACTTTCTGGTTAAAGCATGAGAGGCCTTTCATGCTAGACAATGTAATCATTGCTGAACTAGCTCATGAGGGTGAACACACAAGCAAGCCACAGGGTTACTTCGTCATAGGACTAAGAGTTGAAAAGACAGTCATACACATCTTAAAGTATAAATAGAAAGCATGCTGCAGCCTTGCATTCGTGTGCACCGGTTAATGATGCTGGTACTCATAGAATCTGCAGTCTTGCAGAGCCATATAGAACAGCCTAGAGCTATATTCCCTACTCCTTACCTGATTTTTCTGGACTTAATAACGTGCTTTCCTAGAATCACACTATTTTATGGCCTTTCCCTGGCCAATCAGACTGATCATTACTCTCGTTGGTCAGTCCTGTCCTATTGACCCCTAGGCCTTCCGCATAATAAAAAGACTTTTCACCTTCACCCAGAGCTTTCCACAAGTCCTTCGTTCCTCCAAACCCTTTCAGTTATGAATAAACAAGGCAGTGATGGGCTCATCCAAAAGGTAATGAGCACAGTAGAATTCAATGGTCACCAAAGAGCAAACAGAAAGTTAGTCTCTGGGCTAAAGGGGGTAGTTGGAAAGACATACATTTAAATTTTGAAATAATGTTTTCCTTGGATCTTCAGCAAAATCAATGTTTTAGTGAGTAACTGGTGGAAATATATGTGGGGAGGGAGGAGAGAGAATATTTGTATATATTTATATTTGTTTATATGTGTTTATGATGTTTAGGGTTTATAGAATAATTAGGGTTGTAGTCACAGTGAACATTTATCTTGGTTTGCCAGGGACAGTTGTGAATTTTGCCTTTTCCTGGTATAACTATTAATAGCACTTTTATTACTCTTAAAAGTGTCCCAGTTTGGATGATAAGTCTCCTGATCACCCTCTCTATAGTCAGAGAAATCATCACGGTGAGCATGAGTTATAAATAAAGTTCTGAGAGCAGAGTGTTATGATTTGCGGAGAGCAACGAGCCAGCTATTCAGCTGTGAAATGATGGGAGAGTAAGATCCGAGGTGGAGGCGCTGAGTTTTGTGTGGGTGAGAGTGAATATATTTGCTTTTAGGGAGCACAGTGTTTGACTTTAAATGTTACAAAAAAATGAGATCAACTAAGCAGAGAAAATCCCCGTGATTAAGAATTCTGAAGCCTGTAATTTAGAATTCTAATTAGACTTTAGCCAGTAGTCATTTCCCTTCTCAGAAGAGGAGCTTTGCTGTCCAATTTATATTGAAGGATTCTTGTTGCTTCAGAAAGTCTCAATTGAAGGCGAGAGATACCGAAATCAGCAGAAGTGGCTGTTGTACTGCTCTAGACATAGTGTGGATAATGTATGGACCACATTTGTGCCTATGCAAATTAAGAAAAAGCAAAAAGCAAGCAATCAACATCTTAGCTATAGACACTGTGAGAGTGAGATAAAAACAGTAATCCCTCTCAAAAAACATACATACATACACACACACACTCGCACACACACTCATTCCATTTACTCCTAGAGTATGAAGAGAAAAGCAGCCCAAATGCCAATTAATATTACACACCAAGATTTTAAATTTAAATGAATTCCATTTTTATATTGACTTTTCTCCTACTTATGTCTCATTAAATGAAATAAAAGCAATATTTTAAGCAGATGGCATTTATTTATTCAGATTATTCATTTATTTGTTATACACTTAAGTCTAACAAGTTTTAATGAGCAAAATAAAATAAAATAAACCTGAGTTGTTCTTTCCTGTGCCCTTGACTGGAGATGTTACATCTGTCAGAGCCATTCAGATCAATGCTTGTTGCCCACATGCTAAGTTCCCAAGGAGCTGTATGATTGCTAATAAATGCGTGTAACTCACATAAACAATCACACTGCCCATGAGCACTCACATGATGGCTTCATAGCACTTTTTCTGTTTGTTTTTCCCAGTCCTCTTCCAGGCACTGCCTAGAGAAGACCATTCTTGACCTGGGTCCACATGAGGCATGTAAAAAGTTCTCAGGTGCATGAGAGAAAGTCCAGGCCTGAGCACCCAGTGTGTAGTGGAAATGAAGGTCAGAAGTTGTGAGGAAAGGCCTCTTATTCCTTTAGTCTGAGTCACTGCCCTTGTCTCAACTCCCAAGAAGGATGAGGAGAAGGACGGGATTCAAGGCCTCTTTGTTAGGCTTGCTAGCTATATTCTCCTTAATGAAAAAAAAATATGCTACATATATGTCTAAATGTATAACGTTAAATATATGTATAAAATTACATATATATGTAAATTATCACATCTATAATGCATATATATGTAAATTTTACATATACATATGTATGTAATTTTTAATTATGTGTGTGTATGTGTGTGTCCACCTTCAAATAATACCTCTTCCAACCGTTTTTCCAGGAAGGTATTGAGCAGGCAGACTTCTATCATGAGTATCAGAATTCCAAGTTTCCAGGACAGGAATTTGTTTTCGCAATCAACACAATGATTTCACGGGACCTACTGGACCCTCCAAGGGCTGTATATGTAAGTCTGTAAACAGTGAGAATTGCTCCTCCACTTTTTATTGGCTGTAACTACTCATTTTTTCAAGTTCTTTCTAGTGGTGAAAGTTCTCTCTGCTTCTTAGAGGAAGTTATTTAAGTTTTCTGATTTTTCTACTTTCTCCAGGTCCTCCCTGTATATAGAAGCAACTTAGAGTGGTATTTACCATACAATCTGGCAGTTGCACTTTATGGTATATATAGTCAAAAGAGGACTATATATATCATAAAGAGTATTTTTGTGTAAATATGTTTACACAAAAACCTACACACAGATGTTTATAGCAGCTTTATTTCAAATTGACAAAACTTTAAAGTAACCAAGATATCCTTTAGCAGGTGAATGGATACAAAAACTGTGATATATCCAGAAAACAGAATATTATTCAACACTAAAAGGAAATTAGCTATCAAGAATGAGCTATCAAATTATGAAAAGACACAAAGGAAATGTAAATGTATATTTATAAGTAAGAGAAGCCAATCTGAAAAGACTACATACTGTATGATTCCAACTATATGACATTCTGGAAAAGGCAGAACTACGGAGACCATGAAAAGATCAGTGGTTGCCACGGGTTGCAGTGGGGAAAACAGAGGAAGGATGAATAGGTGGAGCACAGAGGATTTTTAGGGCAGTGAAACTACGCTGTATGCTACTCTAGCAATGGATACATGTCATTATACATTTGTCCAAACCCACAGGATGTACCCCACCAAGAGTAACCTTAATGTTAGCTATGGACTTTGGATGATAATGATGTGTCAATGTCAATGTATCTTCATCAATTGTAAAATGTACCACTTTAGTGGGGAATGTTGGTAACCAGAGAGAGGTTGTAGGGGTAGGGGGTATAGAAAAAAATCTTCGTTGTAAACCTAAAATTGCTGTAAAAATAGTTGGCAAACCATTTTAAAAATTCAAGCTCCATTAAAAAGTAAACTATTAAAAATAACTAACGAAAAGAATTCAAATTCTTTTCAACTCAGGGAAAGAAACAATTTACTAACCTTAGAAGGGATAGAAAGAAATCACAAAGGTTATGTTCTGCAAATTTGCCTACATAGCTATTACAACATATGTACATTAATTCTATAAAATTAGAAGGCAAGCAAAAGATCAAAAATATATTTAAAACAAATATAAAATCAAATGGTTAAATACTTTATTTGAATCCATATTGATAACTAAAAATACTAAAACAAATAAATGGATAATTAACAAAAGTAACTTAAAAAGTCAATTTATAAAATAGAAAATACAGTTTTTTAACAAATATATGAAAGCAGTTCAATTTCGTTTGCACTCAAAGAAACAAAAATTAAGACAATAATTATGAGTAGTGTAAACAAAATGATAACTTTTGATAGTGAAAGAAAAATATAACTATATATGGTTGGTGACATTTTTAAATTGGTAAAAATTTGGAAAAATATACAAATGTAAAGTACTCATATCCTTTCATATATAGCAATCCTATTTCTAGGAGAGTAGCTCAAGGAAATGACTCTAAATGTGGAAAAATCCTCTGTGCTCCACCCATTTAGCCTTCCTCTGTTTCCCCCACTGCAACCCATGGAAACCACTGCTCTTTTCACTGTCTCCATAGTTTTGCCTTTTCTAGAGTGTTACATAGTTGGAATCATACAGTATGTAGTCTTTTCAGATTGGCCTCTTATACTTGTCATAGCATTGCTTTCCAAACTACATTCAAATGTCATTGTGTCCCACATGGGGAGTTTGCTTAAACATATTTACTTGATAAAATATCCCTTCATTTAAAACAGGTTTGGGGAATGGAATGGTACATAACTTCACTCTACCTAAGCTTCAGTAATGTTTAGTGAACTTTACGATGAGTGTAGATAAATGAGTGGAAATTTGCAAAACAAAAACCAAAATGTTGAGATGGCTCAAAAACATGAGGGGCACATGAAAGAACTTAAAAAGTGGGCTACATAACCTTTAAGGATACTTCTACCTTTAAAATTTTCTTACTCAATTTTTAATAGTTTATACTTTCAGAAAGATGGGACCATATTCCAATATGTATTACATTCAGAAAGCAACAGATCATGAACAAATTTTGAAAGTCAATCAGAAAATTGCAGAAAACCCTAGAGAGCAAAGAACTCTCTTTCTTCAACAAATGATAATGGTAGGACAGAGCGGGGAGAGGAAGGCACTGGGGAAGGGGAGTGGTAGAGGAAGAAGTTGACTTTCTAGTTTAAAAGACATAAAGACGTATCATAGTAACCCAAACAGCATAATACGGGGCATAAAAACAGACATATAGACCAATGAACAGGAATAAATCCACATACATTTGTAGCCAATTCATTAAAAAATGGCAACAAGGACATGCATTGGGGAAAAGACAGTGTCTCCAATAAATAATAGTGCTCGGAAAATGGAATATCCATAAGTAGAAGAATGAAACTAGACCCCTATCTTTTTTTTTTTTTTTTTTTTTTTTTTTTTTTTTTTTTTTTACTTTAAGTTCTGGGATACATGTGCAGAATATGCAGGTTTGTTACATAGGTATACATGTGCCATGGTGTTTTGCTGCACCTGTCAACCCATCATCTAGGTTTTAAGCCTTGCATGCATTAGATATTTGTCCTAATGTTCTCCCTCCCCTTTCCCTTTACCCCACAACAGGTCCCAGTGTGTGATGTTCCCCTCCCTGTGTACATGTGCTCTCACTGTTCAGCTCCCACTTATGAGTGAGAACATGTCGTATCTGGTTTTCTGATTCTGCATTAGTTTGCTGAGAATGATGGCTTCCAGCTTCATCCATGTCCCTGCAAAGGACATGAACTCATTCTTTGTTATGGCTGCGTAGTATTCCATGGTGTATATGTGCCACATTTTCTTAATCCAGTCTATCATTGATGGGCATTTGGGTTGGTTCCAAGTCTTTGCTAATGTAAATAGTGCTGCAATAAACATATGTGTGCCTGTATCTTTATAGTAGAATGATTTATAATCCTTTGAGTATATACCCAGTATATACTTGGTTCTAAGTCTTTGCTATTGTGAACAGTGCTGCAATACACATATGTGTGCATGTGTCTTTGTAATAGAATGATTTGTAATTCTTTGGGTATATACCCAGTAATGGGTTTGCCGGGTCAAATGGTATTTCTAGTTCTAGATCCTTGAGGAATTGCCACACTGTCTTCCACAATGGTTGAACTAATTTACACTCCCACCAACAGTGTAAAAGCATTCCTATTTCTCCACAGCCTCACCAGCATCTGTTGTTTCCTGACTTTTTAATAATCACCATTTTAACTGGCATGAGAGGGTATCTCATTGTGGTTTTGATTTGCATTTCTCTAATGACCAGTGATGATGCGCTTCTTTTCATATATTTCTTGGCCACATAAATGGCTTCTTTTGAGAAGTGTAGACTCCTATCTTTCACCATATACAAAAATGATATCAAAATGGATTACACATTTAATTGTAAGACCTAAGCTATGAAACTACCAGAAGAAAACATTGGAGAAGTGCTCCAGGACATTAGGTGAGCAAAGATTTCTTGAGTAAGACCTCATAAACTCAGATAACCAAAGCAAAAATTGAAAGTGGAATTATATCAAGCTAAAAAGCTTCTGCACAGCAAATGAAAAAATCAACAACATGAAGAGACAACCTACAGAATGTGAGGAAATATTTGCATACTATTCATTTAACAGGGGATTAATAACATCAATATATAACGGACTCAAACAACTCAATAGCAAAAAAAAAATCCAATTTTAAAATGAGCAAAAGATACACATTTCTCAAAAGAAGATTTAAATGGCCAAAAAATATATATAAAAAAGAACCTCAACATCACTAATCATTAGGGAAATGCAAATCAAAACTACAATGAGATATCATACTACCTCAGTTAAACTGGCTATTACTGGCAGGGCACTGTGGCTCATGCCTGTAATCCCAGCACTTTGGGAGGCCGAGGCGGGTGGATCACCTGAGGTCAGGAGTTCAAGACTAACCTGGCCAACATGGCGAAACCCCGTCTCTACTAAAAATACAAAAATTCCAAATATTTTAAATTTAGAAGCAATGGAATAAGTCACAATAGGAAATATAATCAGACTTAGCTGCCTAATATTTTTACCTAGGTTAAAAATGAAGCATAACAAAGAGGAGAGGCCGGGCGCGGTGGCTCACGCCTGTAATCCCAGCACTTTGGGAGGCCGAGGCGGGCGGATCACGAGGTCAGGAGATCGAGACCATCCCGGCTAAAACGGTGAAACCCCGTCTCTACTAAAAATACAAAAAATTAGCCGGGCGTAGTGGCGGGCGCCTGTAGTCCCAGCTACTTGGGAGGCTGAGGCAGGAGAATGGCGTGAACCCGGGAGGCGGAGCTTGCAGTGAGCCGAGATCCCGCCACTGCACTCCAGCCTGGGCGACAGAGCGAGACTCCGTCTCAAAAAAAAAAAAAAAAAAAAAAAAAAAAACAAAGAGGAGAAAAGATGCAAATGGTACTGGAAATATGAAATAGTGTCTTCATTATGTAAAATGGTTGTAACTGTTGAAAATGAAAAGCATTGATAGGTAAATGGACAAAGAGAGATGCAGAATTTATTTTTAAAAAGGAAAATGAAACTAACCACCAAATATATAGAAATTACACATTATAATCTGGTTCAACAATATGCAATTTAAAACAATGAGATAACATACTTCAGCCCATTAAACCACAAATATTTTTAAATGTTAATATCCAAATCAATAAAAAAAATAGATTGGAACAGAAACTAGTAGCTTTATATTTATTTATCCACTCAGCAAATCATTTTTAGGTGTTTATTCTGTGCCAGCCCCGGACTAGGTGATGGAGAAACAATGATGAGTTAAAAAGGAAAAAGTTGATCTGTTTTCAATGTAATTCTCTTGTTAATAGCATGGATAATTTGTACCATGGCTTTTGGGGGAAGTAACGTAAAAATGTATATCAAGGGCATATATACCCAAATCTTTTAGTGTATTAATGATCCCCTAAAATTAATGTGGGTGAAATAAAAATAGCTATAGATAGATAGATAAAGTTCAATATACAAGGTATTGCTTGCAATGGTGTTTGCAATACTCCAATTTGGGCATCTTATAAAATATCAAGTAAACACACACAGCACACATATATAATTGCATGCTTACTATTATTACAACTACATTAAAACTAGAATGTAAAAATATAAAATTAACAGCAATTGTGTTTTGGTGCTGTGATATTGTATAGATTTTTTTCATTTATTTTCAAAAGATTCTGTACTTCTATTTTCTTAACTTAAGGCCATTTAAAAAATAAAAAAATGTAAATCCACATTGGTCTAACTGGTAATTATGAATGTAAGACATTAAATTTTGAAGTTGCTTTCTACAAAATGAAAAATTAAGCATTTCTGAAATGAATATTTGCCTGCTTCTTTTTATACATAATAATGAGTTGAGACCATGGTGTGACAAAAGACCATTTAAACAACAAAAGGCCAAATAAAAGACTGGAAGTCATAGGCTGAGGTTTTTCTTGCTTTTCTGCTGATAGCTGTTTGGCTAAAATTCCTTGGACTCTGGTTATTTATCTGTAAACTGATGAATTTAAACTAAATTAATGATCTCAAAAGTTAGTCACTTCTAAAGGTCTATGAAAACCTAAAAAAAGAATTATCAATTCAAAAAATTTATTAAAAGCTGTTATTGCTAAAAGCTACACCTTGCTACATTTCCATTGTAAAGTTAACTTCATTTCAAATGTGGTTTATTTATATTTGTAAGTTTTTAGTCATCATTTTATGTTTAAAATGTATTTTCTAGGTCACTGGTAAATCCAGAAATACACAATTATAATATAAATGCTATAAAAATAGTAGGCAGTATCATCCTCAGCTTAGAAAAAAATAGATGCCTTTCTGATGTTACAGTATAGGTATGTCAAGGAGCAGTTTAAAAATAAAAAAGCAAAACCGAAACAAAACCCCATGTGCCTTATGACAGTATCACTCTTTCCTAAATGGAACGCAAAGATAACAAGGGCTCTCTGGGTAGAATGTTCCTATGGGAGAGAGTTGGCATTAAAAAGTGATAGGATGACAAAATAGTCTGAAGAGCTCAAACAGTCTTATTGCATCATATGAATAGTCAAGAGATGAGTGATAGATAAATTACCATCTTAATTTATCATTATCATTTTGATATACAGGTCTAACTGATGCAACTTTGATTTTTTCAAAGATCATTTTTAAAAATTGAGTTCATAAAAAGGCATTCATGTGGAAACTACATAATAGGTTACATGAAGGCAGGGCCTATGCTGTACACATAGTTCTATGTACACATGGTATGTCCTCAGCACATATTTGCTGTGATATTGCATAGGTTTCTTTCATTTATTTTCAAACATTCTGTAATTCTATTTTCTTAACTTAAGGCCATTTAAAAAATAAAAAAGCATAAATCCACACTGGTCTAACTGAAATATAAGTTCCGTGGGAACAAGGATTTTGTCTCTTTTGTTGCCTGATGTATCCCAAGTTCCTAGAAGAATGAGTAGCACTTAGTAGGTGTCTGTAAACATTTGTTGAATGAAATAATAGATCATACATAGGAAAAACTCCAAATTTTCCATTTAATCTCATTGACTAATATGATTGTTAAAATGTCTTTTTCAATACTGTAGTATTTAGAAAGCATAGCAATTTCGTCGACAGAAAAAACAAAGAGGTTTTGATGAAGGTAAGGGAAATGAACAGAGGTCTATGGACCACAGTATTTTAAGTCTTCAAGATGAATTGTTAGACCATTGGATATGTAACTATTTTACATAATTTCTCATAAAATGGAATAATAAAAATATTAGGATGGAATATAACTAAGTGTGTTTTCTGATTGTTGCTAAATATCCAAAGCTTAGTGGCTTAACCAATATTAAACTTTACGCTTTTAGAGTTTCTGCATGTTAGATAGTCAGGCACAGTTTTGCTGGGCAGTTTCAGCTCAGTGTCTTTCATAAGGTTGCAGCCAAGGTGTCAGCCAGGGCTGGAGTCTTCTGAAGATTTTTCTAAGGCTTAGGGATCCAGTTTAAAGGTGGCTCATTTGCCTAATTGACTAGCTGGTGCCAGCTGTTAGCAAAAGATCCCACCTCTCTGCTGGACCTGAACAGTACACTGACTGGCCAGAGCTGTCTGGTCAACCTTAGACATGCCAAGCTGGCGGCTAAGTCCATCACTTGTGGCCAACATCTGTCTCAAAATAAATAAACAAAAAACCAACAGTAAATATTTAGCAATAACAAAGAAATAATAACAAACAATGTTAAAGACCAATAAATAAATAAGTGGGAATGAACAAAGGTAAAAAGTAATTAATATCACAAGATCTTCTCTCTCTCTCTCTCTCTCTCTCTCCCCCCCCTCCCTCTGTCTCTTCTCTCTCTCTCTCCAGCAGCCCACATTCATGAGAAGGGAGGTATTAGGCTGCCTCTTTTGAAGGGAGAGATATCAAAGAATTTATGAGTTATATTTTAAAAACCTCCAAATGTGAACAACTATTTGACTGATTTGGTGAGCTCCTAATTCATTACTATGGCCACATAGGGGGAAAAAAATGAGGCTGTGAGAGTTGCAATTTTGTAACAAAATGAGTTGCAGGATCCTCTAAGAAGATATGCCTATTTACTAAAGATTTTCATCAAAAAATAGTCAAATTATTACCTCATTTTTCCACTTGATTTTGTCTATGAGTACACATTATATGTATGGGGAAACTTTATTTCCAATGTGTCTCATATTTACTGCAGGTATCCAGAAGAAACTCCTGAAGATGCTTGTTAAAAAATGGAAAGCCTGCGTTCCATCTCAGCCCTACTAAATTAGAATCTTGTGTATGAGATGCCAGGATCTTCATTTTTAACAAAGATCTAAGGGTGATTCCCATTCAGGTGGTCCATGAACTCTAACAGGCTCAGGAGAAAGAACCAGTAAAACAGCGTATTGCCTTTAGTGTAGCCTCGCTAGGAAAGATGTCTGGATATAATTCCCCAATGTCAAAAACGGGTTTATGGAAATAGGGTTACAAATGATTTTTTCCAATGATATGAACTACATCATCAAATAGAACTCCTGCAGGAAATTATAATGTTTTCCACAGCTCTGCCTTAGGCTAGAAACTAAGCAGGAAATATTGTTAGACTTAAATCATTAGAGAAACGTGAAAAAGTTTTAAAGTGAAGAATCGCATAATTTAAAATTGGGCTTCTGAGTTACAAAGCAGGAAAAGAAAAGAAAAGAAATCAAGTGTCGCTCATCACCAGTTAAAAACAACCTTATGGAAAATGTTGCTTCATAACGACAAAAGGAAGGAGAAAGCCCTAATAGTGACTCTTTCCAGACAACCATAATGTTAGCAATTATCTTCTTCTGAAAATAAAGAAATAAACCATCATTTAACATTTATAAAACATCATAAAATAAATAAGTGCTCTAACATTATTAAACTTTAATTGCATTGAAGCAACTTTCAATGCAAATTTTACATTACTTTTTAAGTAAATTTGCAGCTTCGTAAAAGATGGCTAACATGTCTATTTTTTTTCTCCATTCACAGCACGGGAGGAATACAGGGAACAATACATGGCATGGATATAAAGGAGTAACATATTTGTTTGTTGTTTTTGTTTGTTTAATGGACACCTTCTGTGTGTACATACAAAAGGTATATAGCCTTTCGAGGTGCCTATTTTGTCAGGTCATAGACTTTCTGCAGAGATACCATTCATGTTCACAGGGATTATTTTCAAATCAGTTAATAAATTATGTATAAAAAATGTTATATGTGGCTGTAACTTGTATGTGGAAGGTATAAATATGTCTTCCAAATACAAAACCTATTGAGCGCAGGGGCCAGAATTTGAAGTCATAACTTCTGAGCCACAATGCCTATGCTATATTCATTATAGCACTCTTCTTCTACAATGAAACACTGAAAAATCAGTTTTGACCACAAGAGTCTTATTCATTTGAATTCTCATCTTTTTACCAAACTTTATGTGAAGGATTTATTTTCTATTTGCAATTAGCCTTTCCTTAGCTATAATTCTAAATCTTCCTTCCAATATAAATGTTATTTTACATTGAATATGTATTTCTTTCCACAGAAGAAAATATAAGTGGTTGTGGTCATGGTGGAAATCAGTTTTTAATCACTGATATATTTATGATGTACACTTTGCACACAGAAATGGAATCATAATGACACCTTGAGCTTTGTAAAGACATTTATAATTTATGACATAATTTATGTCATATATATGTCAGACATTGTAAATGTCTTTACAAACTTTAAACTTTATAAATGTCTTCATATGGCCGAGGCTGGCGGATCACTTGAGGTCAGGAGTTCAAGCCCAGCCTGGCCAACATGGTGAAACTCTGTCTCCAATAAAAATACAATTAGCCGGGCGTGGTGACAGTCATCTGTAATCACAGCTACTTGTGAGGCTGAGGCAAGAGGATCACTTGAACCTGGGAGGTGGAGGTTGCAGCGAGCCGAGATTGTGCCATTGCACTCCAGCCTGGGTGACAGAGTGATACTATGTCTCAAAAAAATAAAATAAAGTAAAATAAAATATATATTATATATAAAACTTGAAACATATTTCACCTGTGTCATAGGCAGGGTATGTCTTATTAACCCTAAAGAACCAGAACCAAACAAGTTAGCAAATTGGATTAAAATTGCAATGCCGAGAAAACACTGTCAGAGGCAGTTCACGTCTAAGAAATCGAAAGCCCCATTTTCACCTCTTAAATGAGAAATGTCTCAGTTCATTTATCACTGTCTCCTTGAAAGGGAAATCTTTTCTTATGTTTCCATATCTACCAGCTATATATAGTACTTTTTAAAGAAATTAATGAATGATTAAATAACTGCTTACATTTTAATAGGTAATTTTCAATCTGCTTTCAGGTATTGCTTCATCAGAAATGATCCCAGAACCTAGTGGTTTAAAATAATAACTATTTTAGTGATACCTAACAAGTTTATGAGTCAAGCGTTTAGTCAGGGCTCAGCTGATGATTCTTCAGCTACATGTAGTGTCCACTAAAGGTCACATAGAGGTATTTGGTCATTTATTTTCTCTAATTGAGTGGGAGTCAAGTGGACAAACTGAGGTAGGTTAGATACAGTGGTCATAGCCTCCCTTAAAGGAGAACAGACTTGCTAAGTAGAGAGAACAAACCACCTGACAGTAAACAAACCAGATCCTGGGCTCATGGTTAGAACATCCTGCAGCAAGGAGGCAAAAGAGCTAAAGGGAAAATCCCCAAATTCATACAAACACAGAAACCCATGATTAGTGTCCTTGGGATAACCTCTGCTTATTATAATAGTAAAAAACACGCCCCTGGATGAAGATTTAAGATGCTAGTGGGACATGCGATGTATGTACTAGCATTCACAGCTACAGCGCATGATGTAGTTCTGGACTACAAATTGGGGATTATCACTTCTACTTCTGTCTTTGTGACCAGATCTCTGTATAATTGCTACCTATAATGGAGTCACATATAGATTAAATGGCCTATTTGAAAAGGAAAAGAGAGAAAGAAAATGTTATTTATATTTTATAAGTTGTTGTTAAGCTGTTTTGTAAGTTATAGGATATTAGTAAAAAAATACTTGGTCAATAGTATTTTACTGTTTTGATAGAAATATCTAGTTAATTTATCAAGTGACTATTAGCTCCTTCTCAAATCTCAAGAACAAAATATATTACTTTCAATTTTTTTCATTTTTGAATTAGAAGTCATGCAGTATACTGTCTATTCTAGAAAGTACAAAAAACGTGAGGTCCCGTCCTGCAAGAAACTATTCTTTTGTACCTGATTTTAAAATTAAATTGAATTTTCATGTACATTGAAATGATAAAAATTATTTTCCTTATTGTCAGAGTTGAAAGCAGTACTTAGACACAAAAGTAATGCCTCAGTTTGAAGAAAGTATTGACAAAATCTATTCCCAAGAGTACGGAATCAAAAACTTTGTTGAAAATAATGATTAATTTTTTAAATTGAAACTTGTTTCAGTGAAACTATTCTGAGAAGCAAGATAATAATTCTTAGTTGCATTAAATATATATTTTTTCTTATTCCACATCAACCTAGCCAAATAAGGGAAAAGTAATGAAGTAAAAATTTCTCTCTGGTATGTCTACATTAAAGAACACATAAAATGAGCAAAGATAAAATTGGTGGAGTGGAGAGGATTTATACAACATAAATTCCAAAGAAAGAATTTGCAACTTTATTCAGTAGGCAATATTGAATCATTGAAGAACACTAAGATGGGGAATGTCAAAATTATAGTCCTCTTAAAAGAAGATCGATCTTGACTATATGGAATGGTCAGAACAAAGAAAGACTAGAGAGAAGAAAGATCCCTTAGGGAGCAAAGGAACTAGTGTATTCCAGATGGGAAAAAGGGCCTAGAATGTGCAAGTAGCAGTAAAAAAAGAAAGGACAAAATTGATGTTAATGACTTACATCAGGGAAAATTCTTAAAGGCTTAGAGATTAATTGGATGTGGTAGGTAAAATAGGTAATTCAAAGATGGCAGTCAAATAACAGGTCTGGACAACAAAGAATGAAATTACCATTAAGAACTCAGCAAGTCAAATGCTGGATCTGATTTGGAAAAGTAGAGCAACTTCTTTGTTATAAATAGGCTGAGTTGAAGTGATCAGTGAGTAGGAAGCCCGGATGAAATAAGTCCAGTGACAGGAGGAAATGTGTGAGACAGAAAGGAACAAACGTTGGTGTAGACTCTGCAAGCATAGATGAATTTATTTAGCACCGAGTGCTGGATAGGTTGCAGGCATGGATCTAAGCACAGAGATGCTTGTTGGAACAAAACAGATGCAGTGTTCCTTTTCTGGTCCTAACATTTTAATGGGAGAGGAAAAAGAGGAAATGTGCATAAATAAAGGAGAGAGTTTCAAATGGTGGTATGGACTGAGAAAAAGAAATTAAAGATTGATTTAAAAATATTACTGGCAGGGGATACTAATTTAGAGTAGATGGTCCATCTAGGCCTCGTTGAAAAATTGTATTTCACATAAGACCTGAATAAAATAAGAGACAAGAGAAGACCAGAAGGAAAAGTGACCTGGCAAAGGCATCTTCAAGGGCAAATGTCTTCAGGGAAGAAAATAAAGGCTGATGTACCTGAAGCACAGAGAATAAAGCAAAGTTTGTAGGTGATGAGGTCAGGACAGATAGGCATGGGTCATACTAGCCTTGTTGATTCTGGTAAAGAGCATGGACTTTATTCTAAGTGCAACAAAAGATACTGGATTGTTTAAGCAATACGTGCCATGTTATAGTTAGGTTTTTGAAAGCCTCTCTGCCTATCAAGTGTAGAATGGATTTAATGGGGCAAGAGTTGAAGCAGGTAGACCAGTTGCAAAATTGTTGTAGTAACACAAGTGAGAGATGATGATCAGAACTAGCATAATAGCGGCAAAGATAGGACAAGGGGAGAGATGGGGGAAAAATGGAAATATATGTTGGATATAGAATTGTTTTTATATAATTGAATATGTGTGATTAAGAAGAGTGAAGTTTTAAATGCAGTTCCCAAGTTTGCTTCAGGGCAAGATGATAGGGAAAAAACAAAATATCTGTCATGGCTCTGTTAAGTTGGTAATAAGAGAACACTATTTAGGGAGAGAGTGGATGGAGCCAAGTAAAGACAGCAGTTACTCTACACACACACACACACACACACACACACACACACACACACATATATATATATGCATATATAATGGATAAAATTGAATTTTCATGTACATATTAATTAATTTCATGTACATATATTAATCCTGACCAGAGATGTAAAATTGGGAGTCATCAGCAAATAGAAGATGTTTAAGTTGTTGGGACTGTATGTGATCACGTAGGTGGCAAGCATACCTAGAGATGAAGAGTCTGGCACCAAGCCCTGCATCATCTTAATATTTGGAAGCTGAACAAAGTGGAGGAGGAACAAGTAAATAAATTTTAAGGAGGGCTCACTGAGGTGGGAGAAAAACCAGAAAAGAATATGATTACTGAATGAAAAAGAAGGTCCCAAGAAGAATAAAGATGTGCAATTTGTGAGCTGTACCTGAGAGATGGAATAAAATGAAGACAGAACTAATTTTTGAGTTGGGTGATATAGAAGTCACAATGAGTTAATAAAAGTAGTTTCATCAGAGTGGTAGGAACAGAAGCATAAGTAGATTAGGGCAATGATCCACAGACCAGATATGTTTTGGGGTCCAGGAAACATTTGGCAGTATCTGGAGACATTTTTAGTTGTCACATTTGGGAGCTGGGGGGAGAGGTGCTACTAGCATCTACTGGGTAGAGGCCAGAGATTCTGAAAGGATTCTACAGTACACAGTACAGGCCCCATGACAAAAAATTACCCAGCCCAAAAGTGTGCCAAGGTGGAGAAACCCTGAATTAAGATAAGGACAAAGGGAGATGCAAAGCAATGTGAAGAAATGTAGACGGTGTTACTGAAAATCTCTTGACAAGTTTTGCTAAAATAAGAAGCAGAGGAATGTGGTGATAGTTGAAGGAAGGCATGGGATCAGGGAATTTTTTTGGTAGGAGGTTGTTTGTTTTGTACTTTTGAATCTTTCTTTTATGGGACATACCAATGGCAGTGATCCTTTAGAGATGTTAATCATGTAATAGAAAGAAGTCATAATTGGAGGAGAAAAGTCATTTAAATGTCAGCAGGTTTCAACCACCTCTAAAGTCTGACCTTTGTCAGGAGCAAGGGCACTTTTTGTTTCATAGCAAGAGGAGGAACTGATACAGAAAGATGTGAGAGGGTGGTGTGTTGGTGATGGGATAATAAGAGATAGAAGTGCCTCAAATTTGACATGAATAAAAATGAACTATTACCTTTCTACCACACACACACATGCTCTTCTCCATTTGTCTGGAAAAATTGTGTTACTTAGTTGCTCAAGTAAAAAAAATATGGGATTTATCTTTCACTCATCCTCCACTTTCCACATTCAGTCACTGATCCCTTCATCTTCTGCATTAGAAATAACCTCATATCTATTTCCATGTCTCCTTTCTCACTGTTATCTTAGTTCAAATCTTCATCTGTTCCTTTTCTGTAAACTTGCTACAATTCTGACCTGATAACTCTCTAGTGTCATCTATATTAATATACTGGTCAGAGGGCTGTATCATTTCTATACTACAAACCTAATCCTACCACCATTTGTTTAAAATCCCTTCATGCATCCCCATTTTCTTAAGATGAAGTTCAAAATATTAACCAGAAACGCAAAGCTTTTCACAATTTGATGTCTATACCACTTTCCAGCAACAATTCCCTTGCTCTCTGCCATGGTCAAGCTGAACCAACGATCTGATTTTCCTAGAAAGCTCTATGTTGCCTGTGTACCTACTTATATGAGGTCCCTGTTGCATTGTGAAAGTGGAACTCAATAGAACACTGCAGAAAAAGGTCAAATCTTAGGATGCAGAAGAATGATATTGAAGTGAGAACATGTAGACATAGAGCAATTATTTCAGGAAATGTGTTCAGGAAAGGAAAAGGAGGAACAGAATAGCATTGTGAGAGAAGGGGCAATGGTCAAGTTCTAGGTCTACAGTTGTTTTTCTAATGCTCTGTTGTGTTTTGCCTTGGTTTGGCTTGGAGAAATGAATCTGAGCATTTTTACAGGCATAGAAAAAAATATCTGATGTCTGGGGATAGGTGAGGATTGATTATGAAGATGAGAATATAATTGATTAACCAGTCCTGGAAAGATAAAACAGGATGAGATCAAGACTACAGGTGGAAAGGTTAATTCATCTTAGAAAGAAAAAGGATTTAGTTTTCCTTAGAGATAAAATAAAAGAAATAATCATGAAAGGAGAAGATTAGAAATGTTGGTGTAGAAGTGAAGATGCTTTTATATAAAAGTTTTGCAGAGGAGTAAAACTGAGGAATTTCATGTTTACTTTCTTCAATTTTCTCAGTAAAGTGTTAGCCAGGGAATACTCCTAAAGGTGAGAGGAGCAGGAGTGAAATTATTGTTCAAGGAAATTGTAAGTTTTGGAAAAGAAAGAGGAGTAAATGAAATGTGGACTCCAGAGGAGATGACTCAAAATATTGCTAAATGGCAGTGAAGCAGGGAAGAGCACAAGCTTTGATCCAGCCAGTAGTGATGAATGGGCACATGGAATGTGCCAGGCTTCAGACAGCACACCTGTGTTCTTGCTGTTGTTGTTTGATATTTGATGCTGACTCTATTTATATTAATTTTGTAATCCTTTGTCAATTTCCATTGTCTGCAAAATGGGGATAACCATGCCTTACCCAAAGAGAGGTTGTGACACTTTGTGAAACGTGTAATGATTTCTAATAATTGAGTGGCTTCAGTAAAGGCAAGCTCTTATACCTGAGTTCAGAGCCTGAGATGACTTCTCTCTGTCGGCACAGTTTTCTGATTTTCCTTGACAGCTACGAGTCTCCTAGAAGCAGGAGCAGAAGCAATGGTAGAGAAAATGAACAACGGTGATGACACAAAGCTTGGAATGTGCTTCCTGGGTACCGAGGGAGCACATTTGCTCTTTTGTGCACAAAAGAGCAAATTCTCCATTATGGAGAAGTGAATGGAGACGTTTGAATGTAACATAGTCCCTGGCTCCACATATCATATACCTCAGAGTTTCATTCCAGAAAGTTATGGCTAATTAGCCTTGGCTATACACCAGCATCTAAGAGACGAAGGTCTGAAAGAGACACTCATTCTGATCCTGACCTTGAAGTGAACAATCACTCAACACTTTAAAGTGTCATATGGCTGTCAGCACTTCTCATTTTGTGACCTAGGTACACCTGACTTGAATTTTTGTTTTCAATTCCAGGTTCTATTAAAATTCAAAAAGTCTACAAAGGTCTTAGGCACACATTTTCATAGCCCACTTTGTCTACCAGATTTCTGCTTCTGTGCAAGTTATCTTAGAGATCACCATTGTCTCTCCAGATGTGAAACCCAGAAGAATCTTTGGAATGACCCCAAGATTCACTCCCATGATATATTTATAAGCAAAGTAAATTTCACCATGGAGGAGGGAGGAGTGCTTTATACTGCAGAAAGGCAGACCCTTCAACACACCTTGATCAGCATCATTCTGCATTGCCCTTTAGCCAACCCATAACCTCAAAGCTTACCAATCTTCCATCACTTGAGCTTCACTTCATTTATGATCGCCTCTCTTTCCTCTCCCTTGTCTTATCACTTCTTGTTCCTCTCTTCTTCCTCTTTGGAGCAAAAACTACAAATTCCCAATCTCTCACTTTATCATTTGTGGAGCTGTTTTCCCTGCCTATGGCATGTTGGTATCTGAAAACGTTCATGCCTCCTTGCCCATCTACCCTAAGAGTTCATACAAAGGTGTTTTCCAAATAAAGGCCCATCTCTTCCCAAATGGTGTCTAGTGCTAGCGCAGTGGCTCACGCCTGTAATCCCAGCACGTTGGGAGGCCAAGGCCGGCAGATCACGAGGTCAGGAGATCGAGATCATCCTGGCTAACAGAGTGAAACCTTGTCTCTAATAAAAATACAAAAAAAAATTAGCCAGGCGTGGTGGCACACACCTGTAGTCCCAGCTACTTGGGAGGCTGAGGCAGGAGAATCACATGAACCCAGGAGGTGGAGCTTGCAGTGAGCCAGGATGGTGCCACTGCACTCCATCCAATCCTGGGCAGCAGAGTGAGACTCCATCTCAAAAAAAAAAAAAAAAAAAAAAAGAAAAAGAAATAAAGGTTCCCCTAATTATTAAATGGTTGAGATTCCACTTTCTCTGGGGAAGTCAGTATTTCATTTAAGAATGAATGCATCTGGAGTCCATGAGACCTAGTTCAGTGCCACTCCTAGCTACGAACAAGTTGTTTTTCCTCTGTGAACTCAAATGTAAAAATGTCCACTCTCAAATGTTCTGGTAATCAAACAAGAGATGCCTTTACAGTGTTTAGTACTGTATGTAGTACATAAAATCTGCATTATAAACAGTGGGTGCTGTTTCATTAATTTATCTGGACTGAGAGGGATGAATTTGGAGACAACTCCAGACCGCAACCATATATCCCTTTTTGGTATATTCTTACAGTTTATGAATGTGTTTTATTAGTTACATCAAAGGAAAAGTTACATCAAAAATGTGTTTTATTAGTTACATTCTGAAAAGAATTAGCACAGATCCAAGATTTAACCCCAAGTTCTGGCCTTTGCATCCCTCTGATGGTAGTTTCTAAATAGAATGAACTTTCCAAGTGACTATATTCTGACATGACTTATTATACAAGGCTCATAACCAGTATATAAATGAAAAACACAGAATTCCTATTTCTTTCTCAGCTATGCCACAGTGCTCAAGCATGAGACTACTGAGCTCCAGTTACGCTGCGGGAAAAGGATGCAAATGTACGTCCAGAGTCCATTAAAGTTATAAGAAAAAAAATTCTTTTGAGAAAATACTGTTTAGAATTTCCAAGTAATTTCTTGTAATTGTAAATAATATATGTTTTATAGGTAAAAAGAATCTGTTCATTTTTCCAAGAAGGAGTGTTTTTCTAAGATAAGCAAGTAGAATATTGAAATTTCATTAGATGCTGGTGCTGTAGCATGGCTCATGGGGCTACATACCATGGTTAACAAAAAGGATGATGAATATATCTGAAAGTAAATATTTCAGAAAATTCACTTTAATTCCATCAGAAAATATGAATAATATGTTTTGAGATGGAGAAAGAGAAAGATACACTTACAGGGGAAGTGTAGTTCTTCCATTAATACCAGCATTATCATAGTTAAAATGTTTTAGCAATTTTCATAAATCAGACATTTTACTTAAAGATATTTATGATTATTTCAATTAATTGTTGCAGAAATCCCATTTTAAAAACAAAAAAATGAGCTTCAGGATTTTTAAATTAATAACTTCACACTACTGTCTTAGTTTGGATGGGATGTTATAACAAAGTACCATAAACTAGGTAGCTTATAAACAACAGAAATTTTTCGCACAGTTCTGGAGGCTGGGAAGTTCAAGATCAAGGTGCCAGCAGATTTGGTGTCTGGTAAGAGTCTGCTTTCTGCTTCATAGATGACATCTTCTACCTGTGTCCTCAATGATGGAGGGGAGAACTCTGACCTCTTCAGCCCTATATAAGGTACTAATCTCATGCATGAAAGCTCTACCTTCATGACCTAATCACTTCCCAAACGACCTACTTCCCGATACCCTAAAACTGGGGATTCGATTTTAACATATGAATTCTGGGGGGACACAAGCATTTGGTCTATAGCAGTCACACCTCCAGCAAATGGCAGGGTCACACAGATCTTGGACAAGATATCATCCTGCCTTCCAGAACAAATATCCAAACGTTTCTCCTGAGGCACAACCACATTGGAACATCAATGAAAACTTTGGATGAGCCAAGTCACATTAACTACTTCTCCTCTATAGAAAACACATTTCTCTATTAGATTTAACTTGAAGAGAGATAACAGTTGCAATGTTAAGTTGAAATTTTGATTCAGGGGTCTCAGATTTCTATAATTTAAACTAATGAACTATCTAGGTGCCTTAGCAATAGAGCAGAAGAAAGCAAGAAGTAGAAATGAATAAGACAAAACAATATATTTGCAAGTGATTGGCTTTGTTAGACTTTGATTGTGACTGATAATTTGAATTTCATTTTTAATGTTGATGTATAGCCCGTTTATCACAAATCATTGTAGATAGTTACATACAATGAATTTTTTTTTTTCATTTGGGTAAAATCTATCTTGTTGCTATGGTGATAGCTATTATAAAATGAGTAAGATAAAATTAAGACCACTACATTCCCAGAGTAAAATCAATCAGGTGATACTGGAAAAGTCGGCATTTGTCATTTTGTATATTATTAGCTCTGAAATAAAATTGTGTTTTCTCTAAAAAGCAGATATTTCCAGTTTTACATTAATGTCTCTGAAAGCAGTGAAAAGAAGTGCTAACATGGAATGGTTGCATGAGCAAAACCTGAATTATATAAGAAGTTTTATATTCGGGTTAAGAGTATATAAAAAACATATTGTTTTTGGTTCAGAGGTTAAAATTAAATATTTTGAAAAGGCAAGCCCTGAGTCATGCATGTTGGACTAATGTGCAGTTTTCTTCTTTTTGTTCATCTGCACTCAGCAAAAGAAATTAGGTAATGCTTTCTTCTTTTTTTTAACCGACTCAATTGCTACTTCGTATTTGGCAGATAATGGAGAATAGATAAATCTCCATGACAATTTTGTTTGTTTGTTTGTATTTACAAATTCATCCTTCCCAAGTTCCAAAATAAGTGTTTTCGGATGGATGACAACATATTGAATATGATTTTTGAGAATTTGAGAAAATATCCTAGGACTCATGTGCTTTCACTACCTTTTATTTACATCAAACAAGGCTAGGCATCCCTCTTTCTGGAATAGAGAAGCTTGAAGAACAGAGTCCATAAAGTTTAATCTGCTCTCTTACATTGTAAGAAGTTTGTAAGTCGATTCCTTACTAGATGTCGGATTGAAGATAAATTATTTAATTTTGAAGAATGTAATACAAAGAAGGCAATTCGCCTTGACAATTCGTAGGCAAAATAAAGCACACTATTCATTTGCTGTTCTAATAAAACAGTATCCGGTTTTAAAAATAAAAAGAGCACTTTAGGAGGCAGAGCTGGGTGGATCACCTGAGGTCAGAAGTTGGAGACCAGCCTAGCCAACATGGCACAACCCGTCTCTATTAAAAATACAAAAAGTAGCTGGGTGTGGTGACACACAACTGAAATCCCTGCCACTCGGGAGGCTGAGGCAAGAGAATCGCTTGAATTTGGGAGGCAGAGTTTGCAGTGAGCTGAGATCGCGCCACTGCATTCCAGCCTGGGTGATGGGAGTGAAACGCTGTCTCAAAAAAAAATTATGCTCACATATTACATAAATTTAGAAAAAATAATTGGTTTATTTATGAACAACAAGAGTGCAAACTTCATGAAACAATGTAAAATAAAATGGAGCGAGAAAAGGGGGGAATGTAATACAGAATTTAGCAAAAGCCTTTTGTTTTGTTTGTTTCATTTTTGTTTTTAATCACCTTTCTCAGACAACCTCTTTCTCAATTGCAAATATGAAGACTCTGAGAAATATTAGCTAATTGGAGATGATGTCTTATGTTAAGACTTTCATTCAAAAACACCTTGTAAGTTTCCCTTCCACATGATGCAGAAAAAAAATTAATTAAAAAATTAAAAAGCCTACGATCTGAGAGAGAGAGATACCTTATTTTATTATTAAGCACACATCTCCAGCCTCTGTGAATTTATCATTCCCTCGATCACTGCCTGTCTCACCCTAGAAATTAACATACATTTTATTTTTTTCTCTAGCATTAAAAATGCATTGCAATGAATAATATAGCAGGACTGTGTATAAAACTAAACCTTCCACATCCTCTTTTAAATGTTTGTTCTTCAGCAGTGATCCTCTGAGGAAAACGTATTGAAAGGATGAACAGTAATTTAATTTTTTATCATAAGCAATAGTGGCAAATAAAGGACAAAAGTACTTTGCAGTGCTTAAAGAAAAAAGATGAGATATTCATCAAGGGAAAATACTGCCTTCGGATTGACTGCCAGGTCATGCATATTCTTTTTCTTTTCAAACAGAGAAAATCACAAGATTAATATGAAAACCTTGGAAACACTTCCTGTGTATGTCACAAGTCGAAGACATTTGCTCTACATTATTGGGGCTTTTAGAGAAATATCTAAAAGCTTTTATGACAAAGGAAGATACCAAACAACATTTTTTATTAAAATATGAATCTAAAATTCAGAATTACCTTGTTTTTCAAAGTCTCTTGAATTATGATATTTTCTAAAACTGAGATGAGGAAAAAAATCTATTGTCAAGTTAAATTGTTAATTAGTTGTGTAAAGTAAGAAAAAAAAGTTCAGTTTTGACCAGTGCCCAAAGTCCTAATAACAAGTGATACATTTACTTTTTTTTTTTTTTTTAACTAATAGAAAGCTTAAAATGGCTAATATTGACTACAGGTAAAATTCAATGAAACCATACTGTCGATTTGCTTTAGAATTTCTCAGCAGCATTAAAAAGAAGTCTAAAAATAAAGCATAAGCCAGGCGCAGTGGCTCATGCCTGTTATCCCAGCACTTTGGGAGGCCGAGGCAGCCGGATCACCTGAGGTCGGGAGTTCGACACCAGCATGACAAATATAGAGAAACCCCGTCTCTACTAAAAATACAAAATTAGCCAGGCATGGTGGCACATGCCTGTAATCCCAGCTACTCAGGAGGCTGAGGCAGGAAAATCGCTTGAACCTGGGAGGCAGAAGTTGCAGTGAGCCGAGATCGTACTATTGCATTCCAGCCTGGGCAATAAGAGCGAAACTCCATTTAAAAAAAATAAATGAATAAAAATAAAAACAAAAAGCATTATCGTATATTTCCAAAAGAACGTTTAGAAATTATTTTGTATTTCACTGTCATGTTATTAGATTTTGTAATACTTGATTCACGAGTAATAAAAAAAATTTAATTGGGAAGATTTTACAATGTGTGAGGAAATAAAACTAAGATTCATATAGCAGTAACTCTATTAAACAATAATATAACTAAATTTTTCGCCTAAAATTCAAGGTCTCTGTTTAATTATCTATTCTAACCTTCAGTTGAAGATCCATGTTGAGGAACAAAACTGTAGTACTGGCAGCATCTCACCTTCAAATAACCAAAATCCTCTCATCCGAGGCCTTGTTTCTAGTTTTCCAATTTTACCCTTAGACAGAGATCCCCAAACTTTCAGTTCACAGTGCCCTTACTATCTCAGTAATTCTGTTTTTTGTTTGTTTGTTTTGTTTTTGTTTTTTTTTTTTTGGGACGGAGTCTTGCTCTGTCGCCCAGGCTGGAGTGCAGTGGCGCCATCTCGGCTCACTGCAAGCTCCGCCCCCGGGTTCACGCCGTTCTCCTGCCTCAGCCTCCCTAGTAGCTGGGACTGTAGGCGCCTGCTACCACGCCCGGCTAATTTTTTTGGTATTTTTAGTAGAGACGCGGTTTCATCGTGTTAGCCAGGATGGTCTTGATCTCCTGACCTCGAGATTCGCCCGCCTCGGCCTCCCAAAGTGCTAGGATTACAGGCGTGAGCCACTGCTCCCGGCCCTATCTCAGTAATTAAGTGTTCCTAGGACAAAAGAAATGCCCAACGGTTACATCTATTAAGTTGTGAGATGCACACAACTTAAGAAGTACTTACGTCTTAACAACTTAGTAGATATCTGAAAAGAGAATACACATACATTGAAAGGAAAATTAGTGTTATTTCATTCTTAAGTAGCGGTAACCTATTACTAATGGGATGTGTATTGCTGCTGCGTATTGCACAACTTTTCAAATCAGATTAGACATCCCAATCTGAAATCAGATTAGACACCCCAATTTTCATTTGGTACTTGCTTTTTATTGCAACAAGTGCCAAAAGTAAAGAACAACTTCTCAAAAACATGATGTAAGTGAAGAGAATATAGTGTGATTTAATGTTAAGTCTGTGAACTACCCTGAGCTAGCAGTTCTCCCAATATTCAACAGATGTCATAAGTGGAGTTTCTGTTAGAAAAAAGTTTAAATTTCCCACAGAGCCTCTAAATTTACTGAAGCACCAGCAAACCTTGGCACAGACTTTGGAATCTACATTCCTTAAGGAAATTCTAGAGAAAAATTAAACAAGCTAATTGTATGTCTATTCTTGTCTTAAAATCTCTGATGACAATCTCATGCCTCCAGTTCCAACATCATTCTCTCTCTCTCTGTCTCATTGTCACACACATGTGCACGCGCACACACGCACACACACACATTTGATCACCTTCTACCTCTCATTTATTTCATTTATTCAAGAAATATTTATTGAGTGCCTACTATAGACATCTTGCTAAATTATAAGGGCACAGCAATGAACAAGATTCAGCCTTTGTTCATATACAGAGCTACTGGGAAAGCTAGAGAAGCAATTAGCCAATTATAATGCTATTCTACTAAAAATAGAAAAGAGAAGAAAGTACTGTGAAAAACACATAGGCAAGATAACTAGCCCAATCTAGGGAATTTGACAGGAGTCATAGAAATCAAAAGTCTAAGATTATCAATAGATATCATAGATAAGTATTATTCCCTATAGAGCTCAGCGTTCACTTAAATGATATACTCTAATAGATACATTTTTTTCTGTTTCACAAAAATGAAGTTTCTGATATTGGGAAACATTTGAAGGAATTGTACCTTCTAAATTATTTAAGGGAAAAAAAATAAAGCCAGCGTCAAACACTAATACACCAAAAACTGCTATCATAAAATGGTATCATAATAGACCAAGGCAAAATGTGCAAACCTAAAGGGATCCCCCTTTGGAGACAGTATGTTGAGGCTTTTGGAAAGAGAACATCTGATCCACGGAAATTCTGATAGAAGGATATCAACTTCACCAATTCACTGAAATGGATCTTTAGTATCCAGAGTATCTCCAAATATATGCTTTTGGTTTCATTTTTCTTCTTAATGGTTAAAATCACATACGCATGTACAGTTAGATGTGCGATGATCTCAGAACAATGATACCAAATATCTTTTTTATTTTCCTTTCTAAAATATTTCTGCTTGTAAAGTCATCTAGGGACTTAGTTAACTGTACAGTTTATAAGCTGATTGTCTCCTCCTGTCATGGCAAGTCATCACCATCATTGACATACTTATTCCTTCTGCTTATTCACGTGCACTGGGAAGCAGAAAGTACCTATGATGTCAGAAGTCTCAGGAAGTATTGCAAAAAAGGGTCAAGACCTGGCATAGAGAATTTGTATCATCAGAAGGAAAGCGTGCTCATTGGTTTAACTCCTGCCTCTAGATGCTTTCATAGCCTTCTCTAAGCGAGCAGAAATAATGGTAACAAGCCCTTATGCCACACTTATTATGAACCAGGTAACTTTCATCACGATTTACCTGTGATAAACTCTCTGACTCCATGTAACCCCGTGAGTTAGGTACTTTCATTACCCCAATGAGAAATTGAGGCACACAGAAGAAATTGTCAGATAGTGGAAATTGATTTAAAATACAGTCTAGTTTCAGCATCTTTTTCAAACCAGTGCCTCCTTCCACAGATCTTTATGCTGGTTATTCCCACCTGAATGAGTTACAGATTTATCTACAAACCATGGAGAATAGATACCTAAGAAGAAATGTAGGGATTTTTGAACAAGGAGAACCTACATATTCTCAAGTTCAGTGGAAATATTCAAACTTATAATTATTACTAATTAAGATTCTCTTATTGTCTGAGACTTCCTCCAAAGGATGTCACCATGCATCACCAGACATAAACAAATCTTTCAAGCTAACCACAATTCTCCCAAATTGGTGTTAACCAATATATGAATAGGAAGCATCCAGCCCCTTGGCAGTAACTGCAAGGGCAGTACTGTTTTCCCTTGGCAATTCCTGCCTAGATTTTTAGTCAGCCTATGATTCTCTAGATTTGACTGATAGCTCTAACTCTCATGTTTAAACTTTAATACTGCTGTGCAATATTGACCTATTTCCATGATATTTCAAATGATGTTAGGTGGCCTGACCTCTGCTTTAGGGATCTGAAAGTTTTCCTGCCCTTTCCTGGATCTTTCTTGAAGACATGAGCCCATGCCTGCATGTCGCATTCATTGGCCTTTCCAAGAACTACAGCCAGGGGATCCAGATGTGGCCATGGTATGGTTTAGCATGTGCAGGAGAAAGCAGGCTCCTTATCTGGCATCTGAGCTTGCTTGAGTACCATGCCATGGGAGTATTTATGCAGTGAACAACCCATAGTCAGAAAATGTTTTTTCAATATTCAGAGTTCATGAAACAGTAATATTCTTATGCATTGGTTTTAAATGTCTGGCTTTTTCCTGTAACCAATGAGTCATCCAGGCTGGGATGTTTTGCAGTTATTTCAGATAATGTAAAACCTCACTACATGAAGGGAAATAACATGCACTATATATTAGAACTTACTTTTTCTCCACAGTTTCCAAGATTTACATCAAATAGGAAAAATAACACGGTGAAAGCATTCTTCGGGTCATTTTTAAAAAGTAAAGTAACTGAAGTCAGATGCCAGAATGCATTTCAGTTGACTGTGACTTTTTTTCCTGTTTGGTAAAGAATGATTGTGATAACAGCCTGATCATGAGCTTGATAGAAAAATGCAGGGCCACGTATTGTTCCTAACCAACAGCACCATCTTCTGTCTGCAGGATGTCAGATCTGGGAAAAGGATAGCTCGCTTTGCCATGAGGCATTCAAATTTGAGGGCTTAGACAAACAATGTAAATCCCCTTTCTTCCTACCTTGACATCGGTGAGGTCAAATTCATTTTAAAACAGTGAAAACTGCATTTTAGGAAAAATAAGCTTAAAATTCAACCAAGAATTGCACATGGAAAGCAACATCACAACATCAATATCGTTCTGCTTCTTGCAGAACTGTACTCACCCAGGTATCCTTTTATCTATACTTCCCACTTAGAAATTCTGCAAAAAAGGCTGAAATTTCATGGATTTTACAGAAAGGGGAGTGTGACCTCTAGTTTGTTACAATTACAATGATTTAGAAAACTATCTCAAATATTGGAGTCACCCCCATCTGAATATTACAAGGGGGAAAATAGGAAGATCTAGAGGTGTGAATAATGTCACACAACCCCTTTAAATATGTATACCTTCCAAACAAAAAGCTATGTGAAACATGTATAGCCACTCCTTTTTGTTGTCTGTTTTAGATAAATCAACTAACTGAAGCCTTAAGCAATTAAATAATTTATAAAGGAAAAGCTAATTTGCTACTAAATTTGTCAAATGCATTAAGTAATGTAATGAATAGTAATGCAGGTGAGTGTGCAGGAGGTCACAGCACAGGTCTAAGTGGTGCTTAGGTACATCTGGGCAAGTCTAGTGGGGACATGGTTTCTCCAAGATTCTGTGTTCAAGGGGGCTGAGAAGAGGTCATCCTGAGGTGAAATGAATCCAGGTACCAACCAGCCATGCATCCTAAACCATAAACAGTAGGAAAAGTCTGGAAACATGACTTTTGTCCTCATATCTGCCTCCCAAATGAGTCTTTTGAAGAGCAGGGAAACTATATAAAATCTGAGGAAGTTTCGGCCCTAACATTTTGTAACACATTGGAACGCAAGTCGACCTATCTCTACAGGAACATCACCCAGAGACGGGCTTTCACTCCAAACTTGTCACACACCACTGTGCGATATTGCGATTATATGATAGTGATGTTGGGCCAAGCATCTCTGGTGTCTGAGAAGAGAACATTTCAAAAGATGTTTTTGGTGAATCTATTTGAAAAACATCCTAGCAGGACTTCTGAAATTAGGTGGTAGCCAAAATGGACAGGGGTTATTCGTAAGAAGGAAGGATTTGCAGGGGATAGAGAAAAGATAGAAAGAGGCCAGGCGTGGTGGCTCACGCCTGTAATCCCAGCACTTTTGGAGGCCGAGGCGGGCAATTTATCTGAGGTCAGGAGTTTGAGACCAGCCTGGCCTACATGGCAAAACCTCGTCTCTACTAAAAATACAAAAATTAGCCAGGCATGGTGGTGCACACCTGTAGTCCCAGCTACCCAGGAGGCTGAGGCAGGAGACTCACCTGAACCCTGGAAGTGAAGGCTGCAGTGAGCCAAGATCATGCCACTGCACTCCAGCCTGGGAGACAGAGCGAGACTCTGTCTGGAAAAAAAAAGAAAAAGGAAAAAGAAAAAAATGCAAAGTCAGTTATCACAGTTATCACATGTCCATTCATTCCTTTTAGTGAAATTATAGAATTCAAGTGTGAACACAGGAGGGCTTAGTTCTCAGGAAAAAAATATAAATAAAAGATTCACATGATTAATATGTAATATTTCTCAAAGGACCTTACATCACTTAACCAACCTTCGAATTACCTCTACATAGTCAAAGAATTGTGCTATTATAAGTAAATATTATGAATTAATTTAAGATGGATCCTTTGGGCAGAAATGGATTTTTTTTTTCCTAAAAAATACCAACATTGGTTGTGAAGTCAGCTAAAATTTAATGGAGAAGTACACAACTATCCATTTTGTTTTCGCTAGACAGGTAGTATTTGACATTTTTTTTTTTTCCTACTTGAAGACATGGAAGCATGTAAATGATCCCTTGCTATTTGTGATTCTATTTGTTACATTTATTCAAATTTTCTACAGAAAGATGTTTGAATTAGAACCAATAAGTTTCCTGGTAAATAAGTGACACAACCTTGCCCAAGTCCTGAAGTCATTGATTCCAAAGGACTAAGCTGCTGTGCCAGTTTACCTGTGGAGACTACAGAAACCAAAACTATGCCAAATAGAGAAATGTAAATGTCCTTACTGGAATTTGAATGGTAAACACGTGACTTTTTTCTCCAGAATAGAAATCCTTACAGATGTTTAAATCATTGCAACTCAAAACTATTTAAAAACAATTGGCTACAGAAACCCACTAATCAATGCAGAAATTACAGTAGAATAATAGGTTGCTATAAAAATTGTATAAGTTAATTTTCAGGTAGAAATATTAGTGGGTTTTTCCTAATTTATATCTTTTTAATCTTTCACAGTCTTCATTTAAACTTCATTAGAAAGTTTTCAGAACACTCATGATGCTATATTTTCTTAGTTTCCCTCTTATATTAACCACATCTCCCAGTCGAATTACTTTCATTGCAAATATCGTTTTAAGATCTCTGCTTTTCAAAGATGCAATTAACAAGAAATTGAGGATGCTGTTTTAAGGAGCCATGTCCTAAGCTTCCCCAAAACCAGACCATTTTCAAGCCATCAGTTAAGATCATAAAATGTGATTTAGAGGATTTTATGTATTTAATTTCTACAGCAGATATCTGAACGAGTACCTTTTAGCACAGTTGCCTATGTTGTAGACTTAAAGTAACTTTTTGAGAAGCACAGAATGTCTTTTCTGAGTCAACACAGCTATATGGTTTATAAAAGAACCATCTGCTCTCTTTAAGTGCATACTTTGTTAACCAGACACTAGGCAGCTATCTCTAGTCTCTCTGCTTGCCCTTTGCCCCCTGCCAAGGTCATTCCAGGGAAAACAGAACACTTCGCATTGAGAATCAGCTTTTCATTCAAAGCTTCCCCCATTCTCCTATGGATTTTAATCATATCCTTAATGTGAAATGGCATCAAGGACAAATTATCCAAGACAGAAGACAAAATGCTTAGTTTCTAAGAGCTTTACTTAACTATACCACTGCCTTATATGCCTGGTACAGAAATGGAAAAAAAAATCAGTATGTGAGCACTTTCTGCCCAGAGCCAGGACCCTAAAGATTGAGAATACTCGTATCAGTTCTGAATAAACACTTATATAAGGCAACAGGTGTTGTAAAACCAGCCTTTCATCATCTGCCTCCTAAAACTCAAAAGATAATAAAGATGCTGATGAGAAACCACTAGGGTAAGTGAACAACTTTAAGTAATCCATTAAAGGGCAAGATTCTGGTTCAAAAGGACCAAGAAATTGATCTTCCTTTTTCCTCTCATATCAGGGCACATTGATAGTTATTGACTCTTCTTATACAATAATGAATGTGTTGCTGGGTAAATTCCTAGATGGGAAGAAGGTGAAAAAAAAATCAAGAGTAGAAGCCTATTAAAATAAACCCCTTAATGTGAGTGTTCCAGAAGTATGGTGGCTTTTGCAACCAAAGAGCCGTAAATCAGAGAGCTTGCTACTATCATTTTAATAAATACAAAGAATGCCACTGATGATCTTGAAATAAATTCTTACCAAATTTGATAATTATTTAAGTAATTTCTTTAAAACCTACACTATTAATAATAGTTCTTTTATATTTTTGACAAAAATACAACTTTAAACCAACATGATAATAAATCTAATATCACTCTATTTTTTCCCTGTTTGCATTCATTTCAACTGCAGCAAAATAGTACAATCATTCCTTGAATTGACACCAGTTTACCCAAGTATTGGCTTTGAATGAGTAAACATTCATTAGGAAATGAGCTTTAAATGTAAACTGGTAGGCAAAGTTTCAATTTAACAAGAAATCTTCAGACTGTCATGATGGTGAAGAAATTAAAATTCAACTCCTCCTTTGTAAGTTCTTAAAAGGGTGCATGCCAAATTTTTATATATTGCTTGCATTCCCTCCTACATCACTAACCTTCTGCCTAAGTAAGTAAATAAATATTGGAAGTATTTATCATATTTCTTCTTTGGAGCTTTGCTCAAATACACGAGCTGCCACTTTGAAATATCCTCCTGGAATCATAAATTCCAAAGAATTCACTGTCTTTGTTTGGAACATCTGCTGAGACATTTTTCCTTCTCTGTCATAAAGAAGGGCCTTAACCAAACACAGACATTAATAATTTGAGGAGATAAAGAAAGGATTATTCATTTACAATTAGATTATAAGAGAGTCAAGTCATTTGAAGTAAATGGAAGCTATTTTTTGTAGAAATGCCGGGGAGCTAAGAGCCTGAAAAATCATTATAGCATATTTTACATTGGAGAATTGGGAGGTCAAGCCATTAACTTTCTGAATTTGCAGAGGTTTCCCAGAAGCTTGCTCAAATCCACTCCTAGGCCAGTGTTAAACTTATTCAACTTATTAGCATAATAACATAAATGACCATTTGCAAAATGAAGAATGACAAGAGTTTCTAAATACAGTTAGCAAAATCTCAGGGTCACATTGAAAAATAAAATGATAAACAAAAGTCTGTACAGTATCAAACCATGCAAGAAAAAAGCAGGTTTTTAAATTTGCCTACAAAAGATGACTAGCCTTACTTCTCTGAATAAATTTGTGTTTATAATAATTATCAAAATTAAAAACTAGTAGAATCCTTATGTAATAAAATGAGTGAGATTTGAAAAGAAAATTAAAAACGTATATTTTTATGAAATATTTCTAAAGCCCTTACTAAGTAGGTTTTAAATTGCTTTTATGTTGCTTAGCAATTAATAGAAAAAAATAACAGGTGGTGAAAAATAGATTTTAAACAAAGTAGTCCTTTACTTTTGCCCAGCTAATCACAATTGTTTCAATTCAAGGAACTAAAAAGAGATAAAAACATTTAGCTATGAAAATTCTTAGCATTCGTAATAATTTTGAGTCAAAACTTATAGTGTTTAATATATGTTTCATCTATAATTTTTCCTTTCACCAAACATCCAACATATAAGAAAATATATTACTTCACCAATGCCTAAGAAATGCCTAGGGAGAATAATATATGCACACACACACACACACACACACACACACATATATATAATTTATATATAGCCCTGGACATGACTTCGTCAAAGCACAGATTACAAAAGAACTGTATTGCCATATAAAAGCAAAGCACTTATTCAAGACTTCAGGTCAGAAATGCTGATATATAAGTATTTAAATTTTATGGATTATGCAGAGATATATTCAGATGGCTTAGATTCTGATTTCAATTCTATTACATATGTCCTATGTTTGTAGCCAGTATTGAATTAGGTAATATAAGCAAAGTACCTAGAGCTTTTTTCAAATAATAACAAGGTTCTCTCATATCTTCTTCAACTATTCAATGATCAATAGATAGTTAGAGCATCTTTCATGTACAACACTAGACTAGGCTCTAGAGAAGATGCCACAAAAGTACATGACATAATCCTTGCCATTAAGAAGCTTATAGTAAAGATGGGTAGTTAAGAAACATCAGCTAAATTATATTTAGGGGAAATAAAACCTGTAGGCATTCAAAAGTAATAGTGATTTAAAAAAAAAAAAAAAAACAGAAAATAATCCAGGAAATTTTCAAAAAAAAATGTTCTAATTGGAAGAACTCTTAGAATTATTATTTGGAACACCCACCAATGTAGAATTCTTCTTAGGACAACTTTTATTTCCTAATTGATAAATTGCTTTTTTAAATCAAAATTTCCCCTTCTAGTACTCCAACACTAGATCCAGTTTCCCTTTCTGAGAAGACTTTAAAATTAAATACTTCAATGTTCAGATATTTCATGAAGGATATAGTTGAAAATAAAAGTGTTAATAAAAATAATTAATAAAATCAAGAATACTATTTTGTTCTACAAATCGATATGATTCAACATTTCTTTTCAATATTATTAAATTCACCATGTTTATACCTGTCCTCTAAGTCTGCAGTTAAGTTAATCCTTCAATAATTACTTAGTTTGATGGTATGCTGAAAAGCATTAGTAGCTATGTATGACTAATAGAGATTAATTCACTTATTCATTTATTCGGCAAATATTTATGAAATGCTTCTAAGTGCCAAGCAATGTTACAAACCCTGGGGATGGAGCAGTGAATACAATAGGTAAAAATCCTAACCTCGGAAATTTATATTAAGAAATGAAGGCTTAAAGACGAAACAAAAGGTAGTTAGCACAATTCTTTGTCTTGCATTAGACTCCTCTTTGTTGTCAATTTATTCCTCAGAAATCATATCGACGAACGTGAGAGTGATTTTATTCACCTTCTATTTGTTCTCTTTTTCCAATAGAGGAAGAAGAAAAAAAAATTCATATGTGCCTAAGCTAGACTTCACAGATTGCATATACAGACTGCCTTGCTAGTAGGGAACTCCTGAAGCCTATGGGGGAATAAAGTAATTTGTATTCCAATTTCAAATTCATGAAGATTTTTATAGAATGTCAAAGAATGTTATACTCTTTGAAGATGATCTAAGTAAAGATATCAGTTCAGTCAAATACACTCAGATTACTATCAACTCTTTTCTCTTTCCAATTCCTGAAAATGAGGATGTCCTTTGCTTTGACACTTACTTGATATTGTAGTAATATATCTTCAAGAATTGGTCTTGAGCCATTAAGAGAAATGCTAAAATCTTTTTGGTTTTTGGGTTTTGTTGTTGTTGTTGTTTTTGCCTATATATATATATCACAGAAAGTATCTTTTCTGTGGTAATTAAAATTGCTGAGCTAATAGTAAAAACTGAGTAGCTTGACTATTTCTATCAAATCCATGTAAATAACTGAAGGTGCTGACTGCTTAGCCACTTTTCCATATCACACAAGAAACTTTACAACTAATACACATCAAAAAAAATGGAATCTTTATTTATTGGATATAATGTACACTCTTTGGGTAATGGGTGCACTAAAAGCCCTGACTTCGTCACTTCACAGTATATCCAATGTAATAAAACTGCACTTGAACCCCTTAAATCTATAAAAATAATTTAAGAATTCAATCTGGAACTTTTAGCCAATAAAACCAAGCTGTTGACATTTCTGCAATTTATTTTATTTTTCCATTAGCATAAATGAAAATAACTCCTGGTGACACAACCTTGGCTCATATGAGTCACAAAAAGAGTTAAAATAAGTGTCTTATGAACTAGTTTCTGCACGAAAACCAGGGTGAAATGACAGGAGTATGAGCCCTGCTTGTTTTCTTGTGCTCATTCTGATGCTATTCTCTGAGTTTGGTGGAAAAAAGGAAGACCAATTGTCTACTGTGTTAACAGCACAGCACTGACACTTCAGTTCTTTTCTATCTATTTCTTGATAATTGGGTCACCAACCATATCTTTAGGCCAACTATTTAGCATACAAAAATACTATGTCATCATAGTGTCAGGAAGCTGCGTGTAAACTATACATGGAAAAGCCCAGAGTTCCTCTCCACAGAATACAGTAGAGGAGAATAGATTAATCTTTACCTTTCAGATTATTCCCATTCAAATCCCCAAAGACTCTCCTTCCTAGTCTAGTTCTCTCTCTGCCTCATTTCTCATGTTATATTCCATACATAGGTTTAATCTACTCCTATCACCAGTACCAAACAGTTACTTTCTCCTCTTTCCTCCAAGAATCTATGTGAATTTTTTTTCAGTTGATGTTGCAAGTTGTCCCTTGGTTTCTCATTTATTAAAGTTTCCCTGTGATATTTTGCATGTTCCTTCCCAGCCAAGCAAATTATTCAGAAGTTGTGTCTTCATCTCTAAAACAGGGATAAATCCCTAAGCCATAGAGTTGTTGGGAGAATTGCATTAAATAAAATATGTTCACCAGTAGCACTCTTCTGTCCCAGGCTGGCAAAAAGTAGCTCCTGTAAGTATTCTGTTTCTCATCTTCTCCTATTCACCTGCTGTCCAAAATCCACACCACCCTTTCCCACCTGCCACTTAGAGGCTCAGGTGTTGTTCTGTTATCAGTAAATCCCTTTTGAATCATTATTCTGCTGATCATGGATTACACATGGATTTGTGGTTCTATCTGCCCATTGTAACTAATATTTGTATGAGGTTTTTCTAAACAATAACAGAAACACAGAGATTCAAAATACAAATTTAATTCTCTTATCAGAAACTACTTTTTCCTTCCTCTGTGCTACCATAGTCTGCTTTTTGTTAATATTGTACTAGCCAACATTTGCTTTATGTGGTTGTTTGCTTATATATGTACATAATGTACACACACACATATGTGTATATGTGTATATAGAGAGAGAAGGAGAGAAGATACTAATTTTTGAAGATAAAGATATAAACTTTTGTTCACCACTGTGGCGTCAGTGAGACACAACTACATATTATATGTAGCAGCATATGCTTAACAAATATCTTATATATTTTACTTAATAGGGACAGGACACACAAATTACAATCAGTTAAGATGCCACAAAAGTGATGAGCCACAGTGCTTCTTAGTAATATAAAAATCTTCCTGTAAGGACAAAAAACCAAACACCGCATGTTCTCACTCATAGGTGGGAATTGAACAATGAGAACACATGGACACAGGAAGGGGAACATCACACACTGGGGACTGTCGTGGGATGGGCAGAGAGGGGAGGGATAGCATTACGAGATATACCTAATGCTAAATGATGAGTTAATGTGTGCAGCACACCAACATGGCACATGTATACATATGTAACAAACCTGCACGTTGTGCACATGTACCCTAAAACTTAAAGTATAATAAAAAAAACTTGCTGTATTTTTTCATCAATGACAACTCCATTCTGGTTCCTTGAATCTTGATGTATTGTTTGTGCATCTTAAACTGGTGCCTTGTCTAACTCCTGCCCTTTCTGCAGGGCCCAATATATGACCTCTCTTTGCCATGACTAGAAACTCCTAAGAGACAGAAAGAGATTATTTGTTTCCTTCTGTTTCTTTATGATCATCCACAGTGTCTTGGCCTCTGAACGAAGTGGGCACTCAATATAAGAAGTTATTAATTGTTCCATTTGCTTAACTGGAATCGTTCATATTCTCATTCTCAGACACTACCTGAACAGTCCTACCTATGAAATCTCACTGTACAAATACTACTGGGAATGTGGCAGTGGGTGAGAGGGAGACACAGTTAAGCTGTGCAGGTGGCCAAGTGCTGCTAGGCTTGGTGTACGTCAAATCTTCTGGGAGGAAAACATTTTGGCTGCATTAATAAAATCATATTAATTATGTTTATTTACTTAGAGATGCCTGTCCAAGTCAATTTTATTACTAACAAAGAAAATTGCTTATGAAGTCATATGACAAATGTTTCCCTAAAATGAATTGAGAATATAAAATTGTATTCTTTCTTTAGCCCCATAACATACACTCATGTTGTGAAGTGTCAGACTGTGTAACAACCCATTTGCAATAATTCTGCCCATGCATAACTTAGTGTTATATTTAACAACTCTCAGTGGTTTGAAGTGCCTACTTTCCAATCACATTCATCATTCCTTGGCATCTCTAACCATATTTGGCATCATATGAACACAACAGAGGTTTACCAGTCATCAATAATAAACTAAGGACAAAGTAAAGAGCTTCTATACTATAGGGACTAAGGGATAGATCTCCCAAAGCATGGAATAAATGAAAAAATCCACAATAGACTCCAACTTAATTTGGGCTTCAGTGCTGTTTGAACTTTGGTTTGTTTCTGGAAAGAAAAAACAATGATAAAAATAAATTATGAATGACATGCAAGTTTATTAAAAATGTAATTATTGATTTAAAATATAACTCAGTTCTATCTTAGGCCAGTTAATGGATAGATACAAAGAGATGAAATAAGAAATAGTAAAACGATACATAGGTTTTTCAAAAGCATAGAGAAAAAGAAGAAATTTCGAGAAGTATAGATTTAAACAAAATGTTTCATAGAATAGTTTTATTTTGGAGCCTATAGGAAAATTCTTTCCAATGCATGTAGAACTTTTTGTATTCTTGAGATCACAGAAAAAAAGAAGCAAATTCAAATCCTTGGCACACGATCCATTGGAATAAGAAACAATTAGCCTTATTCAGGAATTGAATGATGAGAAAGCAAAGTATTTTAGCATTTTTAATAGGGCTAATTGTATTATTGAGTGATAATGGCAAACGTTAACACTTGATTAGGGCAGCAATAAGTTAATTATTAAGTTTATGGAAATATATCAATCAGGACAAGGACTAGAATGTAATTAGAGAAAGAGGATAAAATTGATTAAGAGTGAGTGAGTCAAGAGTTTCTAAAAAAAGTAAAAGCAATGAAAATCCAATTACACACATAAATAATAGTAGAAGCAAGCTTAATCAGCATTTACCTGCAAAGCTCTACAATGAAGAAAATGTTAAAAACAAACAAACAAAACAAGGATGCTTAATGGGGCAGAAATGATTCTTAAGTAGTTTTCAAAGAGTTTGTATCCTGAAGATAAGAAGCAAGAATTATCGAGAAGGCCATGCTAAAGCAATGAAAATTAGATACATTTATTGCCTTTTGTATAAAAGGTCCATTTCACTGAAACGACCACTGAATGTGTGTCCCACTTCTCCATGACTCCAGCTGGCCAATAGATGCTACCCTGGAAAGATTCTTCAAAACGGAAACTTGTATTAGGCCCTTCTTGCATGCTTTAAAGGCATACCTGAGACTGGGTAATTTATAAAGAAAAGAGGTTTAATTGGCTGATGGTTTTGGGGGCTGTACAGAAAGCATAGCACCAACATCTGCTTCTGGGGAGGCCTCAGGAAGCTTACAATGATGGTGGAAAGTGAAGGGGGAACAGGCATTTCACATAGAAGGAGTGGAAGCAAGAGAGAGAGTGTTGGGGTATGTTAGCTGGCTGAACATTCCAGAAGTGCTGAAAATAGTACGAAATAATAAGATGTCTTGAGTTCTTTACTAAATATTTCCCAAACACATTTAAACAACCAGATCTTGTGAGAACTCACTATCACGAAGACTGCACCAAGCCATGAGGGATCCTCTTCCACAGCCCAAACACTTCCCGGCAGACCCCAACTCCAGCACTGGAGATTACAATTCAACATGCGATGTGGTGGGAACATATATTCAAATGATGTCAATACTACATCAACAAAATTTCAAAGGTAGTATACTGACGTGATGGCTAGGACAGAGATGAAATGACATTAGAGGAAGTGGTAAGAAAACAGGTCCATGAGAATCAGAGAGATTACA
This sequence comes from Homo sapiens, assembly GCF_000001405.40. NCBI lineage: Eukaryota > Metazoa > Chordata > Mammalia > Primates > Hominidae > Homo > Homo sapiens. Next base: position 30,901,358 of record NC_000018.10, read on the forward strand.
GACACAAGACATAAATTCAAGAAATGCACACATTCTTATCTCACAGCTGCTGTTTACCTCCACTCACTTTTCTTTCTCCGCACTGAGCAACTTGGTTGACGAGAAAACTAAAAATGTAGAAGACATTTAAGTGGCAATTTGGGCTGAACTGACTTAAAGAATTTTGCGTACCCTGTGACCTCTTTATTAATTTATAAGTGCATGTATTCTATTGTGCTGTCTAGAGAGAATCTTTGACTTAAAAGTACGATTTTATTTTTTTAAATATTTATATATTTGGATAGTACTATTGAAGATTTCTTGATGCATATATTGTGTAGTGGTGAGGTCTGGGCTTTTAGTGTGCCCATTACCCAAATGGTGAATATTGTTTCCAATAGGTAATTTTTCAACCCTCACCCCACTCCCACCCTCCCACCTCTTAGAGTCTCCAATATCTATTATTCTATTCAGCATGTCCATGTGTATCCACTGTTTAGATCCCACTTAGGAGTGAGAAGATGTGGTATTTGACTTTCTGTTTCTCAGTTATTTCACTTAGGAGAATAGCACCCGGTTCTATCCATGTTGTTGCAAAATACATGATTTCATTATTTTTTATGGCTGAAGAGTATTCCATGGTTTGTGTATATATCTCTATATCTAAGCGTCCATCACTAAAGGATTGGATAAAGATATGTATACACCACATTTTCTTTATCCAGTCCTCCACTGATGGACACTTAGGTTGATTCCTTATCTTTGTTACTGACACTTAGGTTGATCCCATATCTTTGCTATTGCGAATAATGCTGTGAGAAACATATAAATGCAGGTATTTTTTTGATAGTAATTTATTTCCCTTTCAGTATATGCCCAGTAGTGAAATTGCTGGATCAAATTTTAAACATCAATAAGGTTGATCGTCAAATAATATTATGCTTATACAGAGTCTTCAGAGTCTAGTCCAACAGTTAACAATCAAACATATTTAATCCAATTATTTTAAAATCTAATTATAATCATTAATTGTAATAAAAAATGTAAAGATTAAAATGAGCAAAAAAAGAAAATGTGTTTCTATCAATGTTGGGATTGTATTAAAAACCAGAAAAGAAAAGAAAACGGTGCTAATGTCATTTTAAGCTTTTCGTTCAAAATCAATCATCTCTGTATGTAAATCCAACCATTACATCTCTCTGTTAGCCAGCTGAACACTCCAAAAGTGCTGAAAATATTAAGAAATGATAAGACATGTCTTTTTTTCTAAATATTTTCCAAAGTTCTCTATTGTACTTCATTATGTGCATCTATGGTGATAATGATGACTTTGTTACCATTGATGCATATTTTATAATTTTACTTATAAAAGTGTAGTAATTTTCTACAATATGCTCATTTAAAATATGCTAGCATATGACACTGACAATACATACAATCAGTTCAAATATCACCACATACTTTCATTTGCCCAAGATGGGTTTAACATTCTCCTCAAATTGACTAAACTTTAGACAGGCTTCTTCCTGGCTCTCAACTCCTGGCTTCCTGTATCTTACAGCATTTACTTAAGAAAATTTGCAATTATAAGTTTGTCTCTGTTCCTTTGAGCAGTAAATCTTCTATTAGTTTTACAACTCAGGAAATGTCTTTCTCAAGGACCTGGGCACCTTTCCTTTGAAATGTAATCATCGAGAAAGACAGTCCCCTATCTCTCAGTCTGTATGGGATAAATGACAATTAGCTATTCCATAACTGACAATTATCAAACACAGACGTCACAATCACATTGACCAACCTTCTCCCTAATGTCCACCAGTACTTTTCCACTAGCTCACCCCAATGCCTAAAAAACATCCCACTTTGTGTTTCAGTGAACATTAGTTCAATCTCTCTCTTCATTGCAAGAGTCTTCAGTAAAGAGTTTCTTGCCTCTACCTTGTATTTGTGCAACTTTTCTTTGACATATTACACTCAGTATCATTTCAATAGTGAGAAACAGCACATTCTCTAAAGAAGTTATGTTTTTTTTATTTTTGTGTGTGTTTTTTTGTTTTTGTTTGTTTGTTTGAGATGGAGTCTCACTCTGTCACCCAGGCTGGAGTGCAGTGGCACAGTCTCGGCTCACTGCAACCTCTGCCTCCTGGGTTCGAGCGATTCTCCTGCCTCAGCCTCCCTGGTAGCTGGGATTACAGGCATGAGCCACCACGCATGGCTAAGAAGTGATGTTTTAACAGAATTTTTTAAGAGTTACATATTATGTGCCAATTTTTATGATTATGATGAAAGATGACAGAAAAAAACATGGAAGCAAGACTGTATGATTCATAGAGAAGGCTCTTGATGTGCTCATTCTCACACCTAGACCTGGCCTGCACTGTATGGCCAGCTCATATGCTTGTCCCTGAGGTTAGCATCTGACTATGCCTCTGTGTACACCAAAGCTCACATGTTACCTGCTGGCAGAATCCAACTATGAGTCATTTTGGTTTAGACTGCATGTGAATCTGAATGCCACAGAGTTCATTACCCACATTTCTTACACATACTCAGCTTCATTTGTTTACATTATCTTTCTGACTTCATTTAAAATCTTAAACTCTTTAATATATGGCATCTTTAAAATTGAGTTGGAGCCTTTTAGTGAAAGAATCAGTTTTCCTAAAATAGAAATAACTTTAATATTCAATAGCTTCAGGTTTATACGCTCCATTTTTTTTCAAAATGTAGAATTTTGAGGGTTTTTTTACTTATCAAAGTAACTTCAGAAGTTTTGTTTAAGGTAGTAGAGTGAGCACATGTGTTATTACCAATCATACCAAAACTTTATTGACATGGAACTTAGAAATTACATAAAAGGATAAATAAAACAGCACTGAAAACCACAAGGGGAATGGGAAGAGGGATTCGCAGATTACAGATTTTGGAAAGTTTTTAGAAAAATAGGTAAATTGTATTAAAAAGCAAAATGGAGAGGAAGAGCTGAAATTTAGAACATTTCCTATAGATGGCTGCAAAATATACAAGATAACTTCTTGCTGGCTGCGTCATGGAAAATATCTAAGCTTATAGTTACCAAAAAACAAAATAGTTGTGGTAATTACTTTCTATCACCTTTCAAATACTCAAAGTAGTAGGTACCAGAAGTATCTCTCTTAAGATATGTCTATATCTCAAGAAATTGAACAATACACATAAGGCTTCTGGTGAAAGATGGTTAACAATGGTAAATTGAGCACACATATTTCATTCCAGAACCCCCAAAACAAAAACAATACCTCTAACACTGACTGCCATACTTTCTTTAGCTAGTGTCTTTTTAATGAATATTCAGACTGTTTTGAACTATTTCATATTTGATACAATTTTTTAGAGAATATCATTGTATATACTTATGATTGTTCTTTGAGATTAAATTGACAAATCCAAAATATTACATTAAAAATTTTATTGAAAACATTTTCATACTTAGATTAATTTGGAAAGTGCTTATATATTTATAAATAGGGGGTTTTGAAGTGGGGATTATCATTTATATACTGATCTGTAAGAGCTCCAGTCCCTAAAATTAAAATGTGTTGATGATGGTGGAGCAAGGAAGGCCTTTGCTCTCTGTATGTGTTATACACCAATTGTTTGAGTGGGAAACAGAACAAAGCTGTATAGATAGGGGGAAATAACGGCACAGTAGACCATAATTAACTACTGAATGCCTGCAATAAAATTAAAATTATGAGATTCATATATCTGCTGCCCAATAATATATCTGAGTATATAATCTCCCCATTCCTAAGGTAGAGAGAAGACAAAAGTGTGGGAAAGAGAAACCAGCTTCTTATTTAACAAATACTGAATCAGAAGTGAACTTTACCTTAAACAAAAGTAAATGGAGAAAAAGAAACACAAAACCAATAAGATGTGTTTTTAAATTCTCCATTTATAAAAAGGGAAAACAATCTAGGAAAATCAAGAAAAGAATTTCCATTTGAATCGTATTTATTCCAGGATCCAAAGACAATGGCAGAAAACTGGTAACCATAAATTGTAAATTATAGCTTCTCTGAGAAGGCAACAAGAAGAAAAGGAATATTGACAGAATGAGAAGAAAATGAGGCGAATGAAATAAGAAAGGAATACAAATAAAAGAATTAAAAGTACTTTAGAGGTTGAAAAGTTCAGAGGATATGAAGTCCCATGTTCGGAACTCAATAAATATGTGTTAAATAAATCAATCAATAAAAAATATATCTGTGAGTGGTACCTGTGTGCCTTCTTGAAATACAAAAATGAGCAGATAAAGATAATGGGAGAGAAGGTGATAGGCAGGTAGACTAAAGAATGGAAATTCTATTTACTTGCTGGTAAATTTCCTTAAGAAGAGACTAAAACAAATGACATGGAAGAAATATTCAAAGCCATTTTTTAAAAAAGACATTTCCTAAAGAAAAGAGACCTGCATGTGATTATTTTAAAAATTCAGCAAGTTCAAAGCAAAAAAAGTATGCAAGGAAACTTAGTTTTACACATTGTTAAAATGTAACAATAGCAACAGTAAGTTCTTTCCATCAGCCAGACAGATGAGGGGAAAAAATGCAACAAACAAGTTATTCGCACACAAAAAAATAGAAAGTGGCATTGAAAAAGAATGTTGATAAAATAAATCTTCATAAATAAAATAAAACTGAAACCTCAGATATACACACTGTCAGGAGAAGAGCCAATAAATCGAAAAAGTAAATGTTTTACAAATTAATGTGGTTGAAACTTAAAAACTGATATTAAATAATATAAAGGGGAGATCATTTTTACATAGCTCAGAAAAGCACAATGAATATAATTTTGTTTAATCAAATATGCATTTGATAAATATATTTTTAAATATAAAAATTAATAGACATAAAAATGAGGATAATTGTTAACACTGAAGAGAGGATAGTGTGAAGAGTGGGATATATCATAAGAGAAGTGTACATAGGCATTGTAAGTCAGCGGTCCCCAGCATTTTTGACACCAGGGACTGATTTCCTGGAAGACAATTTTTCCACGGACTGGGGTAGAGCGGGGATGGTTTCGGGATGAAGCTGTCCCACCTCAGATCATCAGGCATTAGTTAGATTCTCATAAGGAGCTGCAACCTAGATCCCTCACTTGCAGTTCACAACAGGGTTCACACTCCTATGAGAATCGAATGCCTCTGCTGATCTGACAGGAGGTGGAGCTTTATAATTCACATATAAATTACATATATCTGTATGTCCCACATATAATATTTTTAAAAATAAAAAGAAGAAACTTCCACTTCAAATAAGATGAGTAAATAAGGACTGGCTTTACCCTTCCATCTAATCTAAACTACTGAAAAACCAAATAAAATGCAAATAGTAATGATTTTAAGGATACGGAATTAGACAAAAATAACAGGTAGTTTCTAAGATATGGAAAACAAATGAGGTAATTCTTATGATCGCTCTAGCTTACAACCTTAAGAAAGTTTTCTGGCTGTGGTACAGAAAGGAGAACACAGATCCACAATGAAAAAGGACGGTTAGAGCTTTCAGGGCAGGATACTGGAGGAGAGAAAATTGCACAGAATATGATATGCAGAGAGTTTACCTTGGGATTCTGCAGAGTAATAATGATCAGTGCATCTGTGTGAGGAAATGAACCACGGCCAGGAAGAGAACTACCTAAAAGGATTAGGGGAAACAGTAGTCAGGAACTATACAGGGCAAGCAAGCATGTCCTATTACCAAAAGCCAGACGGGGAAACTTCCTACATCATGGGAAACTGGGTATAATGTTCAGACAAGTCTTGCCTTAGTGGTGGAGAATAATTAGCTCTAGACTAATGGCTGCTCTGGTCCTACATAACCAACCTTAAAAGCACACCTGATGAAACTGTTTCCAAGTAACATAGCCGTATCCCAGAATAAAGCTCAAAAATGTTTATAGGAATACAAAAAGATCAAGCACCCAACAAGGTAAAACTCACAATGTCTGGCATCCAACACAACACTAGCAGACATTCAAAGAAGCTTTAAAAGATGATGCATAACAAGGAAAAAGACCAGTCAAAACCAACACAAAACCTACACAGGTGTTAAAATGATCAGACAGGGATATTGAAACAATTGTTATGAGTGAATTCAGTATGCGCAGAAAAGCTACAGAAAGATTAAACATGTTGCATAGAGACATGGACAGTATAAAATGACACCAAAATCAAAAGTCTAGTGGTAAAAAGTATATCGTCTAAGATTTTTTAAATAAACACTAAATGAAATTAATGACAGACAAAACACCGCAAAAGAAAAGATTAGCAAACTTGAAGAAATAGCCATAAAAATGATCCAAAATGACACGCAGAGGGAAAAATGTCTGAAAAAAAATAAAGCATCAGTGAACTACAGGAAAACTTCAAGCTGTCTAATAGGCAGGTGATTGAAGTCCTCAGTGGAGAGCAGTAGGGAATATTATATATATATATGTTATGTTATATATGTGTGTTATATATGTATATGTGTATATATGAGACACATATATAACATAACATATATATATATATATGGAAAAGTCCAGACGCCTATTGTTTTATTGGTAGCCTCTACCAAACCTTTAAGGAAAAAATGACAATATGCTATGCAAACTCAGCGGCAATATTGCAAAGGGAAGACTCAACTCATTCTATAAGGCCAGTGTTACCTTGATACCAAAATTGGACAAAGACATTCCCAAAACAAACAAACAAAAACTACAACGTAATTTCTCTTATGAACATATATGGAAAAATTCTAAATCAAATACAATATATAAAAGTAGTAGCACATTACGATCAAGCTCAATTTACTTCAGGAATGTAAGATTGGCTTAACATTAGGAAATCAAGCCATGTAATTCGCCATGTTAACAAGCTAAAGAAAAATACATATGATCATCTCAGCAGTCACAGAATAAGCATCTGACAAAATTCAACATCAATTCCTAATTTTAAAAAACTCTTTCAGCACACTGGAAATAGAAGGGAGAAATTTCAACTTAAAAAGGGGCATCTACAGCTATCAGACATAATTGTGAAAGACTGAATGTTCTCGTGCTATGGCAAGGAATAAGGTAAGAATATATTTTCTCACTAACTCTGTTTAACATGCTGGAGATTCTAGCTAGTGGTCTCAGGGAATAAAAAGAAGTAAACATCACCCAGATTAGAAAGGCAGAAATAATCTTTGAAATTCCCAGATGACATAGTTATCTGGTAAAATATATGATGTAATCTACTAAAAATCTGCTATGACTAATAGTGAGTTTAGTAAGATGAAAGAAGGGTAAAAGAAGATGTAAAATGAGTTGTATAGTTCAATACTACTAATAAACAACTGGAAGTTGAAATTAAAAAGTCATACCACTTACAAAACCATGAAATATATGTAATACTTTAGTACAGATCTGACAAAATATGTGCAAGAACTGTAGGCTAAAAACACAAAATATTAAGAAAAATTAAAAATGCAAATAAATCAAGGCATATATGTGTATCAATGTGAAGACTATATTGTTAGATTATCTATTCTTCCCAAATTGATATATAAATTCAACAAACTCTCAGTTAAAATCTCAGCACACCTACAACCATCTGATCTTCATCAAAGTTGACAAAAAAAGCAATGGGGAAAGAACTCCTTATTCAATAAATGGTGCTGGATAACTAGTTAGCCATATGCAAAAGACTAAACCTGGACCTCTTACTTATACCATATACAAAAATCAACTCAAAATGGATTAAAGACTTAAAACCCCAAACTATGGTGGGACTGTAAACTAGTTCAACCATTGTGGAAGTCAGTGTGGCGATTCCTCAGGGATCTAGAACTAGAAATACCATTTGACCCAGCCATCCCATTACTGGGTATATACCCAAAGGATTATAAATCATGCTGCTATAAAGACACATGCACAGGTATGTTTATTGTGGCACTATTCACAATAGCAAAGACTTGGAACCAACCCAAATGTCCAACAATGGTAGACTGGATTAAGAAAATGTGGCACATATACACCATGGAATACTATGCAGCCATAAAAAATGATGAGTTCATGTCCTTTGTAGGGACATGGATGAAGCTGGAAACCATCATTCTCAGCAAACTATCACAAGGACAAAAAACCAAACACCGCATATTCTCACTCATAGGTGGGAATTGAACAATGAGAACACATGGACACAGGAAGGGGAACATCACACACCGGGGACTGTTGTGGGGGAGGGGAGAGGGATAGCATTAGGAGATATACCTAATGCTAAATGACGAGTTAATGGGTGCAGCACACCAACATGGCACATGTATACATATGTAACAAAACCTGCACGTTGTGCACATGTAGCCTAAAACTTAAAGTATAATAATAATAATAATAATAAAATCCTGGAAGACAACGTAGGCAATATTGTTCTGGACATAGGAACTGGCCAAGATTTTGTAATGACGCCAAAAGCAATCGCAACAAAAGCAAAAATTGACAAATGAGAGCCAATTAAACTTGAGTGCTTCTGCACAGCAAAGGAAACTGTCAACAGAGTAAACAGACAACCTACAGAAAGGGAGACGGTATTTACAAACTGTTCATCTGGCAAAGGTCTAATATCCAGCATCTATAAGGAACTTAAACAAATTTACAAGAAAAAAAAATCCCATTAATAAGTGGGCAAATGATATGAACAGACAGTTTTCAAAAGAAGACATATATGCAGCCAACAAGCATATGAAAAAAAGCTTAACATCACTGATCATTAGATAAATGCAAATCAAAACCACAATGAGATACCGTCTCACAGCAGTTGAATCGCTATTATTAAAAAGTCAAAAAATAACAAATGCTGGCAAGGTTGTGGAGAAAAGGGAGTGCTTATACACTGTTGGTGTGGGAGTGTAAATTAGTTCAACCATTGTAGAAGGCAGTGAGGCAATTCCTCAAAGAGCTAAAAATAGAACTACCATTTGACCCAGCAATCCTATTACTAGGTATATACCCTAAGGAATAGAAATACTTCTTTCATAAAGACTCATGCATGCGTATGTTTATTGCAGCACTATTTACAATACCAAAGACATGGAATCAACTTAAATGCCCATCAATGATAGACTGGATAATGAAAATGTGGTACATATACACATTATCATACCATGGAATAGTATGCAGACATAAAAAGAAATGAGAGCATATCCTTTGCAAAAACTTGGTTGGAGAAACTAACACGGGAACAGAAAACCAAATACCACTTGTTCTTACTTATAAGTAGGAGCTAAATGATGAGAGCACATAGACACATAGAGGGGAACAACAGACACTGGGACCTCTTTGAGGGTGGAAAGCGGGAGAAGAAAGAGGATCAGAAAAAATAATGATTGTGTACTAAGCTTAGTACCTGGGTGATGAAACAATATGTAAAATAAACCTCCGTGACACGAGTTTGCCTATATAACAAACCTGCACATATACTCCTGAACCTGAAATAAAAGTTTTTTTTAAGCATAAAATCTCAGCATTTTTTTTTTGAGATGGGGTCCCACTCTGTCACCCAGGTGGGAGTGCAGTAGCACGATCTTGGCTCACTGCAACCTCCGCCTCTTGGGTTAAAGCGATTCTCCTGCCTCAGCCTCCCAAGCAGGTGGGATTACAGGCACGTGTCACCACGCCCGGCTACTTTTTGTATTTTTAGTAGAGACGGAGTTTCACCATGTTGGCCAGCTGGTCTCAAACTCCTGACCTCAAGTGATCCGCCCGCCCCTGCCTCCCAAAGTGCTGGGATTACAGGCATGAGCCACCATGCCCGGCCAGCATAATTAGTTTATAGGAATGGAGAAGCTGATTCTA